>NC_000008.11:126339222-126964222 GCF_000001405.40 Homo sapiens | reverse complement strand
AGACTCACAAAGCAAAGTCTGAAAGAATGACTGGCTTCCTTTATCCTCTCTAATGGGAGAAAATACAGCAGTAGAGATATGGCCTCTCAATCTCCAAATGTCCAGGTCAAACTCAATGAATCTTTGAGGTCTACCGAACTTTAGAGTCTATACAGCAGTGAGGCATCCTGTGGACCAGTGGAAGGTTTGAACTGTTCTTTTCCTTAATGGAGTCATGAGAAGGTATTCATATAGTAAAAGGAGAAATTTAATTCATTATGTAAATTAAACACCTGCTAGAGTTGGTGGTAGGGAGATTGAATGAACACAGTCTCTATCCTGAAAGAACTCTCATTTCAGTGAAAAAACAAACAAACGAACAAAAAAAACCAGACAAGTAGACAAATATTTACCACCAAGGCTGATGAAGGCTATGATGGAGTGAAAGAAATTCATGCATTCTTACAAGGTACAGATATGAGCCCAGGGGAGAGAAAGGCAAATTTTGCTTGAAGATGGTTCCACCTCAAGAGGTAGTGGACATTTAATCCTGATCTTGGTGAATGAATAATGCTTAGGAAAGATGTCCCAGGCAGAGGGAACGGCTTGTGCAAAAGCTTGCCTGACCTCTCTTCTCAGCAAGCAGCAGTGGCACAGATCCATCAGCGGATGAGGCATGAACATCTGTGCTGGCACGAGGCAGGTGCAATCAGACGCCCGCTCCACACTTACTAGCAGCCTGATTTGTGGCAGCTCACTGATCCTCTCCCAGCCTCAGTTTCTATATTCGAGATATCCCTTTCTCTTCAAAATGTTTAGCCCTTAGCATTTTTGCAATAATGTATCTGAAGTGCTTAACAAAAGGAAAAATTTCATTCTTTTGGGATACTACTTCTATTGGGATGTGTCTTTCCAGATATGTGTTCTAACGGAGGTATTTATTGGCTGCCTTGAGTACTCAAGACACTACAGAAATGAGACATAAGGTACAACACCTTCAAGTAACTTAAAGTCTAGATGTGGAGGAGATAAGCCACAAGCAAAAAAGGATTTAAAGAAGAGATCAGGCCAAAGTGAGATGGACTAATGTATATTATTAATTTCCAGATGAATTAAACTCACAATTATGACCACAGAGAGAGAAGAAAGCATTATGTGTAGGAAAGGAGCACTTAAATAAGATTCAATATTTAATAAATATATTTTTCCCTTAAGAAGATTGAGTCATACTTTGCTGGAGGAAAGGGGCTGTTGTTAATTTAAAAATTAGAAAACCCCATTTACTAGAAATGAAATGAGGGAGAGGCAAAGATTTCATTCTGCAATCAATACAAAGAAACAAAACTGTGTTTTATATCAATTTCCCTTGAAAATCTATTGGAAATTTTTGACCCAGAGCACCTAAAATTCTCAATTCTGAGATGTCTAAGCCAGTTTTTTTCTTCAGTTTTCAAAGACATTGCTGTTTCTTTGAGCAGCAATGAAGTACTGGGCTTAGATTTGTACAAAAAAAAAAAAAAGTTAACAAATTGTATGATACTACAATGAGGCCAAGAGATAGAAGATAGAAGATTAGCCAAGGAGAAAGCAGATAACTCACAGTTCATCCTCACGCAAGGACATGCTCGTGGAGTTAAGTCAGGGTGGTGGTACTTGCATTTGAAAATTGTCAATTTCCTTTTGTCTGTTTTTGATAGGTGCTGAATACGGTTTCATTTATGAAAATTAAATGTGCAGAAGAGACAATTGCACAGTATTGTGCAGTTGTGTAATCAATGTAGTGCTATGGAAAGAGTATGGACTTTGAGATAGAAAATAGGGATGAAGTCTCCTCATAATCAAGTAAATGATTTTGGACATTTGGCCTAACTGCTCTGAATTTCAGATCCATTATCCAAAAACCAATGGAATATGATGAGATGATATCTAAGTAGACTTTTATCCATAGTACTCAATGAGTCCCTAATATTACCAGAAAATTTACACTTGGACTGTTTTTAGTCATCAACTCTTTCATCTATGTGCTATGTTGTGCTGATAATTCTATTGGAAATCATATGGCCTATTTCCTTCCTGCAGTATTCCAAGAATTAATTTGGGATCTAACCTCCATGGTTGCAAATTCATTGGCATTGACAAAGAGCCATTCTTGAAGCTCCAAAGGACAGATGTTAGATAAGGGGCTTCTACAAGCATGACTAGAATGCATCTATTCTAAGAGCTGTGGTATACTCACAGCCAATAAAAAGTGAAAACCCTGCCATGTGTTTCATCAAAAGTATGCTCAAGAATTGAACCCGGGAGCTGAAGGTTGCAATGAGCTGAGATCGCACCGCTGCACTCCAGCCTGGGTGACAGAATGAGACATCATTCCCTGCCCCCCACCCCACCCCCCGCCCGGCCAAAAAAAAGTATGCCCAAGAGTAAGTTATAGGTTTGAGAATCAATTGTGGTGCAGAAGCTAGAACCTGGAATCCAGAATTCAGGATCCAGAATCTGGTGACCTGGTTTGGGTTCCAGTTCTACATATCTAACTATAACACATGACAATTTATTAATTCTCTCTCAGTCCTACTTTCCTGATTTAGAAAATAAAACTAACAATGGTGATAATCATGATGATAATGATGATTGGTGACTTATAAGGATGCGATGAGGATGTATAAAAAGAGGTGTATGAACAGCCATTATGGCAACAAGAATATTGGAAGGTTTAGAAGGCAACATCCCCCAGAAGTCCTAGCACTTAATAAATGCTCAGTAAACATTCATTAATTGGTGACAGGAGAAAAGCTACAATTCGCTTTTCTTTTTGGTTTTAGAGTCAGGGTTTTGCTCTGTTGCTTAGGCGGGAGTGTAGTGGCACAATCATAGTGCACTGGCATCTCAAACTCCTGGGCTCAAGCAATCCTCCTTGGATTTGCGTTGGCCTCCCAAAGTGTTGAGATTACAGGTGTGAGACACTGTACCTGGTCTTCCTGCTTTCTTAAACATAGCAAATGATTGTGGACATATATATTCATAAGCACAAGAAAGCAAAGTGAGGAATATGGAATTGACAGATTTCAAGCTTCCCTTTCACATGTTTAAATGATGTGCTCCTGACCACAGTGACAGTGACCTCTTCTCTACTCTATTTTCAGCAGCCATCACCTAGTCATCTGGAGCAGAGATAACTAAGGAAGGGGACAGGAAAAAGGATTTGAATGGCTTTAGATAAAGGGGCATTGTGTCTGTCAGGACCCCATCTCTGCAGCACAGACATCAAAACAGCAGGCATTTCTGGTAAGCCCAGACATGAAGTCATTTAACTGGGATGCTGAGCCAGTGACTTCTCTTCACAGAGTACATACAGAGTTAATCCTGTTTGTAGCACCATTGTTACTGAGAAAGGGCTTTCAGGACTAAGATTCCTTATGGTAGAGATAAAGCGTCCTCAAAATATGACAACATTGGTTGGCCAAAACTATATCCTCAGTCCAAATGCCAAAACAACTGTTCCAGAAAATCATGTCAAAGAGATGTTACAGCTCTTACATGCCTCTTTAATTTGAAGCCAAAGGAAAGCTGTCCCAAAGACAGCATGTGTGGCCTGCACAATCTCTTTGTCCCGCTCACACATTCTTCTCTTCTCTCCACAACATTCCTTTTCCTGCTCCATGTGTGCAAACACACTACAAAATGAATATCCTTCTTTTAAACGGGAAAGATAAAACCATCCTATGACACAGAACATGTCATAGTCTAGGTTGGGGGTTAGTGAACATTTCATATAAAGGGCCAGACTTAGCTTGAAGGATATAGAAACATAGGGGTAGTTGGATTTGTCATGCAGGCCATTCTTTGACAACACCTAACCTGGGTAGTAATAAATTAAATAACGATAGTGGCAATATGAAAGTATAGGCTTTTGATTACGATGTAAAAAGGAGTAAGAATCTGTCAATCTCACTAGAAGCAGAATAAACTGCAAAATTATAGCTGTTAAGATCAAAGAACCCATTAGAAATCTGAGGATGAGAATGTCTAAATGAACTAAATTCCAGAGAATAACAAGCCCTTCTAAATAAGAAGAGCGCCTCTGTTGCTTTTATCTGTATTGTCTGGCAAAAGGCAGAATTCACCATAGATGGAGAAGGAGAAATCATCTCAAGGTTTAATGAAGTTTTAATGGCAGAGTGAGCTGATGTGGAGATTTGCAATCTCAAGGAACTCTGGCCACACAATGAGTCTGGACATATCTACAGGCATTCAGGGTGAGAACTGAGAAACCTCTTTGAGTACTTCAGGCCAACACAAAGTATGAAGCAATGGATGACAAAGATTGGAGCAGAGTGCAGGGCAGAAGATGCCGAAAGCGGAGTTGGGGAAAGAGAGAATTCCTTTGGGGACTCTCCAGGCCGTCAAATCACGAACCGGCCTCTAAAGGCTGAACAAGACAGCAGGGAAGAGATTAATCTCCCAAGAAATCAGAAAGCCAGGGACATCCTTGAGAAAAGGGGGGAACTCCCCAGAAACTCAAAAATCTGGCAGAGTGTAATGCAGAGAGATATTTTACATATTTAGAAAACTGGCGGTTGGATTATAAACCACAAAGAGATCTCCAGAGCCTCCCTGGTGCTCAGATCCCCAGCCAGTTGAGAAGAAGTTGCTAATTCTGATCTGAAATCATTAGAAGCCAGTGGTGTTCATAATCTAAATAAAGCAAACATAAAGCCCAGACTCAGCCCCACTACAGGCAAGATTGACTCAGGCTTCTGCATGAGCAGCCTTGAAAAGAAAATGTGTGACCTTTCCATGGAAAAGCCTTATTTACTTCAGTCTCTACAGTTATTTACACATAAGACCTGACATACACTAACAATTATAAGACACTTGAAGTGTTAAGAAACATGAAGGTAAAGCTAAGAAAGAATCAAGATAAGAAGCAAATTCAATGATTGCATAGATTGAGGATCTATTAGATAGCAGCTTTCAATAAGTGTTTTAAAGTATCTAGTAGAAATCTAAAAACAGGCTTAAAAAAGGAAGGGAGTTGAAATGGGAACTACAAAAAGAAAAAGAAAAAGTCCGCTGTACGAAAAATGTATGTGGTAAGATCACCAGTAAATAGGATTAGCAAAGGAAAGAATTGTGAACTGGTTTCTGATTTCTGGGAACATGGATTAGATTTGACTGTTAGGAGATTTCATATAAAAATGAAATCTACATTATCTTTTCTCTTATATCTGCCTCCTTTCACTCAATTTAGTGCTTTGGTAATTCATTCATGTTAAATGTGTATAACCAATTTACTCTAATTTCTTTTTGAGTAATACTCTATTGTTTCACTATACCACAATTTATCTGTTTACCTGTATGTGAATACTTGATCTGTTTCTGGGTTTTGGTTATTAAAAATCAGGCTTCTAGAAACAATTTAGACAATATTTCTGTAGTCACATTTTTTTTCATTCCTCCTAGGTAAGTATCAGGGAGTAGAATGGCTGCCTGACAATAACCGTGACATTCCTGTTTCCATCAGCAATGTCTAAGCATTCCAGTTGCTCCACGTCCTAGCCATAATTTGATACCGTCAGCCTTTTTAATCTTAGCCACTATAGGGAGTATGAAATGCTGTCTAATTGTGATTTTTGTTTGCACATCATTGATAAATAATGATGTTAAACTTCACGTGCTTATTAACCATTTTTATGTTTTTATTTAAAAAGTGTCTGTGCACAACTTTTGCCCATTTTTATTGGGTTGTTTTTATTTTTGTTATTGGTGTGTAGGAGCTCTTTATCTAGCTTTTATACAAGTCTACTGTCAATAAAATATTTTGCAATTTTTTTTCAGTCTGTGACTTGCACATTCATTTACTTAATGGGATCTTTTGACGACTGGATTTTTTAAAAAAAATTTTGTTCAATAAATCACAAAATTGTTCTTTATGCTTAGAGCTTTTTGCCTCTTGTCTACCAAACATGCTTAACCCAAGGTCATAAAGGTTTTCCTCTATTCTTTCTAGTAAAATATTTATAGTTCTTACTTTTAAATTTATGTCTGTAATATCTCTATGAAGTTTATTTTTGTGTAAGGAGTGATATATAAATATTCATTTATTTCAGAATTTCTTGTTAAATGTCTAACCCCATTTACTTGTACACTTTTTCAATCAGATTTTTTTTTTCAAAATCAGACAGAACTTAAAAAGAGAAATCATGATTGTGGATTTGTTTATTTCTCATTTTAGTTCTATCAGATTTTTTTTCATTTTTTTCCAATGCTCTGGTTTTAGGAGCACATATACTTAGAATTGTTGTATTTTATTAATGAATTGACCCATTTATTATTTCTAAATACCTCTCTTCACATGTGGCAATATTTCTTGTTTTGAAGTCTGCATTGTCTGATATTCATATAGCCACTCAATCTTTCTTTTGGTTAGTGTGATTTTTTTTTTTTTTTTTTTAGATGGAGTCTCGCTGTGTTGCCTAGGCTGGAGTGCAATGGTGTGATCTTAGCTTACTGCAACCTCCGCCTCCCAGGTTCAAGCAATTCTTCTGCCTTAGCCTCCTGAGTAGCTGAGACTACAGGCATGTGCCACCACGCCCGTTTAATTTTTTTTTTTTTTTGTATTTTTAGTAGAGACGGGGTTTCACCATATTGGCCAGGCTAGTCTCGAACTCCTGACCTCGTGATCCACCCACCACGGCCTCCCAGAGTACTGGGATTACAGGCATGAACCACCGTGCTTGGCTGATTAGTGTTAATTTTAATGTTAGAATCCTAATTTTAGTCAGTTTTTCACTTACTGTGTGCAATAGGTAAAAGATCATTTCTTACACATCATTAAGCATTTAGAAAATAGATCCATTTTCAATGACAACAAAAATATACACTATGAACTTACGAAAGAAAATCCCAAGTGAAGATAAGGCAGTCATTTCACCCCTTTGGACCTTTCTGTAGAAGATCTGACTTGTAATGTGCCCCATTCAAGAAGTAAGTGATGTCTCTGAAGGGCTGGGTGGAGAAAGGTAGGAACTAATATCCACTTTCAGACTATGGCAAGGTATTTAGCTTTATAGAAAACTCTCCAGTTAGAAAGTAATCTGGTACAAAATACCACATCTATATAAAAGTAACTTTACATCCTTCAGATCACATGGTCTTGCTAGCCAGAAAGATAAACAATCTTGTATTACCTAAGGTATACTTTTCTATTTGAGGTGATTTAACTATGTCTATAGCTGACATTTATTAGTGCTTTCTCTATGCCAGGCATTATGTTAGGCACTTTTCATAGATCATTAGCAATTATCCTCTCTGAATTACCCCATGAGATAGGTCCTAGTATTATACTACTGTTATTTACTTTTTTATATTTTAGATAATTGAGTCTTAGAGATAGTAAATAACTTTTATAAGTTTACCCAGGTGGTAAAATGTTTTATTTCAGAACTCAATCTCTTAGCTATTTAGCTCTACTATTATTAATATAGTTAACGTTCACATAGATTTGCAGTTTGAGGATATGTGTGTATGTCTATGTATTGTGATTGCTCTTGATGAAATGTATACTTGCAGTTCAGATTAACTTTGCCATCAGTTGAAACTTGTGCATATTTTCATATCATCTTTGTTTTAGGCATAACACTGTAATTATACACAGTCATATATGTCTACTTATTTTAGAATTTAAATGCAAAAAAAAGCGATATCATTTAATTACTTGCCTTATTGAATCTTTTTTTTATCCCACTTTCCTTTCCTTATCACCAAGTTGGTATTACTTTTTTAAAATTAGTGCCATGAGCCATTGTGTGTTAATCTCACTTTGAGTATATAAGAAGAAAAATTGGTTAAAAGCAGTAATAGAAATCTTTGTTCACATCAATATAACACACATACATGTACACACACGTATATGTGTTTTAAAAAAAACAGAAAAGGACAAAACTCTTGGCATGGCCCCAATCATCACATCTATGATAAAATAAAACCTTTATAAAGTGGCTCCTAAGTTCTGTATTGAGCACAAATATGACAGAGCTATGTTTATACACAGTGTTCACATTCTCCATTCATCCTAATGGTCAGAATGAGAGCTATTACAGCTGGAATAAATCTTGGGTATCATCTAATTAAAGGCTGTCCAATCTTTTGGCTTCCTCAGGTCACATTGGAAGAAAAAGAATTGTCTTAGGCCACACATAAAACACACTTATGCTAATGATATCTGATGAGCTAAAATATATATATATATATATATATATATATATATATATATGTGGAGATATATATATATATATATATATATATATATAATGTTTTAACAAAGTTTACAAATTTGTGTTGGGCTGCATTCAAAGCCATCCTGGGCCACATGCAGCCCAAGGGCCATGGGTTGGACAAGCTCAATCTAATCCTATGCCATTTATGCTCATCAGAATAGGATACAATCTCAATGGCTTAATATGAAAACTTGCATATACTATTATCATAATAGATTGCTCACACTGAAAGTAGAGTAGTGCCCTAGGGCACCTCTCTTCCATGTGGTAACTCAGGTATTTCAATTTGGTCCTATTTTGTGCCTACTTGATTTCAACCCATACCCTCCATACTCACCATAGCAGGGAAAGAAAGAACCTGAAGACCACACATCTATTCTTTTTTTTTTTTCAGTGCATGTGCACAACGTGCAAGTTTGTTACATAGGTATACATGTGACATGCTGGTTTGCTGCACCTATCAACTCATCATTTACATTAGGTATTTCTCCTAATGCTATCCCTCCCCCAACCCCCATCCCCCGAGAGGCCCGTGTGTGTGATGTTCCCTTCCCTGTGTCCATGTGTTCTCATTGTTCAGCTCCCACCTATGAGTGAGAACATGCTGTGTTTGCTTTTCTGTCCTTGCCACACATCTATTCTTAAGAACATACACATCACTTCCAAACACAGCTCATACACATCACTTCCAAACACAGCTCATTGGTCAGTGCTATTTGTGACTGAACTGTGAGGAAAGCTGAAGGATATAGAGAAGCACATTAAATATTTGGAGAGCAATAACTATCTATTCTATAGTATTATTTAAAATATGATTCTATGAATCCTTGGAAAGTTGAAGTGTTTGCCCAAAATCATTGTGAGAAGAGGCTTGCCTAGATGCCAGTTATCCTGAGTCCCAGTCCAGCATCTCATCTGTTTGACTGATAAACATATTTAAAAAATCTGTCCTCTGCTGACTTGAAGCCCAGTTTGTCATTGCTACTATTGCCAATATCTTTAAATGCTTCTAAAGAGATTTCTGTTTTATTTAATACATTGCTGTATTCCCCATCCTTGAATTCTAATAATAACAATCTGTATTAAACAATAAAATGTCAACTTGTTAAAGACTGACTTCTCAACAGATACTATGTTAAGTGTCTATATATATAATTATATCTATAAATTCGTTTATAAAAATATATATAACTTCATTTAATCCTAATAGCATATATTAATTAGATACTATTATCTCTACTTGATAGATGAGGAAACTGCAGATTAGAGAAGGTTAATTAATTTTTAATTCATCCCTTTTCACTCATCTTGGATCATGACTGCCTAGAACTACCTGTTTTGATCCTCAAGTTAACTTATCCTCTTTTGTATCTGTGACTTTCTCATTCTGTCTGGATTTTACCAAATCTTTGAATTTTACCAAAGCCAGGAAACAAGCCCTAGACCACCCAAGGCTTTGATTCAAGCAGGAAGGGCTCAAGTAAGATGCAGGTGGTTGGCCAAAAGACATTGCAAAGAGACCGCTTCCTTTATATATACTTTTATTTGAGTTTTCACAAGGATCTGTCTGTGCCTGGGTGGTGAAGATGGGATGTTGTAAATCAGACACTTTCATTCCAGGATAGGAGCAAGGTTCTGGAGATCAAACACACATACAAACACCCCTTGGGAGCAAAAAGAAAATGGAGCAATGTTCTCTTCAATGCCAAAGAAAAGAGATGCTGTATAGAAAAGGTACCTTACAAATCCAAAGAGAAAAGGCAATAAACCAAAGCATAAGACCATGAAGACTAGACAGCCCTGGTAGAAACCAGGATTGAAATGGAGAAGAAAATGCAAGAGACTTTAAATGTGCTAAGGAGAGGTTCATAAAATAGAACAGAGTATGCCGCTTTCCAGTAACTCAAAAAGTTTACTTGGTCACTTATTCATTCAACAGTCATTTACTGAATAATATACTATGTGCAAAATGTGATGGCACATATCACTAGATTGTCTGGTATTGTTCCAATTAGAAATAGACCACCAAGTAAAGTTGCATTTTCATACCCGAATAGAGGTTGCAACTCATAGGATAATTTTGATTGTCAGTAATGAAAACTAAGGCCTACTGAGGCTACTTAGAACCACTGTTCAGAAGCTGAATGCTAATTTTATAGCCTCATCAATTTGGCTTCCAGTTACCTGCATTGTCCCTAGGCACACAAACACCTTGTGTTGGACAGTATGATGCACTGCCCAGGTCCTCCTCCCATAGTCAAAAAGACTTACTATTCCAGCTGCTAAAAGTGCTGCTGGCAGACACATTTCATCTGTCTGTTGAAAGAAGTCATCTTGCCAGAGGACATGCACCTTCTTGGGGCGGCCTGCTTCCAATAGCTGTCACATTTCATCTGTCTGTGGAATGATGTCATCTTGCCAGAGGACATGCACCTTCCTGGGGTAGCCTACCTCTAATAGCTGCTTGATGCTTGGGGAGAAAGCCTTCCTTCTTGACACAACTCAGGACAGCTCTGAAGGGTTATCTCATCTTTGGAATTTCCTGCAAGATCAGCTGAGGATTCCATTGAGACTGCATAACAGCACAACATCTTCCACTTCCCAGTCCCGCTTCCTTTCCTTCCTTTTCACAAGTATTAATTCCAGAAACAGCCCTTAAGAAATAACCTGCATGCTAATGTCCATATCAGCTGTTTCCAGGGAAACCCAACCCATCACACATTTTCTACTTTGATTTGTCACCTCTGGAACCCAGCCTGCTCTTCTTCCTCCTTGTCCCTCTCCCCCATGTTGGCTCAGTCATTGAAGCGTCTTTGCCTGTCTGTCCCTAATGACCTAGGCTCATGTACCTCACTCCTTCTTGGAAATACATCTTTTCCTCTACCTTATCTATCAAAGCAGCTAGAAAATCTACATTTCACATATCAGGACCTAGAAAAATATGCATTGTTTTTCAGTTTCAGAAATTGAAGTAAGCTCTGTGAAGACGCCTTGAGCAGGGGCTACTGTTTTGAGAGATGAGACAAAGCCTCTAGAACATTCTGTGTGAATGTCCTCCAACAGTTTTAGAGAGGCAGATAACAATGTCCTCCAACAGTTTTAGAGAGGCAGATAACTGTTGGAGATAACGCCTATGACATGAGGCATCAAGTAATAAAATTTGTAAAAAGAAGTACAGGCGGCACGTTTGGAATTCGAAAAAGTGAATTTTTTAGCTGAAAAGTGTTTAAAAAAATTTCATGGAGTATGCAACATTTCTGCTGAAAAAGACAAGTGTAATTTATGCATAAAGTCATGAGAAGATGACATTCTTTCAGCGGGTGGGGAGAGACTGTATTAACAAAGGCATGGAGGTAAAAAATCATGGAGTATGAAAGGAATGCTAGTATGATTATGGGAGTCCCAGTGTTTATAGAGGAACAGTGAGAAATGAAACTGAAAAGATTAACTAGGATAAAAGTATCCCCCCAACCACCACAAAAGAAGAGCAGACAGTGGAGAAATTATTTCCACTTGAAAATATGATACTAAAACTTGCTACAATGTTAAAGTTGAACAAACAAAACTGGGAGAGATGTATGTTAACCTCCATTGACAAATGAATGGAATAGCATGTTTGTAGTATTATTTTCACCAGCCCCAAAGATTTCGACTTCCAAATTTCGTTTTGAAGGGAATAATTTGAAAGTGCTTAAGAAGAGAGGTATAAACGCAGGAGTTTGACAGCTCACTGGAAGGGTACTCAATCGTGTTCCCAAAGATCACATCTCTTGTCCAGACTCAGTAATACTTGATGGTGCCACCAGAAACCCACTCACTCCTCCTAAACCCATGAAACTAGCCTGATCCCTTCTTCTTCTGAATCTAGCACAGAAATCTCTTGGCTACAAAACTCAATCTCCTTGAAGGCAGAAATTCCATCTGAATCATCCATGTAGTCCTAATATGTAGCAATGCTAAAACAGAACGATCTCGCTAAATGCTGGCTGAACAAATAAATGACTTACATGGCCTGTTTAAGAGTTGAAAACTCCATGGTACAGTACCCTCCCTTCGGGAGCTCCACTGAGCCTGGAATCTATTTACATATGCAAAAGTTTGTTTGCTTGCAAGCCAAAAACAAACAAACGAACAAAAAACAAAAAACTTTTGCTCTTCAGGTGACAAAGGATTTATTGGAAATGGAGTAGTCACAGACTTAAGTAAGAAACTGAACACTTGAATTTCAGGAAAAACAAGCTGAGGAAATCACAAGGACTTCAGTACCAGGAGTCTGTGGCCTTTTTGATAAAAGTTGATGCTACAAATGTGACTCAGCTCCTACTAACATCAATTCCTGTGTCTCTCATTTTGATGGCAAATTCTTAAGTGAGAGAGTTTGATTGTTCTGGCTTCAGTCAACAAGTCCCTTTCTGCGGTTCAACACAGCCAGGGGTCAAGAAGTAAGAAGGACATAGCCACTGGGTGGAATCAGTGAAGACAGACAGTCACTCTAGAGTGTGCCTTCTCTATCATACCTCTTGTCTGCCCAGTACATACTCACACCTATTCCTTTAAATATAGTGGTGACTAACATGCGGGGGTTACTTCTATGTGTCCAGTTCTCATTTTTACACATATTGACTCATTTAATCCTCATAAAAGCCTACAATGAGTGATAACTATCTTTACTACTTTAAAGACAATGAAACTGAGATACAGACAAAATAACTGATCCAGGTTTATTCAATGACAACCTGGCAAAGCCTGGATTCAATCTCAGACATTTTTTACTTCAGAGCCCACACTATTAGCTAATAAGCTGGAATAATTGAGTCAGGGCCATATGATCTTCTGCCTGGTTACGTAAGGTTTTGACACAACAGGCAGATTATAAAGTCTTCAAGAGCCATCCTACATCATTCTTCTCTTCAAGTCCCAACAGTACAGAGTGTAGGGTTGGGTCCTGGGAGGCTCTTAATAAAACTTGCTTACTGAGTTCATAAAATCTGTACTTCACCTACATTTTTAATGCTCCTGTCACAGCCTTTTCACAGCTGCAATGCATATTCTTTTTTCACTAATACTGCTGGAATTAGTCTTTAAACCTTTTCCATTCTCATACCCCCGACAACCTCTATATCCCGGAGACTTCCAGTATTACCCTAGTATTCAGAAAATGCAGGTGTACCTTTTAGTCACATTTAGACTTAAATGTATCTATTAAATGCCAAGTAACTAAAAACTGCCAGAAAAACAGGGTAAATAAGTCTAAGCCACTGTCCCAAAGGAGTTTGTAGCCCAATGGGAAAGAAAAACACATAAGCCAAATGATGAAATGACATATAATGAGTGTTGTTGAGAATTTCCACTACCGCCAGCCACTACATCCACCCACTCATCAGCATCTAGACTCAGTGATGGATATCTGTCTCCCTCATCACAACTACAGATGAACTGTCCATGCCCCAGGATAAGACCACCCCTTCAGCTTGTGCAGTGGAATTGTGCGTCTTCTCCATCACTTATCCAAGGGGGTCACTCCAATAATTCAACACATTCTTCTGTCATCAAACTTTCCTCTCTGATGAATTATTCCCACCTGCCTACAATCATAACATTCTTTCTTCTACATTAGAAACAAACAACAACAAAACTCCTCTCTTAAACCCACCCTTCTTTTCCAGTTATTCTATATTTCTCTGTTCCCCTTTAAAGCAGAATCCTAAATGTTACCCAATTTCTCTTCTCTCAGATTTTCTTATACTCGCCCTCACTAGACGTTTGCCCCATTAGAACCACCTTGACAAAGTCATCAGTGATCTCCATTTTGTCAAATCCAAGGATCAATTCTCAGTCTTCATCTAACTTGATCTGTAAGTTAACTTGCTTCTTGTGAGATCCTAAGGCAGATGATTCTGTGATTGCTGTACTGTAGCTGTCAAACATTTCCTTTAAGGAACTGAAATGTGCCCACTTGGAGTCTGCATCAACTGGTCCCTTCTCTGACTTTTGGAACACCAGTGAACCAACCTAATCGCTCTTTCATAGACAGGCTTTCCCTTGTTTGATAAACATCACAGGTTCCTGATGTGTTTCTGAAAGTTAGTAAAGCCAACTATCATCTGAATGTAGGAAGAAGGTTGTTTGAGAACTTTATTAATTCATTTGTTCAACTAATGTTTCTGAAATGTCTATCATATAGCAGACACAATTCTATGCACAGAGGATATAGCAGTGAACAAGACAGACCTATCACTTGCCCTCAGGGAGCTCACATAATCAATTTTATTGAAAAGTGATAGCAATACCCTAGATTTTTCTGGTGTTTTATAAACATTTAGGTTTAATTTAGTGGGATAATATTCTGAATTATGACTAGTATATTTTTTCACTTCTAAAATATCTTCTCCTCTGCCTTCCCTCATTTCCAGGCAACAGGCTGAGGAGAGATGATGGAAACTAATCCAGAAAGAATATCAGTCAAGTTGATGGCTTTGAGTTCCAAGGTAGATTATTTTCCTCTTTTTTTTTTTTTTTTTTGCCCATAGCAAATCAATAGTCATTAACACTATTGAGATAGACACAAGCATTTGTGAAAGTTTCCCCAAAATCTAGGGTTTTTATTTTTTTATTTTTTTATTTTTTTTGACATGGAGTCTCGCTCTGTCACCCAGGCTGGAGTGCAGTGGTGCAATCTCTGCTCACTGCAACCTCCGTCTCCCGGGTTCAAGCGATTCTTCTGCCTCAGCCTCCTGAGTAGCTGGGATTACAGGTGTGTGCCACCATGCCCAGCTCATTTTTGTATTTTTAGTAGACACAGGGTTTCACCATGTTGGTCAGGCTGGTCTCGAACTCCTGACCTCATGATCTGCCCACGTCAGCCTCCCAAAGTGCTGGGATTACAGGCATGAGCCACCGCGCCTGGCCAAATCTAGGTTCTAAATAACAAAGGTCTTCAGCCTATGGACACAGAATATACAGTTTATATAAGAAATCTAAAAGGGAATGCAGCAGTAAAAGAGGCAGAGTTAGTTTCTCAGCCCCATTCACTGGCCTGTCATCCAAGCCTGCAAAAATGTTTCACATCATCACTGTAGGACTCAGACAGGAACTGTAGCTTTGTCTGTCTTTTCGTTTTTCCTGGTGGGAACACTGGAATCTTTGACTACAGTGAGCCGTAGGTCTTTACTGCTGCCACTGAGCTGCACTGAGGAAACACACGTTGCACCACACCCTATCCTCTCCTCTTATTGGTCTGTGCCCTCCATTCTTACTCTAAGTTTGATTATTTTTACTTCAAGACCCGTTGCAATGAAGAGCTACATTTGAGGAAACAGTCTAACCTGTATTTTTTAGGGGGACTGGGGAAACAGAGTCTCACTCTGTCGCCCAGGGTGGGGTACAGTGGTGTGATCTCAGCTCACTGTAACCTCTGCCTCCTGGGCTCAAGCCATCCTCCCACCTCAACCTCCCAAGTAGCTGAGACTATAGGCACACACCACCATATCTGGCTAATTTTTGTGTTTTTTGTGGAGATGGGGTTTCCATATGTTGCCCATGCTGGTCTTCAAGTCCTGAGCTCAAGCAATCCACCTGCCTTGGCCTCCCAAAGTGCTCGGATTATAGGCATGAGCCACTGCAACCAGCCACCAACCCACAATTGAATTCTAACTTGATCACACACTAGCTCCGAGATCTTTAGCAGGCAACTTATTGGCTTTGTGCCTCAATTTTTCCATCTGTGATACGTATACCTACTTTGCAATACTGCTGAGAATACCGAATAATATAATGAATGTAAAGGGCTTTGCTCACTGCCTAAACTACAGTAGTCAACCAATTTTATTTGGTTAGTAGCATTAGCTTTATCTTATTTACAGCATATTTTTAGCTTACTCCAATGCGAAATCTGATTGTAATTCACAACACTAAGAGAAGTAGTGTGCACAACCTTAAGCTACCAAGTACTGAGGGAAAATAGCTCACTTTCCCCTGGAAAGATGATCACCTCTGGTTTTCCAATTAACTGCTTGCTTTCGCTCCAAAGAACATCTGAGCATTTTCCATCCTGTGCTAAAGCCACCAAACTGAATTCCCTGCCTCCTCTCTTGCCTCCTCTCACAACCTCTATGCACCCACAATAGTGAGCTATCTACAAGTGGGACCGAGTCATGCGACCACATAAAACCCTTCAATAGCTTCCCTCCACATCCTTCAGGAAAAGCTGCCAGCTTACAAAGTAAAAGCAACCTTTCATGATCTGATTCCAGCTACCTTTCTAGTTTCCCTTCACTCCAATCCCAACTTTCCAATCTATGCTCCAGAAAGAAGCACCTATCTTTCCCTGCACAGAAAAAGTTGTTTCTGACCTTTGTACTTGTGTTCATGTTGTTCCCTCCATCAGGAAATTTCCTTCTTCCATCCTATGCCTGGCTGACTCATGCTTTTTTTTTTTTTTTTTTTCCCCTATCTCAGCCTCCTGAGTAGCTGGGATTACAGGCACGCGCCACCGCGCCCAGCTAGTTTTTTGGTATTTCTTAGTAGAGATGGAGTTTCACCATGTTGGCCAGGCTGGTCTTGAACTCCTGACCTCAGGTGATCTGCCCATCTTGGCCTCCCAGAGTGCTGGGATTATAGGCATGAGTCACTGTGCCTGGCCGACTCATCCATTCTTTAAGACCATAGTCAGATGCCTTCTTTTACTTGAGCCATTCAAGAACTCCCCAGGTGGGACTGTGCTCTTCTCTGTTCTGTGTTCCCTTCATTCACATTCTCATTTTAATTATTGCTCTTACACAATTTACTCAAATTATTTGATTACAGATGTACCACATGGAAGCTTCCGGAGAATTAGGACATGTCTTATGGTCCCATAAGATGATGTCACAGCAAAATATGTATATATAAGTAGTTGTTTAATAATAATTTTTAAATTTCTGGGCCATCCAATCAGATGACCCAGGTTCTGGTTCCACTTCTTCCATTAATTAGTTAAATTATTTTTCATAAATTACTGAAATTCTTTGAGGGTGTTTCCTCATATATAAAAATGGAAACTTGTTACCTCCTATCTGGCCTCCTTAAGAGTTACTGTAGAAAAAAAAGTTAAATAAGTAATTCATGTTATTTTTAAAAATTACAAGATGCTATATACAAAGTATTGCCAGAGCACTAGAGCAAATATCAAATTTGGTTGGAACCTGTTGAGATTACTGTAAAAATATGTCTTTCATATTTCTTTCAACTGGAATTAGTAACAACATTCACAACAAGATCAATCATAGAACTTGAAGCTTCTCAGGAAACATTGCAAAATACAAGTAAGTGTACTGTAAACCTGGAAGATCCTTAGGAATTCTCCACCCCTGTTTTTACATGGAAGAACCCTGAAACTCAGACATAAGACCAGCTAAGGGTCATTATATTGGAACATGTATAAGATCCAGGCCTCTAAATTCTCTGTCTGGTGTTTTGTGTAAGAAACCAAGCTAAATCTCGATTAGATGTCCTCTAATTCATGAGTCAACAAAATACATTTTTTTTGTTTTGGGCCTTGAAAATTCTATAGCCTTTTATAATGCCACACTCTAAATCCAATCATTCAGAAATGGTTCACAAATATAAACATGGGGATCTGATACATTGACACAAAGCCTCAAGAATCTCTTCAGGCCGGGTGCAGTGGTTTATGCCTGCAACCCCAGATGTTTGAGAGGCTGAGGCAGACAGATTGCTTGAGCCCAGGAGTTCAAGAGCAGCCTGGGCAACATAAGGAGACCTTGTCTCTACAAAAAAATTTAAAAATTAGCCGGGCATGTTGGCGTGCACCTGTGGTCGCAGCTACTTGGGTGGCTGATATGGGAGGATTGCTTGAGCCTGGGAAGTTGAGGCTGCAGTGAGCCGTGATTGCACCACAGCACTCCAGCCTGGAAAACAGAGTGAGACTCTATACAAAAAAAAAAAAAAAAAAAAAAAAAAAAAAAAAAAAAAAGACTCTTCAGAAGGAATAGATTTCAGGACAAATTCTCCTTCCTAAGCAAATAGTAGTTACATCTTATATTAGGAATGATCTGAAAACAGAGTATGTTTTCCAAGTGACAACTGCCTTTCACCATGGTCTTCAATCCCCACCCAATGGCCAGCCTGTCTACTACCATCTTGAAGGTCAGTCAGATTTCCTCATTATAAAGTCATGTGATGAGCCCAATCTCTGGTATCTTCTGAAGCAGAACATTCCCAACAAGTGAGCCAATTCAGCTTATGTGAGGAGCTGTAAAGCTGAAGCAAATAGCTGCACCTGGTTAAGTCTTTTCTACCTTCCAGGAGTTACATGTGCTGTAAACCCCTGAGAGAGCCAATGATAACTCACCATAGAATAAGCAGATTGTGCTTATTGTGCTTCTCAGGATTCAAAATTATTTCTTTCATCCAAGAGCTACATGTTATTCTAGGTGCCAAGAATAAAGCAGAGAACAAAACAATCAAGGTTATGGCCCATGTACAGCTTGTTTGTGATGGCTAGTCTGTCTGTCTACCAGCAGTGGGCTAGACTGAGAGATCTCAATTGTGTTTCCAGTTTTGTTTGCTATTAGCCATTGACAGACTATGCGACTCTCAGCTTTAATCTCCACATTTTAGAAATAATGACCATAAACCAGGAGTGGTGGTTTATGTCTATAATCCCAGTGCTTTGGGACGCTGAGGCAGACACATCCCTTGAGCTCAGGAGTTTGAGACCAGCCTGGGCAACATAGTGAAACACCGTTTCTACAAAAATATAAAAATTAGCCAGGTGAGGTGGCAAACACCTGTAGTCCCAGCTACTTGGGGGGCTGAGGTGGGAGGATCTCTTGAACCTGGGACTTTAAGGCTGCAGTGTGCCATGTTTGTGCCACTGAATTCCAGCCTGGGCAACAAAGTGAGGCCCTGTCTCAAAATAGTAATAACAACAATAATAATAGTAATAACAACCATAAATCTCATTTGCAGAGTGCCAGTAGAGATCAAATAAGATACTTAGTATTTCTATTCTTTGAAACACATTGAGAGCTCCAAAATTTTATGTAAAAGCACTGCTATCTATGCTCTCCACAGCCTAGCTCCAGCTATTCTTCCCAGAAATGTCTACTATTGCCTTCCTACAAAAATTCCTCCTCAGCCAAATCCATCTTTACTCTTACTCAAGAAGCCATACACTTTCTTACCCCTTATTCTTTGTTTCTGCTGTTTTCCCTTTCTAAAATATCTTTCTCCTTATTTCTGTTGTTCTTCTATTTCAGAGGTTGCAAACTAAGTCCCCACAGAAGCTAGGCAGTAACAATCAGTGAAAATTGCCTGATGTAAAAGAATGGGGAGTTGTAGAAATGGAAGTGAAAGAAAGTACACATTTTCTATAACTGTTATTTACCCTGTTAATTACTGCTAGGTGAAAATGCAAAGCTAGTAGGGCTTTGTATATCGTTACAGTTGATGGTGTCTCACAAGTCTGAGACTCTATTTTTTATTATTTCATTCTTTTTTTTCTTTCTGTCACTTGGCTGGACAATATGAATTGACCTAGCACTAATTCTTCACAACTCGTCCAGAAAAATAGAGGAGAAGGAACACTAGTTGACTCGTTCTCTGAGGCTAGGATTACACTGATATTAAAACAAGAAAAAAAACAGCATAAGGTAAAAAACTATAGACCAATATTCCTTTTGAACACAGATGCGAAAATCCCTAGAAAATTACTAGTGAGCAACAATATATGAAAAATTATGCACCATGGATCCCAGGAATGAAAAGTTGATTTAATATATGAAAATCAGTCAATGTAGTATACCATATTAATATTAATAGGACAAAGGAAAAAAACCCATGATCATAAGAGGCACAAAAATAATTTGACAGAAACAATATTCTTTCATGAGAAAACTCTCAGCAAACTAGAAATAGAAAAGAATTTTCTCAATCTAATAAAGACCATTATAAAAAACCCACAGTTGGCATCATACTTAATAGTGAAAGACTGAATGGCCTGTTCCTAATACAATAAATAAGACAAAATTTCCTCTTTTGATACTTCTGTGGAACATTTTACTGGAGGTTCAATCCAGGACCATTAGGGTAGATAATAAAGGAAAGGATATCAGGATCCAAAAGGAAGAATTAAAACAATCTCTATTTGCAGATGAAATGATGTTTTATATAGAAAATCCTGAAGAATCTATAAAAACTATTAGTACTAATAAAAGAGTTCAGTTAGTGCACAGGACACAAGATTAACATTCAAAAATCAATTATATTTTTATACAGTGACAATGAATAATATAAAATTGAAATTAATAAAACAATTCTATAGAAAATAGCATCAAAAAGAATCAAAAAAATTTAGGAATTAATTTCACAAAAGAAGTACAAGATTTGCTCACTAAAAACTACAAAAAAAATTCACTGAAAGAAGTTAAGGAAGATATAAAGTGAAAGAGCATCCCAGTTTTATCAGTTGGAAGATATAATATTACTATGATAGTGGTACAACCCAAGGTGATCTATGGATTCAATATAATACCTATCAAAATCCCAGATGCATTTTTGAAAATAAATGTGTGTGTAAATCTTAAAATTCACATGGAATTTTAAGGAGCCCTGAATAGCCAAAACAATGTTAAAGGAGAATAAACAAAGTTGGAGAACTCACACTTCTTGATTTCAAAACTTATTATAAAGCTACAGTAATCAAAACAATGTGACAATGGCATAATGATAGGCATACAAACTGATGTTATAGAACTAACAGTCCAGAAACAACCCCTTATATTTATAGTCAAATGACATTTAACAAGAGTGTAGAAAACTTGATGAGTAAAAAATAGTCTTTTCAACAAATGGTTGGGGAAAATTGAATAAGCACATACGAAAAAGTGAACTTGGACCCCTACCTCACACCATACACAAAAATTAACAAAATGGATCATAGACTTTAATGTAACTGCTAAAACTATAAAACTCTTAGAAAAAAATGCAGGAATAAATCTTGGTTATTGTGAATTAGGCAAGAACTCTTAGATATAACACCAAAAACATAAGCATTGAAAACAAAAATAATAGAGCAACTGGACTTCTTCAGAACTCAAAAATTTTGATCTTCAAAATCACCATCAGGAAAGTGAAAAGACTACCCACAGAATGGGAGAAAATATTTGCACATCACATATCTGATAACGGATTAGTATCTAGAATATGTAAAGAACAGTCGCAATTCAACAAAAAAAGACAAATAACTCAATTTAAAAATAGGCAAAGGAGTGCCGGGTGCGGTGGCTCATGCCTGTAATCCCAGCACTTTGGGAAGCCAAGGCGGGTGGATCACGAGGTCAGGAGATCGAGACCATCCTGGCTAACACGGTGAAACCCCATCTCTATTAAAAATACAAAAAAAAAAAATTAGCCGGGCGTGGTGGTGGGCACCTGTAGTCCCAGTGACTCGGGAGGCTGAGGCAGGAGAATGGTGTGAACCTGGGAGGCAGAGCTTGCAGTGAGCCAAGTTTGTGCCACTGCACTCCTGCACTCCCTGGGTGACAGCAAGACTCTGTCTCAAAAAAAAAAAAAAAAAAAAATAGGCAAAGGATCTGAACAGACACTTCTCCATAGGAGATGTGAACATGGACAATAATCATATACATATAAATAAATAAAGGTGTTCAACATCATTTGCTATTAAGGGAATGCAAATGAAAACAATGAGATACAACTTCACGCCCTTTAAGATACCTGTTATCAGATAAACAATAACAAGTGTTGGCAAGCATGTAAAAAATATGGAATCCTCATACATTGCTGGTGAGAACATCAAATGCTCAGTCTTTTTGTAAAACAGTTTGGCAATTCCTCAAAAGGTTACACAGAGTTACTATATGACCCAGCATTTGCACTCCTAGGTTTATACCCAAAATAATTTAAGCATATGGCCACATAAAAACTTATACAAAACATTTATGTAGCCTTATTCATAGTAGCTGAAATGTGAAAAAAACCTAAATGACTACCTGTTAATAAATGGAGAAATAAAAGGTGTTATATATCTATACAAAGAAATAAAAAGTGTTATATCATCTATACAAAAATGGTATACTATATGGCTATAAAAATAAAGTACTGATACATGCTACAACATGGATGAACCTTAAAAACATTACATTAAATGAAAGACACAAGACATAAAGCCCACATATCTATAATTCCATTTACATAAAATGTTCAGAATAGGAAAATCCTTAGAGACAGAAAATAAATTATTGTTTGCCAACAACTGCTGAGAAGGCATAATAGGAAGAGTGACAAGAAAAGGTACAGGATTCTTTTCAAGGTGATGAGAGTTTTATGAAATTAGATAGTGGTAATGGTTGCACAACTCTGTTAACGTACTCGGAACTGTTTTATTTTATATTTTCAAAGGGTAAGATTTATGGTATGTGAGTTGTATCTTGGTAAAGCTGATATTTAAAAAATATTATTCATAATCACAAGGTCCAACACAGTCTTTGTTACATTGATAATTTTTGTTGATAAAAACCTTAGAACATGATTTGAAGTAAGTCCCTGAGAAGATGCCTAAGAAGGGTCAGGTTTGGTGGTTAAAAATACAAAAATGTACTTCTAGTCTTTCCTCCAGAGTGAGCAATGGAGAATGGTTCCAATGGAAGTAACTCCGAGAAAACTTTAATACTTCAAATAACTCTCTTCTGGTCTTTAATTCTCACCAAGTCATATTATAGCTCAGTCACCCAAGGGCAAAAAATAAAACAATAGGGGGTCTGATATAGCCTTCTTTCCTTTATTTTAAAAAGAACGAGACCTTGGGGAGTGATGGTACGTGGTTGCCTTTCTTATGAGTTGCTTTGCAAAAAATATAGGAATGAATGCTATATGACGTTCGGAACCTCATACACTATAAAGTTATGCTACAAATTTACTCTTACTTTTCCCAGTGGTCACCAGTTAGGCTGAATTTGACTTTCTAAAAATGATAAAGGAATACTTGAAAGTAGAGAGATATTTAGAGAAAGATGAAAAGTCAGGAATGGAGAAGAAGGTTTGAGCTCATGAGAGCCACCACTTGATTCTTGCATTTTTCATGCAAAAATTGTATCTAACACATATAAAGCAGCTTCTCACTGAATATCCCTTGAATGAACAAAAAAATATTGAATGAATTAAGTGCTTATATAAAGAATCCATGAAAATTCCAGCAAACCATGAGTATCCTGTTTGGAGAAGTAATCTTTTACATTATAGACTCTCCGTTTTGGAAGGGATTTTAGAAGTCTTCAGACTTGATTTCTCATTTGTGTCTGAAGACCACTTTCTCGATCTCTGTTAGGTGGTAACTGAACCTGTACTTGAATGTGTCTCTTGACATTGAATTTATTCATTCTCAGGATGGTTCATATTTGAAGATCTTACTATTAGTTATACATTTAACCAACTAATGTTTATTGAGGGCCTCCTTCAGGGTGGCCTCAGGGGTACAGTAGAAAAAGAACCAGACAAAGACCCTTTACTTATGCAGTTTACAGTCTAGTAAGGTGAGCGGAGGAGACAGAAATAAATAATTGAACAAAATACATTCTGGCTGATGATAAAAGCAATAGAAAAAATAGAGCAAAGAGAAGGGAGTGCTGGGGGATGGTTGCTGTTCCATATTGAGTGATCAGAGCAGGCCTCTCTGCTAAGGTGACAACATATGAGCAAATAATAAATGAAGCGAAGAGGATGGCAATAAAGTATGCCTAAGGAAAGAGTTTCCAGGCACAAAGAATAGCAAATAAAACATTCCTGAAATCTGGCACTCTGCAGGAGGAAACAGAGCATGGGTTTGAAAAGGCCTGAAATTCTTTTTCAGTTCCATATTTTTGGAAAATAAAACATATACCTACCTACCTAGAATTTAATCAAAAAGAGCTTGCTCTGGTGTGGTGGAAAGATCCATAGTCCAAGTATAGACATGTAAACTAGATCCAGTTCTGTCACTCATTTGCTGTGTGGCCTTTATCAAATCATTTCTCCTTTTTAAGATTCAGTTTCCTTGTACAGAAAAAGATTAAATTCTAGATTCTTTTCTAACTCTAAAATACTATCATTCAAGGGAAATGACTATTACTCAAGGACACGTGAAATATGAGTCAATAGTAGAGCTATATAAGATGTAGGAAAACTGCTGACCAGTGTCCTGGTCTGTAATAAAATCTTCCTCATTCAATGACTGTGTAACTAACTCAAGGTCAGAGTTGATTCCTCCCCTTCTGTTTCTTCCTCACCTAAAAATGCTTCTCCCCACAATGTGTACTCAACAGATTCTTCTGTCCTGGTGAAAGTCTGTTCTTTTCAGAAAGAATTCAAGTGGCTTGGTTTCAAATTCAAGAATCAGGTGACAAACACAGAGTGTAATTAAGTACCATTGGACATGAACAAAATTTGGGAGGCTCAGAGATGTACCTAGTGCTTCTTAAATTGGTTATATATTAGAATTGCCTGGGTGGTTTCTAAAATCCCAATGCCCAAGCTGTGCCCTGAAAGAATTAAATCAGACTCTCTCAATATGTATTTAGTGTTCCTCAGGTGATTGCAATGTATAGCCACAGTTGAGGACTCTGGTTTAGGGGAAAGAGCTTGCTATTGACAGTGCACATGTCTGAACTTGACATCTAATTTTAACACTTGCTGAATGTGTGCTTTTGAGCCAGTGTCTTCAGTTATTCTCATTTTCCTTATTTGTAGCATTGGGAAAATAGTTACCCGCACAAAATACCTAAACTATTAAGTAATCTACAATTAATATATTTTCACTGAGTCTTATTTTAAGTTCTTTTCTATTAAAGTCCTAGCTTTGCATAATTATGTACTAGCTTTGTGAAGCTAAATTTATAAACCATGCTAATAAGCACTAAGAATCTTTACACAAAGCCCTGGAATGGAAACAGAGAGAGAGAAGGACAATTAAATCCATGCCACTGGCCATTCATCAATAAGAAAGCATGTCCTGATAGAATGAACACGGTGGGCAGAATTTTCAAAAGTAGATATCTAGGTTACCTATTATTGCATAACAAATTACCCCAAACCATAGTGGCTCTAAGCAACAGCATTTATTATTTCAGTGCTTTAAGCCAAGAATTTGGACACAGATTAGCAAGATTCTATGTCTCTGGGTCTCTCACAAAACTGCAATCACCTCAAGGCTTAACTGGAAAGGATTGGCTTCTTCATTCTCCATGATCACATTCATCCTTCATGATCACATCAACCACCATGTGATCATCAACCATCACGCGGTGGTTGGCAGGATTCAGCTTCTCACAGGCTGTTGGACTGAGGCCTCTGTCCCTGCAAGGTTTTAGTCAGAGGCCTTGCTATGTGGTTGGTTCACTGCTAGGTAAATCTCTCCACAGATTGCCTTACAACTTAGCAACAAGTAAGCAAGTGAATAGAGTATCAACCAAAGAGAGAGTGCTAGCAAGATGGACATCACGACCTGTGATGTAGTTATGGAAGTGACATCCCATCACTTCTGCCATCTTTTATTTATTAGAAGTGAGTTGTAAGATTCACTTCACACTCAGAGAGGATTACCCAAGCACATGAACACCAGGAGGAAGAGCTCACTGAGAGTCATGTCAGAAGCTACTCACCACAGTAGGTGCCAGAAAGTTTTGTTTCTTTAAATCCAAATGCAGTTCCTGGTCTCTGAGAGGAGAGATTGGAAAGGGTCAGAAGTGTCAGTATTACCTCATGGTCATTTACATTTCCAAGAACCAAACCTCGCCCTACCCCGCGGTTATGCTCAGGGATTTCATTTAATGAGCCCCTGCTATGTACAGAGCACAGTTCTAAGAGCTAATGGCTGATTTTGAATGAATAAAACAGCAACTGCCTTTTAAACACTCACCAGCAAATGAAGAAAACAGAAACAAAATCTTTCGGAAACAAGATTGTAAATTTTGTTATAGAGAAACCATGTGCTATGGTACTATAGGTTAAAAAAGTCATGATTTTGGGGGAATGGAATAAAATTTGAGCAACACCTTAAGAATATTTAGGGCTTTGACAAATATATATATTTGAGAAGGGCACCAAGAAAAGAAACCAGCTTAAGCAAAGGCACAGTGAAGGAAAATTGAGGGAACATTTCAAGACTTGTAAGGATGAAGTATAGGATTCAAGATACTGAAGAGAGAAATGAAGCTGAATCTAGTTACCAAGGAACAAAGTAGAATTCAGTGGAGAAACTACTGAATCTTTGGAAACCAGAGACAATGTAAAACTACTCACATTTTGAACCATCCACTGGCAGCAGGATAAAACAGAGATAGGAGTAGGGGCTACTAGGAGGGTGTGTGTGGAACCAGGGAGACCAGTTAGAGAACTTTGAGATGGTACAAACAGTAGGATTTAGGGAGAGCTTTGAGAAAAGGTTAAGCAAGATAAGTCAAAGGTACGCTGAATTCCCATACCTTGTAGCTAGAAGATTTATAGCATAATTCAGGGAGAGTATTTGGAAATATAAGAAGACGTAAAGGTTTATTACTTGCTTCATTAATCCCTCTAACATCATTCTCCTATGAGCAACAAGCTTCTCATTTGCCTGGGTAAATAAGAATTGTATTCTTATGGATTGTGCATGCTGTTATTTGTTTGGAGAGCTAATGAAACGGCATGGATTCAAAACCACCCAGGAGGGTGGTGAAAATGTTAGAAATCAAATTTAGATCTTCTTGATCTTCTCCAGTACTTCTGGAACTTTAAGTCATTGAGGTCCTTGACTGTCAGACTAAGCAGATTATATCGTACCCCATGGACAATGGGTAGCTAGGGCAACTTTATTTTTTTCTCAGCTTTGTGCTTCATCTTATGGGGGCTTTGAGTTGGACACAATTTAGGAGCTTCATAGGCATAACTGCTTCATTAATGGATTTAACATAGCATGTCTAATAAAAAAAGAATACACAAAGATTGTAGGAGAAAGGAATGTCTATTTTCATCCAAGGGCATTCGAAGAAGCCAGGATGGAATTTAGGTTTGGCTCTCAGGGAGGAGCATATGTCTTTACTGTACTGCAAAGTCACCAAGCAGAGAGGAAAAGAATACTTGGCTAATGATTCAAAAACCAGCACCAAGAAATGTCTCCACAGAGAAGGCAGAAAGGGGGGTTGAAAGTGAATAGCTCAGTTGTTTTATTTTAGAAGTGGTGGAGCTGGTGATGAGCACAGGGTTTTTCCCAATGTCCAGTAAAGTCAACTGACTGACTTGGTCAGACCTGCACAAACCATAGGATATATTCGGGGAGAAATGTCTTCTTCTAAATCACCCCATGCTAACAGGAGACTAAGTTCTCCTATTAGTTTAGTCTATCCAGAAAGTTTTTCCAGCCAATCCTTCCTCTCTATATTTACTTTTGGTGACCTTGCTCAGACTTGATCTTCTTTACCGTTCTGTCTCAGGTTGTCTCTTGGAAATTGTATCTTAGACACAGATTTGGAGGCAAGTAGTTTATTTCAGAAATGATTTTAGGTATGGGAGTACAGATGGAAGAAAGAGGAGAGAAGTAAACCGAGGAAAGTGGGTTCATAAGCAGGGAGATGCAGTGGGCCATTTGAGCTCAATTGCCCTGGGAATCTCTGAGAAGCAATATAGAATAAGCCACAGATTGTTTCAATAGAGGGACAAGAAACCTAAAATGACTGTCCTCCAACATCTGCTTATCATTGGTTCAGGGCTTCTCTTGGGGAAAGTCACATCTGGCCAGCCCCTTGCAGAGGCTGAGTGCCCTGAGGTCAGCCTTCAGGACAGAAGTCCCAGATGCCTGCAGTAGAAAGCTGTCAGCATGCACAGGAATGACTGGTGATGAGAGGATGTGGCAGAGCACCCACATCTTCAGTTATAGATGGCCTGAAGTTCCTCTCAGCTAACAAGGTCTAACCTGTTCACCTTTAATTATGTCTTTATTAAGCAGGTACTATATTACAGTCACTGGGAATACAACAGTAACCCAGGCAACTTTGCCCTTATGGTGGCTACATTGAAATGGGGAAGACAAATAATTAAGTCAGGAACTGTAATCAAGGTTTACATTATATAGGTTTTCAAACATACAAGAAAGTTGAGATAATTTTATAATAAACATTCAGTTATCCATCATTCAGTGGAATGGCAGTTACTAGCATTTTGTCATATTTGCTTTGTCTTGTTTTGTGGATTTTGCTAAATTACTGTGATGGTTAATACTGAGTGTCAACTCTAGAGAACCCCGACTAATACAATTACTTTAAAATAAAGTATAGATTTTTATAACATTGACTCTTATATACTTCAGTGTGTATCTATAAAAAAAGAAAAAAGAAAGGCCATTTCCCTGTTCAGTAACACAGTAGCATCACACCTAACAAAATCCACAGCAGTTCCCAGAATTGAATACCTAGACTTTAACATTAGTTGAAAGGTAATTCAATAAACTCAGAGAATATATGGACTGCTTCTCTGTACAGTCCAATGCCTTAATTTGATGCATCATTATAGTGATGGGAAATTAATTTGTCTGAAGTGTGGGTCAGAATACCTGGTTTTAAGATCTGCTGCTAACTTGATTAATTAATTTTGTCAGAGATCAAACTGTGTTCAGCAAAATATAGAACGTACTGGCTCATACAACTGCCAACTCCAGTCATAATAAGGGTAACTGTGTGTGTGTGTCTGTGTCTATGTGTGTGTGCGCTGTGCATACACACGCATATGGTGCACTTGGGTATGGAATTGTGTATTCATTACAGCAACCTTATGAGGCAAGTTTCCAGTCTTCATCTTTATTCACCTCAATGAGGTGACTGAGACATACAGAAGTCTAGTGGCTTGCTCAAGGAGGCCACATAGCTTGTTGGTAGCAGAGTTGTGATTCCAACCAGGGCAGACTGGCTCCAACATTTAGCTTAAGTTGGGCCCAGGGATTCAAATTATATCTACAGGACTCAATCTTCCTCTCACAACACACTCTGTCACTTGTTATCTGCCTCCATTTTCAAGTAGAACCTCCTCTCTTGATTGAAGCACAGCTTTAATTGATTCCACTTTTACTCTCACACTCCAGTAGAAACCACACACCTCATTGTTCAATTCTTAAAGCAAAGTTTTCTAATTGTGTTTCATTGGCTCCCATTTGTCTAGTTTGAGTCATGACTCATCCCTCAACCAGTCACAAGGTCTGAGAAACTGTGAGGACACAAAACATGTTGATTGAGCAGGCTTAAGCCACATGTTAATTCCAATAATAGTAACTGCAGTTAGCCCCTTTTACTGGTTGGAGAATGAGGGAATGGGGCTCTCTAGAGGAGACTGGAATGCTGTCACCATAGGAATGGAAACTGAATGCTGAGTGGCAAAAACTTGCTTATGAGCATTCTTGGATCCCAGCAAAAGCTTGTCACACAAAGCCTCAGTTTTCTCACTTCTAAAATGAAGGCAGTTGGGCACCCTCATTTCTAGAGAAGTCTTTCAACCCCAGTCATCTAATTCTATCCAATTTAGAAAATAGAAGACTGAGAGATGAGAAGACATTTGTCCAAAGTGACAAAGACAGTGGCAGAGTATGGGTCAAAACCTGAGATCCATCGGTCCCAGCCTAGTCTATTTCTCTCTTCCATAGCCACTGAAACATGGAAAGCCCTCATACAAATTCTGCAAATACACACACACACACATACACATATAAATACACACACATATGTGTGTGTGTGTATATACACACATATAATTGCTGGCATTGGTCCTTAGCTTGGAGTATCTGTGGCTTTGAAGAAAAAATTAGAATATAGTTATTGGCCTCATCTGAAAGATAGATGTTTGACCCACAATTCTTAATCAAACTCCCAAAACATACAAAATAAATTTTTAGATGATCCTTTAAGTTTCCTGAGATTTTCCAGGAATGCAGAGTTGAGGTTGCCAGGTAGTATATGTCTGATGTCATCAAAGCAGCTAATGGCTATAGACAGCTTTACCTGGCACATCATCAAAGCTGTTGATAAAGAAAGGGAGAGAAAGTCCACCCAAGCTTGGCACATCTGGATCTGTATGAACTTATGTTGATCTTCATCTCTCAGTCACTTTGAAGTAAACCTACCTTGGTAATCAACTCAGAGACCACCTCTCATCTTGCTCCTGGGAGAACAGAAGTCAAATCAACACTTTAAAGAAAACTGAGAAATGAAGTATTTTGGTTACTTCCCAACTAAGTCTTGGAGGAAGACTTTCGTAAAGGAGAAGATGGGAATATTGAGACAAAGGAATTAATCAAATCCATTTGTTACTTAAGCTGTTACTATTTACAAAGCAAAAAGTCATGAAAATCATAAGAAAAAGGCCCAATGGGCCGGGCATGGTGGCTCGCACCTGTAATCCCAGCCCTTTGCGAGGCCGAGGAAGGCAGATCACGAGGTCAGGAGTTCAAGACCAGCCTGGCCAATATAGTGAAACTCCGTTTCTACTAAAAATACAAAAATTAACCGGGTGTGGTGGCACACACCTGTAGTCCCAGCTACTCAGGAGGCTGAGGCAGGAGAATCGCTTGAACCCGGGAGGCAGAGTTTGCAGTAAGCTGAGATCACGCCACTGCACTCCAGCCTGGGTGACAGAGTGAGACGCTGTCTCAAAAAAAAAAAAAAAGAAAAAGAAAAAGGCCCAATGACAGCATGTCTTCTCTTTGCCTATCTGATCTATTGCCCTCAGTTGACTAATTCCTCTTTTATGTCAGCTGAATCACAAGGAAAGTGACTTTGATTGGTATTTGGTAATTGTCTATCATCCTTTCTATCAAACCATCTTGTAATTAAATAGAGGCTGCTACTGGATCCCTGCCCACCCCATTTAATATTAGCTGGCCCTGAACCAAGTACAGTCTAGAGTTCTTTCGAAAGAAGGATGCCATGGGTAGTAAAGTTCAGATGGGAGGGGATGTGAGAAAGCATACAATTTATGACAGATTTGTCTGGTACAACTGCTCTTCTGCAACTACGAGACAAAATCTGATTTCTAGTACTTTCTTCTTCTTTTTTTTTTTTTTTTTTGAGATGGAGTCTCGCTCTGTCGCCCAGACTGGAGTGCAGTGGCACGATTTCGGCCGACTGCAAGCTCCGTCTCCCAGGTTCACGCCATTCTCCTTCTTCGGCCTCCTGAGTAGCTGGGATTACAGGCACGTGCCACCACGCCCGTCTAATTTTTTGTATTTTTAGTAGAGATGGGGTTTCACCATGTTAGCCAGGATGGTCTTGATCTCCTGACCTCGTGATCCTCCCGCCTCAGCCTCCCAAAGTGCTGGGATTACAGGCGTCAGCCACCGCTCCTGGCCTCTAGTACTTTCTTCTTATTGTCACTTTAAAAGAGTGGAACCAGGTATAGACAGGGTTTGTGATCTTGTGCAGGCAATATGTTTGTAAACATCTGGTCACACTGTGAGGCAGAAATGTTCCTTTTGGCTGGGCGTGGTGGCTCACTCCTGTAATCCCAGCACTTTGGGAGGCTGAGGCAGGTGGATCACGAGGTCAGGAGATCGAGACCATCTGGTTAACATGGTGAAACTCCATCTCTACTAAAAATACAAAAAATTAGCTGGGCATGGTGGCACGCACCTGTAGTCCTAGCTACTCGGGAGGCTGAGGCAGGAGAATCGCTGGAACCCAGGAAGCGGAGGTTGCAGTGAGCCAAGATCGTGCCATTGCACTCCAGCCTTGGTGACAGAGTGAGACTCCATCTCAAAAAAAAAAAAAAATATTCCTTTTACCCTTCCAGAACAATATCTTAGAATGAAAAGGAGAGTTCTCCCCTTCCCTACACCTTTACACATAACGTTTAAAACCATGATAGTTACCAGTCCCATACCCCATTTGCAACCAACCCCATGGCTGTCTGTTATCTCCTCCCTTCTCTAGTTTTAAATGTTATTATAGATTTGAAAGATGAAGATCATGTCGTCTGTTCTTAAGTACCAAGGTACTTAGCACATGGTGGAAGGAGTTACATAAAATTATGAACTCAACTCATAACACTTCAGTACTTCAAGATACCAGAAAATTAAGAGAATCAAGTATCTCACGCCTATGATCCCAGCATTTTGGGAGGCTGAGGAGGGTGGGTTGCTTGAGCTCAGGAGATGGAGACCAGCCTGGGTGACGTGGTGAAACCCCATCTCTACCAAAAATACAAAAAATTAGCTGGACTTGGTTGCACGTATCTGTGGTCCCAGCTACTCAGGAGGCTGAGGTGGGAGAACTGCTTGAACCCAGGAGGCAGAGGTTGCAGTGAGCTGAGATCGTGCCACTGCACTCCAGCCTGGGTTTCAGAGTGAGACTTCATCTCAAAAACAAAAAACAAAAAACAAACAAACAAAAAAACTTTAAATCTAGAAAAACACCTGATAAGGTGAGAGTCAAGAGCTGAATGTGCAGGGAACAGGCATGGTAACAATTTTGGCATGCCCTGATCATCAAAGCCTTAAGGAGCTTGCGAATATAATTGCTTATGTCTGTCTTTCTTATCAGCACGTGAGTAACCCACAGTAAAATGCCTTCTTTCAAATTCCTCCGAGATCAGAAGAACTTCTGGGATTTAGTTTGGTATTGGTAGAAGTTTTCTTTAACTTGTGGCCACAAGACAAGTAAATCTCTTGGGTACATTTTTTTCCCCTCCAGGTATGTTTCTCTTCCTGCTAAGCTTTCAAAATCCTACTAAAGATTGCCAAAGGATGTGCACACCCTCCTACGTATTAGCCCAGATCTGAGGTATAATGTTGGAAGTGATTGTTGTAAAGTATGTAAGTAAAGCAAATGGATCCCTCAGGTTCTTCTCTTTATCAGTTATCAGACTCTGAATTCTCCTTCATTTTTTCTTTATTTATCTATTATTTATCTATCTACTTATTTATCTTCTGTTGATTATTTTTAGAGATGCCCAGGCTGGGGTACACTGGCATGATCACAGCTCACTGTAACCTTGAACTCAAGGGTTCAAGTGATCCTGCTTTAGCCTCTCAAGTAGCTAGGACTACAGGCATATGCCACCACACCCGACTCTTTCACTTAAAAGAGTTGAGTCACACTAATCTCCCAGAAGTAGAGCCAAATATTGTAAGATGGAGAATAAGAGAAAAAACAAAATTAGAAAAATCAGTGCAGGAAGTTGAACATCTGAATAATAGAAATTCCAGAAATACTGGCCCGAGAAAGTGGAGGGGAAGAAAAAAAACTCACGAAATAATAGGAGAAATTTTCCCAGAATAAAATCACACAGGCCTCCAGATTAAAAACCTTAACTAAGTGCTCAGCACAAATATGTTTAAAGTCCCACTTTAAGACACGTGATAATGAACATTTTAAAACACCTAGAATAGCTTAAGAAACATTTTGCTTAATCCAACAATGAATTCGCAACGATCATTTTCCTTGACATTTCAGTTGTCTTTTACGCAACTGATTACCTTCTCTTCTTAAAACATGTTTGTCACTACAAGACATCCATACGTCCAAATTTTTTTGTCCTGTCTATCTAGGTCTCTTCCTCTCTCTCCCTTGCTGGATCCTCCTGATGTTCCTAAATCTTTCAACATTAGTAAGTCCCTGTGCTCACTTCTTAGAGATCTCATCCAAGATCATGATTTTAAAAGGACCAATACACTGCTGACTCTCAAATCACATTTCTAGACCTGACCTCTTCCAGAAAGTCTAGACTCACATATCCAGCTGCATTTCCACTCAGATAACAATGGGCTGCTAAGTTTACCATGTTCAAAATGGAACCCTTGAATTCACATGCTCAATCCTGCTTTTTTTTCTGTGTTCTCTATTTCAGTCAATAGCATCACCATTCCTGCTATTGCTTGATTCCAAAAGAGCCAGCTAGATGCCTGTTACATCCTACATCTAATCCATCAGCATACTCTTTTTGTTCAGCCTTCAAAGTATATTTTTAATTGGACCAAATCTCATCACCTTCCCTGCTACCACTGTAGTTTCACTCCTCATCTGAGATAATATTTCTTAACTGATCTTTCTGCTTCTCCTCTTGGTCTGCCTTCCTCCTTGAGGATTACGTGCCTTCCAGCAACTACAGTGATCTTTTAAGAGTATAATAATTCCAGTTAACTACTTGTTTGAAACCCTCCAATAGTTTTTCATCACACTTGGAATGAGATGAACTCTGGTGTCAAGAGCTACCATTGGATTTGCATGAAATATTGGATGACTCTTTCCTAAACCTTGAGCCACAAACCCAGTTAATAGGCAGTAGAAGGATAAATCTCTTAGAACCTTTCCTTTGAGACATGCTTCTCTCCTCTTTTGAAGGTTGTCAATTAGCAAGCATTACTCTTCTAGAAAGCTGTAACTTGGTCACTCCAATTTGATTAGATAATCGCTATTCTCTTTATGCATAAAACTGGTCTTTCTTTAAATGTTGCAAAGTCAGACAGAGAATTGACCAAAATAGTCCCTTATATGTTCTAGGAAGTCAGAGAAGGTAATTAGGCCATGTGTGGAAAACACTAGACCAAGGTACTCAACATAATCAAACCCACATGCTCTTTTCAGATCAAGTATTTTGTAATGCATCTTTACTCTCAGAAAGAAATTTTATGTATACTATAATATATTCTCACACATACGTTTTAAAACCACCTTAATATTATGTTCTAAAAGTATTATAAAGGGAAAAAACAAAATAATTTAAAATAATATTACATTTATCTTTCCATAAATATGCCCTAGAAAATATCATGAAGTAATGAGATACTCACTCATAAATGTTAAGTCACCAAGAATATAAACACTATATAGTCGGGCAGACAGAGATTACATTAGAAACCCTTATTTTCTTAGTTAACAATAACTCTCAATAAATTCTGAACAAAAATAACAGTAACAATATGTCTATCACAATTACCGTGTATCAAAAATTCTCAATAACTCAATAAATTCTGAACAATAACTCTCAATAAATTCTGAACAAAATAACAGTAATAATATATCTATCGCGATTACTGTGTATCAGAAATTCTCAATAACAATAACTCTCAATAAATTCTGAACAAAATAAGAGTAATAATATATCTATTGCAATTACTGTGTATCAGGAACTATTCTAAACACTACATATATTAGTTCATTTAGCCTCAAAACACCCAAAGGACATATTTACTACTATTATTCCATTTTATTTAGGAGAAATTTGAGTCTCAGAGTATGATACAGGAGCTAGAAATAAATTATTTGGGGGGATAGTAAGGGCAACAGAGTCTTCAGCAAAATTTTCCTTTTAACAAAAGGAAAATGGCGGCCGGGCACAGTGGCTCACGCCTGTAATCCCAGCACTTTAGGAGGCCGAGGCGGGAGGATCACGAGGTCAGGAGATCGAGACCATCCTGGCTAACACGGTGAAACCCCGTCTATACTAACAATAGAAAAAATTAGCCGGGCGTGGTGGCGGGTGCCTGTAGTCCCACCTACTCGGGAGGCTGAGGCAGGAGAATGGCGTGAACCCGGAAGGCGGAGCTTGCAGTGAGCCAAGATTGAGTCACTGCACTCCAGCCTGGGCGACAGAGCCAGACTCTGTCTCAAAAAAAAAAAAAAACAAAACGAAACAAAATAAACAAACAAAAACCCAAAAGGAAAGCATTTTTTTTCCCCAAAACATTTTTTTTTTCCTAAAAAAGAGCAGCCTGAAAAATTGACCTGCAAACATAGATAAGCAAGCTGGAAGCTTGCACAGGTGAATGCTGGCAACTGTGCTAATAGAAAAGGGTTACCTGGGGGCCAGTATGTTCAACATGGAGGCTCCATCTTCGCTTTTTTTTTTTTTTTTTTTTTGCCACCACGTGTACAGTAAAGAAACAGGCAACACGGTGCTGACCACATAGAGAACTCATCTGCATAATAAAAGATTAAGGTGGGGGTAGCCAGCCTTTTCATACCCTATAAATGGCACACCTGGTCCAACCAAATCTTTCCTGCCCTATGTAAATCAGGCACTGCCTCCTCAAGCTCACCTATAAAACTCTCTGCATTCCACTGGGGAACCAGCAACCCATGTCTCTGGGACCTCTTTTTGCTGCTGAGAGCTCTTCTCTTTCTTTCACCTATTAAACTGCCACTCTGAACCTCACTGTTTTGTTTTCTGTGGCCATGAGACAACGAATCTCAGGTATTTACCCCAGACAATGACACCACTTCAAGAGGTTGTCATTTGCTGAAGGTCATACAGATATAATCATAAGATATAATTTTCTTAAATATAGCAACAACAATGCAAAGGCAATATAATGACCTAAGGGGCTGTTGGCCTTGAGCCTCAATGTTGGTGACACAAACACAGAGGACTTGAGCCTTAATATTGGAAACACAGAGAAATATAAGAGAAAGATTCACCTCTCCTACGGGGGCAGTGGCTACTCCATCTAATTATTGTCAGGTAGAATTGCCAGCCCAAGTTTGCCATATCTTCCACTCTAAAAATAATCTAAAAAGCCAGATTTTAAAATGTGACATCTATTAATTGTTAAATGTTGGATCACATCTTTTGACAACATTTGTTTTTGAAAGTCAAACAAACCGTAAGTATAAGATTTTACTCACGGGTCTCCAGTTTACTCCTAACACCTTTCCTTTCATTTCTGAAAGTCATTCTAACTCAAACCCTATGATGTTACACCTTTTTGGGGAATGTTAAAGAGGAAATTCCTGGAAGCATTTTTAAAAACACAGTTGTTAGAGGGATAAGCGGTTAGTCCAGAAGGCTGAGATTAGGAGCTTTTCACTACAAATGTGAAAGTCAGAAAGTCAGCTCTGAGATTATCGGGGCTAAACTGGTTATCTAACTATGTAAATAAACTCGCACCAAGGGAAGGGTACAAAATGTGCAGGAATTCTTGAGAGTTTATTTATTTATTTATTTTTTAAGAGAAGGACAGGATGCAAGACCTAAATTTCCTTTAAATATAGCACCACCCCTGACATTGTTTATACTTTCCCCTTTGCAATGCTTCCAGGCACACTTTAAAAGGAAGCGATAAGAAGAAAGGAAAAGGGAAGTCACTTACACTGGAGCATAAGGAACAGTAAGTGTCTGCTCTAAAGGGTGTGGACCAAGCACTTCAGCTGCCCTCATTTTTTTTTTCTTTTCTTTTTTTGCTTGTTTGCTTAATTTTTTTTTTTTTGTTAGGTAAAAAAAATATTTTTAAGGAGAGTCAGTAAACTCTACTTCACATCTGGGCTTCCCTCATTTTTTTGGTTTAATTTTTTTTTTTTTTTTTTTTAGGTAAAAAAAGATTTTTAAGGAGAGTCAGTAAACTTTGTTTCACATCTGGATTGTGCCTCTTTGGAAGTATGGGAATCCCATAAATCTTTTCTGTCAAGGATCATTGTATCCACTGGGCAAAGAGGCAAGTGAAGTGCGTATCAGGGCTGCTGCTTACAGTCAGCCCAGCTATCAGCAAGGGAAGGAAGCTGGAGTGACAGGATATGGGCAGGTTAGAACACAGTTTATGGAATGCTAAGGAACAATACCCACCTCCCGCTGGAAGGCCAGACGTCTTTAGAAGGGAAGTCTCTCTCTTCCTCAAGTTCAGACTAGGGGTCTGTTCAAGGAGTGCCTGGAGGAGAGAAACTGATCTCATTTTAGAGTAGATCTAACATGCCCAGGATAGTGAGCAAACACCTTGGAGTCAGACAGATGTGGGTTCAAACCTGGGATTCTCATGTTGCCAATTTTGCAACTAGGGGAAAGTTTTTCCACTTCTTAGTCCCATTTCTTTTAAATGCAAAATGATATGAATAATATTTGCCATATGTGTTTTGTAGGGATTAAAAACCATAATGAATACAAAGTGAAGGGAATACTGCCTGGCAGTAAATGCTCAGTAGGTTTAGATTTCTTTTTCTTTTTTGAATGCAAAAAATATGGGTCCACCTTAGATACAGCTACCTAGGAAGTTAAGTTTTATGAGAGATGCTAGGCAATGTACTTACTAACAATTTCTTTAATTCCAGGTTTTCATCATTAAAGACTCAATACTTTGTCAAATTTTATATCAGAAAAGTTTAGAATTGGAAAGGTCACTAAATAGCATCCAATCCAAAGATTTTTATCTTGCCCCAGTCCCTGAGTGACCCAATCTCCTCTCAACCAATATGTGATGAAATAAGTATTAATATTAACCCTATTTTGCAGATTAGAAAACTGAGACTTCGAGGGCTTTAATAACTTGCCTTAAGTTACTCAGGTAGGCTTAGAAATCACATCAGTTTAAGTCTACACTTTGAAAACACAACTGTCATCCAGACCCCTGACAAGTAAGATCTCCATTTACTCTAGCCGAAAGGGTCAGGAAATAGTTTGCTATTCCTTCACCTGGAGGCATATTGGACAAACCATTTGGCCATCTGTGAGAGCATCATGCGGCAGCTTCCTCAGTCATCCCTGGGCTTTCTCAGCCTAAGATCTCCCTCCCACACAAACCTCTCTTTTCAACTCTGGAGAATAATGTTTAGGCTTTTCTTGAGATCCAGCCTAAACGTGAGCTCCCCCACAAAGCCTCTCTGGCATATGTTTTCCTTTCCTGGTACAATTAGTTATCACAGAGGACAGAAGATGAATCCTGATGCTGACTTTGCTGGCCACGTGACACTGTATAATATGTTTGGGCTCTATGTGTCACCATTTTCTCATCTGCAAAATACTGTAAATCAATCTCGCAGGGCTGATGCGAGGACGAAACAAAATCATACCTTTCAATATTCTAACACAATCACTGGCACATATACAATGAGTATTTTCTGTGTTTTCTGATTTTGCCACTTTCTAGCTATGAGACCTTAGCCAAGCAACTTACCCATTCTGTTTCAGCTATCCTACCTGAACACGAGGAAAATTATATTTATCTCACAAAATGATTACTGGGAAGATTAAAGACATAACACATGAATAATTCCTAGCATAAAATCTGGTACCCAAAGGCAGGTATTTTTTCTTCTGTATTTCATAGACTCTGGTGTACCTAAATTATTGATTCCACATTTGAAAAGCATGGACACTTTTTTTTCCACATTCAAGAGCTATCACTTCACTCGTATATTTACATCACACATTTGTAATGCAAAATTGTGTCTCTATCCCTAGTTTTCACTGCTTTTTGGAGTGTTATCTTGTAGTAGAATGCCTAGAATGGAAATATCCTTGGTATTTTTAAGCCCTTAACCAATTAAATCAATAAACCAAATGAATCAATAAAAGTGCATCAGTTCTTGAAAGTTATTTTGAATCATTGAAGAGCCTTTCCTCTGGCAAATGTCTTTTCCTAAAAGGATAAACAAGTTTGCTCTGATTTTCTATCTTGGTAATTTGAGTCTCATTTTGCATTGAAACTCATTCCTGAGTGTATTAAATCTGAAGCAAATTCTCACTCTGATTTAGAATAAATAATTTGGAGAGGGGAGTTGGTGAGGAGTGGGATTAGATACTGATCTTGCAGCTATTACAGTCAATTCATAGCATTGAAGCTTCTTGTGGATCAGCAAAATGAACTATTTGTGTTTTTAATAGACATATGAGAAAGTAATTAGGACGTGAACTACTGATAATGAATTTAATAAACATTACCTAATGTATGCTATATGAAAAGCTTTAAACTAGATATTTTGGTATGTGACAACAATTTTAAAGCATTGAACTTCTTTCACAGTAAAATATATTATGCATTCCATTTTGAAACACCTATTAAGGAAAGAAAGACAAAAAAGCTTTACCACAAAGATCAGGAACTAAGCAAGAATGTTCCCTCTCACTACTCATTTTCAACATTATACTGGAAGTCTTGACTAATGCAATAAGTCAAGAAAAATAAATTAAAAAATGTATAGAGAAGGAAGAAATAAAACTTTCTTTGTTGACAGATGACATAATTGTCTACATAGAAAATTCAGGCTGGGCGCGGTGGCTCACATCTGTAATCCCAACACTTTGGGAGGCCGAGACGGGTGGATCACAAGGTCAGGAGATTGGAACCATCCTGGCTAACACAGTGAAACCCCATCTCTACTAAAAATACAAAAAAAAAAAAAGAAAAGATAAGAAAATTAGCTGGGCGTGGTGGTGGGTGCCTGTAGTCCCAGCTACTTGGGAGGCTGAGGCAGGAGAATGGCATGAATCCCAGAGGCGGAGACTGCAGTGAGCTGAGATCCTGCCACTGCACTCCAGCCTGGGTGACAGAGCAAGTCTCCATCTCAAAAAAAAAAAAAAAAAAAAAAATTCAAAAGAACTATCAAAATCTCCTGGAATGAATAAGCAGTTATAGCAAGGTTGCAGAGTACATTCTTAATATAAAAGAGTCAGTCGTCTGTATACTCACAATGAATAAGAACAATTTGAAATTTAAAATAATACATTTACATTAACACTCAAAAAAATAAAAGTCTAACAAAATATGCACTAGCTGTACATGAAGAAAACTATAAAATTTTTATACAATAAACCAAAGATCCAGAAAAATGGAGAAATATTTCAAGTAATAAACAGGAAGAATCAATATTGTCAAGACATCAGTTCTTCCCAACTTGATCAATAGATTGATCAATAGATTCAATGCAATGCCAATTAAAATCTTAGCAACTTATTTTGTGGATGTCAACAAATTGATTCTAAGGTTTATATGGAGAGGCAAGAGGCACAGAATAGCGAATTCAATATTCAAGAGAAGAACAAAATGAGAGGACTGACACTACTCAACTTTAAACTTAATATAGAACTATAGTCATCAAGACAGTGTGGTATGGGCAAAAGGATAAACGATAGATCAATGCAACAAAATAAAGGGCAAATAAATAAACCAACATACGTATAGTCAATTGATTTTTGAAAAGAAGCAAAGGCAATAAAATGCAGAAAATATGTTTTCTTTTTTCAATAAATAGTGCTTAAACAACTGGACGTCCACATGCAACAACCAAAATGAAAAGAATCTAGGCACAGACCTTACATGCTGCACAAAAATTAACTCAAAATGGATCAGAGACCTAAATGTAAAATGCAAAACTATAAAACTCCAAGGAGACAACAGAGAAAATCTACATGACCTTCAATATGGTAATGACTTTTAAAATACAATACCAAAGATAAAATCCATTGAAAAGTTGATAAAACAGACTTCATTAAAATTTTTAAAATACTTATGCTTCACAGAAGACAATGTCAAGAGAATAAAAAGTCAAGCCATGGACTTGGAGTAAATATTTGCAAAAGACATATCTGAAAAAAGGCCATCATCTAAAATAAACCCCCCAAAACCTCAAAATTCAACAATATGAAAATAACCTATTAAAAATGTGCAGAAGTCCTAAAAGGAGACTTGAAAAGACACATCACCATAGAAGATTAACAGATGGCAAATAAACATATAGAAATATTCAACATCTTATGTCATTAAGGGATTGCAAATAAAAACAACAAAGAAATATCACTACATACCTATCTCAATGGCCAAAGGCCGAAAACCAAAACATTTGCATCAAATGCTGACAAGGGTGTGGAGCAATAGAAACTCTCACTCATTACTGTGGGAATGAGAAATGGTAAATTACTTCAAAAGGCAGTTTGGCATATTCTTACAAAACTAAATATACTCTTACCATACAATCCAGCAGTCAAACTCCTTGGTACTTAGCCAAATGAGTTGAAAACTTACATTTGCACAAAACCCAGCACGCAATGTTTACAGCAGCTTGATTCAAAATTGCCCAAACTTGGAAGCAGCCAAAATGTCTTTCAGTAGATAGCTGGATAAATAATCTGTAGCACACTCAGATAATGAATTTTTTTAGAGATAAAAATAAATGAGCTATCAAGTCATAAAAAGACATAGAGGAACCTTACATGCATATCACTAAGTGAAAAAAAAAGTCAATCTGAAAAGGCTACATACTGTAAAATATCAACTATACAAAATTCTGGAAAAGACAAAACTATGGAAACAGTAAGAACATCAGTGATTTCCAGGGGTTAGGAGGAAGGGAGGTGCGAATAAGAAAAGCACAATGGATTGTCAAGGCAGTGAAACGCTTCTGTATGATACTGTACTGGTGGACACATGTCATTATACATTTGTCAATACCCATTGTCATATGGGAACTCTGGACCTTTCACTCAGTTTTGCTGTAAACCTAAACCTGCTCTCAAAAGTAAAGTATATTTTAAAAAGTTAACGTAGATGTTTAATCAAAATATTTCTAGAGGGCTGGGTGCAGTGGCTCACGCCTGTAATCCCAACACTTTGGGAGGCCGAGGTGGGCGGATCACGAGGTCAGGAGATCGAGACAATCCTGGCTAACCTGGTGAAACCCCGTCTCTACTAAAAATACAAAAAATTAGCTGGGCATAGTGGCAGGCACCTGTAGTCCCAGCTACTCGGGAGGCTAAGGCAGGAGAATGGCATGAACTTGGGAGGTGGAGCTTGCAGTGAGCCGAGATCGCGCCACTGCACTTTCTTGCTCTGGGCGACAGAGCAAGAAAGACTCTGTCTCAAAAAAAAATTCTAGAAAAATTTTATATATGTAACAACTAAATAACAAACTTCTAAATAAATATGGGCCAGTGAAAAAAAATCAAAAGAAAAATAAAAAAGACTTTTGAGCTTAAAGAAAACATTGTTAGCACCCTATCAAATCTGTGAGATGAAGCTAAAGCAGCACTTAGACGGGTATTCATAGCACAAGAGGCCTATATTAGAAAAGAAAAGCAAGTTTCAAATCATAACTTCAGCTTCCACAAAAGAAACTAGAAAAGAAAGAGCAAAAACACATGCAAACAACAACAAAAATAATGAAACAGAAGAAGTGAAACAATCATACCTTAAGTCAATAAAATATGAAAGAAAATAAAGAAAATTAATAAAATGAAAACCTGCTTCTTTGAGAAGGTCTATAAAATTAATTTACCACTAGGTAGGCTAATCAGAAAAGAAAGAATGAGGGCAAATTACATGTATCAGAAATGGGAGAAGTGACATCAGTATAGATTCTCTATATATTAAAGGAAAAATAAAATATTATATACAACTTCATACACTGATAAATTTGATAAACTAGAGAACATACACAAATTCCTCAAAACATTCAAAATACCAAAGCTCACTTGAAAAGAAAGAAACTGAATAGCCCTATATCTAGTTTTTAAAATAATTTTTTGTTAAAAACTTTCCCACAAAGTAAATGCTACTCTCAGATGATTTTACTGGAGAATCCTATCAACATTAAAAAAATACACAAACTCTTTAAAACAATTGAAGAGGAATGAACAGTTCTCAACTTATGCTGAGGCCATCATCACTCTGATATCCAAAGAACACAAAAGTATTACGAGAATAAAAAACTGTAGGTCATCAGTGCTGTCTGCCTGGTTGGTTAAAAATAACAGCAACAACAATACAAACTACAGGTCAGTATCACTTAGGAGGATGATTCAGAAAAAAAAAATATTATTTCTAATAAAAACTCTCTATAACTAGAAAGAGAAGGAAAGTTTCTCAATTTGATGAGCATCTACCACAACTCATAGATAACATCATATTTAAATGATGACAGAATGCTTTTCCCTTCAAATCAGAAACAAAGCAGTGATGCCCTCCTTTCACTGCTCCTATTCAACATTGTACTAAAGATTCCAGCAGGTAATGTAAGACAGGAAAAGGAGCCAGAAAAACAAGCTGAAAAGGAAAAAGTGAATGTTTTTAATCCCAGAAGATGAAATTATTTATATGGAAAATTATGTAGAATTTACTCCCTCCCTCCACCAAGAGGTTAATTTAGCAAGGTCGCAGCATACAAGATCAATATACAAAATAAATTGTATTTACATATACTAGCAAACCTGAAATTGACACTACAATAAATACCATTTGAAATAGCATCAAAACTGTGAAATAGTTACATATCTGACAAAAGATGTCTAAGACCTCCTGCACATTAAAAACTAGACAACATTGCTGAATAAATTAAAGAACTAAACAAATGACAACATATACCATATTATGGATTGGAAGATGCTCCATTGTGCAGATATTAATTTTCTGAAAATTAATCTATATAGTCAATCTAATTTTAGAAAAATTCCAGAAAGTTCCAGAATTGTAGAAATTGGCAAGCTGGTTATTACATTTATATAAAATTCAAATGACTTAGAATAGCAAAAACAACTCTTAAAACGAACAAAATTGGAAGATTTATATTACCCAACTTCAAGAGTTAACTATTAAAGCTGCAGTAAACGTTACTGTGTGGTACTGATTTCAAAATAAGTAGTCAGGTGCAACAGAATAGAGTTCAGAAATAGATATACACAAATACCAACAACCATTGATAAAAAAGCAAAAGCAGTTTAGAGGAAAAAGAATAGTCTTTCACCACATGGTGATGGAATAATTGGATAGGCATATGCATAAAAGCGAACTTCAATCCATACTTCATACCATATACAAAAAAATAAATCAAAATGGACCATAAGCCTAAATGTAAAACTTAAAATTATTTTAAAAATTAAAAGAAATAGGAAAAAAATCACATTGGATTAGATGATGATTTCTTAGATATAACATGAAAAGCAAAATTTTAAAAAATGTTAATTTTGTTTTCAAAATTAAAAATTTCTGCTCTTGAAAAGACCCTGATAAGAATGTGAAAAGACAAGCCACAACTGGTAGAAAATACGTTCATATGTTATATCTAAGACGTATATCCAGCATATATAAAAACTTCTAAAAACTCAATGGGGAAACAAAAATCCTAAGGAAAAATGGTGTAAAAATTTGAATAGGCACTTTACCAAAAAAGATATACATATGGCAAATAAGCACATGCTTATATGTTCAACACAATTAGTAGTTAGGAAAAGGCAAATTAAAAGCATGGTAAGATGCCACTACAACTTTACTAGAATACCTAAAGTTAAAAAGACTCACTGTACCAAGAGGTGGTGATGATGAGGAGCAACTAGAATTCTAATACACCCCTGGTGGAAATATAAAATAGTACATCCACATTGGAAAACAATTTGGCACTTTTACAACCAGGCCAAAAAATAAAGTATATGATTCAATTTATATAAAATTTAAGAAAATGCAAACTCATCTTTATTGACAGAAAGCATATTACTGGTTACAGGTTTTGGGGATAGAAAGAGAAGTAGGAAGGAGGAAATTCAAAGGTATAGGAGAAAACTTTTGACAGTGATGGATATGTTCATTATCTCCATTTTTGTGATGATTTTACAGGTGCATAAATAAGTTAACACTTGTCAAATTGTAAAATTTAATCAAGTATAGTTAAATGTATATATGACATAACACTATTAAGAGGGAAAGTCAAGATCTTAACCAGGTCATGCCTTTTGGCCCTACTTTTTTGCCTCATTTAGATTAGACCTTGAAGTCAAGTCTGAGTGGAGATTTAGCATGCCAGAGAGAGAATGAAGTATTGGAAAAATAGCTAGAGTGGGAATCAACAGAACCAGGGTAGGCTGACTCAAAGACATGAAGCAGAGTGTGGAAGGAAGACTGAGAGCTGTGAAGAGATTCACTTGTCATTGAATTTCACAAGGCTTCCCTCCTGAGAGAGGCCCTCCCTAAATACCCAACCCAAAATGATACCACCACTCATAATCTATGTGCTCTATGAAAGACCCTATTTTATGCTTTCACAGGACTTATCCAAATATGAAATTGTCCTGCTTATTTCTAGGTTTATGAATTTATCTTCTCTCTCAAGCTGCTGACATGTCTAGCTTACTTGTCTTGTGCACTGTTTCCCAGCATGTAGGGTGGTGCCAGCCACCTGGATGCACCTGCTGAATAAATGTGTGTTGACTGGATGGGTAAATGAGTTCATCCTTTTCTATTTTAGGTTTTAAGTTTGGTTTGGGGCTTGACAATCTCCCCAAATTTGCCAAAAACATTTTCCCTTAATTTCGAGTCTCATGTCTGTTAAGAAGGAAATTAAATCCAGATGTTTCTGAATCATCCATCCTGAACTCACTAGAGTTCGGTGTTCTAAGAGCTGAGTTATAGAGCTTTTCTCTTAGTAAAACAGTGTCCAGAGAGGGAAATAAGCAACCTCAGAGAAACAAAAGGATTAAAAAAGCGTGAACATTTCCAAATTGTATCTCCAGTTGATATTTTGACAACAGTTGGTGAGGGATGTGGCGGTACCCAGTATCTCCTACCAAGACAGAGCAACCTCTTGTGGAGCACCCTGCTAAAACATCTCACTTTCTCTGATGGGCAGTGAGATCTTGTGCCTCAGTCTTTTATCCTCAGACAATGCCAGAGCAGGTTGCCCCCTCTCATCCTCATTATTAACTTTAGTTAATATATTTCTTGTGAAGCAGAAGTCTGATGGGAATGTGAAGACATGTTGTCATCCAGTAACAGATCTTTCAAAGGCAACATCTGGAAGCAGAGCTAGTCTGTTTGGGAATCACCAACCTAGCTTTTTGCTTTGTTTATTTTTGTTTTTATCATGTGTGTGTTTCAGTACAGATTTGTGAATGAATATGAGCTTCCAAACAAGACAGATTTGTTTTTCAATTCCACTTCTACTATTTAGCAGTAGTGCTTTCTTGGGGCATTAACTACATGCTCTGAGGCTCTGTTATTTGTAAAAATTGAATTAAAATGTTATAGCGAGTTGTTATAATGATGAAATGAGGTTTTATGTAAAGGGCCTACCAAAATACCCAGTATATATTAGAAATATTAGAAAAGATGGAAAAGAAAAGAAAAATAATGGGGGGAAAGAGGAAGGGAATGAGGAATAGAGGGAGTAAGGGAAGGAAAGAGAAAGGGAAGGTAAGAGGGAGGGAAAGAGGAAGGGAAGATGGAAGGGAGAGAAAAGGGAAGCTAGGGAGGAAGGAAGAAAGGAAGGAAGGAAGGAAAAGAGGAAAAAAGGAGGAAGGAAGGAAGCAAGAGAGGAAGGAGTCAACCAGTCACAAATTTTCTAAGAATTTATCAACTTTTGCAAGCTGGTATGGGGCAGTACCTTTATACCACTGAAGAAAGGCTACAAAAGGCCACAGTTGTTGAGAAAATAAACATTGATTAGTCAACCTATGACTATAGCAGATTCAAAATATAGCTTAAACTCATAGTAAGTCCACAAATACTAATTTCACTTTTTTTAAAAAAGGGTGCTGTATATAAAGCTGGACTATGTGACAGGCTCAGAAAATTTTATTGTTCTCTTTGAATCTGGTATTTGGGGGTCCCAGTATTTATAAGAAAAAGCTGAAGAGAAATGAATAGTAGTTTCTGAGGAAAAGAATTAGGGCTGGACTCAGGAGCACTTTGAGTGCTGGACTCCAATGAGTATCTGCCAGACCTTTTTTTTTTTTTTTTTTTTTTTAAACAACAAACTATTGGACTGATAAGGTGAATTTCACTCTTAGGGATATGCTGAGTTATCAAACAGGATAAAATGCAATACAGTCTCAAGAAGTGTTAAAAGGTAAATTGAGGCACAATAAAATTTTAAAATTGAGTTTATTTGAGCAAACAAAATTAATGAATTGGGCAGCTCCAAATCAGAAGTTACTTGTGGGGTCCATCATGGGAATCCAAGGGAAAGGCTTTTATAGGATGAATATGGAAGTAAAGTAAAGAAAATATTTGATAGATTACTATTATACAGTTACCTTATTTGGTCTTTACTGCTATCAGGTTCCCAGTTATGTAAGTGAGTTGGTGGCTTCTGACTGGTTAGCCTTCAGTTTCAGTTTCATTTTCCTTTAATATAATTGATAAGAGAATGCCCAACTGGGCCTGGGCACGGTGGCTTACGCCTGTAATCCCAGAACTTTGGGAGGCTGAGGCAGGTGGATCACCTGAGGTCAGGAGTTTGAGACCAGCCTGGCCAACATGGTGCAACCCCATCTCTACTAAAAATATAAAATTTGTCGGGCATGGTGGTGCATGCCTGTAGTCACAGCTACTCGGGAGGCTGAGGCAGGAGAATCACCTGAACCCAGGAGGAGGAGGTTGCAGTGAGCCGAGATTGCACCACTGCACTCCAGCCTGGGTGACAAGAGTGAAATTCTGTCTCAAAAAAACAAACAAAACAAAACAAAACAAAAAGCAATGCCCTATTTAAGTTTCACTTATGTTTACAAACCAAAGGTAAGATCACTTGTGAGGTCTAATTGGCTTTGCCTGCTCTGAAGGATTCTTCAGGTCTGGTCTCCATTTTATCTTACTTTAATAGAAAGGATTATACTTTGATCATCATTTATTAATATCTCAGTGTTTGATTTTCTTATTCACAATCAATTTTTTGGCAATAATCTCAGGGAATGAAGCATAGGGCAGGTAAGTTTTAAGATGGGGTTGAGAGTCAAAATTGTCATAGATCCTGGGTTATTAGAAGGAAGTCTTAGTCTGAGTAAAGTGTGGCTCTGGTGGGTCCTAAGCCACCAAGAAGCAGTCAGAGGACCTGGGTCCAGGGCATAAAGGCAGGTGGCGGGAGTGGTGGTTTGAGAACAGGTTTTATATGATAATACTTGAATTTTTAAGTTTTGCTTTTTTTGTTTTTACTTTACCTTTTTTAGTTAAAAAGGAAGAAACTCATATCTTTAATGTTTGTGTGATGTTGGGCAAATCACGCATCTATTCTGATTCAGTTAACTCACCTATAAAAAGGGAGCATGATATTAGCGAATTTTTGTGAGTTTTCAATGTGGTAACATAAGCACCTGGGACAAGGTGAGATATTAGCTCAATCACCATCTATCTGATTGTTTTCTTAGCTTCCTTTCTCCTTCATATCTTTTCTCTGCAGGGAGCAAATGAAAAGACATGAAGGTGTTTCATAATGGAGATATGGGATGGGTAAGTGCCAGGTGTGTGTGTGTATGCGTGCATGCACATGCACGTGTTTTAGTGAGTCGAAATCTGAACATCTGATTTCAACTCTGCGGGCAGAGGAATGCTTTTATTACAAGCATATGGTTTTATTTACTTTCCTAGGAGGTACTTGCTAGAAAACTCTTGACCCCTCTTTTAGAGCCCATTTCAGATGCTGCATCTTTAATGAGGCTGTGTCTAAGTCTCCCAGCAGAAACTGGCCTTCCACTCCACTGTATTTCTCAGATTCTTTACCTTGTGCTCTAAGCAGACGTCTTACATTGCCTTATGACGTAATAATCTTATTGGGCTTGGGTTTGTGAGTCTGACCTTTTGCTTGTAAGAAGCACAGGCCACTCTTGGATTACCTAAGATCATACAACGTTGTTGTAAGAAAAGGTATGGCCTTAAGAAAAGCAGGGAGCTCAACCATGTCTCATGGGAACCCAGAGCATCTCCACAGTCAGGCCTCCAGGAAGGATAGAGATGTTCACACCTCTAGGCTTCAGAGGGATGGAAACACTTTCGGGAACCAGAAGGTTACTTGTGATCCCAGCAAGCTTATTGTACAGATCCCAAGGCCATTGTTCGCATAGACAGTGTGCACACCTGGTCAGTCAAACAGCCTTGCCCGTGCCTGTGCCTCTCCTGTGGGGCCTCTGAGCCTGGACTCTTCACCCTAGCTCAACCACTCCTCTGTCTTTTTCTTCACTGCTGTTTGCTTATTTCAAAGGGAGAAAATCTGCTGGTCACAGTGGTCACCACCGTATCCACTGGCCAGTCTTTCTATGCCACCTGCAGTCTGCTGGCTGATTGTCCTTGAGTTACATATCCACTCCAAGCAAACATACACTCCAATCACCCATGGCCGAGATGTTGGGTTCACACTTGGCACTAGTGAGATTTCTTATGGGAGTGGATTGTGTCTGTTTGGGAATCCCAACGAAGGCAGCTGGAGCATGGCAAGCATCTGAAGCAAGGACTCCCCAGTGGACTCTCTTAACTCCATTACTGCTCTCTAAATTTATTTAACAAGATAAGCAAACTGTTCCTTGTTCATCTCTGAATTGCCTGCAGCAACTAATAGGTACTGAACACTTTTAAAATCAGATTGAGGTTGGGCTTGGTGGCTCATGCTTGTAATCCCAGCACTTTGGGAGGCCAAGGCAGGTGCATCACGAGGTCAGGAGATCAAGACCACCCTGGCCAACATGGTGAAACCCTGTCTCTACTAAAAATACAAAAATTAGCTGGGCATGGCAGCACGTGCCTGTAGTCCCAGCTACTTGGGAGGCTGAGGCAGGAGAATTGCTTGAACCTGGGTGGCAGAGGCTGCAGTGAGCCAAGATCACGCCACTGCACTCCAGCCTGGGCGACAAAGCGAGACTCCATCTCAAAAAAAAAAAAAAAAAAAAAAAAAATCCAATTGAACTGCATTTTTTCTGTGCTTATTTCTTGTAACTCTGACTCTGGTTTGAAAAGGATATATTCGTGGATGTGATGTGGGATTGGGGAGTACAGAGAGAATGAAGCACACTAGAAAGGTAGTATAATATTTTGCAGAAAATAAAATGGCAAGCAAGCAGTCTGGGTCCAGTTTAAAAACTAATTTTAATAAGATGCCTTTGGGACTTCTATCTAGAGAAAACTTAAAGTAGAAATATCACATATTCCTTTGTTTGTTTCTTACACACCTGTGGAATATACTGAAGGTCATGACCCAATTTGTATACCTAGAATGGTTTTCAGTTTTACATTTATTTTACAAATAGAGTATAGAGGTATTTGATATTCACCCTCTCACCCTACTTCCTGAAGAGTTATCTTGAATGTGGTCTGAAGAAGATGATGAAATGGGAAAGATTCCTGATAAAGAAAGATTGGTATATTCTAAAGCACTGTTGGCTTGAGCTCTCAGCCATTGTTCGTCATACCCCTTGTGTTAGTCATGCTGCTAATAAAGACATACCCAAGACTGGGTAATTTATAAAGGAAAGAGGTTTAATAGACTCACAGTTCCACGTGGCTGGGGAGGCCTCACAATCATAGCAAAAGGCAAAGGAGAAGCAAAGGTACGTCTTACATGGTGGCACATAAGAGAGCGTGAGTAGGGGAATTCTTTTTTATAAAACCATCAGATCTTGTGAGACTTATTCACTATCATGAGAACAGCAGGAGAAAGACCCACCCCCATGATTCAATTACCTCCCACCAGGTCCCTCACAGGACATGTGGAAATTATGGGGAGCTACAATTCAAGATGAGATTTGGATGGGGACACAGCCAAATCATATCATCCCTCTAGTGTGATGAATGGAAAAAAGCACAAGCGCCAATAACCATATTTGTATCTACATTTGTTGTATCAAGGCTTATCATACTGCATCATAACATTGGTTCACACATCTTCAATCACACTTACCTGTTTTGTTCATCTTAATACCCCCATCAAAATACTGGCTATGTAACAAGATTCAATAAATCTTTACTAAATCAATCAATCTTCAAATACACAAATGCACTCATGAATGAATGAAAGTGCTAGGTCACCACTGATACTATTGTACTTCCCATCAGCTTTTTAGTTTCATGGACTTTGATCTTATTTGCTTCTCTACCCGTAACTATTCATATTGAGGTGGCCACATCTAACCAATACAAATATAGGACACCGAATGACATTGGAATTTTAGATACTCAATGAAAAAAATTTAGTGTAAATTTGTCCCACATTAAAGTGTTATTTATCCTCAATTGAAATCTGAGTCTTTTATTGTAACTGGCAACCCTAATAGACACCAATAGTACCAATCATTTAAGTCTGTTTTCATGCCATAGCTCTCCCTATACCCACCTCTCTCTTACTTTCCCCATTCCACTGCACCCCCAGCAGTCACCATGCTGATCACAGTGGGCTGGGCTCAGCTAGAATGTCAGCCAAAATGAATCTTGCTCTAATGAAAGGAGATTCAGGTCTTCCACACAGCCTAATAGTGGACAGGGTCTCTAAACGGCTTCCTAAAGAAAACAAGAGCTGCCAGGGAGCATGGGGGCATCCTGATCAAGAACACTTGCCTCTTTTGTCTAAAATAAAGAAAAGAGCTATTCAGAAACCAAATTGATTAAAATTGAGGGAAATTGCTGGACCATTGATAATTGCAGCGAAAGGGCAGTGGTCACTCTGACTGATTGCCACTTCAGAGGGAGCTGCACATCATCAACCAATCATGGGCATTAGTGAGCAGCAACCTCTTAGTGACCCACAGCTCCCCCCTTGGGAAGCGTTTCACACAAGCCTTTAAAGCCAGACCAAGGCATTTTCCGCACCATATTTACCTTTAATTCCCAAACCTAGAGGGACTGAAAATCATTCAGTCTCTAAATGTCTTTCATATGCTTAAGAGATGAATGGAAATGACCTCTACCTCAACAGCTTTCTCCGTTCACCAGCCTTTGAAATACAATAGGCGGGTGAGACCCTGTGGCCCCCGTACGTCCCTGGGCTTCTGGCTACGTACCTTCCTGCACCCCAATCAGGCCGATCAGAAATGCTGCTTCTGTCCAACACTGTGAAAACCTAAGCACTTGTCTAGTTTGTATTTTTTTCTTACATCCTCTCACAATGGCATTTTGACAAAGATAAATCATCTTCTCTGTTTTAAAAGAAATCTGTGTTTGTCAATTGAAAGGAAGAACTTTGCCCTGGGACCTGAGAAACTGGGAGTAGTCCCAGCTCTGCCACAAGACCATTGTTGTGTGTTTTCAGGCAAGGTGTAGAGCATTTCCAGAGCTCAACTTTCTCACTGAGAAAACAGCAATATTAGACTCAGTCCACAGGTCACTAACTGTGCTAATCATTGAAAAACTTGGGAACTCAGAAAAAAATATATGTATTGCATGCTAGTATGTGTGTAATTTTTTCCTTTCTTAAATTTTTTTTTAAATATACAGATGAGACTTGCTATGTTGCCCAGGCTGATCGTGGACTCCTGGCCTCAAGTGATCCTTCCACTTCTACCTTCCAAAGTGCTGGTTTTACAGGCATGAGCCACCATGCCTGGCTGAGTTTCTAAATAATAAACTTAAAATAATGTATTTTAAAATATTGCTTCTTTTTGGTGTCTCCCCTGGAAAGTCATACTTGAAATCAGTAATCTGTATTGTAAATAAGCTCTCAGAATGATTCTAAAGATTAGACAGGTCTGGAAATAACTACAGGAAAAGGTCACCAGTCTTCTGCCTCTTTTCCTACTTAGCATTTCAGAATAGAAACACTGAGTATTTTTGTTGTTGTTGTTCTACCTATTCCTAGAAGCCTGGAGGCTGTATATATAAGAGAGTAAGTGAAACAAGGCCTCCAAGGATGTTTAAAAGGTCAAAGGGATCTATGCAAGGAAGGGAAGAGGAGGTGCCTTCTGTCCCCCAACCAGGAAACCCCACACACTTGATAAAAGTGCACTTCCTCAGACCAGAAGGCTGGAGTGAGTTTAGCCCTGGCTTTGGCAAAGGAGGCTTTGTTTGCTAAAAGAAGGGTAGACTTGTGATTAAAATCAGGCCTGGAAGAACAGTTCTAAATGTGGATTCCTTGTGATTACAGATCCCCAGCCATTTAGGAATCGAAATCTCTGTTCCCTATAAATACCTCCCCTGTGAAAACAGGGCTAGTTTGCTCTCAGGAAACTGGATTCTGGCTCCAGAGGAACTACCAAACTATTTATGTGACATTGAGTGCTTCGCTGCCTTGTTCAATACTTCTGATTCCTCATCTGTAAATTAGGAGGTTGGTTGACATGTGTAAGGTCCTTTCAAGGTGTAAAAAATGCAAAATGATTATTTTAAAACTTCTGTAGCCATTATTTAGATAATATAATTAAAAATATGTAAATATCATTTAATAGTTTCTAGTGAGAAAAAAAGACACAAGCCTAATACACAAATAAGAAAAAGACTGCACAAATTGTGGCATATCCATGCAAGGAATATTATTCAGCTATCTAAAAAGGTGAGTTTTATTTCTATCTGTTACCCTCAAGGGATGTCCATAATGTGTTCTAAAAGTGAGATATTTAATAAAGAAATTAAGTAAATCATAGACAATTATGTATGAATTTGATGTTTCTAATAAAAAACACCAAAAACATATGTCCATATGTTTTGCAAGAACATTGAAAACAGATGCAGAGATACCCATCAAGCTGTTAATATTGGTTTCCTGGGGGAAAAGGATAGTGTGGGGGAACATTATTAGCTATTCTTTTCATAGCTTCAAACTGCTTCACTGGTTATAGTGAGGGCTGGTTTCTTTTGTATTTTTTAAAAAATAAATCAGGCTGGGCACAGTGGCTCACGCCTGTAATCCCAACACTTTGGGAGTCCAAGGCGGACGGATCACGATGTCAGGCATTCGAGACCAGCCTGACCAACATGGTGGAACCCCATCTATACTAAAAATACAAAAATTAGCCAAGCATTGGGGAGCACACCTGTAATCCCACCTACTCAGGAGGCTGAGGCAAGAGAATTGCTTGAACTCAGGAGGTGGAGGTTGTAGTGAGCTGAGATCACGCCACTGCATTCCAGCCTGGGTGACAGAGCAAAAATTTGTCTAGAAAAAAAAGGAAGGAAGGAAGGAAGGAAGGAAGGAAGGAAGGAAGGAAGGAAGGAAGGAAGGAAATATTCTTAGCTCTTCTTCTGAGGAAGACATATGGAGTGTGAGATGGAAGCTACAAATCCTATCTACAAAAGCTATTCGAAAACATTCCCACAAAGCTAGGTTTCTCTTTGGGGGCGTATTCTCTGTCTCCCCTGCCACTGCCCCAGGTCTTCCCATCTCTTGACAGGATTACTGCATCAGCCCTTGTTTGCTTTCAGCCTATTCATGCATTCTCCACATTGCTGCCAATGAAATATTTCTCCTGCTCCCATCTGGTCATCCCACTTCTTTTTTGAACATTTTCAATGGCCTCCCAGTGCTCATAGGATATTCTCTACACTCTTCAGCAAGACAGACTAGGCTCCTCACAATTAAATACCAAATTTCTTGTTCAATTTTGTCTACATACATTTCCTATTTATTTTCTATGTTTCAGACACATTGAATTGTTTACTATTTGCTATTTTTAAAAAAATCCCTTGATTTTTCACAGTTTCATGTTATTCAAATGCTTTTTTTCTCAACCTGAATTCAGTTTTCCCTAAGCATTTCTGGTGAATGCCTACAGATTTTTCCAACTTAAGACCCAATTTAAATATCATCAGCTGCATAAAGGTTACCTTTAATACCAGCCTCAAGAGGAAGGAAGTCATCCATTCTCCCACAACATCCATAGTAAATATTCTAAAACATGACAAATCTATTATAATGATTCATACATTTATCTTCATCCTTCTAAAATGAGAGCTCCATTGAGAATAATATATGCTCAATGACTTTTGCATAAATTTCATTTACTTGTAAACTTTATGAAATAATTTTTTAAACGCAATAGCAAAAACATCAGATCGTGAACTGCAAGGGATACATCTGGTAGTTTAAATTTTGTTTTCAAGTGACCCTAAGTACTTGATTAAAAATTGACAACATCAAAGGAATACCAATCTGTGCTTATTATTGCTATGCAAATAATTGCCTGTGCTGGTTATTGCTGCCAAACACTCTTGGAGACCCTCTCCTCAACCTACTCCACCAAAACACAGTGTAGGCTAGATGAAACATTGTTTTTGGCACCAAAAGATTAAGGCTTAAGTCCTAATTCTGTGTCTTGTTGTTTGAAGTCTGGCAAGCTCTCAAGTTCTCTTAAAATTCATTTGCTTATCTATTAAATAGGGACAATGAAAAGATGACTTCTTCACAGTGCCCTTGTGAAGCTGAAATAGTAAGATTACTAAAGTTATACATGAGGCTGGGTGCAGTGGCTCATGCCTGTAATTCCAATACTTTTGGAGGCTGAGGCAGGCAGATCACTTGAGGTCAGGAGTTCGAGACTAGACTGGCCAACATGGCAAAATCCCGTCTCTACTAAAAATACAAAAATGAGCCCGGTGTGGTGGCAGGCACCTGTAATCCCAGCTATTTGGGAGGTTGAGGCAGGAGAATCACTTGAACCTGGGAGGCAGAGGTTGCAGTGAGCTGAGATCATGCCACTGCACTTTAGCCTGGGCAACAGAGCGAGACTCCGTCTCAAAAAACTAATAAAAATAAATAAACAAATAAATAAGTTCTACATGAATGTAAGTTGTTATACTTTTAACAGCCAGTCTTTCTTTCACAATATTTGTATGCTCATTCGTCTGATCACACCCCTGCTAGGCAAAATCAGAGACACCATCACGGTTGTCATGAGTAAAAGCAGAATGTGCATCTAGCTCATTTAAATTCACCTGTTAGATCAAAATGAAGATTTCCCAAATTAATTATAATGGAATAGTTATTCTTTATATAAATTTTTTTTTGCAAAAAGTCTCATGACCTGTTTCATTTTAATAGTATTATCTTCTGAATGTATACAATATCCTAGTTCACAAAAATAATCACATACCGATACAAGTACACACACACACTTTTTTAGCCAGTTGGAGCAAGGCTGCTCCTTTCCATTGCTCCTGTAAACATCATTCCCTTCCACTCTGGGCTGGCAAAGTGGAAGTGAAAGTTGCTGAGCTCTGGAGATGGGTTCATCTTGATTTCAATCTGGACAATCAGTCAAATGGATATAATGATATCTGGTTTGCAAGATTATTATAAAAATAGTAATAAAATGTGTAAAGTAAAATATCTATAATATATACAATAAACTATAAAAGTGCCTGGTACATGTGTTCAACAAACACTAGCTTCTATTATTGTTTCACCATCATACTCTTCAAATAACTCACTCCTCTAAATCAAAAAGCTAGTTAGTTTTTATGCAAACAAGAAATCAGAGACCTCTGATATACACTAATTAGTTAATACATAAAAGATGAGGACTCAGTACTTTCAGGTATAGAAAAGCTTTCCAAAATGTATCCTTTTTAATGATGTTTCTCAAATGTACTTTGAAATTCTAATGTCCTATCATGACTAAAACTTAATTGGACTATAACTCTGGTCCTAAGACAAAGCAAAAGAATTGTTATATTTCTAATATTAATGGGTGGAATAAGAGTTAACAATATAATGTATATAAAGTGTATACCTTTATAAAGGTATATAAAGTCCTTTACAGGTATATAAAGTCCACCAGGAAAAGAGTTTCAAAGACTCATATTATCAATAGGTCTTTTCTTAATAAGCTTTTTTCTTAAATTTTATTTTGTTGTCAATGAGTCTTAATGTTTAAAAGTCATCAACTTTTAAAAGTAATCAGAGAGACAGTGAAGTGAGTGGAGTACAGTCTCCAATATCTGCCTGGGTTCAAGTCCCAGGCTTACCATTCTCCACCTATGTGAGTAGAAATCAATCCAATAAAAAAGGAACTCAAGAGAGGGTACAACACTGTCAGCTGGAAAGCCCACATCAATAGGAGCTATAATCATTAAGAATTTACCATCTGCCAGACACCATGGTTACACTACACGTCTTATTTATGCTAAATAGCCCAATGAGGCAGACACTATAATCAGTCCTGTTTTTAAGACAAGAAAACTGAGATCCAGGGTTATAAAGATCCTTAATGTCACACAACCCCAAATGACAAACCCATGCACAAAGCCCATGCAGACTGCTGCAATCATTTTCTCACTGGTAATTAAAAATAACTTTAGGATATGATTTGTTGGAAGATTTGCCTTTCAAATGTTGGTTGTTCAAACACATAAAAACAAAAAATTGGGAGTTGATGCATTATCAATGTTAACAGAATATCAGTAATGTGACACCTGTAGGCAATACAACTGGCTCTCTTTCTGAAGCATATATTAGAAATATATTCCAGCTTAATTGTGTGACAGGGCCAAAGAGCCTTCCCGTGTCATGAGTTTGTCAAAAGAAGAACAGACTTAGAGTTTAGCAGGAGTAACTTCCTCACTTCACATCCAAGAAAACCAAGGTTCAATATAATTAAGACCCTACCAGTATGGATACACACCTACTTCCATGGCAGAGCTGAAACTTGAATTCAGAACCCCTGATTTGCAGGCCGGAAAGTATTCCACTGCACGAAATTGTAGCAAGAAATTACAATGATCTCTTCAGTTTACCAGTTATATATTTTGCCAAGCAAAATTCCGCACAACTCATATTTATTTGAAGTCTATATTTAATTTTTATTTATTTTGAGATGGAGTTTTGCTTTTGTTGCCCAGGCTGGAATGCAATGGCACGATCTCAGCTCACTGTAGCCTCCACCTCCCAGGTCCAAGCCATTCTCCTGCCTCTGCCTCCCGAGTAGCTGAGATTACATGACAGGCACCTGTCACCACACCCGTCTACTTTTTTGTAGTTCAGTAGAGACAGAGTTTCACCATGTTGGCCATGCTGGTCTCAAACTCTTGGCCTCAGGTGATCCACCCGCCTTGGCCTCCTAAAGTGCTAGGATTGCAGGCATGAGCCACTGCACCTGGCCTGAAGTCTATTCTTTTAAATAAAGACAAGCTAATTATCTTCTCATTCATATGCCTCACCTCTCCGACTTAAGTAGGAGGGACCAAAAACAGAGAATAATTCTCTGGCCTGTTTGGGTTGTGTTTTCCTACAGTATTTCAGGCCAGTTACATACAGGTCTATCTGAGCAGGGAACACAATATTTCCGAATACTCACAACACCACAATTTCCTATCCAAATATCAACCTTCTTTGTTAGACTTTAGACTCATGATAAAGCTAGATCATGACTACTGCATTCAGCATCCCCAAGTACTCAGGCACAGTATTTTGGCTAATAGAAGATGGTCAATAGATTTTTGATGAATGAGTGAAGTAAAGTGAAGCTCATGTAAGAATGATATTGGCTGAATGAGATGGTTCATCCTTGTAACCCCAGCACTTTGGTAGGCCAAGGCAGGTGGATCACTTGAGCCTGGAAGCTAGAGACCAACCTGGGGAACATAGTGATACCTCATCCATTCAAAAATTTTTTTAATAAAAAATAATTAACTGGGCTTGGGGATGTATACCTGTGATCCTAGCTACTTGAGAGGTTGAGGTAGGACGATCACTTGAACCCAGGAGGTCAAGGCTGCAGAGAGTTGTGATTGTTCCACTGCTCTCCAGCCTGAGTAACAGAGCAAGATGCTGCCTTGGAACAAAAAAAAAGAATGATATTGTGCTGGCCAAGCTAAAAATATGAATAAGTTGTCTCCCCTTCAACTGTTTCTTTACTACTTTATTCACACTAACCTCATGGTACTTGCCTCAGTCCATGTGTACCCAAATTTTGCATCTAGTAGCATAGAAATTCTTTTATGCCAGACACTTTGCCTTTTTTTTTCCTTTTCATTTCCCCTCCCTAAACATACCCATCACCTAATCCCAGCCTAATCCCTGTCACATTCCAGAAGTTCGCTGTATGTTTATTGAATGAAACTGAGCCTATAATCAAGAGGTTAAACAGAATAATCTCTTCAGGACACTTTCAATCCTAATATTCTATGATTCTGGAATGCTACAAAGATGTCTGCCAAAATGTCCTCATTTGCTTCTGTATCTTGTTTAGTAAGCCATCTCTGAATTCATATAGCCTTTGGTGTGGATATGCCCAAGGATTTGTATATTCATCTATACCATTCTTTGGGATAATAAACTTGGAAATAAATGCTTCCTACACTAATGTGCTCTAAGATGAAATGTATTATATCCAGAGGCCAGCAAAGGCATTTTAAACAATGACACAATATGGTTTATTTTATAGTTATGTTGTTTATTTTACTTTTTTCTTAAGACTGTATTATAAGACTGGTAAACACTGTAATTCTTAAAGCTAACTAAATATGTCTCAAGTTTTGCTATGTAGAGGCCAAACTATATTCTTAAATCAGAGGACTAAATAAAGGATCGGTACATTCTTCAGGGAATGTCTAATGTGAACCATACTTGCTATAGATCATGCCAGGGTGATACTGGGAGGACAGAGCTCATGATCTAAGTTTTTTTTTCTTCTGTATGGGAAAGTCAGAAAGCACTGGGCCGCTATAGAGAATTGCTAGAAGCCAGGATGCCCAGAAAACTAAATTACTGCCAAAGTAAAACATTCTGTGTTATTTATAAGTGGGTGTTGTCAGGTCAGCTAAATCAATTATTCACCATTTGTTCAATTTCGCTTTGTATAAATCTTCATTTTCTCATATAGCACACTCTTGATTTATTGTGAAGCCATACATAGTCAGTAATGAGGATTGAATGCCAAACATTAAACTGAGGATGGTTGCAAAATGCACAAGTTCTGCCCCTCAGCTGGCTTTATTTTTCTACATCCCTCCCTTTTCTAATAGCCATCACTTGGTCTGTTTTTCATATGTAAATCATAAAGAGAAACACTGTTGCACTAGCAACAAGCAAGAGTTGTGTAATATCTTTGCTTTATGATTTTCCAACCTAGAATTCTAGTTGATGCCTATCACTTAGGATACTGGTGATGGTTAAACAAAAGCACAAATAATTCCAATAATGCTAGTTAACAACGACCATTTCTATATTGTTTATTATGTGACAGCAGCTGTGCAAAGCACTTTACATACATCATTTAATCCTGACAACAGCCTTTGAAGATGTTAATGATACCACTTTACAGTTGAAGAAGCTAAGATTTGGGGATGGTAAGAAGCTCGCCCAAGGTCATAAGGTTTGTATTGTAGAAACAGGACTCTTGCATCCATATTATAGACGCTTGATAAATGGTAATTTTGATTCTATCTCTCCTTTCCTTTAATTTACTTTCTTGAGCAGGGGACATTGGGCCATTTTATCTCTCTTGCTACAATTGCTGAGAGCTCTGATTTCAGCAACATCTGTATCCTCGAACTTTTTGGGTGACCCTTTATTAACAAGATGATTCATTTATAAGAATATTTCTGAACTCTGACCTTGGAATCAATATCTTCTTATCAATCAACTGTGGCAAAATCTCTGCAGGGAGCTCTGAGGAAGGAAATAAGAAAGAAGAAGAAGCACCTGTGTAATTAAAAAGGACAAGCCCCTTATGAGGCAAAAAGAAGGAATAAAAGAGATGTGGAAATTGATGGAGAATTCAATCCCAAAGATCCAATCTTAGACCAAATAAATTGTTTTGTAGCTCTGAACCTTTAACTGAATCACTTTAATCTCTGAAACTTGCTGAAGAGCTCTGCACAGGGCTGGCCCAGGAGACTTGGTTCTTTGCAGGGAACAAGTTTGGTGATTTTGGCCAGGGATGGGCACCTCTCACGGTGGTATTGGGACAACGGTGGTGGACAGTCCAGTGGATGTACCTCCTGCCTCTCATATCTGCTGTATACAAAAGCTTCTCTACTTATCAACTTCTGGCTTCTAAAAGGTGACTATCATGTGGAATTTTTAAAAATATAGGCTGCAAGGACAAATTTTCCTAGAATCAAATGCTGGCTTCTCCACATACAGGCTGGCGTTGGCCAAATCACACAGCTTCTCTAAGCCTCAGTTTTCTCATCTCTAAAACATTGACAAACTTAAATAGTTGTAAACAAAGCAGTGAATCAGAGTAAAACCCCATCAGCTTTGACCACAACCAACAGATGGCAGGAATCATCATTGATGTATTATTGCATCTTTAGACTTTTGATGAACAACTGTTTTATAAACTGAATTTAGAAAGCCAGTTCATAAAGAAACTTCCATATTGGGGTCTCTAAGAACTTCAAGAAATGCATGTTACAGCTGGATATCAATAGCTAGATATCTATCTTACTGGCTTCCTAACTAAGTTCTACTAAGCACTAGAGTACCAAAAGGAGCTACAGAAGTCTTTAAAAGTTGGGCCAAGAAGAGAAGAAATGAGTGACAATGAGTCCATGAGGTTCTGACCCTCAATCTCTTCCCCTCTTTTTTTTTAAATTGAGACAGAGTCTCTCTCTTTCACACAGGTTGTAATTCAGTGGCACAATCATGGCTCATTGCAGCCTCGACCTCCCAGGCTTAAGTGATCCTCCCATCTCAGCCTCCAAGTGGCTGGGACTACAGGCATGCACCATCATGCCCAGCTATTGTTTTTGTTTTTTTATGTGTACTTTAAGTTCTGGGATACATGTGCAGAACATGCAGGCTTGCTACATAGGTATACACATGCCATGGTCGTTTGCTGCGCCCATCAACCCGTCACCTACATTAGGTATTTCTCCTAATGTTATCCCTCCCCTAGCCCCCCAACCCCCCACAGGCCCTGGCGTGTGATGTTCCCCTACCCATGTCCATGTGTTCTCATTGTTCACCTCCCACTTATGACTGAGGGCATGCAGTGTTTGGTTTCCTGTTCTTGTGTTAGTTTGCTAAGAATGATTGTTTCCAGCTTCATCCATGTCCCTGCAAAGGACATGAACTCATCCTTTTTTATGGCTGCGTAGTATTCCATGGTGTATATGTGCCACATTTTCTTTATCCAGTCTATCATTGATGGGCATTTGGGTTGGTTGCAAGTCATTGCTATTGTGAACAGTGCTGTAATAAACATACATGTGCCTGTGTCTTTACAGTAGAATAGTCTTTATAACCCTTTGAGTACATTCCCAGTAATGGGATTACACTCAGCTATTTTTTTAAATTTTTAGTAGAGATAGGGTCTCACCATGTGGCCCAGGCTAGTCTCAAACTACTGGGCTGAAGTAATCCACCTGCTTCAGCCTCCCAAAGTGCTGGGATCAGAGGCATAAGCCACTGCACCCAGCCTCCATCTTTTTTTAAAGGAAATAATTTTTACTATTGTATATAACATATTTTGCAATTCTGAGTAATATTTTATTTTCTTCTAGGAAACTACTGTATTAGTTTGTTTTCACACTGCTATAAAGATACTACCTGAGACTGGGTAATTTATAAAAATAAAATGTTTAATTGACTCACAGTTCTGTATGGCTGGGAAGGCCTCAGGAAACTTACAGTTACAGTGGAAAGTAAAGGTGAAGCAAGGACCTTCTTCACGTGGTGGCAGGAGAAAGAGAGAGATCAAAGGAAGGAGTGCCACACTTTAAAATCATCAGCACTCATGAGAACTTACTCACTATCATGAGAACAGCATGGGGGAAACCATCCCATGATCGAATCACCTCCCACCAGGACCCTCCCTTGACACGTAGGGATTACAATTTAAGATGAGATTTGTGCAGGGACACAAAGCCTAATCATATCATTCTGCCCCTAGCCCCTCCCAAATCTGTTGTCCCTTTTCATTTAAAAGCCAATCATGCCTTACCAACATCTTAACTGATTCCAGCATTAATTCAAAAGCTCAAGTCCTAAGTCTTATCTGAGACAAGGCATGTCCCTTCCACCTATGAGCCTATAAAATCAAAAACAGGTTTGTTACTGCCAAGATACAATGGGGGTACAGGCACTGGGTAAATGTTCCTGTTCCAAATGGGAGAAATTGGACATACAAAGGGACCAAGGTCCCATGCAAGTCCAAAACTTGGCAGGGACCTCATTAAATTTTAAAGCTCCAATATAATCTCCTTTGACTTCATGTTCCACTTCCATGGTATGCTGATGCAAGGGGTGGGCTCCCAAGGCCTTGGGCAGATCTGCCTCTATGGCTCTGCAGCATACAGCACCTACAGCTGCTTTTGTCAGCTGGCATTGAGTGCTTGTGGGTTTTCCAAGTACACAGCACAGGCTGTCTGTGGTTCTACCATGCTGGGGTCAGAAGGATGGTGACCCTCTTCTTATAGCTCCACTAGGCAGTGCCCCAGTGGGGACTTTGTGTGAGGGCTTAAATCCTACATTTCCCCTCTGCATTGCCCTAGTAGAGGTCCTCCATGAGGGCTCCACCCCTGCAACAAACTTCTGCCTAGAGATCCAGGTGTTTCCATGTATCCTCTGAAATCTAGGTGGAGGCTCCCAAAGTTCAACTTTTGTGTTCTGCAAACCGACAGGCCCATACCACATGAAAGCCACCAAGGTTTGGGGCTTGTACCCTCTGAAGCCATGGTCTGAGCTGTACTTTGGCCCCTTTTAGCTATGGCTGGATCTGAAGCTGTTGGGACTCAGTGTGCCATGTCCCAAGGCTGCATCAAGCAAAGGGCCCTGGGCCCAGCCCACAAAACCATTTTTCCCTCTTAGGCCTTCAGGCTTGTGATGGGAGGAGCTTCTTTGAAGATCTCTGAAATGCCCAGGAGATATTTTCCCTATTGTCTTGACTGTTAACATTCAGCTTCTCATTACTTATGCAAATTTCTGCAGCAGGCTTGAATTTCTCCCCAGAAAATGGGTTTTTCTCTTCTACTGCATAGTAATGCTGCAAATTTTCCAAACTTTTTATGTTCTGCTTCCCTTTTAAACATAAGTTCCAATTTCAGATAATCTGTTTGTGAACTCATAACTATATGCTTCAGAAAAAGCCAGGTCACGTTTTGAATGTTTTGCTGCTTAGAAATTTCTTCTGCCAGATATCCTAAATCATCTCTCTCAAGTTTAAAGTTCCACAGGTCTCTAAGGCAAAGGGAAAATGCTGCCAGTCTATCTGCTAAGGCATAGCAAGAGTGACCTTTCCTTTAGTTCCCGATAAGTACCTTATCTCCATCTGAGACCACATCAGCCTGTACTTCATTGTCCATATCACTATCAGCATTTTGATCAAAACCATTCAACCAGTCTCTAGGAAGTTCCAAATTTTCCCACATTTTCCTTTCTTCTTCTGAGCCCTCCAAACTGCTCCAATCTCTGCCCATTACCCAATTCCAAAGTTGCTTCCACATTTTTATGTATTTTTATAAAAGTGCCCTGCTCTGCTGGTACCAATTTTCTGTATTAGTCTGTTTTCACAGTGCTATAAAGATACTACCTGAGACTAGATAATTTATACAGAAAAAATGTTTAATTGACTCACAGTTCTGCATGACTGGGGAAGCCTCAGAAAACTTAACAATCATGGCAGAATGTGAAAGGGAAGCAAAGACCTGCTTCACATGGTGGCAGGAGAGAGAGAGAGAGATCAAGGGGGGGAGTGCCACACTTTAAAATCATCAGCTCTTGTGAGAACTCACTCACTATCATGAGAACAGCATGGGGGAAACTGCCCCGTGATCCAAGTACCTCCCACCAGGTCCCTCCCTTGACACATGGGAATTATAATTTGAGATGAGATTTCAGTGGGGATACAGAGACAAACCATATCACTACTATTTATTTAAACGTAGCATTAAGAGAAGAATTTATCCACTCTTAGAGAAGGTTAAATATCTTGGCCAAGATCGTATTAAATAAACTAGGAGTAGAACATATAATAGAGCCTGATGCTGGGCCTAATCCCCATTTCCAGGGCTCTCCTCATGACTCCAAAAAGTGCAGACATTCACATGGCGCAATACTCCAATCCAGGTCATAATTTAACATTGTATGATTCCAGCCCTTTAGCCTTGGTCTGTCAGGGTCTGTTAATGCCCCTTCAGAGGTTTACAGGGTCACAGATGGGTTACAAGTAAATAGCCTTGATACATAGCTCTCGGGCTTGGGTCAGATAATATTGAGCTGGTGATTTTAGGAGAAAAGGGAAGGAAGAATTACAAAAAGCTTGGCGTTGTTCCCTCAGCCTTCTTGGCTTCCTCAGTTGACTCACTTGGGGAACAAAACACAAGAAAAAAAGACAGAATGCTTGCACCCTAGTGTAACAATAAAGTGGTCCTTAGGGCAACCTGGGAAGTCAGTGACTAAGTCATGAGACATGAAACTGGGTGAAAGACTAGCACTTTTGTTATTTTTGTAACATTTCTCAAAGCCAGTCTTTTAATCTAGATTTTAAAATTTTACCTATGGCAAATTTAATAAAAGATTGATTAGAAAACAATATAGCAGTTCCTCAAAAAATTAAACACTGAATTACCATATGTCCCAGCAATTCCACTTCTGGGTTATATACCCAAAGGAATTAAAGACAGGGTCTTAAAGAGATATATACACAACCATGTTAATTGCAGCATTATTCACAATATGTCCAAAGGTGGAAGCAATGCAAGTGTTTATCAATAGATGAATGGATAAACAAAATGTGGTATATGTGTACAATAGAATATTATACAGCCTTAAAAAGGAAGGAAATTCTGACACATGCTACAACATGGATAAACCTTGAATTCATACTGCTAAGTGAAATAAGCCTGTCACAAGAGGTTAAATGCTATATGTTTCCACTTATATGAAGTACCTAGAGTAATCAAATTCATGGAGACAGAACGTAAAATGGTTGTTTCTAGAGACTGGGGAAAGGAGGGATGGTGAGTTATGGTTTAACAGGTACAGAGTTAAGGTTTTGCAAGATGAAGAATTTCTGGAAGTGGACAGTAGTGGCAGTTTCAGAACAATGTGAATGTACATAATACCACTGAACTATACACTTCAAAATAGTTAAAATGTTAAATGCTATGTTAGGTATATTTTGCCACAATAAAAAAAGAAGGTTGGCTCTAGGCAGTGTTTTGAGATGCATATCTGTATTTGGTATTCAACAAAGAAGAAAAATTCAAAAGTGCTACACCCATATGTGCTTTGACCTTTAATTTCACTCTGACATCTTCCAGTTAGGACTCTATTATTGAGAGCATAGTAAACAGGATGCCCATTGTGGCGGGAACTGGATTTCTGGGGAAGGATCCTGGATTTAATCTTTTTAGGAAAAATCACATAACTATGATTTATTATTAGCATCTTAATGATGTGAGCTATTTTAAAGAGATAGTGCTTTTCTCAGCAGCCACCTGGAGGGAAGAAGTGGCTCAGACCTCAGAAATTGTCACTTGTGAGTATTCCGGAGACATGGCCTCTTCCTGCCCCTCAGTACACAACAGCTTTCACAGCCCATTGTTTCAGGGATATCTTTTTTTTTTTTTTTTTAATGGAAAGGACAGAAGAGAAACAAGGGCCCCTTCCTACCAAGGTTTGTGAGAGGTTAAACATGAAGTCAATGTATGTGAAAGTGTTCAGTAAGTGCCTAGCACATGACAGGCACCCAAGGAATATTCTAGAACTTATGCTGACATTTTCTACTATGGTCCAAGTATTTTCTCATGCATTCATTTATTCATAAAAGTAATTGAGCATTTACATACCTGGCTTTCTTCAAGTCACAGATGATGAAGGAATGAATAAAATGAAGTCTCTGCTTTCATGGTGTTTACATTGTAGTCAAGGGACAGAGAATATACAAGTTACACACTGTCAGTGGAAGTAAGGGGTACAAAGAAAAATAAGCAAGATGAGAATGAAAGAGACCAATAGGGGAGGGTGTTGTTTGTTTGTTTCTTTGTTTAAACCAGGGAAACCTGAAGAGAGTGTTTGAATCACATGACATTTGAGCAAAAACCTTGAAAGGAAGCTCGGGAGCTTTGCATATGAATGGATGAATGCATTTGATCATGGGTGAAGGGTCCTCCGGACAGTGGGAAAGGCAAGTAAACTTCCCTGAGGTAAGGACATTCTGAGAAAGTTTCTGACATTGCATGGATGCCAATGTAGCTAAAACAGAGTAGGAAAGGGTGTGAGTGTTGGAAGACGAGGTCAGAGAAGTATGTGTATGTGTGTGCATATCTTGGGGAGTATGTGAAGATTACATAGAGCATGAATCAGAAAATTCTTTCTGCAAAGAGCCAAATAATAAATATTTTATATTCATGGGCCATATGGTCTCTGTTGCAACCACTCAACTGTATTGTTATAGCATGAAAGTAGTCACAGACTAAATGTAAACAAATGAGCAATAAAAAAATAAATAAAACAGGTACAGTCTTATAGACCATGGTGAAAACTTTCTCTTTCACTCTAAGAGGAAAAGCTGCAAAACAGTTTTATAACTGTAGAAGCCAGGTGAATTATGAGGAGGTTTTAACAAGAATGAGGGGAGAGATGCTGGTGATTTGCATTCGGAAAGGGGAGGGGGCTATGTTTTGAAAGTAGAGCCAATGTGAGTTGCTGACAGATTGCTTTTGGGGCACTAAAGAGAGGAGTGGAGGATGACAGTCAACTATATAACCCGGGCAATGGAATAATGAAGCCGCCACTGAAAACTGGAAATCAGTTGTTCATATTTTCACATGTTAAGTTTGAGATGCCAATAAGCATACAAATGGAGATACCAAGTCAACTGCTGAGTTGGAATTCCCAGGAAAGACTGGAACTGGAAACATCAATGTGGGAGTCATTGGCATGAGAGTGGGACTGAAAGCAATAGGACTGGATGGAATTATACCAGATGGTAGATTAGAGGTATTTATCACATAGAATATACGGTACACCCTATACAGGACCATGCACGGTTAAGGTTAAGGCTGTGGAAACAGGTTAGCCTCATAGTAAACTCTGCATTAGCCACATACCACCTGTGAGATTTTAAGAAATGTAATCTTCATAGGATGCCATCTACTCTACTATACCCAGCATATCATAATACCCAATACCTACCAAGATCTCAGAAAATTATATCATGTCATTACCTGATTAAAATCTGCAATGATCTCTTTGCTCTTAAAATAAAATCCACAGTCCCTGGCACAGCCTCTAAAGTGCTGCCTGTTCTGGTCCTTTGCTGGTCTCTGCAGCTTCCCCTGCCCTGGTCCCCCTCTCATTCTCAAGGTTCCTCCCACCTGATCTATGTCTGTTCCACACCCATGTCAAAGTATTTGCTCCAAACTTTCTTGCCCTGGCTCTTACTTATCCTTTAAAGTTCATCTTAAATGTTACTTCCTTGGATAGGCTTCCCAGACACCCTAATCAATCTATGTCAGCATCCCTAGTATGTTATTTCACAGTGCCCTACTGTTTGCCTTCTTGACACTGTCAGTATAATAGGAGATTGTAAAGAGCCAAGCAGCCTGGGTTCAAATCTGGACTTGGTCAACTAGTAGTTGGAAAATCTTGGATAAGTTACTTCACTTCTTGGTGCTTCAGCTCCTTTATCTACAAAATGGGGTGATGATAGTGTCTACCTCGGAGGTCTACCACAGGACTGAATGAAATAACGTATGTAAAACACTTTGACTACCTAGCATAGCAAAGGTGCCGATGAGTCTTACCTGTTATTAGAATGATTATCTACATAGCATTGTATGAGTATTGTTTAACACCTGTCTATCACTGTAAATAATAAACTCCCCAATGATAGGAACCGTGTCTCTCTTGTGCTCTCCATCCTTGTCACTTATCTGACATGCAATGCTCTTGAAATAAATAAATAAATACACGTTATTATCTTTATCATCATCAGCATTATGATCTCATTTTGTCCACTCACTATGTGAGGTAGGAATCATCTTTTTGACAGATGAGCAAATTATGTCTGAGAGAGGCTAAGGAGCCCAAGGTGACACATGCACACTTCTGACAGAGTTGGAATTCCCACACAGATCAGACTCCGGATGCTTGCCGTTGTGTTAGAATTCGGTTTGGAAAGATTACCTGCACGTCATCTACAAATGACTGCACGCTAGCCAAAGTGTACAATAGAAAACCCCATCATCTCAGCCAAAATTCTCCTTAAGCTGATAAGCAACTTCAGCAGTCCCAGGATACAAAATCAATGTGCAAAAATCATAAGCATTCCTGTACACCAATAATAGACAAACAGCCAAATCATGAGTGAACTCCCATTCACAATTGCTACAAAGAGAATAAAATACCTAGGAACACAACTTACAAGGGATGTGAAGGACCTCTTCAAGGAGAACTACAAACCACTGCTCAAGGAAATAAGAAAGGACACAAACAAATGGAAAAACATTCCAATGCTCATGGATAGGAAGAATCAATATCGTGAAAATGTCCATACTCCCCAAAGTAATTTATAGATTCAATGCTATCCCCATCAAACTACCATTGACTTTCTTCAGAGAATTAGGAAAAAACTACTTTAAATTTCATATGGAACCAAAGAAGAGACCGTATAGCCAAGACAATCATAAGCAAAAAGATCAAAGTTGAAGGCATCATGCTACCTGACTTCAAACTATGCTACAAGGCTACAGTAACCAAAACAGCATGATACTGGTACCAAAATAGATATATAGATCAATGGAGCAGAACAGAGGCCTCAGAAGTAATGTCACACATCTACAACCATCTGATCTTTGACAAACCTGACAAAAACAAGCATCAGGGAAAGGATTTCCTATTTAATAAATGGTGTTGGGAAAATTCGCTAGCCATATGCAGAAAACTGAAACTGGACCCCATTCTTATGCATTATACGAAAATTAACTGAAGAGGGAATAAAGACTTAAATATAAGACCTAAAACCATAAAAACCCTAGAAGAAAACCTAGACAATACCATTCAGAACATAGACTTCATGACTAAAACACCAAAAGCAATGGCAACAAAACCAAAACTGACAAATGGGATCTAACTAACTAAATAGCTTCCGCACAGCAAAAGAAACTATCATCAGAGTGATCAGGCAACCTACAGGATGGGAGAAAATTTTTGTGATCTATTTATCTGATAAAGGGCTAATATCCAGATTCTACAAAGAACTTAAACAAATTTACAAGAAAAAAACAAACAACCCCATCAAAAAGTGGGCGAAGGATATGAACAGACACTTCTTAAAAGAAGACATTTATGTGGCCAACAAACACATGAAAAAAAAGCTCCTCATATAAAAAAGGATGAGTTAATGTCCTTTGCAGGGACATGGATGAAGCTGGAAACCATCATTCTCAGCAAACTAACACAGGAACAGAAAACCAAATACTGCATATTCTCACTCATAAGCAGGAGTTAAACAATGAGAACACATGGACACAGTGAGGGGAGCATCGCACACCGGGGCCCGTCCTAGGGTAGGGGGCTAGAGGAGGGATAGCATTAGGAGAAATACCTAATGTAGGTGACGGGTTGATGGGTGCAGCAAACTACCATGGCACAGTATACCTATGTAGCAAACCTGCATGTTCTGCACATGTATCCCAGAATTTAAAGTACATATATATATGTATATGTGTATATATATATATATATATATATAGAGAGAGAGAGAGAGAGAGAGAGAGAGAGAGAGAGACAGAGAGAGAGAGACAGAGAGAGACAGAGAGCCAAAACCACACAGACAAAAAACCCGCTCCACAAAATAGTCCAGCCCACAGCTGCCTGAGTGCTTATCTACATGTTCCTATCAATGATGCTTTTCTTACATTTGCCACATTGAGCCCTTAAATACCTCCTTTTGAGAGTTACATACAATAGAGAAGATAAGTTCATGAAGTGTCATAATTTGAGGGGAATTTAGAGCCCATTGAATAAGCTCCACATCTAATTCTCAAATACCCTCTCTGACACCTCTATCCAGGAGTGCTCCAACCTCTGCTCAGAACATCAGTGGCAATGGAAATAGAGAAATGTTGATTAATTAAGATTTTAGAGGTAAAAGCATTAGGACTTACTGATTTGTAGAATGTGACATGTGAAACAGACCGAGGTGGTAAGAAGGAATCCCAAATTTCTCACCTAAGACACTAGGTTCACAATGGTGCCATTTTATGACATGTCAGTGTATGATTTGGGCAGAAACAGGTTTGGTAGAGAAGGCCACGATGCCATGGATGTGTTAAGTGTATGATGTTTTGAGTTATCAACTGAAGATGAGTCAGCAGCCATTTCATCTCTGGAAAACTCATAGAAACTATAAATCTGTTGCTATTATTAAGGGACAGAATTCAATACATTAAAAAGCAATATTATTTACTCCTAAATGTATGGAAAAGAGGCTAGACATTTAATGTATACACAACTGGAATGAAGATAGTATATTAGAATATAAAAGTATATTTAGAATATGGGTTTTAGAATGAGACAGACCTAGAAGTGCCCTGCCATCTACTCTAATGACCATGGACAATTTACTCTACCTCTATAAGCTCAGTTTCTTTTCTGTAAAGTGGGAATGCTATTATATGCTTATAAAATTGATGAATAGATTACATAATATAAATGATCACATATCATTATTGCGTTAATATTGACCATTATTATTTTTAGCAGTAGGAGGAACATTATTATTACACCTGAGCAAAAGTTGTGGCCTAAAGGGATTCCTAAAAAAAGGGAGAAACTAGATAAGAAAATAAGAAGGACTAGGGTATGATTTTAGAGAAGAATTTTAAATCTTTAGAAAAATAGGTCCTAAAAATAAAATAAACTCTGCCAATAGAGTTGGATTTGAATAGATCTTGTCTAGGCCAGAAGTCTGGGATCTCAACTGACTCATATCCTACTTTGGGTGTACTTTGGCCAATTCATATTAATTATCTTAGCTTGAAACTTCTCAGCTTCAAACCATACAGAATGTTCTCATTGTATCATGTATTGTAGCTTCACTGAGGACAGGGGGCATTAACCCACTGGCCTTTGGTTTTCTGGATAGGCTTACAGCATCACAACTTTTAGCAATTCCCTACATGCATGCCTTCTGCCTCTCAAGATGAAAAGAGGATTCATTTGCATTGCCCTTGGCAGATGTTATGGTAAAGTCTGTATTACTCACGATCGGATGGAGAAGGAGAAGGAAATAAACATTTTTAGAGTGTCTATTTGATTTTAGTTACTATATTATTATTATATATTTTCCATACATTTTTTCAGTTAAACTTTCAAAAGCCCATTGAGGTATCCTTTGAGATAATAAAGCAGCAAGAGTCAAAGATGTTCTTTGTGTCCAAGGCTACAAAGCCAGCAGGTGATGAAGCTGTACTTTGAACCCAAGTCTGTGCCCTCCAAAATCTTTCCCAATTCCTCTCCTCTACACAGCACTGAAAGGTAGATTCTACTTACGCAAAACCTCATAGCCTGAATTCTGGGCCTGAGAACAAGAGTTATTATTATATGCCTGTAATTATACATTGCTATAACATTGCCTATAGAAAGTAATTATGTAAAGACAGTGGGGAAAAGCTCCATTCCCTCTCACTTCCCTCTTCTCGGCACGTTTATTGAGCAAGACCCTTTAGGGTAAATTCTCTTTTCATGATTCTGTAAGTGGCTCCACACTGAAGCAGGTGATAACAGATGACCGCCTGTGGCAATCATCAGAGGAAGGCACCAACCTTCGGCCTTTAGGGAGAAATAAGGTACCACACTTTTGTTACAGGTGTTAAAAGAAAATTGTTGCCTCAAAACAGAAAGAAAGAGAACAGAGACCTGTGCTGTTTTCACTGTCTTTACACCAAAAAGTGAAAAGACAATAAGAACTGGAATCAGCACACCCACAATTTGAGGCCTTATTTTGTCACTTTCTGGTTGTGTGACCACAGGAAAGCTGGTAAATTTTTTTGTGTATGGTTGTTGCACCTTCATTCTTTTAGTTTTAATTTTTATTTTATTTCAGTAGTTTTCAGGGTACAGGTGGTTTTGTTTACATAGATAAATTCTTTAGTGGTGATTTCTGAGATTTTGGGGCACCTGCCACCCAGGCAGCATACACTGTACCCAATGTTTAGTCTTTTAACCTTCACCCACCTTCCACTCTTCCCCTGAGTCCCCAAAGTCCATTATATCATTCCATTATATGCCTTTGCATCCTTATAGCTTACCTCCCACTTATAAGTGAGAATATATGATAATTGGATTTCCATTTCTGAGTTACTTCACTTACAATAATGGCCATCCAAGTTTCTGCAAAGACCATAATTTTATTTGTTTTATGGCTGAGTAGCATTCCATGGTGTATATATCCCATGTTTTCTTTATTCAGTCATTGGTTGATAAGCATTTATGTTGAGTACATATTTTTGAAATTGCAAATTGTGCTGCCATAAAAATGCATGTGCATGTGTCTTTTTCATGTAATGACTTATTTTCCTTTGGGTAGATACCCAGTAATGGAATTACTGGATCGAATGGTAGTTCCACTTTTGGTTTTTTAAGGAATCTCCGTACTGTCTGCCATACTGTTGTACGAGTTTACATTCCCAAAAAGCAGGGATCTTTCTTCTCTGAGTCTCACTTTAACCAAAATACCAACTTAATGAAGATGCTATGGGGCCAAGGTAAGAATAGGGATATGAAAGGACTCCTAGGTTTAACTATTCACCTTGTTAAAATCACCACACATGGTATAAAGTGTTGCTGAACATAAATTTAAGAAAATGGAAATGTGGGCCTGGAGGGGACTTCTGAATCTGACCATCATGGTACCAGGAGGCAGGTACTCAGGTACGCGTCCTCATCTCCAACTCAGAAAGGTTGTTTTGACCTTGGACAAGATGTAATCCCTATAACCCTCAGCTGCCTCACTTATAAAATGGTGCTATTTTGCTTCTTCTGTTTCCCCACCCCACATGCCATGAGTCCACTAAAGACAACCACTCAAGGTTTTCTCCTATATCTGAAACTTATACGAAAAAAACCCAACACTTGCTTTAATCTAAGTCCTTTTGGAGTCACTTATAATTTTTCTCATTACCCAAATAGGTAAAAAAATTTTAACTAAAAATTTAACAGGTGCTATTTAACTATTATATCTATTTGTGTTTATTATCTGTCTTGGTTCAAATGTGCAATGAATAGTAGCGTCCAAGAGGCTTGTTGGTTTTTTCCTAGTACTATTCCTCTAATTCAGATAAATACCACTAGGTGAAGAAGTCTCAGATTGTAAATCTATCCAAAAGCCTTTATTTATTTATGCTGGAATCCACTTTAATATGAATAATAACTATTTTTAAAATATAACAATATGTACAGGTGCTGGAGAGGATGTGGAGAAATAGGAACACTTTCACACTGTTGGTGGGACTGTAAACTAGTTCAACCACTGTGGAAGTCAGTGTGGTGATTCCTCAGGGATCTAGAACTAGAAATACCATTTGACCCAGACATCCCATTACTGGGTATATACCCAAATGACTATAAATCATGCTGCTATAAAGACACATGCACACGTATGTTTTTTGCGGCATTATTCACAATAGCAAAGACTTGGAACCAACCCAAATGTCCAACAATGATAGACTGGATTAAGAAAATGTGGCACATATACACCATGGAATACTATGCAGCCATAAAAAATGATGAGTTCATGTCCTTTGTAGGGACATGGATGAAATTGGAAATCATCATTCTCAGTAAACTATCGCAAGAACAAAAAACCAAACACCGCATATTCTCACTCATAGGTGGGAATTGAACAATGAGATCACATGGACACAGGAAGGGGAACATCACACTCTGGGGACTGTGGTGGGGTGGGGGGAGAGGGGAGGGATAGCATTGGGAGATATACCTAATGCTAGATGACGAGTTAGTGGGTGCAGCACACCAGCATGGCACAGGTATACATATGTAACTAACCTGCACAATGTGCACATGTACCCTAAAACTTAAAGTATAATAATAAAAAAATAAATAAATAAATAATTAAAAAAAAAAACAATATGTATCTATTGGAATAGATTAGTACTCTTCTCCACCAACAGGTCCTATTTCCCAAGCTTGTAAGCGGGTAAATTTGCTTCATTCTCTGTATTCTGACTCATCAAACTTGATTGGTATTTAGAAAATAGGACAATTAGAGAACAGGTATCCCTACATGCCCCCCCATTATGAAAATCAATTGATTAATTACCCTAAATATTTGAATTATGAATTATGTCTCAAAAATCCATCCATGATAACCAGAAGTACCTGAAGAAAGAGTGGACTTGATTATCTTATTAATATTACTAACAAACATTCAGGGATCATAAAGCACTTGCTAAATGGTACATGCTCAATAAACAAACATATACTATGAGCCAGGTATTTGCACCTGACCAATGCCTTCAATCTATAAATATTTATCAGGCTCCTACTATATGATAGACATTGTTTATAATGGGGTGAGATTAAAAACCACCACCACCACCACAATGGAGTTATGCTTACAGTGTACCGAAGAGATACATATATTAAATAATTAAATAATAAATAATAATTAATGAAGTCATTGCTATGAAAGAAAATAACACAAAGCCATGGCAAAGAATGATGAAGAAAGAACTACTTTAGGACGGGTGTCAGAAATGGTGTTTCTGAAAAGGTGGCAACTAAACTGAAACCTCAGCAATAAGAGGAGGCAAATATGCATGTTCTCTGTGAGGAAAGGAGTCTAGGCATAAATAGGAACTTGCATGAAATCCACAAGGCAGCAAAGAGCTTGGAGTGTTTTAAAGAATTTAATTATATCTGCATGACTGAAGCACAAAAAACAAAGCCATAGAAAAGCACAAAATATGCTTGAGGAGTAGGCAGGGGCCAGATCATGAAGGGACTTAATTCCATTAATAAGGAGGTTATTGTAATGCAAAAGGAAGCTTCTTAAATATTTTCAGCAGTGAAGTGAAATGATATAAGTCTTGAAATGACCACTCAGTTCTGCTGCAGTGACTTTATTAGGCTGGTTTTGGTAAGTGTAGGAGGCTAATTAGGACAGTGATTTTTGTTTTTTTGTTGTTTTTTGGTGACTCAAATACAAAATACAGAATACTTAAAACAGAAACTGTCATGCTCCCAGCAGGAAATAGAGAGCATTTTCAAAGAAGGATAGCTCGGGGGTGTTAAATACAGGGATCATGCAAGGCAGGATGTGAGAAAGACACAGAGAGCTGTGCAGTTCCTTGCAGACAAGGACCAGTGGAGAGCCATTACTACACAGGGCACAGAGGCACAAGTAGAGGGAGGGCTAACTAGAACATGGAGACAGAAGGCTGCCTCCTGACGGGAATGACACCTTCTATGAAGGATCCCTGTAAGTCTACGGCCATCCTGAAAGAGAGGAGCCCATGGAACACACACTCCAACCGCAGTTTTCTCCTCTCCAATTTCCCGCTAGTACTCTCCACTAGCTAAATCCAATTAGCCGCTCCAAAGGCTGGGGAGTTTATTGATAGTAGTATATACAGCTCAGTCTGCCAAGGAATCATGCAGGTTGGAGAAGGCTGAAAAATGGATCTGGAGGGGAAAATGAAAAATATGCCTCCTAGGAGGTACTAGTGGAGATGAAGAGAAATTGATGAATTTAAGATATCCTTGGTATATTGTCCGTTCTCGCATTGCTACAAAGACCTACCTGAGGCTGGGTAATATATAAAGAAAAGAGGTTTAATTGGCTCCCAGTTCTGCAGGCTCTACAGGGAGCATGGCTGGGAGGCCTCAGGAAACTTACAATCATGGCAGAAGGTGAAAGGGAAGCAGGCACATCTTACATGGTCACAGAAGGAGAAAGAGAGAGGAGGAGGTGCTACACACTTTTAAACAACCAGAACCCATGAGAACTCACTATCAGGAGAACAGCAAGAGGGAACTCCGCCCCCATGATCTAATCACCTCCCACCTGACCCCTCCCCTCCAACACTGGAGATTACAGTTTGACATGAGATTTGGGTGGGGACACAAACCCAAATCATATCACTTGGATATAGGATCCTCATGAGGTACAGATGTATTTTATATGGAGGGCAGAAGACAGGGATTTACTATGAACCTTAGGCTTTTAATTGGGGTCATAAGGTTGGTAATGGTGTCATTTACTGAGATGTGGTAGACTTGGAGTAGAATGGTTTTTTAAGGAGAAGCTCAAGATTCATAGGTATATTAGTGTGTGATGTTTAAAGGGCATCCAAGTGGAGATGGCAAGTGGGCAGGTGGACAAACTAGACCATATCTCCAAAGATACATCTAGGCTATGGAGATAAATCTGAGAGTTGTCAGCACATGCATGGTGTTTAATGAAATGATGACTATTATCTAGAGAGAGTGTTTAAGAAGAGGGAAGAAGGCTTATTTTCATATTCTGAGATCAGATAGAGGAGTAAAAGCTAGCACAGAAGACTGAACAAGTGTAACCAGGGTGGTAGAAAGAAAACTAGGAATGCATGAGGTAACAGAAATATGTTTCAGGCAAGAATGTGCATCAATTGTAATGAACATGCACTTCAAGATTAGTTTTATCCAGTGGAGAGAGTAGAAGCCATATTAGAGTGAGTTGTTCAAAAAAGGCCCTCAGATACAGATTTCATTGTGTCTTTTCATTTTAACAAGTGAAAAGAAAATAATGCTGAGATGAATTAAATAGTTCCTTCATTTAGTTACTAAGAATTTGAACACAGGTCTGTGATTCCAAGGCCCATGCACTTTCCTTTCTGCTGAGTAATTCTCCAACTCTATGATTCATGCTGCACAGGGAGAAGTTTGAAAGGAACTGTCAGGTTCGCATCTCACCCCGGGTTTGACCTTCTCTCAGCTCTGACTCCTGAAGGCGAAAAATGAGGAAAGACTTCTCTCCAAAGGGGAAAAATAACATAAAATAAATGGCAAGATATTAATCTTGAGACCATTTACGGGAAGGTGTTAAGTGGCCCCACTGGCATTAACAGCAATGAGCTTCGAATATCACTTGTACAGCAAGCTGCTTAGCTCTGCAGATAACAAGTCACAGCAGGCCTTCTTGGGTTGCAAATGTAGTCACTCTGTTTGCCAATTAACTCTTTCCCCCATTGCCTTTTATATAACCAGCCAAGAAGCTTTGCTGAGACAGCATCATCTGCTGGAAAACAGCACTGGCCTGGGAGTTAGAAGAAATGATGTGCAGAAGCAGTAGTGGAAGTAGTAACAGATAGTAGCAATAACAGTAGTAGGAACATTATTGGGAAGCCAGAGCCCTTGGAGGCTCTCTATTTTCTGAAATAAATGTCTACGTTTTCTAAGCTTAGTATCAGCCAATGTCGTTGACAAGGCATTGTTCTTTTATCTCAAGAAATTTAAATTTGTCTCAGTTGTTCTGTGCATGCTAAAACGAAATACTCCATGGCCTTTCCATGTACACCACACACCGTCCTTAATTCATCTGTGATGCTATAGCCTAGATTTCTGCAGGCCCAGGTTGTTCTGTGTCCTATAGAGAGTCATGGTCCCATCCCCTGGAACCATGACTTCCAGCAGATGAAATGTACGGATCCCATGGATGTCCTTTGCATGCCTGAACTTCCAGCAACATTTGACATGCTTATCTTGTCTTCATGAAACATGTTTCCTTTGTCTGTGTGACACCATGTTTTTCTGGTTTTCCTCCTACCTCAATGACTATTTTTTCCCTCAATCTCTTGTGCGCCTCCTCTTTTCCTCAGCCTCTATGTGTTGTGATGTCCTGGGGTCTTCCCTAGACTCCTTTTACTTCGCCATGTATATTTTCTACACAGAGAACAAGGATGTAATCAATCAGCCAAAACAGGACCATCTTGAGAGTGTGAAAATGCTAAGCCAGGCAATAAGTCCTACAGGACCGTCAATGTCATTTTAGGTGACCACATCCTCTCCATGGTGAAGACTCTTAGATCTTTCTCTACAGATTCCAGACTCACATACTCAGAAGTCAATTTGATGTTACTGCTTGGATTCAAGTAGTCACCTCAATTGTAACATAACCAAAACAGAATTCTTCAGTTTATTTTTGCAAATGTGTTTCTTCTTAGTCTTTCCTATCCTAGTAAATGGCTCTACCCTTCATCTGCCACTCATAAAGCCAGGTGTTATCTTTGCTTTCTTTTTTCCTTCATATTTAATTCGTCAGTAATTCCTGTTGATTCCACTACCACATTGGATAAAGCTACCGCACCTCCTAATTACATGTCCTAGTAGCATCTTAACTGGTCTTCCTTCTTTGATTATTGGCTGTGTCTAAACTATTGCCCACACTTTGAATAAAATATATGCTCCTAACTTTGGTAATAAGGTTCTCCATAATTTACCTTCTCCTACTTCTCTGGCACCATTTTCTTTTCCCACTCCTCTCATCCACCTGCCTAGCCTCACCTGGCTTCTTTCTGTTCCTTGAGCACCCAAGCCAGACTCTGCCCTCAAGGCTTTGCAGTGACCCTTCCCACTACCCCATACCTGCCATCCTCTGACCCTCAAGGGCCGGCTTTTTTTTTTTTTTTTTTGAGACAGATTCTCACTCTGTCCCCCAGGCTGGAGTGCAGTGGCACAATCTTGGCTCACTGCAATGTCTGCCTCCTGGGTTCAAGTGATTATCCTGCCTCAGCCTCCTGAGTAGCTGGGATTACAGGCACATGCCTGGCTAATTTTTGTATTTTTAGTAGAGATGGGATTTCACCATGTTGGTCAGGCTGGTCTCAAACTCCTGACCTCATGATCTGCCCACCTTGGCCTCCCAAAGAGTTAGAATTAAAGGCGTGAGCCACCACACCCAGCCTGGCTTCTTGACATTCAGAGCTCTGCTTAAACAATACCTCCCTTTGATAACTTTTCACAACTGGTGTTGCTCATCTGAATCACAGAACACAACACATACTTTTAGTAACTGGATTTTTGTTGTTCAGTTGTTTCAAGGGTTTGTACATAACCAGTACCATTCTAGATGCATAGAAATTAACTTATTATATCCTATGTATGCAACAGAGTAGCTGGACTTAATCTTCTCAGGGAACCTCAGTGGAAAAGGACAAAATATGCTATGTCTCATAACCTATTATTCTTCTTTTCAAAGTAGTTATTACTAGCTGGTATTTCCCTCATTTGTTTATTCCCTAGCTCTTCTGCAATTGTAAACTCCCTAAGAATACAGATTCTGTCCATTTTCTTTTCTGGTACATAGTGTGAGTCCAGTAAACATTTGTTGAATGAAAATACAATGAAGTGAGATGAAGAACCCAGGAGCATGAGGACTTCTCTCAACCCCTATCCAAGGTTGTACCACTTACCCTTCGCTATACTGCTGATCCCCCCATTTTAATTGTTTTAACACTATCCTGTATATTTCTTTGATAATCCTCATCAAAATATTATTTCATGTTATATGTGCTTATTGTCTCTCTCCTCTCTTCAGAGTGTGAGCTGCATATAGAGACCTTATCTCACTCACTGTCCCATGTACGCCCAATGTCTTACCCAATGACATCTATTAGTTTTGTTGTCTCAATAAATGAAAAAGAGGGCAAGTCTTTGAGTAAAAAGACTTTGATCCCAGCTAAGCTTAGCATCCACCTTGCCCTAGACCTCTGAGCTTGCAACTGCGTGTATGTGTCATATTTTCCCACCTGTAAAATTAATACCCATTAAAACTCATATAGCACAAGGAATAACAAATTCTACATAAAACTATTGAGTGCTATTTTAGTTTGGGTTTTTCAGAAGCTGTCTCTGAAACAAAAGATTTCAGTGCAACTAAACTAATTTATTTGGTAATTAAGGGTACACTGGTAGGAAAGTGGGGAAAAAGAAGGTAGCCAGTAAAAGACGAACCCTTGAGCCAGCAACCAGTGTGGGCAATGGAGCTTAATCCGACTGAGTGAACTGAGAGACAGTGTGGCACATGTGCCTGGGATTGGCCTCACTAAAGGGAGCGGGAGCTGGGGTATGCATACATTATCAATCATTGACTGAGGGCTCTTCTCAGGGGGGCATTCATTCCTTATCACTTCAGGTCATCACAATGGCAGCAAATCTTGCTCTAAAAGAAAGCCCTTAGACAGAGAAATGCAGGAGCTGCTGGTGGACACTGGGGCTGGTGTGCACTGTGGTAAGGGCAAGGGGATAAGGAACAGGGTAGTGGGGGTCGGCTCCAGAAGCATCTGCTCCAAGGGTCTACCAGGTGCTAGCAGTAGCTCCATGTCTAGCATGCTAACCTACATTTCGCACATACTCAATTTTGTCCATGAACCCGCTGCAACAGTATACAAACTATAGATAATTACACGTCGTTTCTGTTTGTTTTGTTTTTTTTTTGAGAGGGAACCTCACTCTGTCATCCAGACTGGAGTGCAGCGGCACGATCTCAGCTCACTGTAACCTCCACCTCCCAGGTTCAAGCAATTCTTCTTCCTCAGCCTCCCAAGTAGCTGGGATTACAGGCGCCTGCCACCACGCCTGGCTAATTTTTGTATTTTTAGTAGAGACAGGGTTTCTCCATGTTGGCCAGGCTGGTCTCGAACTCCTGACCTCAGGTGATCTGCACGGCTAGGCCTCCCAAAGTGCTGAGATTACAGGCGTGAGCCACTGTGCCCGGACTACATGTGTTTTCTCATCTGCTAAACCTTAACCAGATTTTCAAAAGGATCTATGACCCCAGAGACTTAAGAGCCATTGGTATCTGACTGTCTGATTCCTTTTTAATTCATCCATTCCAAAATCTAAACAATGAGTGTACCACAGAGGAAGTGCGGAGGGTGTACCCACCAACAACCTCACAACAATCTCAGGGGAGGGCTTAAGTGTCCCCACACACGAGAGTGGAGATTTGAGCCAAGCGTACCCAGCTCTCTGAGGAGAAGGGACGCTACCTTAGCACACATCTTCTATACATGTAGGATGAAGATCATAATCTCTACCTTGTAAGGCTGCTGGAAGAATTAAATAGCATAATGGACAGAATATATTTAAGCACCTAGCACAGGCCCTGGCACGGCAGCTTCTAGAGGGTGAGGCAGAGGGCACATTTGTATTCTTCATTTGGATGCCTAGAATGATTGGACACATAAATACATGTTGGGCTGAAATTTAAGTAGAGGGGAAATGAGTGACAGGGTGAGTGGGCATCTGGGCCACAGTGATTGTTGGCTTCCTGGCTATTTCCGCAGTGGCCATTTAAAGCCAATGACACAGGGGGAGTGTATCTATTGCATTTGGCAGGCTGCTGTTGGTGGGATTGCACTCTGGGAGTGCTTGCATGACCCTGCAATAATGGAGACAGCTGGAAGAGCAGAAATAAGGAGATGCTTCAGATGAATTGCCAAATATTTTTTTGAAGGAGGTGGGTCCCCAAAAGAGATCAGTCTCCCGATATTTGCCTACAGGATGCCAAGTCAATGCACTCAGATGGATAGACTCAATCCTAGGTACATTATTTGTTTAAAAGTGGCTTGCCTGGTATATTTTAGCACTGTCACATATTGGGCAAAGAGCCAGCTAGAGAAGGTAAATGAAATCGTAGCCTCGTAGATCTCTAGGCTAGAAGTATTTTCAAACAATTGCTTAGAAACATGGTTATAGCCTGGAAAAGAATCTGGGCTTTAGTTACCAAAAGGCTTGGGTGCAAATTCTGGCCTTCTGCTTGTTAGATGTGAAGCATTAGACCAAACTGTTCAAAGTCTCAGTGTCTCTTTATTTTATTAATTTTTAAAGACAGGGTTTTGTTCCATCACCCAGGTTAGAGTACAGTGGCACAATCATGGCTCACTGCAGCCTAGACTTTCCAGGCTCAAGCATTCCTCCCACCTTAGCCTCCCAAGTAGCTGGGATTACAGGTGCATGCCACAACACCTGGCTGATTTTTTGTATTTTTTTGCTAGAGGGGGAGGTCTTGCTATGTTGCCTAAGCTGGTCTTGAACTCCTGGTCTCAAGAGATTCACCCACCTAGGCCTCCTAAAGCGCTGGAGTTACAGGCATGAGCCACTGTACCTGGCCAAGTCTCAGTGCCTTAACTGGAAACCAAATCCATTTTGGGAGGCTAGCAACACAAGTGCACGTGTGTACTCCCAGAGCAAACCGGAAGCTGTTATGGTTATCTAGTCTAGCCTTTACATTGAGATTTTATAGATAAATCAAGTGAGAAGATCAAGAGTTAAGCTAATTATCTAACTCACACTTTTAAGTAAGCAAACTAAGCACAGGGTTCAGCAAACTACTGCCCACAGCCCAAATCCCACCTGCCTGTTTCTGTAGTGTCCATGGCTACACGCCCATTCATTTCTGTAGTGTCTATGGCTACTTTTGTGCTATAGCAAGAGTTGAATAGCTGTGATGGAGAACGCATGGGCCACAAGCCCAAAATATTTACTATCTAACCCTTTATTAAAAATATTTGTCTTGGGAGGCCAAGGCGGGCGGATCACCTGAGGTCAGGAGTTCCAGATGAGCCTGGCCAACATGGCGAAACCCCATCTCTACTAAAAATAGAAAAATTAGCCAGGCATGGTGGTGGGTGCCTGTAATCCCAGCTACTCGGGAGGCTGAGGCAGGAGAATCGCTTGAACCCGGGAGACGGAGGTTGCAGTGAGCCAAGATTGTGCCATTGCACTCCAGCCTGGGTGAAAGAGTGGGATTCCATCTCAAAAAAAAAAAAAAATTGTCAACCTCTGAAATATGGGATAAGTGAAATTTACATCATGAGCTGTGCTCTTACACCAATCTTGAATGCTTGCATCCTCCAAAGCTAATAACTTTTTAAAAGATATATGGTGAGAAATATTAGCAGAATCAGTCCTGAGGGCATCCAGATACCCATCACTCTTTCTCCCCAAGTTCTGCTTTCTCCTTCTTCCACGTCTATCCCCTCATCATGTCCTCCAGTCCTCTCCTGTCCATCGGTGTATAGACCAGGCTCAGTGGCTCACACCAGTGTATACAATCCCCTGCAAGCACAGTGTGGTATGAACGACCCCAGCCTGTCTTCTTGGAATATCAACTTTGTCAAAAATAATGTAAAATCTTACCATTTTTACCAAAACAAATAAAGAGTTTTTAAGATGAAGCTTGAGACTTTCAAGAAATTTCCAGACTGCTTCTGGTCACTCTAATATCCTCTCTCGGAAGAACACACTCTGCCTTGGCATTTTTAGAAGAAAATTTGGCAAATATTACTTTGATTGGAGCCTGACATGTCAGACCTGCATTTGAAACCTTGCTCCACAGCTAACTGGCTGTGTGACTTAACTTCTCCAAGACATTCTCTGCTTCCCATCCTGAACAATTAGGGGTAAAGATATTTCCCTAGGAAGGTCGGGGTGAGGATAAAGAAGACAACTGGGTATCAGCAGTTTTCAAACTTGACAGCAAATGAAAATTAGCTGAGGAACTTTATGGATGTCCAAGCCACACCCTCAGACCAATTAAAACAGAATGGATGGGGTTGGAGGGGAGTGGGGACTACAACTGGCACTTTTAAAGGTGCTCCAGGTGATTCTGTTGTAAAGCCTGGGTTGAGAAAGGACTGATGGGCATAGAAGTATTAGCGTGGTGCTGACTCATAATTGATCATGGATAAATGGTAGCTTAAAGTGGGGGTGGGCACATGGCACTCACCCAGGACTGCCTACCCTGCTGCAAGTTCCAACTTACCCCAGTGTGACAAATAGCCTAAGGTTAGAGTGCCACCCCACCCATATAATATATTTGCATGGCAGAGTCTAATGGTGCCCTTAAATCACATCATGGAGACATCTGCTGGCACCGCCTGATGCCAGCCCCAGATCAAAGCTGGTTGCTGCTGCTGGGGCAATTGGGCTTCAGCACTAATGCCATCAATGCACAGGAACCTGTGTCCTTAAAGGACCTGATGAAGACACTGTCTGTCCCTTGGAGGTCCCCAGCAATGTATGGGATGATCTAGAAAGACCTTAGAGCTGGCCAAACTCCCCCTTCCTCCACCTGCCTGCCATGGACACAAAACAAAGTGTGTGTGTCTGTGTGCGTGCGCATGTGTGTGTAAATCAAAAGACTCCTAACCTTCGAGTCAGAAGGTCTGGCTTCTCTTCATTCCTGTCCTAGCCTGGGTTTCCAAATAAAGAGCCTGGGTCAGGGCATGTCAAGGTAGTTCATTTATGAGGTGATTCTAAGGAACAAGAGTGAAGCACCGCTGAGTAACAGGAAAAAGAAACATGAATGTAGAAATATGCTGTGTGTTGGGCCATTCCTGGGAGTAACTGTGGCTCAGTGTCCCCCTCTTTTGAGACATGTCTCGGAACCATCACCCTTGGGGAAATGAAGAGCGGATGCATTTATCCAACAGATCCAGTCCCCCTTTGGTTAGGGTGCCTCCGCCAGCATTAACCTCTCAGTCCATCCTTTAAAGCTGAGCAACATTCTGAAGTCAGCCAGAGAAGCCCCATGGCAGAAAGAATTACTTGCACAAATACCGTGGAGATTGGCATGGAAATGTCTGCACAGACTGCAGGGCTAGGAGGATGGGCAATTGTGTAAAGAGGTTCTCAATGTGCAACATGCCCACTCACTCCCAGCCACAGGAGAGGTTCCGGGCCCCACGCTAAGTATTTTACATCTATGATCTCTTTCAGTCTTTCTCAAAACCCAAGCAATTGACATCTTTCTCTTCATTTTACAGATGAGAAACTTGGAGCTCAGAGACATCCGTTAACTTAAAGTGGCTGAAGGGGGACTCCAATCAGGGCAACCCACCTTAGAGTCCTCTGCTGTCCACCACTGAGCTGGGAAATGAAGACTCTGCACATAGCATTTCATCTGGCTGATCCTTGGAGTCCCAGTCTGTAAGTTTGTGTCAACATCCTCTGCCTCTTCTGTAGGATGACCAAATGAAAAATCGATGAAAATTCATTCATACGCAGGGGTTTAATTTTTTTTATTTTCATGAGGCAAAAACAAACAACAACAACAACAATAAACCAACCCGACAATATAATAGCCTGGTCCCAGGCATCAGAGGATGGGACTAATAGGTTTCAAAGCCACATTCATGACTTGGGAGATTCTGCTTGAACAGACAAGCTGCCCCAGGCATCCTGGAGATGAAGTAAGTACGATTCTTCTTGAATTTGGGGGACAGCTCTTCTCTGGAGTTCAAAAAAAAAAAAATCCAAGTTTCACTGGGGGCAGAAGGACAGTTGCTGGGTGTGCCTCTAGTTGTTCTAGAGAAATGAACGCTTAGAACTACAGTTCCTCTCACAAGAGGTGAGACGGCTTTGCAATTGAAAGAGAGCAACCAACCTGGAGCAATTATGTTTTCATTATTATTCCCAAGCTTCTCTGTCACAAATCACATTTTCCAACCCGGGGCACGTTGGTGCAGAGCTGCCGATTGCAGTTCCCATCATTCCACCAGCTGACTGCTCCAGCCTGGCCCTGGAAGCGGCAAGCCGGTGGCTCATTAACTGCAATACCTGTGCACAGATTGCAAACCCGGCAGAGCAGATGCTGCATACTTCAGGAAATTCTCCCCTATTTGAAAATGACTACGAAGTACTTTTTACTATCAAACCCTTGTTGGGATTTTTCTAGAAAGAAGACCGTGAAGCCCTTGTAGATTTTCCTGTCGACTTGCATTACAGAGCAGCTGAGAGTGCTAAGTCTGGGCATGGCCTTGACTTGCAGGCACAAACACAAACACACCCCGGCGCCCCTGGCTTTAAAACTGGGGATTTAAAGCGCTAGACTTGAGAGCGCAGAAGTACGGCAATGCTCATGCCGCCATCATGTGGCTAGAGGAGGAACCGCACCAGGAACAGAATGGACCAATTCGGCCAGGCTGCCTGCACCCCCTCCTTCCTACTTTCCTCCCTCCCTTCCTTTGAAACAGCTGCTGAAGAAGACTAGTCAATTAAAAAAAAAAGAAAGAAAGAAAGAAAAGAAAGGTGGAAGAGAAATAATTGAGTTAGGTACCACTGTTTGCACACCCCGTTCCTGGGGCTTTATAAAAGCCCTGCGTGGTAAGGCAAATAGCCGTCAAATGAATTTGAGTGGGAATTCAAAGCACTCTTGATTTCTCTTGGTTAATATACGTTAGCTGAATTCAGTGTCGAAATTGAGCAGCTCATATTTAAAAGGAGATGATTCCCGCAGAACTTTATGGACTTTACATATAGAGGACACAGAACAAATTAAACTTTTGCTTATTGCTTTGAACAAAAATTAGTGTTTTATAAAAAGAGAGGGAGGGAGACTTAAAACTATGCCCTCATTCATTATTCTGTTCGGTTGTCTATCTTTTAGTTCTTAATTTGTAGAAACTCCTTGCATCCTGGGGATAATATCCTCTTGTGCATCATATGAGTTGCAAATACTTTCTAATAATTACCTGGCTTATTTCTTTATGGGATCTCTTTCCAATTTTAAAAATTATTAATTTTTTAATGTAACTGAAGCTGCTAATAGTTTGTCTTTTATAGCTTCTGTGTTTTCTATCTTGCTTAGAAAGCTGCCTCCACCTCAAAGTATAGTCTTTAATACTATTTTTAATAATGATTTTATGTTTATGTTTAGTTCATATGGATTTATTTTTATACTCCATTTAAGCTAGCTTTTCACCCAAATGTGGAATCAATTGTCTCTGTACCATTAAGAAAATAACAATCTGTCATTTCCCCACTGAAGTGGCACATTTATTATCGAGTAAGTGCCTATATGTAGCGGGATCCTATCTGTTCTGCCAACATACCGTATTTATACTCACTACCACACTGTTTTAATCTGGTAGGATAAGCCCCTACCCGCTTCCTATTTTTCTTTTATAAAATATTCTTAGCCATTCTCGAACATTGGTTCCTCCATCATATGGGTATGCGTGGTCTGATTTGTTATAACAACCTTGCATTATTTTTGTTAATAAAAGGTCTTCAGTTGTTTTTTTGTTTTTGTTTTTGTTTTGAGACGGAGTCTCGCTCTGTCGCCCAGGCTGGAGTGCAGTGGCACGATCTCGGCTCACTGCAAGCTCCGCCTCCCGAGTTCATGCCACTCTCCTGCTTCAGTCTCCCGAGTAGCTGGGACTACAGGCACCTGCCACTGCCCCCAGCTGTTTTTGTATTTTTAGCAGAGACGGGTTTCACCGTAGTCTCGATCTCCTGACCTCGTGATCCACCCGCCTGGGTCTCCCAAAGTGCTGGGATTACAGGCGTGAGCCACCGCCCCCGGCCCAGTTCTATATCTTCTGCAGAGCTTACATTGTTTCTCTGGAGACTTGGTGAAGGACAGACACCTCACATCCCCGTTCCTGCTGTGGGAAAGGCTAAGCGTTCTCTCTCAACCTGCTAGAGGGACTCTGATTGGTTCATACAGAGTCTTAGAGAGTTGAAACACGGCTGCCAGACGTCCACCCCTATTAATGAGCAGTTAATTGGAGGTGGTTGTGAGATAAGCAGAGATCCCAAAAGGTGTTTACTATGTTCCTTAATTTGAAATTTATTCAAAAATCACGAGCTGATGGCTCTTTATATACTAAGGCCTCGGACCAGGGAATCAAAAGTAAATCAGATACAGGCCTTGCATTCAGAGAGCTCATGAACTAGAAGTGCTATGCATGTGTGAAAACAAAATTAGCACCCTTCCAGGCAAAGAAAGTAGACTGGAAATGTACACAGTACTGTAGCAGCCTCCAGAGAGGGGCAGTGAAGCCGGGTGAGGCAAGGATGTCATTAAGGAGTGAGGACTGTGTGAGGGCCATGTAGCAAACCATCCCTTCCTCCACAGGGGAATCAGCCTCATTTCAGTGGTAGAAAGGAGTGCGATTGTTCTGTTGTGTGCATATGTGTTTGTATGTGTGTATGTGCACATGTGTGCGAGTTGACCTGGTTCTCCTGAGCAGGAATCTAGCCAAAGGGTGCAGAGGCTGCAGACTTAGGTAGCAGGGAGGGATGAAAGGCTCAGGGAGGAAGCGGCTCAGATATATCTTGTTCTTCTTCCCTGACCTCAAGCTATAAAACAGGCAAACACTTCAGGCAAGCTTTCCGAAAAGACAAAGTTCTCACTGTCCCAGGAAACGAGAGCTTAGACCCTGAATAAAGACTCCACTTCATACCGTACCACCTTCTCCCACCTCTCTCAACACACAAATGCTGTTTGTTTAAAAGTTTATCTCAACTGGAGGCTTTAAGGAAGGGCCCCTGGACATGGCCTTAGATCCTGTGTTATGCTTCAGCTGTTTTTTTAATGTTTGTCTGTTCACACAGATGAAGTCACGAAGATCACAATCTAAGGCAAAATGATATTTTCTGCAGTCATTATTGTTCTTGGAAACAGAAGAGCCGAGTGTGAGAGAATGTGAGGGCTGGAAGGGACCAAGGCAGCCTCCAGTGCCCCACTGGGCTTAATCCCCAAGGGAAATGAGGCCAGGAGCGGTGACATGACTTGTCCCAGTTCACGCAGCTAGTTCCTTCTGCACAGATGTATCTAAAGGACACTTCTCTAGGGGTGCTTCACCGTCACATCATTGTGCAATTAAATGGGGGGACCTCCTTTTAATAGAATACATTATTTCTCTTCTTCCAAACATAAGGGTCAGGGTTTTGTACAATTTGTATGTGAAAGTGTGCAATATAAAATTCCATTTAGGAGAGTGGAATGCTTCCAAAGGACAAACGATAAATGAGATGGGCTCTTCCACCCCCAGGTCCCACCAAAAAAGGCTTCAAACAAGGGAAGGTTAATTAGGTAGGGAACTTCTCCACAAAGACAGATTTTCCCTAAATACCGCTGTCCACCTGCTTACTCCTCTCCATAGAGGGCCTTCGAGGTCATCTCACTGTAAAGTTTAGGATGAAGATAAGCATTCTACAGTGCTCCTCTTTATAGGCCATAATGGCTTGCAGAGAGCACCTGTGTTCTCTACCAGTAGGTAAAGGTCCTACCTCAAGGAGAAAGATATTTATCGTGGTTTTGTCTTGTTTTGATTTTTTCAGCCCTTTCAGTGACTGGGCAGAAAAGCCAGACTAATTCTGGGGACTCTTGGAAAGCCCACTGTAGTTTTGCTTTGTAGTGTTTGTCAGTAATAGAGCTGGCATTCTATCCTCCAACTATCAGCCCCGTTGCATCTCTTGGTCGATTCAGAGCTCTGGCATGGAAAGAGGTGAAGGGGTGTGTCGTGTTCACTCTTAAACCCTTTTCACCGTAGAATGCCAGTATGCATTAGCAGTAGCTAATTTAAAGACTGAGTTGCTTCCGCACTGCTTCTGCATATGTTGCCAAGTTGATCTAACAATTTTATGTGAAATGTAAAGTTTTTTCTTTATCATAATTACGTTTCACAACTCAATGCTTTTTTCCTATACTTTGTGTTTTGGACAGAAGCAGGGCAGAATATATGACTGAAGTGAACTCCACTCGACCTTCAAATCCAACCCCTCCGAAGAGAATATTCCAAGAATCAAGCAAAACCTGGGAGGTCAAGGATGTTTCATCTGCGTTTCCCCATTCTCTTAGATTGTCTCTTCTTTCCTCAAGTCTCATAGAATCTGAGAGTTAGAAGGTTCTCAAAGGTCATCTCAAGCACAATGCTTTGTGAAATTTGAAGTCCAGCTACAATATGCCCAATAAGCATTTATCCAGACTCAAGAGTCCCCATTGCTGGAGAATTGGAATTTAATAATACCAAACATAGCCCAATCCATTTTGGAACAAATCTACTTGTGAGGAAGTTATTTTATTGTTGTTTGTTTTACAGCATGCTGTAGGTGGTCTCTTTGAATTCCATCTAAATACAACTTTTTGTAGTACAGTACTGCAAATCATCTATTCTAAAGATGCATATGTGTTTACACTGTATCTGTGAACATTCATAACAATTGAAGACACTTCTGATTGTGCTTGGCTGGGCAGCAGACACGACGTTGTTGCTTATGCATGTGTGAGACAGGCTGTTTCAGGTAGTGTGATAAAAATTCTCTCAATATTTCAGTCAAACTATTTAAGAGTCTTTGGAATAAGGAATATAAGCCTTCTATGTCTTAAAAAAAATTTATGGAGATTTTTTGAAAATCATGAAAGCACCAGATTCAAAACATTCAGAAGGCATCTTGGAAGAAAAAAAAAATCTCAGGAGACAATAGTGGAGGACTCTAAACAAAGTTGTATTACAGTATTCTTAAGAGTAAAATCAATGGGACGATAGAGCAAAACTGCTCAACTAATATACCTAATTCATAGAATGTAATAGCTATTTAGGAAATGAAACATTTATTGTTGATTTATGATGTGCTACTAACTCTGCTAAGCCCTTTCCATATTTTATTCTACTTGATCCACCCCAAGACCTAATGAGGTAGTTAGCACAGGGCCACTATCCCTTATCCAAAACTTTTAGGCCAAATTTTGAAATTCATAACTATTTTTATTATTTAAGAATATATAGTATATGTATTGTATCTTGTTTAACCCCACCAGCAGGGTCTGGGATAGCATGCTGTAATCAAACACATTAATATTTTGCAACAAAATATGTGCATATTCACAGACTGTGGGATAAAGAAATATCATAGTAAGTCTCCAGTCTCCCGTCTCATGCCAGTTTAGGTCAAAGATGAGTTTGTGATGGGCTTATGAAAATGTTTTCTGTTCTCAGGTATTTGGGGATTTTAGATATGCAAATTAGTGGTTTGGAATTTGTATTAGTGTCTCCATTTTGCTAATAAACAAAGTGAGGCTTTGTAAGTAGTTCCCCCTGACGCACACAGCTCAGAGTGTGGAGTTGGGTCTGAGACAATCAAGGTCTTAACAACGATGCTTGGCTGCCTCAGTGAAGCATCCATCTGCCAGGAGGTTGGGGGTCACTGCCATGGGCCCTGAGTCTTCTCTTCTTTAGACTGATCACTTGCCCATAACTATCTCTAGACTTCTTGCCACAATGGCTCTCCTTTGAACACCCCATGGTTTCTCACTTCTTAAACCACTGTAAGTATGAAGTCTCCATGAGGGGAGACTTAACTAACTGCTAATAGAAGAACAGAAAGAACAGAAAGGTGTGTGGAGTTCCACGCTCCAACAGCATCTACCACTTGCTCAATGAAGTTTTTCAAAAATAAAAATATTTTCTAAGCAGATGATGTGGCTCTTTTATCGTGCTCATCATTTTAGAGAGAAAAAGATCAAAGATAGAGCCACCATAGGTTCCAAACCCAAGGTTTGGGAAACTCCATTCCAGTTCTATTAAAATTGCAGCTTTTTCATATAAATTTCCCTGGAGAAGAAATATCATAGGAGTTTTAATAATAATAAAGTACAGGTTCTGTAGCCAACTCATCTGGTTTGAATCTCGTTCTGACACTTCCTAGCTGTGTAATCTTAAGCAAATTACTTAACCTCTCTGTGCCTCTGTTTTTCTAACAAATGGGGGCAATGATATGACCTACCTTTGAGAGTTGATATAAGAATTAAATGATTTCACACATGTAAGCTACCGTACCAGTTCCTGACCACAGGAAGAACACAGGGAATATGAACTTTTCATCATTACTGTCACAGATATTTGTAACCTATGAACCATGCCCTCTCAAGAAAGAAAAGTAGCAGAAGAAAAAATTAGGAGTCAGATCTGTGAATCTCTGAAACTCAGGAACTTAAGCATTAAACTGTTGTGCTGCTCAGCCCAGGAGTCACGATGCCTGGAAATCAATCAACTTCTGAAATTCTAGAGCCTCTCCCAAAACCACTTCAAGCAGCAAAACCACATCTTATCCTCACACGGAATTAGTGACTTGGTGCAATATAAAACAAATATTCATGGCCTTCTCCATGGAGTCTTTTCGGTAAATAATAATGGATTACACCTGTTCCAACACTATCATTATTAGGCATTACTATAGGCAAGAATTTATGTAGCACTCTCTAGAGAAGCAAAGGTGGCTTAGATGATCTTTTTCTTCAAAGATATCACATCCTAGCAGAAGTAACAATATGTATACACACACATTAGAATGTCAGATAAGGTATATGTGGAGATATACACATACTGTATATGTAGATAGGTAGTATAATATACATATTGCATGTTTATATATAAACATCTCTATAAGTAAATATATGTAGTATATATACACATACGCATATATACATGTATATATACACATACGCATATATACACGTGTATACGTATATATACGTATATACATATATGTATATATGTATACACATATATATACACACTACATACAATATGGAAGAATATGGAAGAGAGAAATTGCCCTGGAACTGTGGTCTATAGGAAAACTCTTGCTGCCTTGCTATGGCTTGTGAGCTGAAAATAATTTTTACATTATTGACTGGTTTCATTTTAAATGTATATATATGTATCTACATAACATCTTTCATTTGTCTCTTCACTGGCAAAGCCTAAAGTATCTGCTGTTTGGCTCCTTAAGCAAAACTTTGCTGATCCCTGCTCCAGAAGGCTATGAGGGGGTATCACATGGTTTAGTACAAAGTATGTTTTGGAGTCAGGCAGGACTGCATTTGAATCCTAACTAATCTGCTTGCTTGCTGTGGGGCTTTGGGCAACCCCAACCTTAGATCTTCTTTCATGGAACGTGAATAATATTATCTACAGTGTAAGATTAATATCAGCACCACATGTTTAATCCACCTGATGCTTTGTCTGTGCTTAATACATGTTTGCTATAACTGTGCCTGAGTTTGTTCATAGAAGATGATTTCTATTTATTTTCTTCTTTTGACTCTTAGATCTTCAAAAGGGCCATGTCTTGCTGATTTCCATATTCATAGTGCCTACTAAGTGAATGATTAATAAGGAATGAATGACTTGCGTGATCTGCAGAGTCTCTAATGGGATACAAGTAATTTCTACCTTATTAATTTATGTTCCTTAAAACAGCCCCTAAAGCATGCTGAGAGCATATCCCACACTGAGCACGTCCCACCTGTCCTTCCCCTACACCCAAGCACACCCTCTTCTGGCCATGCTTGGAAATGTTTCTTGAAGGGCAAAAAAAAAAAAAAAAAAGCCAATCTACAGGCCTAAAGAAAACAAAGGTGATTTCTTTTTTAATTCCCTCACCAAGGTGGAAGTGGGAAGTTGAAATAAAAGCAGCATGTTTCATTAATACACACTGCCCTAATGCACAGGCAGGCCCTGGGGGTGACATGGTTTTGGTAGCTCTAGGGTAAATAAGTTCTGGTTCTTTCTTTAGTCTTAGATTTTAAGAGGATTCCAGCAGAGCAACCTTTTAAACGGGTGTTCACATATCACCACCTTCAGGAAGGCTTTCTTAGCCACTCAGGTCTCACTGATTGTTCTCTCCGCTGAACTCCTAAAGTGGCAGTGGAGCCTAGTGGTTGGGTTCGGGTGATGGAATCAAACCCAGGTTCAAATTCCTCCTCACCATATACAGCTTTGTGACCTTTTGCAACATACCAAGCCTCTTTAAGTCTATATTTTCTTGTTTAAAAATGTAAATATCAGGCCAGTAGTGGTGGCTCATGCCTGTAATGAGCCAACACTTCGGGAGGCCGAGGCAGGCAGCTCATGAAGTCAGGAGATCGAGGCCATCCTGGCTAACACGGTGAAACCCTGTATCTACTAAAAATACAAAAAATTAGCTGGGCGTGGTGGCACATGCTTGTAGTCCCAGCTACTTGGGAGGCTGAGGCAGGAGAATCACTTGAACCTGGAAGGCGGAGGTTGCAGTGAGCCGAGATCGTGCCACTGCATTCCAGCCTGGGTGACAGAGCAAGACTTCATCTAAAAAAAAAAATTAAAAAGTAAATATCAATAGCACCTACCTCATAGTTGTTTTAAAAATTAAAAGATAATCTGTATGTAAAATACTCAGCTCATTGTTTGACATAAAGCTCATTCCTACAGAACATTGAGAACTATTCATTATTGTTATTTATTGCACTGATAACCTATGTTGCATTTAATAATAGATGTTTCTTATGCTGTAGTTTAAATATTTAATGCATGTTTGTTTTGTCCTTTTGATGGCAATTGCTACATATTGAATTTTCTGTTGTAGTCTCAGAGTAATGTTTTTCAACAAGATATACTTCTTGCCAAAGTTGTGAAGTAGGTTAGAGCAAATGTATAGTATAAAGACAAGAATGCTTCTGAGCCCTCTTTTACATTCCCTGGCCAGTTGCCTCTCAAGCTACCTCCTGCCCAACTCTGAGTGGAATCTTCTCCCAGAGCTAATTAAGGTTGCAGATGGAATCAACTTTGCAAATCAGCTGCATCTGTGGTAGGGAGATTATACTAGAATAGGCAGTGGGCCCAGTGTAACCACTAGGATCCTTAAATGAAGAAGGAGGCATAAAGTTTACAACCAGGGAGATGACACCATGAGAAAGACTCACTGGGCCCTTTCTGGCTTTGAAAATTGAGAAGGGGGACTATCAGCCAAGGAATGCAGGCAGCCTTCAGAAACTGCAAAGGGCCAGGAAACAATCTGCCCTAGAACCTCCGAAAAGAACCCAGTTCTGGCCGGGCGTGGTGGCTCACACCTGTAATCCTAGCACTTTGGGAGGCCGAGGCGGGTGGATCACGAGGTCAGGAGTTCGAGACCAGCCTGGCCAAGATGGTGAAACCCCGTTTCTACTAAAAATACAAAAATTAGCTGGGCACGGTGGCAGGCACCTGTAATCCCAGCTATTCAGGAGGCTGAAGCAGAAGAATCGCTTGAACCCAGGAGGCAGAGGTTGCAGTGAGCTGAGATCGTGCCACTGCACACCAGCCTGGGCAACAGAGTAAGACTCCATCTCAGGGAAAAAAAAAAAAAAAAAAAGTTCTGCTGACATCGTGATTTTAGCCCACTGAGAACCATTTTGGACTTTTGATCTCCAAACCGTAAGATAATAAGGTTGTTCCTTAAGCCACTGCCTTTGTGATAATTTATTACAGCAGCAATAGGAAAGTAATACACTGATCCATGAGGTTATAGGATGCAGGAGCCCCCAGGGCAGTGTTGACTTATGGAGATTTTTCAGGTGGTCTAGAATAGTATAGCCCAAAAGAGAGCGAGATCTGACTGAAGTCAAGGAGGAGAAAAACAAACAGAGTCTAAACATTCATCCTGAGCGCCAAGACAGAATATCAGGACTAAGTGATGAGAACCAGGCCAGGGCCTATGAAGATCAAGGGCAAGGTTGGATACCATGTAGGGAGCAAGGGGCATGAGGTTAGGCCTGGCATTCAATGGTGGGAGGGAGAAATGCTTGACTATCTCATGAGAGGGCAAGGATATGCTACCTATTTTATATGTCTGCTGGCTCTTTCTCAAGAGGGGACCCGACCATGCTGAGAGCTGTGGTTCCACGTACAATGCACCTCTGTACCTCCTATGACACCTTCCATGGCACCTGATGCCAAATCAGCCCTGAATGTATTAATACATTGACAGATTGTCCAAAAAAGTGACTATGGTCAGTATGACAATCTCACCTGTGAGAGGTAGGCTCTATCTACTTGTGAAGGTACATCTTTTTTTCATAATATTCCTAAAATCCCACCTGATGGAAATATTAGGTTGGTGCAAAAATAATTGCAGTTTTTGCCATTACTTTTAAAGGCAAAAACAGCAATATCTTTTGCACCAACCTAATAAGTCCAATGCCAATAACACTGTGTGATAGAACATGTTTCCATAAAGTTTTGTGTTAATAAGCACAGAGGAACAGTAAGTTTTCCTTCCTTCTTTCCTCCCTTCCTTTCCTCTTGCTTTCCTTTGTCTCTTCAATGTTCATAGTAACACGAAAAACTTCGAAAAGCCCTAAATATGCCAGAGAATACAAATTCAAAAGAAAATATGGAATCCAGGGAGATGGGGAGCATGAGAGATGGAGTATTTTATACAAAATGCTCTTGGCCACCTGGTGGAATGGGACTAGACAACAAAGGAGGAAAAAAAAAAAAAGCAAAGGAGTTTTATCACAAACATGGTTTCCAAAGCAACTGCCTAGAAGTCTCTTTCATAAGATTCCAAGTTCCTCTCCACTCCCTCCTAAACACACACACACATGCACATACAAACACACATCTCAACTTCAATGCAGTCATTAGAACAAGTCAGGCAGTCATGCAATCTTAGAATCGAAAGGGCCCTTAGAGATAAGTTGCATCCAATCGTTGCTTCTTCCCAACACCCAAAACACCCGTCTATACCTGAGAACACTCAGATTCCAAGAGAAGAATCTGTCCCAAGGGCCCATTCCCATCAAGCAGCAGAGCTGGACTTGGATGCAGGCGGCTCCACAGCAGACTTCTGCTCTTCCTGTGGTTGCAAAGGCCACGCCTTACTGGAGTCACTGCGTTTGGCCAGAGTGCAGTCCAAGAAAGCCCCATAAACCCTTGCTTCTCAGAGCGTGGTCCTTGATCCAGCAGCATCAGCATCAGCTGGGAACTCGTTTAAAATGCTAAATCTGACTGAGCACAAGGGCTCACACCTGTAATCCCAGCACTTTGGGAGGATGAGGTGGGCAGATCACCTGAAGTCAGGAGTTCCAGGTCAGACTGGCCAACACGGTGAAACCCCGTCTCCACTAAAAATACAAAAATAAAAAAAAGTAGCCAGATGTGGTGGTGCATGCCTGTAATCTCAGCTACTCGGCAGGCTGAGGCAGGAGAATCACTTGAACCTGGGAGGCAGAGGTTACAGTGAGCTGAGATCATGCCACTGCATTTCAGCTTGGGCGACAGAGTGAGACTCCATCACAAAAAAATAAATAAATAAATAAATAGAAATAAAATAAAATGTCAAATCTCACGTCCCTCCCCAAACTTTCTCAATTAGAATCAGCCTTTGTGATACGGCTCCCAGGTGATTCGTGTGCACATTAAACTTTGAGCAGCATTGAAATACGCTGTTCTTAATTTGGTACAATAGCAACAGTTCTTCAGAGGTCTTCTAGCTTAATGGTCCAAAGCTGCGAATTCTCACAGTTCAGAGTGCTCAAGAGGTCCACCATAATTACCAACAAATAAGCATTACAAAGTGGTGTTTCGTCCTCTACCCAGAAATCTGTGAACTCCATGGAAGAGGCCTTCATGATTTTTGTTCTCTGCTCAGAAATCAACATTGCTTTTGGTATCTAGGAAAGAAGGAAGAGGTATCTTTTTTTAAAAGAAAAAAATAAATAAAATATCAGATGACTGTAGCTCTTTTGTTAACTTCTGCTTACTTTGCTTTGGCTTTGGTTTCATGAAATCAGAACCTCCTATTTACATAGGGTTTACATAAGGCCCATTGTCCTTTTGTGGCACAAAGAGGCAGCTTAGACGAAGGAAAAGAGCACTGGGCCCAGAATCATCCAGATATGGGGTTCAATACTACCCCAGCTTTTGAATTGCTGTGTGACCCAAAGCAAATCAGTGTGCTTCTCTGAACCTTTATTTCCTCAACAGTAAAATGGCTATGCCAATAATAAGTAATTTATGACAGTTGTGAGAAATCATACATATGAAAGCTCCTAGCATGTGGCAGATATTCTGGCCTAGCACGCGGCAGATATTCATCTGGCCTAGCATGTGGCAGATATTCAGTAGGGCATGATACAGAAAGGTTGTAATTAGAGCATAAAATGGATACTTTTTGAGTATCTGCAATGCCTGCAGACACCAGGTATACAACAGTAAATGAGACAGATATATTTATAGTATCCACCCAAGTAGAACTATTGTTTACTGGAAAGCAAGACAAAATAATGATAGCTAACAATGATTGAGTGCTTGCTACACGCCAGGCACTGTTCTAAGGACTTCACATGAATTAACTGATATAATCCTCACCAATATCCTATGGATATTAGGTACCATCATTAACTCTCTTTCACAGATGAGGAAACTGAGGCACATGAGGGTTAAGTAACCTGGTCCACAGCTGTATAGAAGCAGCTTAGCATGAGACAGGTTGGTATGGAGATTCAGTAAGTTTCTGAGTTCAGATCCCAGGCTCTCCAGTAAGTAAGGGAGCCTGGGATCTGAACTCAGAAACTTACTGAATCTCCATACCAACCTGTCTCATACTAAACAGCAACTACATGTATATAAACACATGCTTCAAAAGGAGAAGGCCCAAGAACTAGGAGGGTGCACACCAGGGAGCCCTGGCCTAGCCTGAGGAGTCAGAGGCAGCTCTCGAAGGGGGCAATGAGAAAGCGGTACCCAGATAAAGAAGGGGAAAAGCTCTCCCTGTAGAACAAGTATGGGCGTGAAGACCTGGAATTAACGGAGAACTGAGAGCTTAGGTCATTAATATTAAGCAACAGAATTGTACTTGGCTGCTAAAGACTGCAGCTCAAAAATCAAGCATCCAACAAATACACCTGGAAAGAAAATACCTCAGACACCACTTCTGTTGTATCCACATTCTCTTAGTCTTGACCAGCATCAACGTCTATCATTTTTAGAGGAAAATTAGACCACAGGAGAGCGGATAATGAGAAGGGGAAGCAGGGAGGGCTTTGGCTCCACATCTGGGCCAGGATCCACTGATGCTCGTTTCTGTGTGACCTTGAGTGGGTAATTAAAACTGTCTTCTAAACCTCAGTTTCTTTATCTGGAAAATGGGATTAAGAATATTTACTTTTTATAGTCATGGTTTAAATAAAGCCATGCATGTATGGCCTGGCTCTTGGCAAGGACTCAAGGAATGTACTCTCCCTTCACCTGTCAGCGTTCAAAGTTAGAAACTGGCACATCGTGCAGGAAGCTGAGACACCCAGGTCCTCTGAACACCCAGGTCCTCTCTCTAATCTTGTATCTTTGAGGGTGTTTGGTTTTGTTCCGGTATCTTAACCAGTATTGAGTTATCAGGTCCGGCCATGGAACACTCACAAGACTTTCTTCTTAAAATCACGTGTTTAAGATCATTCAAAGGGATCAAAACTTCAATTTGGATGAATGCATCCAAGTGTCCTATTAATAATCTTTCTCATCAATAAAAACAAAAAAAAATAAAACTGGGAAAAAAATTATGAGGAGATAGGTAGTAAAATGAATGAGGATTGCTGTTTTCCTTTTTTTTTTTTTCCAGCAGTGCACACTGAAGGAATATCTATGACCTCAATTTCCAATTTCCATCAGATTCCAGGAGATACATTTGAAGAAAAAAGGCCAGATCTTTTCAGGGATACCTAGAGCTTTAGAACCAGAAATCAACTCGAAGATCATTAGGTCAACCCCTTCATTTTCCAGAGGATGTGAGTGATTTTTAAAGCTGGAATGAAGCTCATACGGGGTTATCGGCAGAATTAGGGCTTGAATTTGGGAGTCCTAAGGCAATCAGGGCAGTGCATGTATGGCAATAGCACTGATCAGCTAAGGAGATTTTCTGCTGAGGACAAGTAACCTAAGTTTCAAAGTTTAAGCAGAGGGTCGTTGATAACCTGCCAAATTCACTTGTCTGGAGAAGGAAAGTGAAGTTAAAAGTGCTATAAACCAACAAAGCCTCAATTCCACAAATTTAAGAACATATTCTCTTTCCTAACAGATGCAATAAACTAATAGATGCTCTTCACTTTTCATTGACCCCTTTAAGGGGAGTCGGTGGAGTTTTCTCAGATTTGCATGTGATTTGCATATTGGTCACACAATCCCCAGCTCAGGTCAATGAGTAATCACAGGCTTGTTCCTGTTCTGGTTCTTGGTCATTAAGCAAGAGTGCCAGGTGCCTTAGCTTCTGCCATGGGAAACCATCACCCAGGAAAGTACAGCCATTCTCCAACTGCCTCTTTCCGGCTGAGGACCAAGGCATCCCTCATAATCCTGATGCCCTCCAGAGGCCTTACAGAAAACCACGAAAGACTCCCCAATGCAGTGTGTGGTCTGAATATATCAACTATGAAGGAAACTTCTGGGCCTATTAAGGACATTTGAATTTGGATTGGGCCTTCCATGCCACTAGGAAATTACTGTTAATTTTTATGGGTATAATAATTGTATTATTGTTATGTAACATAATAGCCTTACTTTTTAGATATGCATTCTGAAATATTTGAGGTTAAAATGTGATATCTGTAATTTGCTTTAAAATATAAACTACTCTAAAATGCTAAGCAGGCCGGGTGCAGTGGCTCATGTCTGTAATCCCAGCACTTTGGGAGGCCGAGGCAGGCAGATCACTTGGAGTCAGCAGTTCGAGACCAGTCTGGCCAACGTGGTGAAACCCCATCTCTACTAAAAATACAAAAATTAGCTGGGTGTGGTGGTGCATGCTTGTAATCCCAGCTACTGGGGTGGCTGAGGCAGGAGAACCACTTCAACTATTGAGACGGAGGTTGCAGTGAGCGGAGATCACACCACTGAACCCAGCCTGGGCAACAGAGTGAGATTGCCTCAAAAAAAATAAAATACTGAGCAAAACAGACAAACAAAAAATAAAGCAAATGCAGCAATATGTTAGTAAATGTTAAACCAAGGCATGTGTCCATTATAATAGTCTCTCTACATTTCTGTATGTGAAAAATTGCATACTAAAAATTTTAAAGCAAATAAAGTTATTCTGTTATCATGAGAAAAGGAGCTGTGGAACTTGACCTCTTGTTATCCTGTTCACCACCCAAAGGTCAGCCTCCATAGACAGATGATATAAAGACAGCAAGAACTTTTTATATGTAAAAAGCACACACAGGTGACTACTACATGAATATTTTCTCATTGCAAACACTTCAAACCACCAAGAAGTATAAGGAGTAACCATTGAAAGTTTCCCTCTGTGGGTTTCCCTCTTCCAGTCAATCCCCCAATTCTTCAACTCCTGCCCCCACTTCTCTCCCCGCCATTAATTAACAATTTAGTGGATGGGAGAAGAAAAATTAACTTATGTCCTTGGGTCAAACTCAATGCCAAAATCACCCAGGAAAAAAAGGATACAAGCAGAGCTGTGGTGTGGGGTAGGGATAGGGGCAGAATGAGGTGAAACAGACTTTCTGAATCGCTGGAAAGCTACACACAGTATTCTATTTTGGAAAGACACATGGGTATCCACTCTGCTTCCTCTGGCAGGAGAATGTGGCCTTCCTAATACTGAGTTCAGTTTGTCATCCAGGAGAGCCTGAAGTTTGCAAACTCTCTCCCTTGAAACCCAAACATTCAGGTTGTTAAAGGTAAGTTCTCCCCACCCCATAGTTGTGGAATCATAAAGCTCTCCCACAAGGCACCTTCTCAGTGCTGTCATCTCAACATGGCAGAGCCCAACCTGGGTGGAGAGTATCACATTCAGCTTTTGGCTCTGATGAGGATTCAAGGCCCCAGAACAAAAGACGTGACAAGATGAGCAACATGAGGTCATGCTTGCCTCCCTTACATTTTGTATCCTTGGTTAAATAAAATGGGAACTTACGATAAATGCATAGGTATCACCTGTTTTTGTTAATTCAGAATCTATTGGAAAATCTGCAGTCTTTCTATAGCCCTTTTTCTATGCACTTACATATATATTTAATAATGATAACAGTAACAATAAAGGAACACCTGTACACTGTTTGTGGGGATGTAAATTAGTACAACTGTCATGGAAAACTGTATGGAGGTTTCTCTTAAAACTAAAAATAGAATTGTTATATGATCCAGCAACCCCACTTCTGAGTATTTACCCAAAAGCTTTTTGTTTGTTTGTGTTTGAGATGGAGTCTCGCTCTGCTACCCAGGCTGGAGTGCAATGGCATGATCTCGGCTCACTACAACCTCCACCTCCTGGGTTCAAGCGATTCTCCTGCCTCAGCCTCCCAAGTAGCTGGGACTACAGGCACCTGCCACCACGCCCGGCTAATTTTTGAATTTTTTGGTAGAGACGGGGTTTTGCCATGTTGGCCAGTCTGGTCTTGAACTCCTGACCTCAAGTGATCTGCCTACCTCAGCCTCCCAAAGTTGTGGGATTACAGGTGTGAGCCACCATGCCTGGCCCCAAAAGCTTTTAAATCAGTATGTTAAAGAGACATCTGCACTCCCATGTTCACTGAAGCACTATTCACAGGAGCCAAGTTATAAAATCAACCTAAGTGTCCATCACCAAAGAGTGGACAATGGAAATATGGTACATATACACAATGGAATACTATGCAGCTTTAAAAAAGAAAGATATTTTGTCATTTGCAACTACAGGGATAGAAATGAAAAACATTATGCTAAATAATAAGTCAGCACAGAGAAACAAATACTGCATATTCACACTCACACATGGAATTTAACATAATTGAACTCAAAGAAGCAGAGAATAGAAGAATGGTGCTTACCTGAAGCTGGTGCATGGGAGACATGTGGAGACCATGGTCAAAGGGTACAAAGCCTCAATCAGACAAAAAGAATAGTTTTTGTTCTCTGAGATAGACATTGTTCCTGATTTAGGTTTTTCAACTTGACAACAGTCCAAAAACCACATACATTCAGTAGAAATCATATCTCAAATTTTGAATTTTGATCTTTTCCTGGGCTAGAGACCTGCAGTTCAATACTCCCTCAGTGCTGAGTGACAACAAGAGCTGTAAATTCCCATCAGCCATGCACGGGGGTAAACCACCAATCTTTACCGTGTCTGTCTTGCCTGATGTTTCTGCCCAACTATAGAAGTGTTCTGAGCACATTTAAGGCAGTCCAAGCTAAGCTGTGATTTTCAGTAGATTAAGTGTATTAAACGCGCTTTTTTTTTTTTTTTTTTTTTGAGATATGGCCTCTATCTCTTGCCCAGGCTGGAGTGCAATGGTGCGATCTTGACTCACTGCAACCTCCAGCTCCCAGGTTCAATGCCTCAGCCTCTTGAGTATCTGGGACTACAGGCATGCGCCACCATGCCCGGCAAATGTTTGTATTTTTAGTGGAGATGGGGTTTCACTGTGTTGGCCAGCCCGGTCTCAAACTCCTGACTTCAAGTGATCTGCCCTCCACTGCCTTCCAAAGTGCTGAGATTATAGGCAGGAGCCACCATTTCCGAACATTAAATGCATTTTTGACCTTTAATTTACAATGGGCTTACCAGGGCATAACCCCATCATAAGTCAAGGAGACTCTGTATTGTATAATGTGGCGAATATAGTATTCATGTATATTAATGTATCATACATTTTTTAATTGCTAAGAGAGTATATTTCAAATGTTCTCACCACAAAAAATGGTGTTTGAGGTGATGCATATGTTAATGAGCCTAATTTAATTATTCCACATTGTATTCATAAATCATAACCTCACTTTGTACCTTATAAGTATATTCAATAATTTCTTAATTTACAATTTAAAAATAAAAATTACAAACAACAACAAAAATAATAAACACATGTGAGCCCTTAGAGCAGAGTAGTGTTCTAAGCACTTTTTACCTATTAAATCATTTAACCTTCACAACATCCCTGTGAGGTATGTACTATTTTTATCCATATTTATAGATAAAGAAACTGATGCCAGATTGGTTAAACGGTTGCCCAAACTTAACCAATTAGGACTGGGGGAACTGAGATTTGAATCCAGGTAGTCTAACATCGGAGTATACTCTGTTGACCATCACACTATTCACACATATTGTTTTGCTTTTCAATTTATTTTTCATACATAGGATCACACTACATGTGACATTTCATTTTTACTTTGAAATATTCCTTGGACTTACTGGATAAGATCCACCTCATGGTTTTTAACTCCTGCACAGTCTTTCATAAACAAGACATAGAGATGTACAGAACCATTTCCAAATTGATGGTTATTTAAATGATTTCTAATATTTTGCTGTTATAAATATTGAAATGAACACTCTTGCCCTTGTCTTTTTTTAGGCTTATATGTATTTGTATAAGTTTCGATTCTTACAAGGAGACTTGCTGGGTCAAATGATAATGCACATCTAAAATTTTGATAAACACTGAAGTAAGATTTTTACTTTTCAATTTACAATAGAGGTCAGAAGCCAAAACTCCATGTCTTAGGAGGTAGGGAAAGGAAATGAGACTAATATCTTGCCTGAGGCATCAGTCCAGTTGGCTTTTCAGCCTCCCATATCGTGACATAAAAATTGAGTTCCCCCCAAAAGGAGTTCTTGAGTTCAAAAAATGAGTTCATGAGATTTGAAGTCATGAATGAGTCAGACTTTATAACTAGAAGACTTTAGCGTACCTTGACAAAGGTTAAAAGGTTATACTATTGAATATGGCTGCATTTCACAATCAATAAAACTGATACCAGTAATCATAACAGTCACCATTTATTGAGCATGCACTATGTGCTGGGAACCCTACTAAAGGCATTCACAGTCTCATTTAATCTTCCTAACCATCCACAATCCTATGAGTGCCCAGAGCCAACTATGGCTGCCTAGTTAACCCCTTGTTTCCCTTGCAGTTATAGATCAACCCTCACTTCCTTAGGAAAGCCCTTCCTTGCTTCCCTGACCAGGGAAAATACCCCTACGATACCCTCTCATAGCACCAAATGCCTCTTCATTATAATGCTTTCAAGGGTGGTAATGCTATATTGAATAGTGTGAATCTTTGATTAACCTCTATGTCTCTTTCTAGACTCCACAAGGGCTGGGATGGTGAGAATTGAACAAGTGACTGAGTGAATGAATTAACCAACACATGAGTTATGGAGCTAAACACTGACTGGTCAAGACCATGTTGGAAGATAAAGATGGGAGAGGAAGCACAGTCCATGCAAGAACATAGTGATCAAAGGAATCCAGATTAAAAAAAAAGTATAGGTCATGTTTGTAGCACAAAGAAGAATATAGAGTGTAGTATGACTAAAACTTCCTGCCTCTACTCATCTGGGTTTACCAGACAGGGGAATAGAATGAAGTTAACCATTTACACCTTAGTTCCTTAGTGTAAACTCATCAATATACCTCCTACAATAGCAACATATGTGTTTAGAGAAGAACTAAAAGCAAAGGAATGCTGACATTTCAAGCACTATGACATCAGGATGGGAGAAAAATTGGAGCACTTCTGTCTTTGTAGGCCATGTAGAATATATTGTGGGATATCCACATCCTCCATCTATCAGCACACATGGTTCTGGCTAATCCTAGATCAGGAGGAGAAAAAAAAAAACAAAAAAACCTCTGATGTTTGAGCAGCAATGGGCAGTGTGTTACACCAGACATGGTGGTTTCATGGTGGTTTCATGAGAATATGCAATTTCAGTATGATTCATACCCTTATATTCCCTGAAACTTGACAGAAGCAGATTTTGTACTAACAGCCATACACAGTGGTGCTCACGTACAATAGCTTACACCTGAAATGACAAAGGAGTCATCTACCTTTAGAAAATGTGACCCCAATCCCCTCAGAGTGCACAAGCTCACTTGGGTTTCCATCAGAGGAATTTAACTCTTAGGGTTTGGAGAAGGGCACGGAGCAAACTGTTGGGAATGCTTCAGATTGTATTAAAACAATAGACTGGCTCTCTTCCTTTGGGTGACATGGTTGTGATTTCCAGAAATAGGATGAATCATTTGTCTCAAGTAGGTAGTGTTCATTCTAACTTGGCTAGATTTTCGGTGGCCTTTTCTAAAATCCATAGAAGAAATGTGTATTACAGATAGACACATTTGAGAGGTGCTTCCTAGGGAAAAAAAAAATACTCTAGGTGAACAAGTTCTCCTCTGTATCTTACCCAACTCTCCATCAAAAGAGGGTTTTTCCTACTAGGCCTTTCTTTTCTTAGACCTATGAGGTTAACTATAGGAATAGGATGAACTACGCTGATCTTTAGAGAGGAGAAGGGAAGCGATATTATCAATGCTTTAGCCATATGTGTATAAAATTTGGGAATGCTTTGGGTTGCAAATAAAAGAATATTGGTCTAACAGTAGCTTATATAAATACAGTTATACATCACTTAAGGATGGGAATACATTCTGCAAAATGTGTCATCAGGTGATTTTGTCATTGTGCAAACATCATAGAGTGTGCTCACACAAATCCAGATGGTAGAGCCTCTACATGCCTAGGCTCTATGGCATATGCTATTTCTCCTAGACCCGTGCAGCATGTCACTCACTATACCAAATACTGTAGGCAATGGTAACTCAAGGGTTATTGTTAGTGCATCCAAACATAGAAAAGATACAGTAAAAGTACAGTATTATAATTTTACAAGACCTCTGTCATCTATGCTGTCTGTAGTCAGCCAAATCATCCTAATGCAATACATGACCATATTGTATTTTTCTCCCTTATATAATAAGAATTGTGTAAAAAGATTGTCCTAAGTATGTGGCAGCTCAAGGATACTTATCAGAACACCTCCTCCTTCCATCTTTCAACCTCACTATTTTTAGTAAATTGGTCTTTTATCCTCTTTGCTATCCCCTTATGGTTATAGAATGGTTCCTAGAGTGGTTCCCATAGCTCCAAGAGCCACAATTTTAAATAAAGGCAGGAAGAAAAAGGGAATGAGATATCTGTCCTTTTTATCTAGAAAGAAAACTTCTCAGTCCACCAGCCAACTTCCCCTTAACTCTCATTAGTCTGAACTGGGTTCCATCAACTCCCTTACCTATAAGAAAGGCAAAAATAAAAATAAAAAATGAAAATAAGTAAATAAAAATAAAATAAAATAAAGGTGGAAAAGGTATCCATGACTTAATTCAACTAACCAATCATGATTTGTCACCTGGGATCAAGCACATTGCAAAAGTTGTTGTATCTAAAGAAGGTGGAAGTGGGTGTGAAGCAGGTAACTAACACCTCTATCCCATCAGATCACCATTCTCTATCTTCAGTGCCTTGGTTACAGCCTCTGCTTCTCTCTCCTCTGTTTTTATGGCAAACAGAATATTAAAACTTCTCATTCCTTAAGGCTTAAGTTTTTTTGAGTGAGCTCATCCAGGAAACCATATTGGAAGACTTCAGCCCACAAAAATTATAGCTACCATTGATTAAATGCTTACTATAAACCAGACATTTTGCTATATTTGAATTAGTATTGATAATTCTCACAACAATCCTGCCAAACAGTTAACATCCTCCATAGTATATAACTTTTTCAGAGTCTCAGAATTGGTTTGCAGTGGAAAATTGGTTTGAACTGAAGACCATCTGGAGTACAAAACCTACTCTCTTTCTTAACACATCTGTTCTTTTTCTCTACTGAATTATTATAGAACTTAGAGTATTACCAATACCTCTATCCTCTCCTGTATTATTCTGTGAAGTATTTATGTGTGTAAATTATACAAAAAGAGTTTCCCTTTCTAGGGGCAGGAAGGTCTTCCAGTTGCCCCAGTCATGTATCTGCAACCATGTCAAACTAACCAAATGAGCTCTATTTATAGGGTTTTACACCCAGTACCTAAAGGGAAAGCTCCTCAGTGAAGACTTGAACTTGACGTCCTTGCCTTATCAAAAAATAAAGTCTGCTTTTTAAAATTATGGTGCAGTGGTTCTCAATCCCGGCAGCTTTAGCTAGCCTGGGGTGGCACCTGGGTGGAGACCAGATATCAATATATTTTTTAAACCCCTCCAAGTTTTCATGTGCAGTGAAGATTGGATTTCCAAGGCAGGACTCAGCCTCTGCCTGTTGACCTAGCAGTTCAGGTGAGTCTAATGATCCGGCTAGTCTGTGCAAGGCTGGCCACATAGAAAACCTTTTTGCAGTAATAGCAGAAACTCTTTCTTGGCTCTGATCATGATGAAAAATGTACTCTAGTCTTAGGCTTGAGTGTGCCAACAGGGTAGTAGGAGTTTTTGTAAAACATAACAGAGCTAACATCTATAGAACCTTTATTACAATGTAAGTAATGATACTAAGAACTTTAAATGGCAAATTATGTTCTTCCTCACACCACTCTGAGGGTAGCTACCTATCTGTATTACCTCCTTTATAGACAAAATAATTTCCTACGGTCACAAAGTAAGGAAACGTGGAACAAGGGGTCCAGTCCAGGAAGTCTGAGTCTTTGGTCCCTACTCTTAGCTCTATACAGTGCTCCCTGCTCTAGATTGCATTTGGATTCCTGAACGGCATCATGAAGTAAAGCATTATCCTCTCTACTGAGCCAGAAAAGAGGATGGGAAGTTAGAGGCCAGGATCAGACTGGACCTATGTCTTACAGCAAGGGATCTGATGGAGAAGGAGAAACAAAGACAGAGTTTGGAGGTCAGGGAACTTGCAATGCTATGAAGTCAAATTGAAGAACCTTCCTACCATGTGTAAGCCCTTGCTCTAAGTGCAAAGACTCGATCCTTTCATAAAGCACCAACAGTAATTCTTTCTAGATGGCATGATACAGTGAAATAACCTTGGACCTCAGGATCTAACAGAGCTTGAATGTCAGCTACAACACCTATACGTGCCATAAGCTAATTATTTTACTTCTGAGACTCAATATCCTAAATTGTAAAAAGGACAAAAATCAACTCTTCTGTTTCAAATTACTTTGAGAATAAAAGGAGGTAATAAACATGGCAGCCCTTAAATAACTGCCTGGCCCTGCTCCCTAAGCAACTCTCATTCAGTTCAGCCATCAAAGGGTTAAGAAAGACAGCCTGAGTACAATGATGAAGTTGGGATATTTTATTTCTGAACAAAGGTTCTATAATTTCAGCTCAGCTATGCCTATACCCAGCTCCTCACCGAGTTCTTGCAGCCGCCTGTGGGATGTGTAAGCAGATCCAGGGCTCTGCAGTAATGCTCTTTGAAAAAGCATTGTGCTCTAATAAGTCACTTTCCTCTCCTCAGGCGAAGTTCACATGAATTAGACTGCAAGGCACTTTATGCAAAACGTGTGACCTTCACTGGCTCTGATTTGCATTGTCATCGTTCCTTTATTCTTCTAAAGTGCCTTCATTTTGCATAATGCTATAATGTTATTCAGGCTTTGCAGGTATCACTATTTCATTGCTCCAATTATAACCATTTTAGGCAAAACTATAGATAACCTTCAGAAACCCATGCCTGTGTGATCTTTCATTCACAAGAAGGAAGCAATGAAACTGGACTTAAAAAAAAACAAAACAAAACGAAAAAGCTCATTTTGAGTGGAAATTTAAAACTCCAAGATTAGATTTTTTTTCCCTTCTTGGGGATTAAGAGAGAGTGTTGTCTGTGTCTGCCATGAAAACCTCTGTATTACTAGTTAGTTATTACAGGCAAAGCTTACTATTGGAGCAAGCACATTCACCTAAGCAGAATCACTCAGTGCCATTGAGGCATAATTTGAGTGTTTCTCAACTTACGGAACATCTCCCTTCCAACTGCTCCCATAGATCCCACTCCACGGCAGAAACACCACCCCAAGGCCAAGGATTGGAACCAGTTAATGAACAAACGTCTGTTGGAGACATGACATATTACATTGTTTTTTATGTTAGTGTAAATGAGACTCTGATCCTTTCTTCCAATTTAAAGTTGATTGCAGAAAGACAGAGACACAAATTCTGAGGGATAGAATTGGAGAGGGAGTAAGAAGATGACCCCAAACCAAATGTCAATATTTCCACATTTTGCTAGGGCCCTTGGTTAAAAGTGGATATGCTAAACAGTGGAAGGAAACATTCATTTCTCATATTATTTATCAAATACCTACTATTCACCAGACATCAAATTAAGCACTAAACAATACAAAATGCACCCATCTTCCACAGGGCTTACCATCCTAATCATGAGATTGCAATGGGCTAGGGAAATAGTAAAGGAATTTTGGTAAATCAGAGCTCAAACTTACATAGAATTATGTTACATTTCAATGTGGAAAGCATGTGTGGCTCTTTTATTTCCCTACTGTTTTACTCTCCCTCACTCCAACTTGCTAAATATTTAAAGAAAAATACTGAAGTTACTCCCTGTTAACTGAAAAATGAATATTATCAATAGTTAAATCATTTATCTATACTTAAGGCCATCTCTTTGAAATCATTGCTATTTTTCTTGGTCTCTTTCTCACCAGCACTTCCCTGGCTGTGCAGGAATACAGCTGGCATGACCCCATGGTCCCATGCGGAGGGCAGCTTCTCATGCCTAATCTTTGGGTGTGTGTTGGGTGGCACCTCATCAAATCTGCTTGGTTTTGCTTCAACCCTGGCTGTTCAGTGCTGTTGATGCTGACATCCCTGAATAATAAACTCTTCTCAGCCCACTTGAGACCAATGGCTCCACCACCCGTTTTAGCCCTCCACCAAAATCCTCCTCAGTTCTCACTTTGTCCAAGTCCAAAACTTACTCTAGTCCTAGGCTTGAGTATGCCAACAGGGTAGTAGAAGCTTCTGTGAAACATAACAGAGCTAACATCTGTAGAATCTCTACTATAATTATAGCAAGTCACTCTAATGCTAAGAACTTTATGGCTAGTTATCTTCTTCCTTATACAACTCTTTGAGTGGAGCTATCTACTCATATTACCCCATTTTATAGACAAGGAAAAGTCCCTAAAGTCCCTAAAGTCACAAAGTAAGGAAACATGAAACAAGGCGTCCAGTCCAGGAAGTCTGACTCCTGGGTCTCTGCTGTTAGCTCTGCGCAGTGCTTCCTGCTCTAGATTGCATGTGAGTCCCTCAATGGCATGTGAGGATAGCTCTTACTTCTCTACTAAGGCCAGAAAAGAGGATGTGAAGTTAGAAGCCAGGATCAGGCTGAACCTATGTCTTACAGCAAGGGATCTGATGAAGAAGGGGAAACAAAGACAGCCATTGTATATCGGGAAATTTACGATGCTATGAAGTCAAATTGAAGAACCTTCCTACCATGTGTAAGCTCTTGCTCTAAGTGCAAGGACTTGATCTTTTCATAAATCAGAGGGAGTAATTATTTCTAGGTGGTATGACACCATGAAATACAGACCTCTCTGAGTCATGCCACATCCCCACAGCAACACTGACCCCAGAGGTCATCTCTCAGTGTCTCTTGAAGGATCTCCTCAATCCCACTTTAGTGGGCCCATTGCAGTCCCAAGGGCTGGAAACCTAGTTTCCTTTCTGCTGTATGTCACCTAAGGAATCTCAGGCCTGCTAATGAAACCCTCTCTCTATGCCAGTCCATCCTCTTAAACCATGCTGGGATTCCATATGTTGGCTTCTCTGCCTTCTGGTGTACTTTGTGAGTCCTTAGTGGAGAGGTGGGTTAGAGCTCTTTGCCCCATATAGTCCCCCAATGTAGTCAGCATATCACCCCCTCGAGAGCAGGAGATGTAGTTACAGCCCTGGCTGCCTTTCTCCTCCATCTCTGACATCCTTCTCAGTCCTCTGGGCTCAGAGAGAGGGAGTCTTTCCCTATGTGAGATCCTCCTTCCCCCAGAGAGCACCCATCCCTCCACTGCCCCTTCCCTGTGTTAAACTAGCAGACAGATGCAGGAGGTAGAAATGGTAAAATAAAATCAATTGATAGCTAATTTGATACCTAAAAATATTATTCTTTTTATCCTTAAATATTCAGGTTCTCAGTCACCAAATACTGGAACAGAAATTTTGCTTCCCATTTTGCAGATAAGAAGAAAAGCCAAATTGGAGAAAAATAAAATTGAGGGTGTATCCATGCCAATATACCAACACTGCAGGTAAATGTCTATCTAACGTCCATCACTTCAGTGACACTACACTCTGGAAATCTCTCAAACTAACTGTATCTTCTATTTTTCCTTTGAGGGATGCTCTGCTTGCCCCTGCCCTTTAAGAAGGGGTGTTTCTCCAAGCTCCTTTCCTTGGCCACCTTCTTTTTATTTTTTTTCTACTACTGTGTGCGTGTGTGTGTGTGTGAGAGAGAGAGCGATTTCATCCACTCTCAGAACTTAGCCATAATCTTTAAGTATAGATTCAACACATCTTTATGCCTTGCCCACTTTTCTGTCTTCTGAATAGTTCTATTTTAAAGGAATGCTGGTTCCTTAAACTGGGCATTCAGAGAACTGAAGACTAGTCTCCATGGCACTGATGTTCTAGTTTCTGTTTAAATCACCCTTTCCTCAAACATCTTACTGTCTCACTGTTGGTCTTCATTCAGTAATCCTCATCATGATCATTCCCATAGATTCTGCCTTCCTGGCCTTCCTGCTTTATGCACTTGTATTCCTCTGTCCATCTCCCCAGTTCCCTTGCTTCATACCAGGACCTCACCACCTGTCACTGGAATCCTGCAGTGGGGTCAGGTAGGTGTGATAGAGTATAAAGAAAATAGGTTCAGGCTGGGAGCGGTGGCTCATGCCTGTAATCCCAGCACTTTGGGAGGCCAAGGTGGGTGGATCACATGAGGTCAGGAATTTGAGACCAGCCTGATCAATATGGTGAAACCCCGTCTCTACTAAAAATACAAAAATTAGCCAGGCATGGTGGCACATGCCTGTAATCCCAGCTACTCGGGAGGCTGAGGCAGGATAATTGCTTGAACCAGGGAGGCGGAGGTTGCACTGAGCCAAGATCACGTCACTGCACTCCAGCCTGAGTGACAGAGCAAGACTCCATCTCAAAAAAAAAAAAAAAAAAAAAAAAAAAGAATAAGAAGAAAAGAAAACAGGTTCACTATCCTGGCATCCTAGATGCTCTAGTACCTGGCCCCAAACAGAGTTGTTATCTTATCCCCCACACTCTTATACATTCTCCAAAGACTTGCTGAATTTGGCACTCATTTTCCTAGGACATGGGCTTTCCTATTATATGACAGGTAACTGTTTTCCGCACTGAATGAGCTTGCCAAGCCATTTCAGTTTTTGCAATATATCTACCAATCAAGACTGTTTTTAGATAATGCCTCTTTTGTGAACCCATTCTTGATCACTGTCTTGTCTGAAGCCCAATAACTCACTGTTTTCTCACCTCTACAACTCCTCCTGAGCCAGAAGAATGTGTTTTCACCTTGGTGAAACTTTCTTTGATCCCCAAATCCAGGTTAGATTAGGGCCTCCAGCTGTGTTATCTCAGACATTAGGGGAGAACCCTCATCTCTCTTTGACTTCCTTTTTCTATAGACACCACTGAGAGAAACATATTTGGTTTCTTTCTGTATCCCTGACTTCATTCCCATGGAAGAAAGACTGAAGCATTTTATTTGTGGGCTGGGGATAAGGGGCTTAGTTTATCTTGACCGCTGCTTTTCTTAGCTCCTCCCTGATTCTCTACTTTCAGAAGCTTGACTGACTGCAGGAAGTATCCATTGCGATCTGCTTTCCACCGGGTAACAAGAGCTTCTTCCTTTCCAGGAAGCTTCAGCTGTCCCACTCTGCCAGAGGCTGGGTAAGCACAGTACACTGAATGTGCTGGGCTGAATTCTAGGCCGAAATATTGTTGCCAAAACCTCTAGGTGACAGATGTGATATCGCATTTCCCAATCCAGTTTCCATCACTAATAGAGCTGCCATGTTGCTGCCGATGTTTCTCCCCTCGGCCTTTCCATGGACTCAGGACTTCACAGAGAGGAAAAAGCAGTATCTCAAACCTCCTTCATGATGGCGTTCAGTATGATCAACGCCAGTTTCTTTCCCTGTCTCTTCTGTCTAGCTGGTAAATTCCTGTACGACAGAGACCATGTTCCTTTTCATTTTTGTATCTCTCATGTCTAGCACATTATCTAACTCAATAAATATCTTAACTAAATTGACAGATAGATGAAAACTTTATGCCACCCTTATGGCTCATACTATATCTTATAATAGCACTGCATGAATAAATGGATGAATGACATATGCTTGTATACTGCCTACAACATATTCTGATTCCTTTCACAAGATGTCTACCAACTCCAACAATCTGCACCTCACAATTTTGCTGCAGGTCTACTGTGAGAGCACACTTGAAGCTCTTTCTCTACTGCTTTTATTTTCAAATGCTCAGAACACTGGAATTTTGCCAAGGAGGTACAGAACTGTTCAACCCTATCATCCAGAGCTGAATCATCCACAAAGCATCATAGCATCAAAGCTGATGACAACATCCCACTCACCTATATCATCTTCGCTTTCTACTTTTCACTTCTGCCTTCGTAAATTTACTATTCTCTCGCTGTACTTTAAACCATAATAGTGTCTTACTCATCCTTTCTTGTCACCAAAAAGCTGACACAAGCATTCAGGAAATTAGTGTTGTCTATAAAAGAAGAAAACCACTTTTTTTTTTTTTGGTTGAATATTTTCCTTCAAACACATGTCCTGTTTTCCAGATATTTAGTTGTACTATTTTTAGCCTGAATTAGGTGTGCTCCTTTCCAGGAGACTTCATTTCTGTAATCAGTGGGAAATACTCAGAATAGATCCTCAGTTTTAATTGACTAACCATTGCTTTATTTATTAGTTAACCATCTCTATGGACTGAGTTGGTATTTATAACAAAGGAAGCAATTGCTAAGTTGAACATGGTTTTCATTTCTAGGCTTCTGGACCATGACCATTTGTACAGGGAAGAAAAGCATCTAATAATCCCACAAGAGTTTAAATTCTCTTCTTGCATTAATCATTTACTAGTACTAAATAGATACTGTATACGCTTTCTTATTAGTTACACATTGCTGTTCATCAAATCACTTCATAATGTTCTGGCTTTAATAACAACCATGTGTTACATCTCATGAACTTATAGATCATCTGGGAATTTCTGCTAATCTGGACTAGGTTTGGTTGATCTTGACTGGACTCACTCGTGCATTTGTGGTCAGCTGAGTGTTAGGTAGGCAGTTATGCTCACTGTGGCTGACCTTCTAGCTCGTATGTTTGAGGGTGGCCTGGTGCTGGATGACCTTGGCTGTGCCAATTCAGCAATGCCTTGTCTCATCCTCCAGCACACTAGTCCAGGCTTGGTTCCATGTAGTTGGCAAGTTTCCAAATCCAAGCAAGCTCACTCAAGAGGAGATGGAGAGACACTCAAGATCTTTGTAAGCATCCACTTGAGGCACATTTGGTAACATCCTAGTGATCAAGGAAAAGCACAACTCTGTCCAAAGGCAGAGGGCAGAGACTACAAATTACAGGATAAGGTCAAGAATAACAAGAAGCCAGTAAGTGGGGCTATAGATGCAATTAATTGATCACTTTCCAAACTCTCCTTCTGACTTCGTGTACCTATAAAAACACACGTGTAATGCCCTAATTTAATCCTTCTGGACATAATACTATCATCACCATGAACAATGACAGCCTTCTTAGAGTACTGACTTAAGCTACAAAATAAAGGTTCTTATTTCATTGACACAACAACCTATAAAATAGACAGTAGTATTATTTCAAGGCCAGGTGCTTTAACTCCAAACTTCGTGGGCTTAAGCATCAGATCAGTCTTCCTATCAAAGCAGTTTTGAAATTATTCCCCCCGCAGAAACACATATTATGATGACAGCCTTTTGTCATACTTTGTTCTTGTCTCCCAGTAAAAACTCTTTGGCAAAGAATATATACACCAAGTCTCTTCTTATTGTGCAAATTATTTGAATTTCCCAGGAGTATGTGAGTATACAAGCATATGTGAAATTGAAAGGTGCAATGAAAAATATAATTCAGGGATCATTCGCAATAATGGCTCACAAACCATTTTGTGCCAAGTCCTCAGGCCTTTGGAATCTCTCTGGGGCCTCTCAAATTGTTGCTGGGCAACAACAACAGAAATGGAAGGGAGAAGAATCTGCTTCTGGAAGCGGCCCTCAGCCCTTGGCCCAGCTGTTCTAGGCCTGCTTTCAGGGATCCAGGAAGAAAGTGACCAACCCATGCAAACTTAGGGCAAAACTAACCATATTTAACAGTAGGTAAGAATGCAGAAGGGCAAGGGGAGAAGAGATACCCAGTGCTTAATAAAGAAGCTGTCATGTCTCATGGAGCTTGACTTAGGATACACTTTCATATAATAAACCCTTCAACAAAATCCTTGAAGTAAAATTCACTTCATCTAATGAAAATATTATTAGCCTCCGAAATGACCAAGACGGTTCAGAAAGGTAGTCATTAGGTTGCTGAGATTTCATCAATAAAGGCGAGGCTATGGGTAGAAAGGGACCTTGTAGAACATATCACAGGGCTTCGTGGAAGTTCTTTGTTGCGTATGTATGCTCCATGGCCCCTGGGAGGGCCCCAAGTAACAATCTAGACCAAGGATTGAAAAGTTTTTATGTAAAAGACCAGATGGTAAATATTTTCGGCTTTTCAGGCCATATGATCTATTGCAACTTTGTACAAAGGCAGCCATAGGCAATATATAAATTAATGTCTATGTCTGTTTTCCCATAAAACTTTACTTACAAAAACAGGTAGTGGCCAGATTTGGCCTACAGGCTGGAGTTTTCTAACAGCTGGTCTAAGCAGTCAGGAAGTCTGTGAAGATTTGGGGCGTGTAGCTTTAAGCAATAGGTCTGGCTTCTGAGCAGGGTGAAACACTTTTTAAATAATTTGCAATTGTAATCTGTCCAGCCTGGTTAAGAATTAAGTATGTGACAACCGGTGGCCTTATGTGACAACTGGTGACAGTCAAGAGGAGACCTCTTGTTCCTAGAGGAACAAGACTGACCACAGAAAAGCCTTGTCTGCTCTCAGACAAATTCAGTGCTTTTTTCAGCCACCAACCAACTCTATAATGCTTGGAGAACTAAAGGCAAGAAGATGAAATTAAGTCAATTACTTAAGAAGCACTGAACTCAAAGCAAGGAGACCTGAGGTCCAGTCCCAGCCTTGCTACTTACTATCTGTATGAGTCAGTTATTTTATGACTGTGATCAAGTTTTCCCCAGCTAAGAAATAAGGGATTCTGGTGTTTCTCCAAGTGTCATCTGAATCAGAATCATTTAGGTTACTTATCCAAAAGGCAGATTTCTGGGCACCACCCTAGACCTCTATTGAATTATAATCTCCGAGGTTTGGGGCCTGGTAATATGTATGAACAGCATGAGCTCTGGGGATTTTAAAATCCAGTAAAGTTTCAGACCCACTGGACAAGAAAGACACTCTTCTAGCACACCTTCCAGCCCAACGTTCTGGCCTCTCTGAAATGTAGTTAAAGTATACCATCTTCTGTTGTTCTCAGGAAGAAATGCCTGTTAACTATACAATACACATGGAATTAATTGGAGCCTTGCGGAATTTTGGAAAGAATAACCAGCCTCATCTATATCTCTACTTGGAGAAATGGCTTCTTGGCCTGGGCTAATGGTGTTACTTGACAATCAGAAGGGGAAAAAGTCATAACTTCACTCCCTTTTCCTCAGGCCAAAATGCGAATTTGAAACTCATTCCGAATGCCTTTCCAGGGAGGTGGCCACAGCTGATGAAAGACCTCACGCTTGTTCCAACAGGCCCTGGGAGCTGAATTGTATCCCTGAAACTGGCCTAGCTTCCTTCAGCTCAACAGAGCAGCTGAAAGGTAAATGGTGCATACGCGTGTGTGCATGTGTGTATAGTATGTATGTGGGGTGAGAGTTATGTATGCAGTACGTGTGTATGTGCATGGTGTTTGGTTTGTGGTGTGTGTGTGTGGTATGTTCATGTGGTGTGTATATATGTGTATGTCTGGTGTTTGGTGTATCCAATATGGTGTTTGTGTATGCATATACAGGTATATGTATGTATTTGTGTTGTGTGTGGTATATGTGGTGCTTTTGTGTTTGTGGCATGCGTATATTGTGGATGTATGTGTGCATGGCGTTATGTGTGTATGTTGTGTGTTTGTTATGTATATGAGTGTGCCTGGTGATTGTGTGGTGTACAGACAAGCACACAGTGCTTCGTGTATGGTACACGTGATGTTTGTGTCTGTCTTGGGTGTATGTTGTATACATATGTGGGAATGTGTGGTGTGTATGGTGTTTATACAAGTACGTATATGTTTAGGGAGGGTCGTGGAGGATTGTCAGCCAAGAGAGTCGAGGTTCATAAATTCAATAGGTCCTACTATGTGCCAGCCCCAGGCTAGGTAATGAAAGTACAGAGATAAGTTAGAACAAGTCACTACCCTGGAAAACCTCAGAGCCCAGCATGCAAATTTTCCCGAGTGTTATAAACCAGGCACTTGCCTCACATCATATTTACAGCAACGCCTTTGAGATAGAGATTGTGATTATTCCCATTTAATATCCAGGGAAGACTGAGACTAAAGAAGGTTAACTACGGAGCACTGTAACAAACCTAAAGAACTTGAACCCAGGCAGGTCAGATTCCAGAGCCCATGTCATTAGCCTCCGTCATCACAGTAGCTAACTTGTATTGAGTGCTTTGCCTGCTTCATGATCTCGTGAAGGTTCTCAGGACAACCCCGTGAGTTAGACACTGTTACCATTCCCGCTGTGCCAAGGAGTGAATGGCCCAAGACCACAGAGTCAGTTAATGGCAGAGCTAGGATTTGGACCTAGGCAGCCTTGCTCCAGGGTGTCTGCCCCAAGGGTTTTGTTTCTTTGTTTCTCAAAGACAGACAAGCATGGAAATGAATGACAACTCAGAAGATGCTTGTACAAAGCTTAGAGGAAGAAAAAAATAACTTTCAAAGGACTCCGGGGAGGGCTTCCTCCGGGAAGTGTCATCTATTTTCTTGCACTTACAAACCTGACTCTGGGCGAAATAGCAGAGTCCAAGTTTTAGCCATGACTTTAAAGACCAAGAGAGAGAGAGAGTTTGATGGTCGTAATTTCCTACCTGTTTGATTTGTCCTTGGTTGGACAGGGAGCAGGGAGCCATGTTTTATCTCTTTTTCCCTTTTATTTTTTTGGACGTAAACTCCCTTAATGTAATGTAAAATGCCTCCACCAGTCGCATCAGTAGCCTTTTATAGTGTCCCCTCTTCCCCAGAAGCTAGAGAGTAGTTAAGGGCAGTCCAGTTTGCACAGATGGAAGCAGGGACCAGGGAATATACAAGGTTTGTATAAGCAGAATAGTGCAGACCAGGGAGCAAGGGGCTGGGGCATTGGAGAGAAAGCCTCATTGTGTATTTTGTTCCCAGCTCTGCCAGCGTTTCTAGTCTTCTTTCCAAAGCAATTGGAGATTATTTCACAATCCACTCATGAACACACTTATGATTTCACAAAACACTACATGTTTCAGAAACAGGTCCGACTAAGCTATAGTCCCAAAAGATAGTTTTACCTTCACAGGCTTGGGTTTAGCAGCACAGAACATTAATGACTGGAACCAGAAGTCTTAAATTTGTTGGAATTATATTGTGCTTGCTATGTAAAAAAAAAAAAAAAAAGATATTGAAAACAAAATATATAAAAGAATGATCAAACTTAAATATTTGCAGAAACTGCACCAAAGGCATTTTAGTAGGCCAAATGAATCCACTCCTCAAATCACCTGGAGAGTGCGAGCGTGTGTATGTGTGCGTGTGTGTGTGCACACATCACTTCTGGCCACCTTGCATCTGCATACTTCCAGGGTTGGGAGGTCACTGCTTGCCCAGCAAGCTAACCCACTGTTTTGAAGCTCTGATGGTTAGGATGGATTCCTTTGTTGTTGTTGTTGTTGTGTAGTTGTTGTTTTGAGACAGAGTCTGGCTCTGTAGCCCAGGCTGTAGTGCAGTGACGCAATCTCAGCTCACTGCAGCCTCCGCCTCCTGGGTTCAAGCGAGTCTCCTGCCTCAGCTTCCCGAGTAGCTGGGACTACAGATGTGCACCACCACGCCTGGCTAATTATTGTATTTTTAGTAGGGATGGGGTTTCACCATGTTAGCCAGGCTAGTCTAGAAATCCTGGCCTGCTTCAGCCTCCCAAAATGTTGTGATTACAGGCATGAGCCACAGTGTCTGGCAGGATGGATTTCTAATAATATTCACCATTTGTCCTAGTTCTGACTTCTGAATCCATACAGAGTCAATTTTGAATACTTTTTAGTGACTTCAAAACATTTTTGGAAGAAAGACATGAAAAGCAAACATGTATATAAGTAAAATGAAGAAACAAACAGATTCTTTGCCACATAAGAGCCCACTGATGATCTAATAACTTATTGCCTAATAAATCACTCTAGGCAATTTCTTTTTCATCTGGCTTAAATATAACTCTTGCCTGTCTTCAATGCCCATATCCCAAGTCACATGACTCTCTCCCCAGACACACATGTGTCTTCACACATGCACACACACTGCCAACTGGCAGGCTCAGCAATCCTTTAAAACTCTGATGGATATTGTCCTTAGGTAAAGTGTGATTTCCTCAGGAGACACCCTTTGGAGTTAACCTTGCGGACTGCTTCAGCCCTGATCCATCACTGTTACAATTGCTTCATTTCATACTCCTGGACCCTACTCTCTAACTTGTAGCTTGGTACAATACCGACTCTCGTTACCACTTCTAGAGTGTGTCCCTGTCTTAAACCACTCTTCTTAATGATTGAGTCCACTCCTATCACACTTGTTTCTCCTTGGACTGAAGCCTTGATCCCAGGCTCCTAGTTGCTGATCCTCCTGACCCCATGACACTAGGCATTTTAGCAAACCCAGGTTTCATCTCAATCAAGCAATTAAATGCTTATCAAAGAGGCCAATGTTAGATATGAGTTCTAAATTTCTTTTCAAAAAATTAATATGTCAGTATGTTCAATTCTTTGCCTTCTACTTTTAAATTTAACTTCCTTGTAAAGCAACCTTTTTCAATTACCTACTCCACCCTAACTCATTCCAGTTACCTACTCCACCCTAACTCACCTGCTCCACCCTACTACATTCCAATCACCTGCTCCACCCTAACTCATTCCAATTACCTGCTACCTGCTCTGCCCTGACTCCCGCCAAAGCACTCACCCAGTCATTCTATTTAAATTAGCCAATCAAAATTAGTTTAACCTGTGCAGTCTAACCCTAGCCAATAGGAAAATGACACAGCAGCAGGGGCCACGTGCGTCAGGGATAAAATCCCCTTCCCCTCCCTTGTCCAAGTGTGCACTCACCATTGCTCCACCTGTAAGGGCGCACCCTTCTATATAAAAATAACTTGCCTTGCTAAAAATTTAAAAAAAGTATTAATTTTTAAACTTTTATTAAATTTATTTAATAAAATTTATTAAATATTTAATTTTTAATTTAAAAAATTTATTAAAATTCTTTTTAATTTATATTCAAATGCTATTTCTTTTGCAACACCAAAATTTTATATATAACACCAAGAACAGACAGATATGGTGGGTAGCTAAAGACTGCCCCATTCCAATGTATATGTATTGAAGTTTACTATCTTCTAGGCTTCATTTCTCAAGTGTTTCCTCCAAAATCTTCTGAAGGAAACTTCCACATCCTTGACTGAAATTGACTCACATGGCATCAGTTGCACCTGATGCTTTGCTAGCCTGACACTCCATCAGAAAAGAAGGTGAATTTGACATCAGTTCTTCTTATATTTATGTAACCCATACTACTTCTTGTTGATCACTGCTTCCTTCTTTAAGTGATGAAATAAAATAGATATATCTTGATATATAGATACATAATTATTAATTGTAGTTTTCTTGGGGACAAATATCAGACTTAGATGTCCACCGTAGCATTCATCTTTTCTTCCTTAACATTGAATTTGTCCATCTTCAGTCCCCTGAAGTTCATCTCTGCAGTTCCTCTGAGATTACTCACAGTTACAGTTGTTTTTTTAATTCTTAGCAGGAAAAGCATGAGATTTAGATGTGACTTTCAATCTTGTCTCTTATTGAATAATGTATTCAAGGGGGTGACCATGGGCAAATAATTTACTTTCTTTGTACCACAGTCTCCTCAGCTGTAAAATGGATGTAATAATATTTGTCTTCCAGAGTTGTTGTGAGAAAGGAATTCAGTAGCATCCCTAAAATACCTGATGCAGTGCTTGTGTGTCTTTTCATAAATATCTATCCTTGCCCCGTGGGAATCAGCTCTTTTTATTTCTGCATCTTGACCTCACATGGAGCTTCCGCATCTTGAACTCTGTGCTTTCACCACATTTCCTCACGTATCCTTGTCTCCACGTTCTTCCTTTTCCAGATGGAAGATCATTCTCCTTGACAGAGATGACACATTTTACCAGATGAATACAGCTCTGTTTTCTCACTGTCATCTGTCAGCATTATGTCTTCTGCCCTGAGCAATGAGTCTCTTCCTCCCTTACTCTCTTTATTGTGAAAGTTGCTTTTAATGACTCTCACTCTCACTGCCAGTACCTTTTATTCTGAGTGTTTTTCACAAGTCTCAGTTTATTCACAAGAACTTATTAAAGGCTTATTATGTCCAGTATGCACTCAATGTTGAGGACACTGATGAACAGAGAGACAGGGTCCCTACTGTCACGCATCTTCTAGACAGCACTGGTTTCCTGTAGCTGAAGCTGGGTTTAACTTGTGCCTCAAATCCTGGGGTGAGTGTAGCACATGATGGAACCAGGATTCCAATCTAGGTGACCTTTCTGCCATATGATGTTGGCACAAAGAACACTTTTTGAGAAGCCTGACCAGCATCAAGGAAATATTATGAAGTGGGCTGTCAGGAGGCCCCATGATCCTCCTCCTGACATCACCTGCCTCCATTCAACAGATTATCAACTAATCCTTATTAAATGATCACTGGCTAGGGTAGTTAAGGTGCAACTGATAACAACTAGGGTGTGAACCACTTCTGGTGAAAATGGAGTGGCTTATTCATATCTATTTCCAGAGAGAGTGAGAAATGATTTAAGTGTCTGTCCTTCCTCCCATCACTTAACAGTAAGCCTTAATTGAACATTTCCACAGCTCTTACGCATTAACCTCTAAATACAGTGAACAAAAGATCCTTGTATTCCATGATTACACATGCTTATGTGATCCACATCCTCATATGATTACCTTATGAATCCACTCCCTTCTTTATTCATTCTCCATGTAGTGAGGTATAAACAGTGCTTTGGAGCAGTGGGTAGGAGATCTGGGCTATCGTCTTGCTCTTGTCACATGGTCACTGTGTGTGACCATGGGGGACGTTGCTGTACCATTTCTTCAACTGTAACAGAAAGGAGCTGGACTCAAAAAACCTTAAAAGGAGGTTCTGCTCTAAAGTTCCAAGTGGTTAATTGCCCCAGTTTGAGAGACACTTGGCTGTGCACAGATGTTAGCAATCTGCATCCTGCCCAAACACAATTAGCTCTGTAGAAACAAGGACAGAGCTCAAGGGGGCTCCCACGAGGCCTGAGCATTCATCTTCTTGCCTGAGAGTTCATTGACTCATTCAGACAGTATTCCTGGGGAAAAATGAAACTGGACCTATGGCAGGAGGCTTGCATCCTGGCTTTGTCACTTATGTGCTGTGTGGCTTTAAGGAAGCCATTCACCTCTCTGATCTCTGTTACTTCCTCTGTAAATCAGGCATAGTGGTACACCTGTTCACAGCAGTGGCAGGACTAGAATATTCGTAAGACTAAAGTATTGATCTGATTTGAAGACAGTCTGGCGGATCTTCCTTGAGTCTGTAATTGTGAAGGTAGCAAGAACAAGCACAGTGAAATTACTTACGTTGCTTGATATTTGAGGTAGTTTGAATGAGGTCACTGAGGTAGGCTGTGTGAGGTCGTGGGACCCAAGGCTCCTCAACTTACCCCAATGGAACCGTGATTATTCAAAGAGCAATTGAGAAATTCAATGTGATTCCATAAACCAAAGTGCCTGGCACGTGCTCAAAGAAATAGAACAACATAGTAGTTTTGCATGTGAGCCTGTTTGTGCCAGATCCCAGGTTAAGCACACATAACTGAAAAGTCCTTTGCCCTGCAATATGGCCCACCCTAAGGAAGCAAGATAGCATTTTATAGGGGCAGCATCTTAAAAAAACAATGTAATCCTCTCTTAGGAAATCCAGACTTAGCTTTTAAAGTTTAAGATTGCTGAGATGATAGAACATTTCAAATGGTTGCTGCACAGCTCAGTCAGCACCTGGTTACAGCATGGTGCCTGCAGAGTGGAAGAGTCAAGATGTGCTCATCCAGCTTTAACACTTAGAAACTGAATGCGCGCCTGGCACCTAGCAGACCCTCAATACATGTTCAGTCAAGGAATGGATGAATTAGTGAGTTAATGTATAAATGGAGAAAACTAAAATATTTTATGAGACCAGTGCTGTGAATTTTCAGTTTCACACTTACCCAATCCACAAGGGAGTCAATCCAGAGGCAAAATTCACGGATTCACATATCTCTCCTGAGAAAACACATGTTGAAATGTCATGGGAAGAAAATATGTGAAATTTTTGTCATGTCATGGGAGTACTTCCAAGTATTTCGATTTTCTTTTCTTTTTTTTTTTTTTTTTTTTTTTTTTTTACTCTTATTACAGCCCTGGCAAATCCTACTCAGAGATTAAAAAGAAGAACTTCCAGCTGGGCATGGTGGCTCACGCCTGTAATCCCAGCACTCTGGGAGGCCGAGGCAGGCAGATTACTTGAGGTCTGGAGTTGGTGACCAGCGTGGCCAATATGACAAAACCCCATCTCTACTAAAAACACAAAAATTAGCTGTGTGCGGTGGGCGCCACCTATAATCCCCGCTACTTGGAAGGCTGAGGCAGGAGAATCACTTGAACCCAAGAAGTGGATGTTGCAGTGAACCGAGATCATGCCACTGCACTCCAGCCTGGGTGACAGAGCAAGACTCCATCTCAAAAAAAAAAAAAAAAAAAAAAAAAAGAACATCCTCAGTAACAGAAGTCTATTTTCTCAGTTGGGCACATGTCTGCCTAAAATAAACATGAACATTTTCCCACCTCTGTTGAAACTAGACATGGCCACATGACACATTCTGCCCAGTGGGGTGTGAGCAACGTGCTGATGGTGGCTTCCTGGAATGTTCTTAATGGGAGGGAGCTGTTCTTGCCTTCCCCTTTCTCCTTGGTTGCTGGCTGGAAGTGCCAGCCTAGTTAATAAGATAAACTTGGGAATGGAAGCCACGCGTGAAAGAGTAAAAGCTAGGAAGACTTTGGTCCTGAATACAACGCCTTCCGACCTTACCTAAGAGAGGAGTAAACCTCCATCTTAAACTAAACTGTATTTTGGGATTTTGCCTGGCATATAGTTGAAGCTAACCCTGACTTATAGAGTAACACTCAGAAACTCTGGAAATGCCATTCACACAACATGCTCCAACAAAATGAACACTGAGCTAGGAGGCAGCAAACTGAGTTCTGAGCTTTTAGCACTATTTAGCTTGTTCATATTCAACAAATCATTTCCTTTCTTATGATTCAGTTTTCCATTCAGTAGAATGCAGGCATTAAATTAGGACTTCCTCTCCAAAGTTACCATCCTTAATAATTCTTAGAAGAATATAGCACGAGCTACTGTATGAAAGATCATATCAAGGTTAAGGATTAGGAAAAAAAAATAGTCTAGTGTTAAATTAAGTCAACAAATATTTGTTGTGCACCTAACTCATCTCAGGTACTGCAATAGGTACTAGAAATGTGGAGGCGAACTAAACAGATACCGCTCCTGCCCCTGTGAAGAATACTATCTAGTTAAGAGGAAAGGCATTAAAAATATTGCTAAATGCAATGGCAACAAAAGCCCAAGTTGACAAATGGGATCTAATTAAACTAAAGAGCTTCTGCACAGCAAAAGAAATTATCATCAGAGTGAACATGTAACCTACAAAATGGGAGAAAATTTTTGCAATCTATCCATCTGACAAAGGGCTAATATCCAGAATCTACAAAGAACTTGAACAAATTTACAAGAAAAAAACAAACAACCCCATCAAAAAGTGGACGAAGGATATGAACAGACACATCTCAAAAGAAGACATTTATGTGGCCAACAAACATATGAAAAAAAGCTCATCATCACTGGTCATTAGAGAAATGCAAATCAAAACCGCAATGAAATACCATTTCATACCAGTTAAAATGGCAATCATCAAAAAGTCAGGAAACAACAGATGCTAGAGAGGATGTGAAGAAATAGGAATGCTTTTACACTATTGGTGGGAGTATAAATTAGTTCAACTATTGTGGAAGACAGTGTGGTGATTCTTCAAGGATCTAGAACCAGAAATACCATTTGACCCAGCAATCCCATTGCTGGGTATATACCCAAAGGATTATAAATCATTCTACTATAAAGACACATGCACACGCATGTTTCTTGCAGCACTATTTACAATTGCAAAGACTTGGAACCAACCCAAATGCCCATCAATGATAGACGGGATAAAGAAAATGTGATGCATATACACAATGGAATACTATGCAGCCATAAAAAAGGATGAGTTCATGTCCTTTGCAGGCACATGGATGAAGCTGGAAATCATCATTCTCAGCAAACTGACACAGGATCAGAAAACCAAACACCGCATGTTCTCACTCATAGGTGGGACTTGAACAATGAGAACACTTCGACACAGGGCGGGGAACATCACACACTGGGGCCCGTCAGGGAGTGTGGGGCTAGGGAGGGATAGCATTAGAAGAAATACCTAATGTAGATGATGTGTTGATGGGTGCAACAAACCACCATGGCACATGTATACCCATGTAACAAACCTGCACGTTCTGCACATGTATCCTTGAACTTAAAGTATAATAATATAAAAAATTGCTAAATGATTATAAAAAGATTTGTGTAAAAAAGAAGTCTGTATGTTATGAGACCATGGGTTAGCGGGGCATTACTTGGTTGTGGGAGGAGGGAATCATAAAGGAATGCATGCAGGAATGCATATTTCAACTGAAATATGAAGACTGAATGGGGCTTAACTAGGTGAAGAGCAGAAAGAAAAAAATACTGAAAAATCAGCTTACAAGAATCTTAAAAGTTTCATAAGGACAAGTTGATCAGGCTTATGAAGCCAGAAGAAAAGACTTATGGGTTTACTCTTTCCCAGACCTGACCCTATTAGAAATTGATACCTCCAAGCAAAATTTCCACCCAATCCTTAACACTTCTGCTTTTCAACTCTGGAAGATATTTTTTCTTGAAGTTGCAATACTGAGCATTTTTAGATAATCACCTTTTCATGTGTACTGCAGTTTTCAATTAGCTGTTTGCAAAGCAGGGTCACAGGTATAATCTTGGGTAATATAGGCAGTAGATAGTACTATCCTCAGTTACAGGGGCAGGAATGAAAAATTGGTGAGATTAAGTTACATACATGTGGTCAAACAGTTAATAAGTGATGGGACCTGAACTTTCTTCATCCTCTGGCCAGTGTTCTAACCATCCCTCTCTTTCTAGGGCAGAGGTCATTTGCACATATAAAAGTGACCATCAAGAAAGTAACTAATTTATTCCTTTGAAAGGAATGTTGGCCAATTAACCCAATAATGCTAGTTGGAGAGATTACGGTCAAATGATTTCTTCATCCAGGATCATTTTAGAGCATTTTGGAGTTCAGATTTTGGAATGTGGGATAGTCAACCAGTACTAACTCTATCTAGAGGGGTGGCCATGGTTAAACAAGACAGTGCATGGAAAGCAAGTAAAACACTGCCTGACACACGCGGGGCCTCGATACCTGTCAGGTGCTATTACTATTGTATTGCCCATCCTTCAAGACTGAGAGCTATGGGAGTACTTCCTTCAAACTGCTCGGATCTCTCAAGATTATATTAACTGTCTTTCTTATGTGTGCCCCTGGTTTATCTCTATCACAGGATTGACAACAATCTATTTTTACTGAACAGTTCCATTTCTCTTTACCACGGAGTGGCTGAGGAGGCAGATGCCATGTCTTCTCTATGTTTGTATTTGCAACACATAGCATGAGAACTGTTTGTTTTTGTTTTTGTTTGTTTTGTTTTGTTTTGTTTTGTTTGAGATGGAGTTTCACTCTTGTTGCCCAGGCTGGAGTGCAATGGCGTGATCTTGGCTCACCACGATCTCTGCCTCCTGGGTTCAAGCGATTCTCCTGTCTCAGCTTCCCGAGTAGCTGGGATTACAGGCATGCGCCACCACGCCCGGCTAATTTTGTATTTTTAGTAGAGATGGGGTTTCTCCATGTTGGTCAGGCTGGTCTCGAACTCGCAACCTCAAGTGATCCACCCGCCTTGGCCAACCAAAGTGTTGGGATTACAGGTGTGAGCCACCGTACCCGGCCCGGAACTGGTTTTGTAAAAGCTTAAAAATGTTTAATGCACCAAATATAACTTTAGAATCAGCTGCTCTTCAAAGAGGTGTTTCTGGCTCTTTTTCACTCCAAACTAGATAAGTCATTCTGTTTTATTCCCCATAACAGCAACACTTTTGCATTTCACAGCTCTATTTACCTTTGCAAATCCTCATTCCCGCACTAGACTGGAAGCCCCCTGAAAGAAGCCACTCCATCTGCAGGGCATCTCCCAGTGTCTATTTGCTGAAAGTATGCATGAACAGTGCTGAGACTGCTCTGAGAAATGAAGTTACTAGAAATGCAGCAATTGCACTGATAAAAACAGCGACACGGGCCTTGAGTGGGTGGCCCAGCCTTGCTCACGCTTCCTGCTTCCTCCAGAGCTCTATGTTTGCACAGCCCAAATACTCTACTCTCTGTGTGGCAAAGCTTTGGAATTTGGCTCTAAAATCAGGGGAAAGGAAGCAGAGGGGCCAGGGAGTCATTTGCAATGACTGTCCTGAGATCCTGTTTCATCATGTGTATGCACCTAGTGACACATCAGGGAACTTTTTTCCAGGAGCAAGCTTTTTTCTTCCCCTCCACTTGTGCATATGTTGAAAGATCACACATACGTTTTCAATGAAGTCACTGACGATCATGGGAAGCCAGCAGTAACAGCTGGTGTGTCCGAATTACCCGGAGGCGATTTAATCTTTTGGCCTCACATTGGGAAAGCAGTTTAAGGAAGGTAGGCTCCTTTAAAACAACAACAAAACTGCAGATAGGAAGAGGACAAGAACAACACGGAGAAATTGTACGGCTTTAGGCAGCTGCTGCTGTTACTAAAAGCTAGGAAAGGACGCAGGAGGGGCCTGAAGCCCGTGGATGAAAGTGAGGGTTGTTATCAACAGCAGGGTGGCCGGGACTAGTGCTCCTGGGAGAATATCATTTCCTTTGTGGAATGAGATACCAGAAGGTTTCCAACTCCCAGCAAATCAGCCTAGGGCGGTCTGGGATTGAGGATCTTTCTGATCTGTAATGCCTGGACTCATAAACAATGTCAGTATCACTCGTGAGAGATGAGTAACAGGAGAGGCACAATTAGCAGGCCAGAGAGTCCTGCAAACAGTCATTAAAGTCTTGAAGGATCTGGGCAGCAGTGTGGTACAGCTGTTGAGCATGTCAATTAGGGATTCAGAGGTAGGGTGGGGGAGAGAATGCCGTTCCAAGGAAGCCAGCAGTTCTCACCCTGACTGGTGGCACGGCAAGCTACTGTATCATACAACAGGGCCTCTTCCCCCCGCCCCCACCAAAAAAAAGCAAAAGAGAGAAGAGGATCGAGAGGTCCCAGATATGAATTTCCTGCTGCACTTAAAGAGCTACATGTTTAGCCAAGATTTCATGATCAGAGTTTTGTACATCGGTTATTAAAAGAAACCATTCTTCAAAAGGAAAGTTTAGTTTTCCCTGAAACTGGAGCATTTGCTTAATCAAAAGGAACAGTGCACCAGGGGAAATGACCACCTCTGCTATTACAAGTAATGGGATTGAAAATTTCCTATCATAATTTACTCATTAGTCCAAAAAGCTTTATTATATCGCGGTCACAAAGATAAATAATGTCTAGTTACTGACCTTGAAAAATGCACCTGTAATATGGTAGAGAAAGCCGCACAAACAGGTAATTACAGTACAACAGAGCATGTGCTGCAATGGAGGTGGGTGCCCACTGAAGATGGGACGGATCAGGCTGTGCTGGGACTGGGAGGCTGAGAACTGGAGGCCAGAGAGCAGCAGTAAGAAAAGGGAGGGTAAAGATAATGAGGTGCAGAGCGGTCTCCTTACTGTGTTTTTGCATATAAACTTGTGCGGTCCTTCACGGCTCCTTAAACATAGGCTAATTGGTACTTTTCTCCTTTCCTGAAATTTCTTCAACCTTCTTTCATTTTTCCTCTCAACAACCTTCCATTCCGATTTTACTCATTCTTGCCATATGCTTCCTGCCTGTGAATGTCAGTGTCTGTGTTACTCCTGATGTGTGGAACAACCTCCCAGGATTTTAAGTGTCTCAGACAACCAATCATTCCAGTCTTTTCCTTTGCCTCTTGATATGGTTTGGCTGTGTCCCCACTGAAATCTCATCTTGAATTGCAGCTCCTGTAATCCCCACGTGTCGTGGAAGGGACCCGGTAGGAGGTAACTGAATCATGGGAGCAAGATATTCCTGTGCTGTTCTCATGATAGTGAATAAGTCTCATGAGATCTGATGGTTTTTATAAAGGGGAGTTCCCCTACACACACTCTTCTTGGCTGCCACCATGTAAGATGTGCCTTTGCTTGCTCTTCACTTTCCGCCATGATTGTGAGGCCTCCCCAGCCATGAGGAACGGTGAGCCCATTAAACCTCTTTCCTTTCAAATTACCCAGTCTTGGGTATTTATTCATAGCAATATGAGAATGGACTAATACAAATTCCTATCCTACCTCCCTCCTGAACTCATGTGGCAAAGGTTTTTGCTTTTATTTATTTTTGCTTGACAATGAACAAGAGAAAATAATAGGTAGCTGAGGAAGTTAATATAGAAGACGGTTCCTATTTCTTTGCAAATATTTCCAGGAAAGTGACATAACCAGGGCTTTGAAACAAACTGGCTTTTCATTACTATTGCCTCATTGAATACTCAAATCATTTTTACTTGAGGCATACAATAAAGAGCTGCATATTGGGTGGTATAATTTTTGACTTCAGGATGTTTTAGAAGATTTGGGGTACTTCTATCTCTCATAATATTTCCCTTTTAGAAATTCATCCCCACCCCACCAACCACCACCATGTTCTTTTTGAGTTGGTCACTTATATGGTCCAGCCTGTGATGACACAGGGTTGGGACCATGACTCAAACTGGTCACAGTGTCCCATTTCCCTGGCCATAGGGATTGGTTTAGACATGAGGACATGACACAGGCCAGAAAAATCCTGAAGCCATTGACAAAAACAACCATCTGGTTTATCTGAAACTGCTAACAGCATGTGTTATAATCTTGGACAGTGTATGGAGAAGATTTAAGTGAGAATAAGCTAACACAGAAAAGCAGGAGGAAAGAGGGAGAGAGAAAGAAAGAGACTAAATGAATTTTTTGTCTTTGAATCCAGCTATGTTCAAAACTAGAGCTACCTTCTTAAACTTCCCAGATATGTAAATCTTTTAACTCTGCCTTTTGTTAAGTTGATTTCCATTAAGTTTGTGGCTCTTGTAAGCCAAAGCATTTTTTCAAATCAAATTGAATAGACATATATCACACTGATGTTAATAACATCTTAAATGAAAACAGGTTTATCAGAGTAAAGTGGAAAAAAAATGGGTTATATAGTAAAAAAAGAAAATGAAGAAAGATACAACTGAGACAATACATGATGAAAAAAGGCTCAATTTGCCAGGGAAAAAGTAGCAATCCTAAATATAAAATATATATATGTATACATACATACACATATGCGCCAAACGACAGAGCTTCAAAATAAATGAAGCAAAAACTGATAGAGTTGAAAGGAGAAACAAACAATTCCAAAATGATACTTAGGGACTCTGACATCCAACTCATGGCAAATGACAGAATGACTGGATAGAAAAGCAGCAAGGACATACAGGAAAATGACCTCACCTTGAGAAAGAACATCTGCAACACGCCTACGCAACCTCATGCTTAAAGGTGAAAAGACTCAACGCTTTCCCCCTAATATCAAGAACAAGGCCAAGACATCCACCCTCTCTGTTCTTATTCAACACAGTGATGAAAGTTCAAGCAAGCACAATAAAGAAAGAAACATAAATAAATAAAAGGCATACAGATTGGAAAGGAAGAAATAAAATATTCCAAGGAATCTACCAAAAATAAAAATTATCCTAGAACCACACAGAGCACAAGATCAAGATAGAAAATCATTTGCATTTCTTTATACTGACAGCAAACATTTGGAAACAAGTTAAAAGCACAATACCATTGGCAATTACACCAAAGAAAGTGAAATACTATGGTGCAAATCTGACAGAAGATGTAAAGGATCTCCCTTCTGAAAATTACAGGGGCCTTTTCTTAACTAGTGAAAGTTCCTTTGGGCTGTTCTCATGTCCATCTGGAATTTTTCCCATTTCCTGCCTGAATTCCTGGATTCTCGGATGATTCTTGTCTTCCTGTCAAAATCAAGAGATGTCAGATGAGGACCATGATAAAGCCAGTTGTAAGTTTTCTGATGTCTACACCAAGAAACTCACACTTAGTGGGATGTCTGCTCTCAGGTAGAACCTAACCAACCAGTTAGGAGATACCAAGAGCATAGTCTTTAATGCCTGGGAGGACGGGAGCAAGCAGAGATCTTGGTTAATAAAAGCGTTCAAAAATCTATTTGTGAAATCAATGTTTATTCACTTAATTAGAAATAAATATGTAAATAAATGGAATTCTGTCGAATAAGTAAAACCCAATTGTGGCACATGTTCTATTTTCCCTTTAGTTTTTATTTTAGTTTTGGTTGTACATATGCAGGCTGGTTCTATAGATAAACTGTGTGTTACAGGAGTTTGGTGTACATATTATGTTGTCACTCAGGTAATAAGCATAGTACCTGATAGGTGGGTTTTGGATCCTCACCCTCCTCTGATCCTCCATCCTCAAGTAGGCCCTGATGTCTACTGTTCCCTTCTTATCTGTTTTATTTTAAGCACTTTTGTATCTTAGCAAGTTGAATCCTCACACCAATTATGTCAGTCGAACATCATTATCCTCATAATATACATGAGGGAGCCAAAACCCAGAGATATTAAATAACTGTTTGAAAACAACAAAGCTAATAGAGCCTGGATTTGCACCCATATCCCTGACTCCAAAATGTATACTCTTAAGCAATATGGTACCCTGCCTCCCAAAATTCTCAGAACATCCTATTCTAGTATAGTCATGACTGCCAAAGCAGAAAATAGCATGTAAAGTCAACAAATATAAATCAAATATCTTCAGTGAAGGAGAGACTGAATGATCCACATCTTAAAAATATGGAAATACATGCAAGCCTCATTTGCTAGAATAAACTTTGAGTAATGCTGAGTAAGCCAAACACTTTGGAAGTACTGGCAGCAAAATAAGCAACTACATCCTAAAAGGACAGAGGTCATTAAATGCTAAAAGAGGAAAAAAAAAGTATAAGCTTATTCTTGCTTCCTCTGGACAAAACTGGGGTCAATCTGTAGAAGCTACATGGAGAGAGTTCTCAGCTCACGGTCTGAGAAATTCCCAAGGAAGAATTTACAAAATTATTTCTTACAAAATGCTTTTCAATAATTATCTAACAAAATTACAATTTCTCTAATAAAACAAAACATTCTTTTGGAGAAAAATTAGGAAACACCAAAATGCAGAAAAGATGGAACCCAAATCTTTCATCACTCCACCACACAAAGGCAACAACTGTTAGCATTTAGGTTTTTCAGAAAGAGGAACATTCTCACTGTCAAAATGGTCCAGTGAAGGGTAATTGCTTTCAAAGGTAGTGAGTTCTCCGTCACTACAGGTATGTAAGCAAAGACCAGGTGGCTAGTGGATAGGGGCTGGTATAGATGGATGCAACCATAACGTGGGCAGAAAGTGGGTCTGGACTGAAGGACATTTAAGAATCCTTCCAACTTTGAAACTACAGAAATTATATGATCCAGGGAGAAAGCAGAATCCTGTCTGGTTTATTTATCAAGGATTATTTGGAATCTAGAACAGATTCTAGCACATGGTAGGTGCTCAGTAAACATATATTAAATGAAAATGAAAGAATAAAGGAAGGAAGAGGGAGAGAGAAGTAGGAAAGATGGGAAGGAAGGAGAAGGGAGGAATCCCTGATTGGGGGCAGTTTCCAGATTCAAGCCCCATTCATTTGCTCCTCAGCCATTCATTTAGCTTCTGCCGTGTGCCAAGCACTATCCTGGTTACAAGGATTCCAGATGCAGTCCCCTAGCTCAGTGTCCACTTTGGAGTCCATATTCAGTCTGACAGTCTAAAACAGGCCTTGTCTATGGGTGTGGTGGGAGTTGGGGAAGTTTGTCTCCATGAGGCTGGGGGCCCAGCGATCATTACAGGAAAGAGACACGTTTGGAAAATGACAGGTGGTTGGAACACCTGCGCTGTGTGATGTGCAGAGGTGTCTGTGTGTGTTGGGGGGGTGGCAGGGGAGTGGGCACGTGTCAGCCGACTCAAGAAGACCCTTGGAATCATTTCTCCTTCTACTGGGTAAGTAAATGGGAGACACAAACCATTTCTTCCAGGCTACAAGCTCCCCTACACCCCAAAATCCTCCCTTCCAAATTCTCCCTCCAGTCCCAACAGCAGAACTGCATTCTGTGTGGCAGAGCGGGTCCAGTGTCACTTTGCACTTACGAGTAATTTCCATTTTATCAGACCAGCTGGGGCTTGTTTTTGAGTCTGTGAAAAGATAGGAAGTGCTCAAACAGGAAGCTGGGATAAGGTTACACTGACAGATCTGTGATTCTGCCCATGACTTTAGGACAGAGGAATGTTCTGCGGCAAAACTGCATTGCTACAACCAAGTTGAAAACACATACAGATATATATACACACACATGCACCAATTTGGCTGTTTGGAGCTGCTTCTGACTCAAAGTTTGTGTTATCTTTGTTCTTTCCTGAGAAAAGCTCCTTTAGCCATATGGGCTTTCCCCTACCCTAGGTTGGCCTTCAGGATCCTCTTTTAAGGCCCCAAGCTCAAACCTCAGTTAATGGGATCTTAACGCCCACAGTTTTCCAGAAATCTTGAATCTTCCCTTTCCCGCGTCTCATATACTCAACACTCAACAAGCGCAGCATTGTCTCTGAAATGGTTCTTAGATGCATAATCTGCTCCCCCTAAGGATATTCAGGGCCCCGGGTCAGATCCTCGCATCTCTTGTCTGCATTGATGCTTCTGGTGTCTTGAATTGTCTCCTTGACTCAGTCTCTGCCCAAAAACCTTTCTCCATCTTGCTGCCAGTGTAACCTTCCTAGGGCAAAATTTGATGAAGTTATTTCCCTGCTTAGATATTCCTAGTGGTTCCTTATCCTCAGTCATGCTGCTCCAAGCATGGTCTGCGGATGGGCACCAGCCTGTGAACTTTGTCCCTGTCCCTGAAAGATAAGTACGAAAGCAGAGAGAGCATTTGGAAGTATCTATGGACATTTGACATCGCCATGTTATCCACATGTGTGGTAAGTAGACTGGTGTCATTAAACAGAGTCTACCCAGGGTGTTGTGGAACTCACACGGTAAGTCACCTGTGGGGCCAACTCCATACGCTTAATCGGTGCACGGTTGGGGTAAGAACAACCACCACAACTGGTCCTGTACCACAGACAGTGTGAGAAGCACAGCTCTACAGGATACATCCAAAGACTTCCCTCCAATTCCTTCCTGACCCAGTCTGTGTTCGTGGTTCTTCCAGTATCTCCTGAAACTCCTCCTATGCTTTCCCCCATCTGTGAAGCTGCTTGCCAGTCCTCCAAACAATATGTACATATGAATTCTTCCCGGAATGTCCTTCCCTACATTCCTTCTCTCATGTTCTTACACATCTTTCACATCTCATTGCAGCTCTGCTAGAACAGCCTCTGTGAAGCCATTTCTGTTGCCATCTCTAAGTCTCCAACACAAATATCGCCTCCTTGTGTCCTTCCACAGTACCTAGTTCATTACTGTGGCAACTTCGAATTTGGGATGAATAAGACGAAATCCCTTCTATCGAATGGTGTCTAGCCTATTTCTCTCATGAATACTTTTCTCATGAATGTTCTGTGCTGTGCCCCCTTAAAGAGACTGTGTATTAAACAGCTTTGTGTCTACAAGACCTTCATGCTGTGAGTGTAGGGAGAACTCAAGGAATGATACATTTGGGATTCATTGTGACAACGATGGTTGAGACATAAAAAGAGGTTCTGGAAAATCTTTTGTCCTCTCAGTCTCTCTGGGCTTTCATTTGTTCTTTTACCACAGGTAGGATTTGAGTTGTGGACACCCATAATTCCATGAAAGCTCAAATACTCAACTCTACAGCCAGGGAATTTACATTACCAGAACCCCTTCCCTCCAGAAACCCCTAGAAGATGGCCCTTACCCTCCCTACCTCCATCCCACGCCAGTTCCTCAGACTCCAAACACAAAAGTAGCAACCACAGAGATGCACATGCCTCCATTTCCTGGGACTTTTCTTTGGATCTTTCTTATATCACATCCCTTTAGTGATGGTGCCCTTTCATCTGCATTCACAATGCCCTGGAGTCAGGTAATTTAGATAGAAAGAAATGGAAGAATTTCAAATTTGGACTTTTTCTTTTCTAGTGAGCTGTTCAAGTGTTTAAGGCTACAAGAAAACATGGCCTAAGTCCCCAGGCTTGGCAAAGGGCATCCTACTGTCATTCACACCTAAAACAAGAGATCTCAAGTTAAACACGTTAAGTAGAAAATAGGCTGCCATTACGGGTAAGCGGGAAAATTGCCCCCGTTAAACCTACTGAATTGAGGATCGTGTTCTTCCTTTTCTCTCCTTCCTACTCTCTATATCAGATTGCACAGAAATGTGGGTTGAATATTTATTGTCCTTTGGGTTTTGAAATAGTTCTGAGTCTCCTGTCCCCCACTAGATTTCACCTCAGCAGAAAATTCTTTTTAGACCTGATCCAACGTCCAGTTCTTCATTTGGAATACACTATTTCTACCTGACCAAATTCTTTCATACCTCACATTGGAAACGTTACTAAATTGATTTAATTCATAGCCAAGTGCTCATTCTCCGTGGCATCACCTTCCCAGAAAAGTGGGCCAAATACTGAGAGCACAATCTCCCTTGTAAGCCCTGCTGGTGTTGCTTCCTCTAGTCCAGAACATGTGTCCCAAACCCCTCTATGCCTGGCTAAGTCAGCCTCATCCTTCATGTCTCACATTAGATCCCACTGCCCTGGGCCCCCTACGTGTTCCCGAAACTGGGGCAGATGACTTTTTTTTTTCCTGCTCCCATACTACCCTTGAAAACCAACCTTTGGAAGAGAAGTGATAGTAATGCGAAGGGCAACTTATCTCTACGTTGGTCCTGAGCAGAGCAAATGCCTTAATTTTGCTGTCTTCCTCTCTCAATTCAGTTTCATATAAGAAAGGTTTTCAAATGAGCAAAGATTGAAGAGGCTGACATTTTTATTTCCGCAAACAACAATTCTTCCCAGAAATACTCATTTGAGTCAGAAATATCTAACATCATGGTGAAAAATACTACAAGAATAATTGCAAAGGAGTAATTTACCTCTCTGGAATGTCCCAGTTAGGCCTAAGTATTAATGAATGCAGCTGGTGATGTTTTCTAAGACCCTATGACATGCACTTCACACTATGTCAGCACTGCTTTGTAATAGCTCCCTCCAAAAAAAAAAAAAAAAAAAACTCTCTCCATGAATTTGGCTGGTGGCTCTTGATTAGCGATTCTTTCGACCGAGACCACAGGAGAGACTGAATCTGCTATTAGCGTGTGGGGCGAGTCTCCCTGGCAGAGGTTTCTGTCCCTGCAGCAGAACGCCACTGTGTCTGTTCTCCTGTTTCAGATTCCTTTCGCTTAATTGACAGGCCAGCTTCCCTCCTCCGTCTTCTCTGGTGCCATATTCACGGGCCTGCAACACATATTAGTGTTTCCAAAGCAGTGTTCCCAGCAGGAGTTCCCACAGGGGGATACACACCCAGGAGGAAGGAGATAACGGTCTAAAAACTCGGCTTTAATTGCATTTGGATTTGGGAAACCTGTTTTGATTAACAAGTAACGCTGTGACGGCATATCTCTTACAATTTAATGAAAAGAGGTTTTTCTCCCTCCTTAAGAAAGTGAAAGAGGGAGTCAGATAACTCCGTGACACTTCCCTCCACCCACCCCCAAGCAATAATTTGATTCATGCAGGCTGAGAAATTTGATGCCAAGACTGACTGGCAAAAAAAAAAAAAAAAAACAAAAACAAAAAAACCACTTTCAAAGGGCTCTGGCGCCCTCTGCTGGTAATGGGTGCTGAGACCAGCCCTATAGGATAGAATTCGTCCTCACTGAACGTTAAAGTTGACCCATTCCACTTCACTCACTTTAAAGACCAGGACGCTGAGATTGAGAGAGCCTCACTCAGTAACAACATGCTGCTTGTTAATAGAAACTGTACTGTGATCCAAAGGACACCCTCCCATGTGAGGAACTCCCTCTTTTAAATATTGTTTCCTTACTAGCTGTGTTCTTGAACAAGTTATCGACCTTTCTTCAAAAAAAGTACCCTTCTTCAAAAGATATTTACTTGACACATCTATCTTGGGTATTATCATCATCCTGTGGATCACCAGGGTTGCTTGGATAATCGAGTTATCTAGGCTGGTGAGCTCCCCTTCTTTTCCACTGTTCCATGGGTTTGGTTAATGAGAAGATGAGTTGCAGATGGCAGTTTGTTGGTTAAAGTTACATAAATAGCTGCTCCTGCATACATCCGGTCTAAGCTCATATTTACAGCAAATTATAATCCATATAACTTTAGGACTAACTATAATATAGATGTGGTGTGTATTAGTCCACTTTCACGCTGCTGATAAAGATATATCCAAGACTGGGGTAATTTATAACAAAAAAGATGTTTAATGGACTCACATTTCCACGTGGGTGGGGAAGCCTCACAATCATGGCGGCAGCAGGCGAGAATGAAAACCACGTGAAAAGGGTTTCCCCTTACAAAATATCAGATCTCGTGAGACTTATTCACTACCACGAGAACAGCATGGGGAAAACTGCCCCCGTGATTCAATTGTCTCCCACCGGGTCCCTCCCACAACATTGTAAGAATTATGGGAGCTACAATTCAAGAGGAGATTTGGGTGGGGACACAGCCAAACCATATCATGGTGTTAATTACCAACCCTTCTTACAAATTTACTAGGACACTACCTTCTTCCTTTTGACTGAATGGTCCCTCCTCTTTCTCTTTCTCTGCCTAATTCAGCACCATCACATTTCAGGTTTACACCTGATCTGCCACTTTTCTATCTCAGAGCTAATAAGCTAATTACCAGAAGTTTGTGGAATTTCTTCATGTAAGTGTGCATATTTACCTTTAATTTGTATTATTTGGCACTATAAAAGTCTGGATGAATTCAGACATTCTGAAAGGTCTTTTAGTGTAAACTTGCTCTGATAAATTCCTTCTGCCTGTGGAAGCCATTATAAAAATGTTTGGCCCTGATAAGAAGCATTTTATAGACTTATCTGACTTTAGGCAGGAAAAGTACAATGGCTAGGTTGGATATTGCTTGGAAAACTCTTTCCCATTGTAGGGAATCCTTTTCCTCAATTATACAGTTATCATTAAATGTCAGTTATATGTGGGCTAGAAGACACAGGGAGTAAGAGAGACTGGTTACTGACTCCATAAAGCTTATATCCAGCAGAAAAAAAAAAGGTTATTGATAAAGTATTGCTTACTTCCTCTTTCCCACCACAAACCATTTTACTAATTGCAATCTATACTTAGAAGTTGACTCTAAGATGTTAAAATGACTTTTAAAATATGCACATATTTTTGACATTATTTTGCATACACACGCAAAAGCAAATTGCAAATTGTACAGAGCTATTCATGTCCTAGATGTTTTGATGTCCAGCTCATAATTTTTTAACCACATCGAAAGGCTTTAAGCTTTAGTGTTTAAAACATTGGCCAGAAGAGATAGTCAAAACATGAGCCTTCCCGTGCCTCAGTCCCCGCAGTTTTTGATTCAGTAGGTTTGAAGTCAAATCCAAGATTCTGATGTGTGTAGCCCACAGACAACACTTTAAAAAATACCATGCTTCAGCCTGCAGGTTTTTTGTCTATCAATTCAGTCATACCTTGTAAACTATTATTGTGAGAGATACACAGAGGCTTGTTGGAGACTTTCTGTGTGCCAGTCACTCTGCATGGTGCTTTCCCACAGTGGTTTAGCATAGTGGCCAAGAGCAAAAAGGGTAGACTCTCCGGGTTCAATGCCAGCTCACTTTAGTCTCTTTGTTGCCACTGTGTCATCACTGAAAGGAAGATAATAATAGTAGCTTCATCATAAAGTAATTGTGATGATAAGATGGGTTGGCAGGGCCAGGCGTGGTGGCTCACGCCTGTAATCCCAACACTTTGGGAGGCTGAAGCAGGTGGATCATGAGGTCAGGAGATTGAGACCATCCTGACCAACATGGTGAAACCCCATCTCTACTAAAAAAAAGGAAAAAAATAAAATTAGCCAGGTGTGGTGGTGCATGCCTGTAGTCCCAGCTACTCGGGAGGCTGAAGCAGGGGAATCACTTGCACCCGGGAGGTGGAGGTTGCAGTGACCCGAGATCACACCACTGCACTCCAGCCTGGTGACAGAGCGAGACTCCGTCTCAAAAAGAAAAAAGAAAAAAGAAAAAAAAATAGATGGATTGACATATGTAAAGCATTTAGCATAGCATCTAAAAAATGAAGGTGGATAATTTCACATATGTAATGGGAACATCCATGAGTTTCCATGCTACTTTTAGGTGCTAATGGCAGCATTGGTATCTAAAGGTAGCATGGAAACTCATCTATTGCTTGATATTTGGTGAACTTGAATAGAGCACTGGCTCTTTGATCAAGTACACAGAACCAGTAAGCAATACTGCTGGGACCAAATTATGACTGAAAGCGTAAACCCGAAGTCTGTTTTGAAACATACAGAATCCACACTCTTTACCCCCAGTGAGCTTTCTAGCAAATGAAGGCATTACTCATGAAAGAGTAACGATGAAAGCATTTTGTAGTGCATGCCAAAGTAGATAAGAGAGAACAGCAAGTCCTACGTAAGTTAGGAAAGTCAGCTCCATAGAGACCTTGGAAGGTGTGTCCGTTGCCTAGTGAATAGAACGATGTCTAAAGACCTTACGTTAGCTACAAACCTAAGTTTCCATACATCCTGGATTCAGTGAGAACAAAATGGGAATGTTTAGCTTCTACAGTAATAAGCTGGAGAACAAATTGTTCTCCGGACCCTACCAGGTGTTATGCGGTGAGAAATGAAGCCAGCATATTCTGCAATGTGTTTCCACACTTGAGTGCGATCTACCTCATCTGGTTCAGACAGAGGCTTTTGTCCTAGAAGCGAAAGGAAAACCCCCCTTATTGCAAATTAAGCTCATTGTGTCCCCTTTATCACTATTGGAAATGGGGTTCTCAAGTAAATCACATTACTGGTTAAAAAATATGTATGCATTCCTTGACCGTGGTAAAGAAAACAATTCATAGTGATATGGAAGCGGGGAAGGGAAGTGCTGGGAAGGGAAGAGAGTGGTACCTTTAAATGATACGGAAGGGGGAAGGGAAGTGATGAGTAGAGGAGGACGGGGATCCCTGGCTAGGGCTCCACTCCTTGGCCTGTGCCCTCTGACCTATGCAAGGACAGGAGTTTTTGTTTTGCTGCCCAAATGTTGCATTTCCCAAGACCTCCCCTGGCCTGCCATGCCCCCATCCTGTGCCTATAGAAACACCCAGACCCTAGCAGGCAGATACACAGGCAGCTGGACGTCGAGAGGAGCGTACCAGCAGGCACCAGCAAGCCAGCAGGCCACCTACCGGCAGAACAACGCAGAGTTTGTCCGGGGCAGTCAGAGGAGAGCCCGGGCCGCCGAGCAGCCTGACTCCAAGGGAAAACCATCTCCCTTCTTCCTCTCCAATCTGCTGAGAGCTACTTCCACTCAATAAAACCTTGCACTCATTCTCCAAGCCCACATGCGATCCGATTCTTCTGGTACACCAAGGCAAGAACCTCGGGTTACAGAAATCCTTCTGTCCTTGCAATAAGGCAGGGGTCTAATGGAGCTGACTAACACAAGCCGCCTATGGATGGCTAAGCTAAAAGAGCACCTTGTAACACACGCCCACAGGGCTTCAGCTATACACATTCACCCCTAGACACTGCTGTGGGGTCAGAGCCCCACAGCCTGCCCGTCTGCATGCTCCCCTAGAGGTATGAGTAGTGGGGCACCAAAGAAGCGAGCCACACCCACATCTTGCGCCCTGAGAGGGGGACAAGGGAACTCTTCCTGTTTCAATAGTACAGCCATTTGATCCAGTGAGCTATAAAACACAGGGTAACTGGTTTTATTTCTGAACTTTCTTTATGCTCCGTATTTTGACAAGTGCTATATTGGACAGATGATGGCTTGAATGTAGCAACATTTTTGTACATTTTCCTATCACTCAGCACCAAGAAAATTTTGCTTTTCGTAGTAATGGTCTCTTATTTAGAAAATAAATATGCAAATTGTTTAAATTGGATGTTCCCACGATAGGACAGTGAGATTGTGTCATGAACAGTAGTAAGACTTGGCATTCACATCTGTCTGATGAGGGCACGTTAAAGATTCTTTCCATAGCTGAACTTTTTCCCCTAAGGAGTAAAGTTCTACACCAGAATAGATTTTAAGCCGCCCAGCATCAGTTTCTCTCTAACGAAACAGCAAATATACGTTTTTCATTTTCATTCATATCCAAATCAATTATCACTTCCTGTAAAACATTCTACTGCTTTTTTTTTTGTCTGCCAGCTCTCTTTTACATTACTTTCTTTCATAATCTTTATTGCATCCAGATGTCACAATCATGATTTGTTTAGCAGTTAGCAATTATGACGGCCATGACTGAATTGAAACAGTAATCGTGCAAGAAGCTGATGTTCCAGTGTAAGCCAAAAGTTATCCAACTTTATAGACAAAAAGGCAAGAAACAGAATACTTTGAACAACAAGTGTGAGGAATCAAAGGACTTTCTCTGGTTTTTCACAAGGTGATAGAGAATTTTAGCTCCTAAGTTAAGGAGGGAGGACAAAAAAAGGGGCTCTTACCCTAGTTGGTTAGAAGGAATTCTCTTAAACTTAATTGACAAGAATGAAATGTTATCCTCCGGGCAACCTGATACAGAGAAGAAATTTCTGAAATCGGGAAAATGTTCATAGTTTTGCCCACCCAATTAAATATCAGTACACTACCATGGAGTTAAGGAGGAGACCCAAGAGCAGAGAGATCCATCCCCACATGCTCGTATTTGAGAGATGGATATAGGAGTGTGTGTGTGTGTGTGTGTGTGTGTGTGTGTGTGTGTGTTGATGTGTAGGTGTTGATATGTGTGTACATATAGGGGTGTGTGTGTGTGTGTGCATGTGTGTGTTAGACTAGATAATGGCTAAACTGAGACAGCATAGCAGGTAATGGCTATGTGTTCTGACAATTTAGATACAGTGCAATTATCTGAAAATGGGGGGAAATGGGGAAAGCATATGAAAAGTAGAATAAACTTGCTAGTGACCATATGCAGTATTTGGCATAAAAGAGTGTTACTTCAATTTAGATGCTGAGAAAAAGAAGAGGGTACTAGCTAACTTAAATGGTGTCATAGAGGAAAATAATATACAATAATGAAGAAAAGGAAGACACTAAGGTATGATGTAAAAATATGAGGGAAAGATAATTATGACCACAAACAAATAAACCTTTCTAAATAATAAAAGATTTATCAAAAGAGAGCAAATAACTAAGATACTGAGAGACTTTAATATATAAAGATAATTATATATTACACATTCAAATAATATGTATAATTTATAATAAATATATTTTAGATGTAACAATACAAACATATAACATTTATTACATATTTAAATATTGCTATATGCACATATATATAATATGATGCAATATCTGAACTGAAACCAAACATATCATCATATTATTAGGTCAATAAATTTAATGTGTTTACCTATTAAAAAGAAAATATTTTAAGAATAGTTAAGAAAGCAAAATACAATATTATGTTATATATAAGAAGCATACTTAAAGCACAGAGATTCAAAAAGGTTAAAAATTAAAGAATGGTACATCCAGACAATGGAATATTATTCGGTACTAAAAAGAAATGAAAAGACATGGAAGAAACTTAAATGCATACTATTAAATGAAAGAAGCCAATCTGAAAAGACTATATACTATATGAGTCCGACTAGATGACGTTCCGGAAAAGGCAAGACTACGGAGACAGTAAAATGATCAGTGGTTGTCAAGGGTTGTGGGTAGGGAAGGCTAAAATAGCAGAACACAAAGAGTATTTCAGGCAATAAAACGACTCTGTGGCCAGGAGCAGTGGCTCACGCCTGTAATCCCAGCACTTTGAGAGGCCGAGGCAGGTGGATCACTGGAGGTTGGGAGTTCAAGACCAGCCTGACCAACAAGGAGAAACCCTGTCTCTACTAAAAATACAAAATCAGCTGGGCGTGGTGATGCATGCCTGTAATCCCAGCTACTCGGGAGGCTGAGACAGGTGAATTACTTGAACCCGGGAGGCAGAGGTTGTGGTGAGCCGAGATCACGCCATTGCATGCAAGCCTGGGCAACAAGAGCCAAACTCCATATCAAAAAACAAACAAACAAAACAATTCTATATGACACCGTAATTGTAGAGACATATCATTATACATTTGTCAGATGTATAGCTTGTACAACACTACGAGTGATCCCTGGGTGGTCTCTGGGTGATAATGATGTGTTAATGTAGTAGTAGGGGATGTTGATAATGGGGGAGGCTGTCTGGGTGGGGTGGGGTGGGGAGTGTCAGGGGGTATATGAGAAATCTCTGTACGTTTTGCTCAATTTTGCTGTGAACCTAAAACTGCTCTAAAAATGAAGCCTATTCAAAAATAAAATATAAATAAATAAATACAAAAATAGTAAAAAGCAAAACTAGGCTAATGCAAAATATAAAAATAAAGAAGGAAAGAAAGGGTCACGATCTTAATAATTAACAAGATAGAATTTACACCCAAAAGTATTAAAAGTCACTTTATAGTGCTAAAGGCAACTATTTACTATAAAGCAATTAGGGCCATTAGAATTTGCTTACCTGATAATATAGTAACATATTTCATAAATCACTGTCTAAATGAGATAAAAGAGAAAACACACAGACATAGACTAATAGCCGAAGACTTTAACACACATATCTTAAGCAAACACAGATGAAGCAGACGAAAAATTAGCAAGTATATCTAAGACTTAATCAGCTGTTTCTCATGCTACTTGTGTCCCAACTCAAAGCTCTCCATCTCCCCTCTAATTTCAGTCACATGGGTGGTACACAGTTCCAGATGGGCTTTGACTCAACTCCTGCTGACACTATCTTGCCTCAAGCATGTATCTGAAATGTATTTCACTTTCTGCCCCAGGGATTCTACATCCAGACGCTAGTAAGAGCCCAGTGCAAGCACATCTGCACAGTCAAAAAGCACTGCCTCCTTAACTCCATGGTAGCACTGCCTCTAAGGGTAACCCTCAACATTGCAGCTAATTAGCACTCACCCAGCAGTATGCAACTGTAAGAGGCATTGTAAATACTCAAAGAAGGCTGGTGAGCATTGAACCCCATTTCCCTCAAGTAGCACCTTCAATAACACATTCTTACATTGATTATTTCTCCTTCATCCACTCCTTCTAGTCCTTCACTCCTGTTTCCAGGGATGATCTTGTATATAGGTTACATACACACAAAACCTTATCTTGGAGTTGGCTCTAGGAGGATCTAAATAAAGATAAATGCATAACCAATAAAGTAATCTCTGTGTGTGTGTGCGCGCGCGTGTGTGTGCATGTGTGTGTATGTGTACAATATATATAGTCTACCAAAAAGGCAGATGCTTTTTTAAAAAGTACACATGGAGCATTTACAAAAACTAAAGACATCTTAATTCCCAAGTAAAACCGCTATAAATCTTAAAAAATTGAAATAATAATAACAGCATTCTCTTATAACAGTGCAATAAAACTAAACTAGTAAAATAGCTAAAATCCTCTTCTATCTAGAATTTATTAAAAATATGCTATAAACAATTTTTAGTTCAAAGAGGAAGATAAAGTTTCAAAATTTCTGAAAAATGATTATAATGATTGCATGACGTTCTCTCTATGAGACAAAGCAGTTATCAGAGATTGTATAGTATAACATATTTATATCAATAAAAAGCAAAAAATTAAAAAATAACATAAATACTCAACTCAGAAAGTTCAAAAGAAAACCACTAAAAAAGCAAAAGGAAATAATTAATAAAGATTAAATCAGATTATAATGAGTTAGAAAAAAATATAGTGAAACTCATAAAGAGATAAATCTAAAAGCTGGTTCTTTTGTAAAGCAATAAAAATAACAAAAAATAGATAAACAACCAACTAACTAATCCAAATGAGAAAAAGAGTAAATATAAATATACAAAGTTAGAAATAAAAGCCATCAAAGTAGAAAAATTTTTTAAATCATTGTAATTAATTTGCAAAATCCAAATGGAATACATAATTTTCAGAAAATACGATTAACTGAAATTGACCTCAGTAAAGGCATAATCTAAAAACCTTAATATTTATGAGCAGTAGATAATATAGTTAGGGTTTCTCATGAAAAGCACCAGCTCCAGATAGTTTCGCAGGAGAATTTTTCTAAATCTTTAAAGCTCACATTTAAACCCAATGCTATTAAAAAGAAAAACAAAAATTTTAAAATTAGTTTTGAAGGAAAATATGATCCACAAATTTGATAAACATTATACAATAAAAGGAATCTAGAGAAAAGTCTAAATTCTAAATGTTGATGCAAAATGTTAAATAAAATATTTGCAAACATAACTTATTAGCACATTAACAAACAATGCATGATGACCAAGGGTGATTTATTCCAGTAATTAAAGATGGCTTAACCTTAAGAAACTCATTAATATAATCCATCATATTAATAGAGCTATGGAGAAAAACTTTATTAGATATAGAATAGTATTTTGAAAAAATTGAACACATTTATATTTAAAATATTCAATGAGACAAGAATTCAGGAATATTTAATGATAAAATTAAGATACAGTCATCTTACCTAATGGAGGAAACATTAAATTCAGTCTCATTAAAGTCGTGAACTAAAAAGATGGCTATAATCTCTATTACTTTTAACACTATCGTTGAAGTACTAGCCAATGAAATTAGAAAAAAAGAATGCAATTAGAGGCATAAAAGTTGGAATTGAAAAGGTAAAACTATCTCTTTTTATAGAAGCTATGATTGTGTATTTGGGAAAATCTAAAAGAAGTAGTATAAAAACTACCAAAACCTATAGCCAACTTTTAGAAGAGAAGCGTAAAATAGAATTAACCAACGAAATCAGTAGATGTCATGTATATACATAAAAAGAACAATTAGAAATTATAATGGAAAGAAATACCCATTGTAGATAGTAAATAAAATTAAAAATAAATAAAATAAAATATTTATAGATAAATTAAGAAGAAATGCTCAAAATTATATACAATAAATTATAAAATGCTTTTGAAAGTTTAAAAAGTATGACTTGAAGAAAATATACTCTGTATTTTGACAGAAAAATGTAATACTCTTTAAAAAATTGATCTTTTCAAGTTAATTTATAAATTTAAAACAAGTCTGATAAAAATGCTACCTTTTTCTGGAGGTAAGTACTCTGCTGTCCAAGCCTCCTTATGTTCATGCCTTTGTATGATCTTCCCCCTTGAGTGTGGGTGAGAATTGTGATTTGCTTCTGAACAAAATGATGAAGCAAGGATGATGGGATGTCACTGAATGACTATGTTTCATTATGTAAGACTGTCTAGCAGACATATTCTAAACAGTATCCTTGATAAGTTGATAGAGTAAATTGTTATGTTGGGAAAGACCACATGGAAATGTTCCTAGATGCTTCTAGAAACTGTGGGTGGCCCCTACTTGCTGAAAGCAGTCTCCAGGAAATAGTCTGTAAAAAGTCAGGGTCCTCCAGTCCTACAAACAAAGAAATGAATGCTGTCAAAACTGGAGTGAGAGTGGAAGCAGATTCCTCCCCAGTCAAGACTCCAGATGAGAATGCAGCCCAGGCAGTACCTAAACTGTAGCCTTGTAAGACCATATGCAGAGGACTGAGCTAAGCCATGCCCAGATTTCCGACCACAGAAACTGCAGAAAATAATATATGTTGTTTTAAGCCAGCAAGTTTGTGGTAATTTTATTTTTTTATTTTATATTATATAGTATATTATTACTATATATAGTATATATAGTATTATATATATTATTTATATATAGTTTTAGAGATGGAGTCTCACTCTGTTGCCCAGACTGGAGTGCAATGCCACAATCTAGGCTCACTGCAAGCTCCGCCTCCTGGGTTCCCGCCATTCTCCTGCCTCAGCCTCCTGAGTAGCTGGGACTACAGGTGCCCACCACCACACCGGGCTAATTTTTGTATTTTTAGTAGAGACAAGATTTCACTGTGTTAGCCAGGATGGTCTCAATCTCCTGACCTCATGATCCGCCCACTTCGGCCTCCCAAAGTTGTTTGTGGTAATTGTTATATAACCATAATGGATAACGAATGCAAATAAACAGTGAATTCTGAACAGAAATAAATAAGCATTATAAGTATTGGATGAACTAGCTCATCAGACATTTAAACGTAAAGCCTCTATAATGAAAAGCTTGTTCTGGCACTTGAAAAGGCAGACATACCAATGGAACATAGTAGAAAATTTAGAAATAGATCTGATTGCATATGACTTTTAGTAATATTTTTAAAAAGCAGCATCTCAAGTATGATAACTGGATAGACATTTTTTAAAAGTTAATATTGTATTATTTAAAACAGAATAAATTATAAATTTATAAAAAATTTAAGGGTGAAAATTAAACTCTAAAAAAAAGAATTAAACTTATATAAGTATGAGAAGACAATATGGGTGAAGTTTTTCTCCATTCACTAATGGGGAAAAATTTCCCAACTATACCTCAGTATCCAGCAGAAATAAGGAAAATAATAAATTGGATTAAATAAAAATTTAAAACCTGTGTATGACAAAATGCAGTAAACCAAGTAAAAAACCTGGAAAGGATATTTGCCATGTATATTATGAAGAAACTGGTCCTTTTCTTTATTATATAAAAAACTTTTAAGATAAATAAGTAAAAGGCCAAAAACTTATGAATTTTTTAAGTAGGGCCAGAGACACAAAGTGTTCACGCAAAAAAGGAATGTAAATGACTTTAAATACATAAAAGGATTATTAATTTTACTCTTATGAAGAGAAATAAAAGTTAAAACTATACTGGCTGACAAGACAGGCTGTGAAAAAACAATCGCATCTATTGCCTGTAGAAATTAAAAATATTTCAATAGAAGAATTTAGTAATATCTAAGAAAATTACATGTGCACTTAATTTTTGTCCCAGCTGTCCCACTTCCAGAAATATATTTCAAACACACTTTGACAAAATGTTACCCAAGGCTAGGTAACTCACCCTAACACTTCAGCCTTCCCCGTGTCCACATGACTCCATCATGAGTGGAGCAGTTCTCCACCTTTGACAATGGGCCTGACCATGGGCTTGACTAGGAGGCTTGTTTGAATATTAGCATGCGATTGGAAGTGACAGTGTATAAGTTCCAAAGCTGGGCCTTAAGGACTATAAACAATTGGTGACCTTTTAAATATTCATCGAGTTGTAGTTAAATTAGTTGTAGTTATATATTCACTTTGCACTTTTGTAGCAAAAGCTGATACAAAGGAAGCATTATTTATTACTGCAAGTAACTGGAAACAACAAATGTCCATAAGGACATTTAGGACAAACTGTACTATGGACAAACTACACAAAGGATTATTAGGCTTTATGCTTAATTTGTTTTTAATAGTAAGGACAATTGGTGCAACTAGATTAAGTTAAAATGATTGATTGTGAGCAATCATTTCTTTTGAGAATCTTCCATTAAATGCTCTTCTTATATAGAACATTTAATTTTTTCATAATATTTTTGTCATTAATCAAGGAACTAATTCCAAATTACTGCTTTGACCAGACCATTACTTTCAGTGCTAGTAAATCAGAAAGTGTGAATATCAAATTTGGATTTTTCTTCAGAGGAGAATCATGAGTTGCCATGAGCCCAGAGTCTCGACTTTTTCTCATCCAAAGTGATCTCATTTTCTTAATGGCCAACATGTATGAATGAGTAAGGAAGGACTGTTGTGGGTGTACATTGCTGATTATATGTAGCTGCTGACTCCGCTTCCCTCTCTGATTGCTGTGGTGGCATCATGTCATGGCAGGTAAGATCAAGGGCTCAGGTCAGACAGACATGAGCTCTAAGTCCTGCTTCACCATTTCCCAAAAATTTGAATTATGACCAACTTAACTTTTGTAAAACTCAAGTTTCTTATCCATCAAACAGTTAATAATACCTACCATAAAGAGTTGCTGTGAGGATGAAAAGAAGGAACAAATATAAGAGTTCTACACAGTGCTTGGAAGAACATGGGTGCCCAAATACATTGTTTGTTTTCTGCCTCTATCTCTTATTATTGAAATTGTGGAAACATGCATATAAATGTGCACTCTGAACTCTCCTAATAATAGTATGATTCAAGATTTCTACTAAAATTATGAATAAGCTTACATAAAATTATTAAAATTATTACCGAAATATAAACAAATTAAAACAAAAATTATTGGTAACTCATGGACATCATTACAAGAAACCGCAATGATATACTGAAGGTTCAAAGTTAGCGTTGCATTAAATGACTCTCCTGTTTAATCTAGGTGTATATGTTGAATTAGATTTTCAATTATGTAACATTTTCATTATCCACTCATTGGTTGATGGTCACTTAGGTTGGTTCATATCTTTGCAACTGTGAATTGTACTGCAATAAACATATGCACAGGAGTCTTTTTGATACAATGACTTATTTTCCTTTGAGTAGATGCCCAGTAATGGGCTTGAATGGTGGATCTACTTTTAGTTCTTTAAGAAATCTCTGTACTGTTTTCCATAGAGATTGTACTAATTTACATTCTCATCAGCAGTGAATAAGTATTCCCTTTTTACCACATCCATGCCAACATCTACAGTTTTTTGACTTTTTAATAATGGCCATTCTTGGCAGAAGTAAAGCGGTATCTCACTGTGGTTTCAATTTGCATTTCCCTGATGATTAGTGATGTTTCCTGTGTGTTGGCCATTTTTATATCTTCTCATGAGAAACATCTATGAGTGTCATTTGCCAACTTTTGATGGGATTAGTTGTTTCTTTGGCTAATGGCAGGCCAGTGGATTTGACATATACCACAGTCGAGCAGACTTTGTAAGAGTCATCAAGAATGAGAATGAAAACCCTCATAATACATAGGGAATTTATTAGAATACTAAGAAGGGTCTTGTCTTAGTACTGGGGAAAATGAATTCTAGCAGACTTCCTCTATAAAGGGATAGGTAGTGGATATTTTAGGCTTTGAGGGTTACATAGAGTCCCTGTTGCATATTCTTTTTTCTTTTATAATAATTTAAAAATGTAAAAGCTATTCTTGGCTTGTAGATAGTACAAAAAAATAGTACCTGCCCTAAACTAAGCACTGCTTTTTTCCTACCTAACTAAACTTAAAAGCAAAACCCAAAAGGATCAAGTTATGTCAAAGCTATTAACTGGGTCTTAGAACAAAGTTCAATACTATTTATAGAAATACAAATATATCAGTACTTGTCTTAATTTGTTTGGTTGCTATTTGAAAAAATACCATAAACTGGATGGCCTATAAACAATAGACATTTATTTCTCATAGTTCTGCAGACTAAGAAGTCCAAGATCAAGGTGCTGGCAGATTTGGTGTCTAGTGAAGGTACACTTCCTGATTCATAGAAATGGCAACTTCTCGCCATGTTGTCTCATGGGGAAGGGCAAGGCAGTTCTCCAGTGTCTCTTTTATAAGGATGCTAATCCCATTCATGAAGCTCTGCCTTCATAAGCTAGTCACTTCCCAAAGTCCTCACCTTCTAAAACCTTCATATTGGGTAATTAGGTCTCAATACATGAATGGGATGGTGGGGTGGGGGTGGTAGTTAAAAATATTAAGACCATAGCAGTACTCTATCAGGTAAAATTCACAACATCTGATATCCAATAAAAATTGCCAGGCATTCAAAAAGCAGCAAAATACAAACCATAATGAAGATAAAAATTAATCAAAACCAAGAAATGGAACAAATGAAACAACTTATTCTCATAACCTGAGCCATCCTGACCCGAGCTGTGGCTCACAGCTCTGGCATTGAGATCTATTTCCGTTGTTAATTCTTAGATATTTTCTCTCTATTGAATTTAAGATCAGCACCATTTCCAATAATTTTCTTGTAAAATCTACCTAAGATTTTCTATGCACTTGTAGCAGTAAAGCAGATCTTTCAAGACACCTGCATCCACCGTAGTGCCTGAAAGGCTTGATTCATTTTTTTATTTTGTCAACACACCACAGTCTTTGAGAATCTTGAAGGACAAAGATTTATCCTGATCCTTCAGCAAGCTAGAATCTGCATTGTCTCAGAGAACGTCAGTAACAACCAACAGAGAAAGCAAAAAATAGCTGTGGGTCCAATAGAACCACTAGATGGTGCAATGCCTTCATATTTCCTCAACACTAAAACCCAGAGGTGAATTTAGTCCATTACAAGGAACACTTTACCAGATAGCTATCCTAATTTGTCATTCCACTTGCCTGCCTTACTTGCCAATGATCTTGTGAGAAGGAACGGAGTCGAATACAGTTTTGCTTTGCTTAGCTTGAAAGGGAGTTTTTTAATTTAATTTTTTATTTTTATGTGTTGATGCTGTGCTGAGAGTTTGCATATTTGAAAATCGAACCATCAGAGGAATTCTAATTCCCCACTCCCCACCCTAAGCATGAGCTGCTCACCTGCCTCATCACCTTTGCCCCACATTTCAGCCTTCTTCAAGGCCCCAAACAGTTTTCTCTTCTATAATAAGCATTCATTGACCTTTCTGGTCCACTATCATCCCTTTTTCCTAAATTCCTCTTTTTTCCCCAATTCCTAATATCTTTGCTTTGCTCTTTATTAAATAGTACAGTGTAACATTGGAAAAGTTACTTTACCTACTTGTGGGTCAGTTTTCCCTCTGTCTAATGGAAACAGCCATAATACATCATTCATGAAATTGTTATGTTTAAATAAAATAATACATGTAAAGCAATTAACACAGTGCCCAACACACAGTAAATTCTCATAAATATATTTATTTACCAGTCTTTGATAATATAGAAAGTATCATTTTTCACCATCCTGTGCTTCCATTATGCCCTCAGTAAATATTCCTTGAACACGAATGACTTGCCAAGCATCTGCTTGCTGCCAGAAATGGAGCAGTGAATAAGATTTACATGATCCACACCCGCACATGCCTTACAGTAGAGTGAAGGAGAGGGAGATAAATCATTCTAGTAAGCTCTACAATAGAGGAAGTCCAGGGAGCTATGGGAGTATGCAGCAGAATTAACTTGTCTTGTCAGGTAGAATTAAGAAAGGCCTCTTCAAGGAAGTATCATCTAAACTGATGCTGATGAAAAGAGCGGTCAGGTAAAGGAGAGAAGTGGGATGGGATTTTCGTACAGGCTATGGCAGACCAAAGGCAAAGACTAGGGTTTGGCAGTCATGGCTTTCAAATACCTTTGATGACAATTTACAATAAAAATTATATTTCACATCAAAATATGTACACAGACCCCCCCCACACACAAAACTAAAACAATACTTACTCAAACATTGCTTAACTGGACTGCAAAAAATACATTCTAAGGTTTTCTATTCTCTTTTATTAAAAAGTATTGGCTTCAGGACATTTGTCTTGGGCAAAAATTTCTTGAGTAAGACTTCAAAAGTACAGTCAACAAAAGCAAAAATGGATAAATGGGATCACATCAAACTAAAAAGCTTCTGCATAGAAAAGGAAACAGCAAAGAAAAGATAGTAAAGGAAATATAGTGAAGGAAACAAAGTGAAGAAACAACCTACAAAATGGGAGAAAATACTTGCAGACTATTCAACTGACAAGGGATTAATAACCAGAGTATATAAGGAACTCAAATAGCTCAGTAGCAAAAAGCAAACAAACAAAAACCCCAAAACAACAATAAACAATCTATTTACAAAATGGGCAAAAGATCTGAATAGACATTTCTCTAAAGAAGACATACAAATGAAAAATGAAAAAAATGCTCAACATCACTAATCATCCAAGACGTGCAAACAAAACCACAAGGAGATATTATTTCAGCCCATTAAATGGCTATTATCAAAAACACAACCAATAACAGATGCTGCCAAGGATGTGGAGAGAGGGAAATGTTTGTACACCATTGGTGGCAATGTGAATTAGTGCAGCCACTAGGGAAAACTCTATGGAGCTTCCTCAAAAAGCTTAAAAATAGACCTACCATATGATCTAGCAATCTCACTCCTGGGTATATATGCAAAAGAAAGAAAATCAGTATATTGAAGAGATAGCTGCATTCCTATATTTATTGCAACACTATCCACAATAGCCAAGATATGGAATCAACCTGTCTCTCTCAATGGACAAATGGATAACAAAAATGTGGTATATATACCTGATGGTATATTATTCAGCCACAAAGGTAAATGAAATCCTGTCCTGGATTTCATTGAGAATGAGTTCCTGTCCTAGGTGTAAAAATATTGTTAAAAGGAATAAAAGTTAGTGTTTGGAAGCACAATAGGGCAACTATAATATAACATCAGTTAACTATAAGTTAATTATAAATTTAAACTATAAGTTTAACTATAAGTTAACAGTAATTTATTGCATATTTCAAAAATAACTGGAGGAGTAGATGTGGAATGTTCTCAACATAAAGAAATGATCAATTGTTTTTTGTTTTTTGTTTTTTTTTTGAGACAGAGTCTCCCTCTGTCGCCCAGGCTGTAGTGCCATGGCACAATCTCAGCTCACTGCAACCTCCGCCTCCTGGGTTCAAACGATTCTCCTCCCTCAGCCTCCTGAGTAGCTGGGATTACAGGCACGCACCACCACACCCAGCTAATTTTTGTATTTTTAGTAGAGATGGGGTTTCGCCATATTGGTCAGGCTTGTCTCAAATTCCTGACCTCATGATCTGCCCTCCTGGGCCTCCCAAAGTGCTAGGATTACAGCCGTGAGCCACCATGCCAAGCCAGAAATGATAAATTTTTGAGGTGACGAATATCTCAATTACTCTGATTTGTTCATTACACATTGTATGCTTGCATTAAAATATTACATGTACCATAAATATGCATAAATATTGTGTATCCATAAAAAAATTTTAAATAATTTTTTAAAAGTATTGGTTATACCTCATCATAGGGCACCAAAATACATGAAACTGAAACAGGTAGAAATGAAGAAAGAAATAAAGAATTTAATAATAACACTTGGAAACTATAACAATCCATTTTCAATAATGGATAGAACAACCAGGCAGCAGACCAACAAATAAATGGAAGATGAAGAATACAAATAAACCAACTGGTCCTAACAAACATCTATAGAACATGCAATCATCAACATCAAATTATATATCCTTCTCATGTGCACATAAATATTCTCCAGGAATAACCATATTCTAGCCCCCCTCCCCAAATAAACCCCAATAAATCTTAAAGGAATTAAATTTAAATTTGATTCTGAGAACTACAGGATGAAATTGGAAACCAATAATGAAAAGGAACATGAAAAACTAGAAATTATGTGGAAATTTAACAACGCATTCCTATATAACCAATTAATCAAAGAAAAATTACATGGGGAATTAGGAAATAGTTCGAAATTAATGGAGATGAAGATATAACATAACCAGAACATATGGAATGCAGCTAAAGGAGTGCTTAGACAGAAATTTAGAGCTATAATTGCCTGTATTAAAATAATAATGAGAAAGATCTCAAATCAATAACCCAACTTTCCACCTTAAGATACTGGAAAAATAAGAGCAAATTAAACCTAAACCAAGTGGCAGGAAGAAACTAATAAAGATTACAGCATTACTTAATGGGTACAATGTGTATTATTTGAGTGAAGCATACTGTAAAACCCTGACTTCACTACCATGTAATCTATGCACGTAACAAAATTTCACTTATACCCCATAAATTTATACAAGTAAAAAATAAGAGCATACATTTATGAAATAAAAAATATGAAACAATAGGAAAAAAATCAACAGAATCAAAAGTTGGTTCTTTGAAAAGATAAGCAAAATTGACAAACCTTCAGCAAGATTGACCAAAAAGAAAAGAGAAGGTTCAAATTACTAAAATCAGAAATGAAGGGACATTACTACCAACCTTACAGAAATAAAAAGGTTTATAGAATAATACCATGAACAAGTGTATGCCAATAGGTTAGACAAATTAGATGAAAGCGACAAATTTCTGAAATTGACTCAATTTGAAAAAGATAATCTAAATAGACCCATAATAAATAAAGAGAATGAATTACTAATTAAAAAACGAAACAAACACAACAGCAATGACAACAAAACTACCCACAAAAATAGCTTAGGCTCAGATGCCTTCAATGTTAAATTCTGTCAAACATTTATAGAAAAATTAATATCAATACTTCATAAACTCTTCCAAAAAATAACAGAAGAGGGAACACTTCCCAACTCATTCTATGAGGCCAAAATTTCCTTAATATCAGAAGTAGACAAAAATTTTACAAGAAAAGAAAACTGTAAATCAATATATCTATGAAAAGGTATGCAGAATTCCTCAGCAAAATTATAGCAAATGGAAGCCAGCAACATATTTTAAACAATGTGTATGACAACCAAGTGAGACTTATAACAGAAATGCAGCATTGGCTTAATATGTAAATTAATCAATTAATGTAACATATCATATCAATAGAATAAAAAACAAAAACCACATGATCATTTCAATAGATGTGGAAACAGTATTTGACAAAATCCAATATCTGGTCATGATAAAAACACACAAAAAATAGGAATAGAAGGGAATTTCTGGAGGGAGGAGCCAAGATGGCTGAATAGGAACAGCTCTGGTCTACAGCTCCCAGCGTGAGCAATGCAGAAGACGGGTGATTTCTGCATTTCCATCTGAGGTACTGGGTTCATCTCACTAGGGAGTGCCAGACAGTGGGCGCAGGTCAGTGGGTGCGCACACCGTGCACGAGCCGAAGCAGGGCGAGGCATTGCCTCACTCGGGAAGTGCAAGGGGTCAGGGAGTTCCCTTTCCGAGTCAAAGAAAGGGGTGACGGACGAACCTGGAAAATCGGGTCACTCCCACCCGAATATTGCGCTTCTCGGACCGGCTTAAAAAACGGCGCACCACGAGACTATATCCCGCACCTGGCTCGGAGGGTCCTACGCCCACAGAGTCTCGCTGATTGCTAGCACGGCAGTCTGAGATCTAACTGCAAGGCGGCAGCGAGGCTGGGGGAGGGGCGCCCGCCATTGCCCAGGCTTGCTTTGGTAAACAAAGCAGTCGGGAAGCTTGAAATGGGTGGAGCCCACCACAGCTCAAGGAGGCCTGCCTGCCTCTGTAGGCTCCACCTCTGGGGGCAGGGCACAGACAAACAAAAAGACAGCAGTAACCTCTGCAGACTTAAATGTCCCTGTCTGACAGCTTTGAAGAGAGCAGTGGTTCTCCCAGCACGCAGCTGGAGATCTGAGAAAGGGCAGACTGCCTCCTCAAGTGGGTCCCTGACCCCTGACCCCCGAGCAGCCTAACTGGGGGGCACCCCCCAGCAGGGGCACACTGACACCTCACACGGCAGGGTATTCCAACAGACCTGCAGCTGAGGGTCCTGTCTGTTAGAAGGAAAACTAACAAACAGAAAGGACATCCACACCAAAAACCCATCGGTACATCACCATCATCAAAGACCAAAAGTAGATCAAACCACAAAGATGGGGAAAAAACAGAACAGAAAAACTGGAAGCTCTAAAATGCAGAGCGCCTCTCCTCCTCCAAAGGAACGCAGTTCCTCACCAGCAACGGAACAAAGCTGGATGGGGAATGACTTTGACGAGCTGAGAGAAGAAGGCTTCAGACGATCAAATTACTCTGAGCTATGGGAGGACATTCAAACCAAAGGCAAAGAAGTTGAAAACTTTGAAAAAAATTTAGAAGAATGTATAACTAGAATAACCAATACAGAGAAGTGCTTAAAGGAGCTGATGGAGCTGAAAACCAAGGCTTGAGAACTACGTGAAGAATGCAGAAGCCTCAGGAGCCAATGCGATCAACTGGAAGAAAGGGTATCAGCGATGGAAGATGAAATGAATGAAATGAAACGAGAAGGGAAGTTTAGAGAAAAAAGAATAAAAAGAAATGAGCAAAGCCTCCAAGAAATATGGGTCTATGTGAAAAGACCAAATCTACGTCTGATTGGTGTACCTGAAAGTGATGGGGAGAATGGAACCAAGTTGGAAAACACTCTGCAGGATATTATCCAGGAGAACTTCCCCAATCTAGCAAGGCAGGCCAACATTCAGATTCAGGAAATACAGATAATACCACAAAGATATCCTCGAGAAGAGCAACTCCAAGACACATAATTGTCAGATTCACCAAAGTTGAAATGAAGGAAAAAATGTTAAGGGCAGCCAGAGAGAAAGGTCGGGTTACCCTCAAAGGGAAGCCCATCAGACTAACAGCAGATCTCTCGACAGAAACCCTACAAGCCAGAAGAGAGTGGGGGCCAATATTCAACATTCTTAAAGAAAAGAATTTTCAACCCAGAATTTCATATCCAGCCAAACTAAGCTTCATAAATGAAGGAGAAATAAAATCCTTTACAGACAAGCAAATGCTGAGAGATTTTGTCACCACCAGGCCTGCCCTAAAAGAGCTCCTGAAGGAAGCGCTAAACATGGAAAGGAACAACCGGTACCAGCCGCTGCAAAATCATGCCAAAATGTAAAGACCATCGAGACTAGGAAGAAACTGCATCAACTAACGAGCAAAATCACCAGCTAACATCATAATGACAGGATCAAATTCACACATAACAATATTAACTTTAAATGTAAATGGACTAAATGCTCCAATTAAAAGACACAGACTGGCAAATTGGATAAAGAGTCAAGACCCATCAGTGTGCTGTATTCAGGAAACCCATCTCACGTGTAGAGACACACATAGGCTCAAAATAAAAGGATGGAGGAAGATCTACCAAGCGAATGGAAAACAAAAAAAGGCAGGGGTTGCAATCCTAGTCTCTGATAAAACAGACTTTAAACCAACAAAGTTCAAAAGAGACAAAGAAGGCCATTACATAATGGTAAAGGGATCAATTCAACAAGAAGAGCTAACTATCCTAAATATATATGCACCCAATACAGGAGCACCCAGATTCATAAAGCAAGTCCTGAGTGACCTACAAAGAGACTTAGACTCCCACACATTAATAATGGGAGACTTTAACACCCCACTGTCAACATTAGACAGATCAACGAGACAGAAAGTCAACAAGGATACCCAGGAATTGAACTCAGCTCTGCACCAAGCGGACCTAATAGACATCTACAGAACTCTCCACCCCAAATCAACAGAATATACATTTTTTTCAGCACCACACCACACCTATTCCAAAATTGACCACATACTTGGAAGTAAAGCTCTCCTGAGCAAATGTAAAAGAACAGAGATTATAACAAACTATCTCTCAGACCACAGTGCAATCAAACTAGAACTCAGGATTAAGAATCTCACTCAAAACCACTCAACTACATGGAAACTGAACAACCTGCTCCTGAATGACTACTGGATACATAACGAAATGAAGGCAGAAATAAAGATGTTCTTTGAAACCAGTGAGAACCAAGACACAACATACCAGAATCTCTGGGACGCATTCAAAGCAGTGTGTAGAGGGAAATTTATAGCACTAAATGCCCACAAGAGAAAGCAGGAAAGATCCAAAATTGACACCCTAACATCACAATTAAAAGAACTAGAAAAGCAAGAGCAAACACATTCAAAAGCTAGCAGAAGGCAAGAAATAACTAAAATCAGAGCAGAACTGAAGGAAATAGAGACACAAAAAATCCTTCAAAAAATTAACGAATCCAGGAGCTGGTTTTTTGAAAGGATCAACAAAATTGATAGACCACTAGCAAGACTAATAAAGAAAAAAAGAGAGAAGAATCAAATAGATGCAATAAAAAATGATAAAGGGGATATCACCACTGATCCCACAGAAATACAAACTACCATCAGAGAATACTACAAACACCTCTACGCAAATAAACTAGAAAATCTAGAAGAAATGGATAAATTCCTTGACACACACACTCTCCCAAGACTAAACCAGGAATAAGTTGAATCTCTGAATAGACCAATAACAGGAGCTGAAATTGCGGCAATAATCAATAGTTTACCAACAAAAAAGAGTCCAGGACCAGATGGATTCACAGCCGAATTCTACCAAAGGTACAAGGAGGAACTGGTACCATTCCTTCTGAAACTATTCCAATCAATAGAAAAAGAGGGAATCCTCCCTAACTCATTTTATGAGGCCAGCATCATTCTGATACCAAAGCCTGGCAGAGACACAACCAAAAAAGAGAATTTTAGACCAATATCCTTGATGAACATTGATGCAAAAATCCTCAATAAAATACTGGCAAAACGAATCCAGCAGCACATCAAAAAGCTTATCCACCATGATCACGTGGGCTTCATCCCTGGGATGCAAGGCTGGTTCAATATACGCAAATCAATAAATGTAATCCAGCATATAAACAGAGCCAAAGACAAAAACCACATGATTATCTCAATAGATGCAGAAAAAGCCTTTGACAAAATTCAACAACCCTTCATGCTAAAAACTCTCAAGAAATTAGGTATTGATGGGACGTATTTCAAAATAATAAGAGCTATCTATGACAAACCCACAGCCAATATCATACTGAATGGGCAAAAACTGGAAGCATTCCCTTTGAAAACTGGCACAAGACAGGGATGCCCTCTCTCACCACTCCTATTCAACATAGTGTTGGAAGTTCTGGCCAGGGCAATTAGGCAGGAGAAGGAAATAAAGGGTATTCAATTAGGAAAAGAGGAAGTCAAATTGTCCCTGTTTGCAGACGACATGATTGTATATCTAGAAAACCCCATTGTCTCAGCCCAAAATCTCCTTAATCTGATAAGCAACTTCAGCAAAGTCTCAGGATACAAAATCAATGTACAAAAATCACAAGCATTCTTATACACCAATAACAGACAAACAGAGAGCCAAATCATGAGTCAACTCCCATTCACAATTGCTTCAAAGAGAATAAAATACCTAGGAATCCAACTTACAAGGGATGTGAAGGACCTCTTCAAGGAGAACTACAAACCACTGCTCAAGGAAATAAAAGAGGATACAAACAAATGGAAGAACATTCCATGCTCATGGGTAGGAAGAATCAATATCGTGAAAATGGCCATACTGCCCAAGGTAATTTACAGATTCAATGCCATCCCCATCAAGCTGCCAATGACTTTCTTCACAGAATTGGAAAAAACTACTTTAAAGTTCATATGGAACCAAAAAAAGAGCCCGCATCGCCAAGTCAATCCTAAGCCAAAAGAACAAAGCTGGAGGCATCACACTACCTGACTTCAAACTATACTACAAGGCTACAGTAACCCAAACAGCATGGTACTGGTACCAAAACAGAGATATAGATCAATGGAACAGAACAGAGCCCTCAGAAATAACGCGGCATATCTACAACTATCTGATCTTTGACAAACCTGAGAAAAACAAGCAATGGGGAAAGGATTCCCTATTTAATAAATGGTGCTGGGAAAACTGGCTAGCCACATGGAGAAAGCTGAAACTGGATCCCTTCCTTACACCTTATACAAAAATCAATTCAAGATGGATTAAAGACTTAAACGTTAGACCTAAAACCATAAAAACCCTAGAAGAAAACCTAGGCATTACCATTCAGGACATAGGCATGGGCAAGGACTTCATGTCTAAAACACCAAAAGCAATGGCAACAAAAGACAAAATTGACAAATGGGATCTAATTAAACTAAAGAGCTTCTGCACAGCAAAGGAACTACCATCAGAGTGAACAGGCAACCTACAAAATGGGAGAAAATTTTCGCAACCTACTCATCTGACAAAGGGCTAATATCCAGAATCTACAATGAACTCAAACATATTTACAAGAAAAAAACAAACAACCCCATCAAAAAGTGGGCGAAGGACATGAACAGACACTTCTCAAAAGAAGACATTTATGCAGCCAAAAGACACATGAAAAAATGCTCATCATCACTGGCCATCAGAGAAATGCAAATCAAAACCACAATGAGATACCATCTCACACCAGTTAGAATGGCAATCATTAAAAAGTCAGGAAATAACAGGTGCTGGAGAGGATGTGGAGAAATAGGAACACTTTTACACTGTTAGTGGTACTGTAAACTAGTTCGACCATTGTGGAAGTCAGTGTGGCGATTCCTCAGGGATCTAGAACTAGAAATACCATTTGACCCAGCCATCCCATTACTGGGTATATACCCAAAGGACTATAAATCATGCTGCTATAAAGACACATGCACACGTATGTTTATTGCGGCATTATTCACAATAGCAAAGACTTGGAACCAACCCAAATGTCCAACAATGATAGACTGGATTAAGAAAATGTGGCACATATACACCATGGAATACTATGCAGCCATAAGAAATGATGAGTTCATGTCCTTTGTAGGGACATGGATGAAATTGGAAATCATCATTCTCAGTAAATTATCGCAAGAACAAAAAACCAAACACCGCATATTCTCACTCATAGGTGGGAATTGAACAATGAGAACATATGGACACAGGAAGGGCAACATCACACTCTGGGGACTGTGGTGGGGTGGCGGCAGCGGGGAGGGATAGCATTGGGAGATATACCTAATGCTAGATGGTGAGTTAGTGGGTGCAGCACACCAGCATGGCACATGTATACATATGTAACTAACCTGCACAATGTGCACATGTACCCTAAAACTTAAAGTATAATAAAAAAAAAAAGAAGGGAATTTCTGCCATCTAATATAGGACATCTATAAAATCCCACAGTTAATATCACAGTTAATATTTGCTGTGAAAATCTGGTTGATTGTTATGTGGCATTTTACTCTTGTTTTTTTTTTTTTTTTTTTTTTTTTTTTTGGGGGGATGCAGTCTTGCTCTGTTGCCCAGGCTGGAGTGCAGTGGCATGATCTCAGCTCACTGCAAGCTCTGCTTCCCGGGTTCACGCCATTCTCTTGCCTCAGCCTCCCTAGTAGCTGGGACTACAGGCGCCCGCCACCACGCCTGGCTAATTTTTTGTGCTTTTAGTACATAGAGACGGGGTTTCACCGTGTTAACCAGGATGGTCTCGATCTCATGACCTCATGATATGCCTGCTTCAGCCTCCCAAAGTATTGGGATTACAGGTGTAAACCACCGCGCCCGGCCGCATTTTACTGTTTAAAGGATCAATTAGGATAAGGAAAAGCAGTCATAAAAACAGACAGCATCTTTAGAAAACACTGAGTGCCTCTTGACTGAGCATAGTGTGAGTCACGAAGAACACAAGATTCAAACCTTGAATGACAAGGTGACAAGTGGATATTTAATTAGATAAGCCAGGGAGAGCCATTGAAGCTTTCAGAGTGGGAGAGTATGCAGAGATTTGTGTCTTAGGAAAATTTATCTATCAGTATCTGGCATGAAGTAGATACTCAACAAATGTTCATTAGATAAATGGCAGCAAAGTAAAATATGCTTTGAAAAAATAGAAACATTAAGTAGAGAATCCAATTAGGAGGCTGTAATGCAGTGTCAGTTACATATCCAAATCCCATCTCCCTACCCCATTCCTCTCAAATCAATCCTCAGTTTCATTCTGGCTTCCTCACTCTTCTACACAGCCAGGTACTGCAGAGGAGGTTAGCCCAAGCCTCAGGAACTGGATCCTGCTTAGCCAAAATAATTCCAGAGGTCCTTCCAAGAATTGGTTTAAGCATGGATTAAGCATGGACACGTGTTAGAGTTTTGGCCTGTGGAGACATATGGGATTTTTGCTAATAATAATAATAAAATAAAAAAAGAAACACATAGAAGAGAGGACCAGTCAGTGGGCGAGACTGACCCATGAGTTATAAAGAACCAAGAGATTGCAGAGAAGCTGAGCTGCAATCTTACCGTTGTGCCTAGAACCACTATGGATGTGTTATTTTAGAGAAAATAAATTTTCTTATCATTTTAGCCAGGAGCATCAAGGTTTCATAGCACTTAAAGCCAAAAGCTTGCTGATGAATAAAGAGACCATCAGAACTATCCAGGCAAATGGTAATTAAGGCTTGAGCTAAGATGTTGTCCTCAGGAAAAGAAAAAGTTGAACGAATTTGAGAGGCAATTTAGGCATAGAATAGGACTGTCAGACTTAGCAAATAAAAACACGGGGCACACAGTTAAATTTCAATATCAGATAAACAACAAAAACTTTTTTTAGTTTACCTCTCCCCTGCAACGTTTGAAACATACTTACACAAAAATATTATTTATTGCTTCTCTGGAATTCAAATTTAACTATTTTATCTAGCTGCCTGAGTGTAGAGCTTTCAAGACTTTTAACCACTGATCTGATGCGAGAAAACAAAGGCAAAAAGAAGTCACAGAAGTCTTTAGGGTTTTAAGCTTGAGTCATTGGGAATCCAGGGAGTCCATACTACTAAATAAGAAAAGGAAGTCAGGATATTTTGTGGAGTGGATAAAAGTTTAATTGGAAATGTATGGTGGGTGAGATGATTAACAAGTTATCTTACAATAGCAGTTCTCAATCAGGGGTGATTTTGCCTCCCAGTGGACATTGGGCAGTGTCTGGAGACGTTTTTGGTTGTCACAGCACAGGGGAGGGATTGCCACTGGTGTCTAGTGGATAAAGGCTGAGATGTTGCTAAACAGCTCACGGCCTTATGACAAAGAATTATCCCATCCAAAATGTCAACAGTGGTGAGGCTGAGAAACCCAGTATTACAGTATGGGGTGAAAAAAGATATTTTTAGGATGTTTATATTAAGTCCGCATTGGACTTTAATAATCTAAGTTTACTCTCTGTTTAGCAAGTATTTAATCAGCATCCAATATGTAGCAGGCTGTTTACCAGGAACACGAAGAGGAATAAGATATAGTATGAGCTTTCTAAAAACTCAGCCTATCAGGGGAAATGAATGCGTAAAAGTTTCTGAATAAAAGCTTGCGGCCAGGCGCGGTGGCTCACGCCTGTAATCCCAGCACTTTGGGAGGCCGAGGCGGGTAGATCACGAGGTCAGGAGATCGAGACCATCCTGGCTAACACGATGAAACCCCGTTTCTACTAAAAATACAAAAAATTAGCCGGGTGTGGTGGCAGGCACCTATAGTCCCAGCTACTCAGGAGGCTGAGGCAGGAGAATGGCGTGAACCCGGCAGACAGAGCTTTCAGTGAGCCGTGATTGGACCACTGCATTCCAGCCTGGGCGACAGAGTAAGACTCCATCTCAAAAAAAAAAAAAGCTTGCAATAAGTACACTGAAGCAAAAGTAACTTTATGTAAATTTGAGAAAATATGTCATACGTTTGCTGCACAACGTATGCACCCCAGAGCATTAGTCTGAAAAATGCCCAAAGGGTCTAGTCTAGGGAATAGCAGATCTTTCTTAACACAAGCAAAACATCATGTGGATAAAAGTAAAGGCTACAGGAACGTACCTTAACCATAGTGTAGAAAGCACTATTGACTGTTTTCTATGTTCAAGAGCAAAGAAAGAAACACCTTGTAATGGTTAATATCAGATGTCAACTTGACTGGATCAAGGGATGCCTAGATGGCTGGTGAAGTGTTATTCTGGGTGTGTCTGTGAGGGTGTTTCCAGAGGTGATTGACATGGGAGTCAGTGAACTAAGACCTGCCCTCAACGTGAACAGGCAGTATCCAGTTGGCTGGGGGCCCCTCTAAGAAAAAGCAGGCAGAAGAAGAGGGATACTCATCTCTCTCTTGCTCTCTCTCTCTCTCTCTCTCTCTCTCTCTCTGCCAGAGTGGGATGCCTTTTTCTTCTCCTGCCCTTGATATCAGACTCCAGGGTCTTTGGCTTCTTGATTCTGGGATTCGAACCCATGGTCTCCTGAGGTTCTCAGGCCTTTAGCCTCACACTAGGACTCCACTGTCAACTTCCCCAGTTCTGAGGTTTTGGACTTGCCCTGAGCCATGGTACAGGCTTTCCTGGGAGCCACACTACTGGCCTCTCTGGTTCTCCATCTTGCAGACAGCCTATCATCTCTATGACTTTACCTCTGATTGTGTGAGCCAATACCCCCAATAGATCTCCTTTCCATATATATCTATTGGTTCTGTTTCTTTGGAGAATTCTGACTCATACACACCTGTTGGTGCCTAACATCCTCCTAGATGACTTCATATTTCAGCTTATTTACTCACCATAGAAACAGTATGAAGTGACTGTTACTATTACCACAGGCATTTCACAGGTGAGAAATTTGAGGCTCTCAGAATTTATGTAATGTGTAAAATGTGTGTCTTGGGCTCCCAGCACTATCCCTTTTCAGATTGCTTCCCTTTTTCTTTATTTCATATCTTTTTAGATTTTATTGTGTGTGTCTTCTTTTTAAACTCCCCTTAGTTGAGCTGGTGCTCTTAATTGCAAAGATAATTGCTGGAGCAAACAGAATTAAAATTGTACAGAACTACACATCTACACAATGGAGTACTATTCAGCACTATAAAGAAATGAGCTATGAAGTCATCAAAAGACATGGAAGAAACTTGCAAATTACCAAGTGAAAGAAGCCAATCTGAAAAGGCTACATATTGTAGATTCCAACTTTACAATATTCTGGAAAAAGACAAAACTATGACATAGTAAAAGATCAGTGGATTTCCAGCATCAAGGAGGAGGAAGAAATGAATAGGTGGAGTAAAGAGGATTTTTAGGGCAGTGAAACTACTCTGTTTCATATTATAATGGTCCATACATGTGATTATACATTTGCCCAAATCCATATGTATTAGGCCATTATCACACTGCTATAAAGATACTACCTGATACTGGGTAATTTATAGACAAAGGAGGTTTATTTGACCCACAGTTTAACATGGCTGGGGAGGCCTCAGGAAACTTATAACTATGGTGGAAGGAGAAGGGGAAGCAAGGACCTTCTTCACATGGCGGCAGGAGAGAGAAGTGCATGCAGGGGAAATGCCAGATGCTTATCAACCATCAGATCTCATGAGAACTCACTCACTGTCATGAGATCAGCATGGAGGAAATCACCCCCATGATCCAATCACCTCCCTTCCTTGACATGTGCAGATTACAATTCAAGATGAGATTTGGGTGGGGACATAAAGCCAAACTGTATCACCATAGAATATGCAACCCTAGTTTAAGAGATATAAGGGGTTCACATTAGGGTTCACTCAGTTCACATTAGGGTTCACTCACCTAACAGTAAACCCTTGTGTGAACTATAGACTTTGGGTGATAATGATGTGTCAATGTAGGTTCATCAGTTGTAACAAATGTACCACTGTGGTCCAGAATGTTGATGGTGGAGGAAGCCATCATGTATGGTTCTTTGTACTTTCTGCCTAAATTTGCTATGAACCTAAAACTGCTCTAAAAAGTAAAGTCTATTAAAAATAAAATAAAATTAAAAGGCTACTGAGGAGTTCTGTTAAAAAAAAAAAAAAGTGAAACCGTGAGTATCCTGTGGTGGTTTTTACCTCAGGCTGTTGGTGCTCTGCATTTGCCTGTGTTTGTTGGTGATGGCTCAACCCTCTTTGTGTTCTGAAAGGAAGGGACCCCTTGAGATTCCTATCTGTTTATTCTCTCCAGAAACATAATGCTAAGGGTCAGTGTGGTGGAACATGGGCAAGCTGTGGACCTTACATTCTCCTGGTTAATTGGTGAATGGCTCCTGCCAGGTACTTTAACCAACTGAGCCTCAGCCTCCTCATCTATAAAATGGGGTTGACAGTGAAAATTGTATTTAATTATTCATTTACTGTCCAGCTCTTCTGCCAGAAAGCAAGATCCACAGAGACAGGGACAGTGTCTCTTTTATTCAGTCTCATCACTGCTTCCACAGTGCTGGAACTTAATGGACATTAAATAATATTCTATTAGACAAATGGATGAAATAATACATACAGGAAACATAATGCGTGGCCTCCAGTGTGGTTGTGAAGCCTGAAGGAGTCAGTGTATGGGACGTGTCTGGCACATTTGAGGTTGCCCCTTTCCCTGGCCCTGTGAATTTATCTTTTCACCTAAAGCAATCCTCAGCAGCCACTGGGAGAATCATCCCTGGCAACCGAGAACAACAATAGACATCTAAACAGAGAGAGACTTCAGGAGTACAACTGACCCAGAGAAATGAAAGAAAGGAGACACCTGCTCCATTTTCCCTTAACAACATTTACAGAAGTAGGTCTTTGTCTTTTCTAATTGCACTTTGGGGAAAAGCAGTATCAATTTAAATGTAACACGTTTCAACCAAGGGATTGGCTATTTCTGTTTCAGGTCTAACATAATGATTCCCAAGAAGCCTCAAACCTACTGATTCAATTATTTGAGGAAAATTTCTGAAGTTGAAATAGGCATTATGTTAGGTTTCATTATCATTTTCCTCCATCCAAAGGAAGACAGGAGTGAGAAATGGAACCAGCCCCACTTTTCTGGAAGAAAAGAGAACTGTGTGTTGTTCTGGTTCTGTCAACAACAAGCTGTGTATACTTGGGCAGGTCCTGTGTCCTCTTTGGGCTTCGAATTCCAGATTCCCAATATCTGGAAATTAGCCATTTCAGGGATTCTTCAGGCTACCTGTTCAGAAAAAAATTGGATTAATATTCAGATACAATTTTATATTTGGGAAAAAGTCACCACTTTTAAATCACAAACTGTTATCTTAATTGGTGGAAGCAGATGGCAAATACAGTGATTATAAATGAGGCTTATTCTCAGGTACTACTGCCTCGCAATACCAAAGAAAATATATCATAATTTTGAGATGAACGTGTGTGTGTGTGTGTGTGTGTGTGTGTGTGTGTGTGGTGCATGAGAGTGAGTGATTTTTATTGTTTATCACATTATGTAATAGACTGATAGTGAAGAAACACTGATTACAGGATTCTTTTATCATTTCTGGATTTCAGATGAAAGTATCCTATTTAAGTGAGTAAGATGATGATAATAATTTCAAATATTGGTGTGTCTGGTATATGCAAGGTATTGTGCAAAACACTTTATTTAAAACCAAACACCGCATATTCTCACTCATAGGTGGGAATTGAACAATGAGTTCACATGGACACAGGAAGGGGAATATCACACTCTGGGGACTGTGGTGGGGTGGGGGGAGGGGGGAGGGATAGCATTGGGAGATATACCTAATGCTAGATGAGTTAGTGGGTGCAGCGCACCAGCATGGCACATGTATACATATGTAACTAACCTGCACAATGTGCACAGGTACCCTAAATCTTAAAGTATAATAAAAAAATAAAAATAAAAAAAAAAACTTCATGCCTGCCTCTCAATGGCCACCAAATAAATTGACAGAGAACATCTCAATTACATTCTGCATCGTTTCTCTCCCGGGATTTTCGAGGCTGTGAATGTTATTACTTACTAAACTTACAAGTCAATTTCCACGTAATAAGATATTGCTTTTCACCATAAAGACTCAACTTAATGGATCAATAATGGAATAACTTCAGTTTAAAGTTATCATCAGGGAACTGAAAATTATAATTCAATGTCCTCTGTACATAGTTTCTTATATAAAGGGAGGAAATTAGCGTTTATTGACTTCCTGGAATGTGCCATTTTCTTCTGATTCAATATTTTGAATAGCTCATGTTACTGACACATAGTAGGCACTCAAGCAATACTTACTGAATTAATGAAGAATTAATCAGTTAATTTTAGTCACCACTTTATAGATGAGGAAACTCTGGTCAAAGATTAAATAAGTGCCCCAAGGTAATGGAGGCAGGATGCAGTGGAGCTGGGATTCAGGTGTGCCTAATGCCGACCCCCAGCTCCTCCCTTTCCCCATTCTACCTCTTGTTTTCTAGAATCTGTCCTTGACTTCTCAACAGCATAGTGCATAGTACATGGTCCCCATGTGGCTTCTCTTTTCTTTTTTTTTTTTTTTTTTTTTTTTTAGCTAAAATCACCTTCAAAATTTGAGTTGCCTGTAAACCAAAACAATGCTATAATTTGCAAAAAGAGATATGCAGAGATGACAGGACAGTGAGAGAAGTGAGAAGAAAAACAAGTGAAATGTAGATTACTATTGATCACTTCAGCTGGAGCTCTATATCTTACTTCCTTTTTGTTTCCCCACCCACCCCATTTTTTAATCTTGGTGATATTCTTGTGTAAAATTAATCCTTTATGGGCAGTGTGTAACTTCAAGTATTGAGGATGGTGTTGGTCAGAAACCAATAAAAACAAAATTAATCTATTGAATGCCAGGGACAAGAGGTTGAATCCATTAAGTAATGTGATACCTTTCATGAAAAGGCCGACATTTCATTGGCAATCTGGCAGTAACATTCCCAGAAGACCTCATGAAAATCAAACATCATCCATCTCTGGATATAGAACATTTTAAAGGCTTTAATTATTATTCAAAACTCAGTAATAAAATTATATTACTGGCTTTGAAGAAGGAAAATGGAAGCTTATAGGGGTGATGCAGTTATTTAGGAGATAGAGAATAAATCCCATCCTTTCTCATTTTTCAACATTTGTCATTCTGTTTTTGTCATAAAAGAAAGTATGAAATAAGTCACAGAACTACTTTTAATTATTTTATTTTGAAATTTAGTAATTTTCTGATGGTGAATGCAAGTATAAAATAATGTTTAGAAAACACAGATTGTTATAAATAAGAGAATAAAACCAACCATAGTGCAATCATTCAGAGATAACCATTGTTAGAATGTTTTATACTCAATAGAAATTTGAGCAGTAAATATTGACTAAGCAATTAAGAAGAGAAAATTCCAGTAAGTGTTAAAAAATAATAAACTATCCTTAACTCCACTGGTTATTGGGGAAATGCAAACTAAAAGAAAACAAAACAAAAACCAATTTAAAAAATGAGAGACATGGTTAAAGAAAGTGTTAGAAAACTGGAACATAAAGTCAAGGAAATTACAGAAAATGCAACACAGAGTGAAGAAAATATAAAATAAGTGAAACATCTGCTGTCCAGAAAATATAAAAAAGAGCCTCTCTTTCTCTCCCTTATGCTTTCCTTTTTCTCTCTCTCCTGCTTTCCTTTTCTTTAACTTACCTTTTCTGAATAATGTAGCTGAAAAGCCATCAGTTGGGACAAACCAAGGTAGACAGTAGATTGAGGGAGTGAGAAATAGTTGCACAGAATGTTAGAACTAAGCAGGGTGAGAAGGCATTCATGCAGGGGGAAAGGGAACTCGATATTGGTAAGGAAAACCCAAGCAGAGTGAGGAAGATATGCCCATTAAGGGGCAGTCCAGCATGTGGTGTCAGAGACTGAGCAGGATTCAGCCATCTTTGCATGAAGGTGACTCAATGTTGGAACTTGAGCGTAGAGGAAATCTACGCTTACAGGTAGGTGGAGGTGGGGATGGGAGATTGTTTACATACCCAGAGATTGATGAAATAAGTTTATTAAAAACAATAAGAAACAGAATTCTTACTGTTGGAAAGAGTAGTTATAAATACAAAACAGGAGAAAATTGGAATAGACTATGGGCTATGGAATTGGAATTAAAACATCAATGTTGTGTTATTTTTCTATTGCTGCCTTAACAAATTATCACACACTTTATGATTTACAATACAAATTTATTATTTTACAGTTCTGAAAGTTAGAAATCTAACATAGGTCTTACTGGGCTAAAATCAAGGTGTTGGCAGGGGTGCATTTCTTTATGAAACGCAAGATGTCATTTTTTTCCCATGCCTTTTTCAGCTTCTAGAGGCTGCCTGGGTGCCTTAGATTGTGCCCTCTTCCTCCATCTTCAAAGCCAGCAATGACAGGTGAGGCATGCTCACATTGCATCACTACCTTCCTTTTTCACTTTTAAGGTCCCTTGTGATTCCATTGGATGTACCTGTATAATTCTGGAAAAAAACTTCTTTTTTTTTTGTTTTTTGTTTTTTTTTGAGATAGAGTCTTGCTCTGTCGCCCAGGCTGGAGTGCAGTGGTGCAATCTCGGCTCACTGCAAGCTCCACCTCCTGGGTTCACACCATTCTCCTGCCTCAGCCTCCTCAGTAGCTGGGATTACAGATGCCTGCCACCACGCCCAGCTAATTTTTTTGTATTTTTTAGTAGAGATGGGGTTTCACCGTGTTAGCCAGGATGGTCTCGATCTCCTGACCTCATGATCCACCTGCCTCGGCCTCCCAAAGTGCTGGGATTACAGGCATGAGCCACCGCGCCCAGCAAAACTTCCTATTATTAAGAGCAGCTGATTAGCAAGCTTAATTCCAGCTACTACCTGAAGTCTCTTTTGCCACATAAGGTAACTAACATGTTTACAGGTTTTAGGAATTAGAATATGGGCATCTTTGGAGAGCCATTATTCTGCCTACAGAATATTTACAATTTTTAGTATGTATAGATAGAAAAGTAAATATAGATTTAAATGTGTATATGTATTTATACATATATGTGAGCCTGTGGATACACACATATTATTCCCTTGTTCTGTCTACTGGGAAATCCTGGGTCTAATGACACTCCAGTAGTAATGAGCACACGTGAAAGGGCCCAGAGCAGGACTTCTAAATAACATTCTCCACTGTAGAGAATGAGAACACATGGACACAGGGAGGGGAACAGCACACACTGGGACCTGGCAGGGCAGGGGCAGGGGAGGGAGAGCATTAGGAAAAATAGCTAACGCATGCTGGGCTTAATACCTAGGTGATGGGTTGATAGTCGCAGCAAATCACCATGGTACACGTATCCCTACATAACATACCTGCACATCCTGCACATGTACCCCAGAACTTAAAAATAAAAATTAAAAAAAAAAATGAGGGTTCATTGGAGAAATAGCTGATTTAGAGCTGCAGCATGAAAAAATACGATGGGCCTGAAACATCTTTTGATGCCAGAAAGCAAGGAAAGACAGAAAGAAGGATGGGATGTACCAAAAAGACACAGAAGCCAACTTGAAGGGATGCCCACTGGCTAAATTAAAGACAACTGGAGCATTAAAATAAATACTGGTAGTAGCGCATTGTCATACATTGAATAAAATAGGAAGCTATGAATCCACATAGATATTAATAAGCAAGTGAAAATATGGAAAGTTTGGTGAGGAATGCGATAATTATGTAGTTCTAAATTACTCCCCACAAAATACATATTAATTATAAAGGAAACTTTATTCTGGAGAGGAAGATAATACCATGTTAATGAAATAAGCAAAATGCAAATCAAGAGTAAAATAACAAATAGAAATTGGGCATTACTTAACAGAAGTCAAGAAAAGAAGGAACAGGGCATTACTCCTGTGATATTCCTGCCAAAGATGCAGAATAAGAATCCAATCGTAAATTTTTTATACTTAGCTACAGAGATAAAAACTCAGATTTGAAAAGCTTACAAATGATAAAGGAAGAGAAATAGAAATTTGACTATGAGCGTATTTTCAATAAAAACAATAGAAATCAGAAGAGAAGACCATATCTTAAAATTGTTTACCCATGTAAACTCTATTTGAAGGATGAGGATAAAATAAAGACATTGAGAAAAACATAAACTGAGTTGCCACCAAAAAATCTTTACTAAGAATAAATGACAAAGAAATCAAAATATGAAGAAACCTGAATGAAGTGAGTCTGAAATTGAAAATCTTCTACATAAAAAACTCTAGGACTAAATGGCTTCACTGATCAATTCTGTCAAACATTCAGAGGATAACACCAATCTCAGACAAACTCTTTCAGACAATGAAGAAGGAAACATTTCCCAGCTCATTTTGTGAGACCCATATTATTCTGATTTCAAAATCAAAGGCCATTAAAAGAGAACTGTAGACCGATATTCTTCAAGAACATAATATAAAAATCCTTTTAAAAAGGTAATAAATCAAATCCAACCACATAGAAAAAGAGATACTATGATCAAGAGTTTTTTGACAAGAAATTCAAAATTCATTAAAAATCTGAAAACAAATCAATGTACTTCATCATAATAATAGAATAAAGGGAAACAACCACATCATTATATCAATGGTGTGGAAAAAGCATTTAAAAATATTCAACACCATTTTATGACAGAAACACTCAGCAAACTAAAAATAGAAGGCAACTTACTCAATTTAAGAACATCTGTTTAAAACCTAGAACTATCATAATATTTAACATCATACTTTAAGCCCAATGTTTGATCACAAACAAGGCAAGACAATCCACTCTCACCACTTCTATTTAAAATTATATTGGAAGTCCAATGCCACCACCAACACAAAGAAATAAAACCCACATGGATTGGAAGAATAGAAGCAAAACAGTCCTCATTTTCCAGCTATATAACCATGTATGCAAAAAAGCCTTAAAAATCTACATATACTAGAATAATAAATGATTTTAGCAAGATTGCAGAATTCAATACCAATATACAAAAACAATTACATCTCTATATTCAACTAATGTGTGATTAGAAAATAAATATTTTAAACTTCATTTATAATAGTATTAAAAATCCTTAGTGGAAAATTTAATAATAATGCCTAATACTTATACAACAAAAGCTTCAAAACATTGCAAATAAAAAGTAATAAGCACCTAAACAAATGCAGAGATAACTACTGGAATAGTCAACACTGCCTAGATGGCAGTCCTTTACATATTGATTTAGAGATTCAAGGTAATTCCAATCAAAATTCTAACAAGATTTTTTTTTTCATTGGTAAGCTTATTTAAAAATTTACGTGAAAAGGAAGAGATCTAAACTAGCTGTCTTAGTCTGTTTGGGCTGCCACAACAAAATGCTGTCAACCTGGCAGCTTGTAAACAACAAATTTATTTCTCACATTTCTGGAGATAATCAGCAAATTCAGTGTCTGGTGAGGGCTGCCTTCTGGTTCATAGAAATGGCGCCTTCTCTCTGTGTCCTCCCATGGTGGATGGGATGATCAGCTCTGTGGGGTCTCTTTTATAAGGATGTCAATTCCATTCATGAGGGTTCCCCTGCAAAATGAGATCACCTCCCCAAGGCTCCACCTCTCAATACTATCATATTAGTGATTAGGCTTTCAACATAGGAATTTTAGGAGGATACAAACATTCAGACCACAGCACTTACCAAAATAATTTTGGAAAAAAAATTAAAACTCATACAACCTGATTTCAAGGCAATATAAAGCTACATTAGTCAGGACAGAGAGATACTGAAGTAAAGATAGATCCATAAATCAATGGAAAGTTCAGAAATAGACCTGCACTTAAATGGAAAATTGATTTTCCACGTTAAGTGCCAAGTTATTTAAAGAGTGGAAAGTGTGCATTTCCAAAAACAGTGATGAAACTGCTGTGTATATGTACAAAAATAAAAAGAAAAATCATACAATTCCTTCACACCATACACATAAATTTGAAATGAATCAGGGACCTAAACGTATAAGCTAAAGCTATTAACACTTAGAGAGGAAAACATGGAAGAAATCATTTTAACACTAGCTTAAGAAAATATTTCTTGGACGAACCAAAAAGAGTGTATAGACATTGCTGGTATGAAAAAAGGTGGCACAGCCATTTTGTAAACAGTACAGCAGTATGTTAAAAGGTCAGCCCTGCACTTACCATACATCCTAGGTATTTACCTAAGAGAAATGGAAATGTATGCACACACAAACTCTTTTATGTGAATATTCATAGCAGCATTATTCATAATAGATGCAGACTGAATATAGCAAATTCAAATGGTGCCAACTAATCAAATGGTAAAGATAAACAAATTTGACATATCATATTATGAAATACCACTTAGCAATAAAAAGAAATGAAATCCATGATCAATCTCAAAACAGTGCTAAGTGAAAAAAGTCAAATCTAAGACTACATACTCTATCTTCCATTAGAATTAAATCTTTAAAAAGGCAAAACTAAAGGGATGAAAATCAGATCAGCGTTTGCCACAGGGCTGGGAGTGAAGTCTCACAATGAAACTTCTTTAAGGTGAGAGAATTGTTCTGTATCATGGTTATGGTGGAGGTTACAGTGCTGTATATAATTCCCCAAATTGACAAAACTGTTCACTTAAGATGGATGGACTTTATGTAGACAATACCTTAATAAAATAAACTTTTAAAATGTGTTAAATTGCATTCTTGTATCACAATATACACAAAATTCTATTTTAGATGTTTGTAGACTTAAATATGAAAGATAAACTTTGACAGTAAGTTACAAGAATATGTTCTTTTCTGATCCAGGAAATGAAGCATTATTTTTGGAACACAAAAAGCACTAGCCGTAAATGCAAAGATTAGTACATTCAATTTTGTCAAAATTAAAAATGTGTAGTCATTGAAAACGAAGTGAACGCCTTGCCCTGGTTTGCCTGGGGCTTTTCACGTTTTAGCAGTTTATAGTCCTGTGTCCCAAGAAACCCCTCAGTCTCAAACAAACTGGAACAGTGAGTAACTCTATCAAAATTTATTAAACAAAGTGAAGACAACCCCCAACTGTTAACCAGTATCTTCCACAGGTGTAAAAGACAAATAATTCTCTAGAATATTAGTAGGTAAAAGATGGCAAATATCTTATTGATAAATTCACAGAAGCCTTAAATAGACAATTGCAAGAAGAGGGCACATGAAAGGCTAAGAAACATAAAAGGATGTTCTTTCCAGTCTCACCCTGTTAAAAATCTGGGAAATGAAAATTTAAAATGAGATACTGTAGTGATAGACCATTAGAAACCAACACATTTTTCAGAAATGTTTAAAACCTGATGGCACCAAGTATAGGAAAGAATTTGGGGAAATAAAAACTTGTATAAAACTCTAATATAGGCCAGGCACGGTGGCTCATACCTGTAATCCCAGCACTTTGGGAGGCCGAGGTGGGCGGATCACGAGGTCAGGAGTTTGAGACCAGCCTGGCCAATATGGTGAAACCCTGTCTCTACTAAAAATACAAAAAAATTAGCTGGGTGTGGTGGCGTGAGCCTGTAGTCCCAGCTACTCGGGAGGCTGAGGCAGAAGAATCGCTTGAACCCAGGAGGTAGAGGTTGCAGTGAGCCGAGATCGTGCCACTGCACTCCAGCCTGGGAGACAGAGCAAGACTCCATCTCAAAAAAACAAAAGAAGACAAAATAAAAGCCTCTAATATATAAATGGATCAAAAAATTCAATAGAAAAGAATTTGCTAAATAAAATTATGAAGTTGAAATTGTGTATATCCTATGAACTAGTAACCTTACTCCTAATTATGGAGCTGTATAGACATGGAGCATGTATATCAATTGATATTCTGAGGAATCTTTATGGTAGTCTTGATGCTAGTAGAAATAAAGAGAAGGAAGAATAGAAGCAGCATAAATGTCCATTGAAAGGAGATGGATAAATTAATTAAATATATCCACACAGTGAAATACTGTTCAGCTGTGAAAATGAGAATCATAGCTATGATTTTCAACATGGATTTTAAAAACAATGTGGAAAAAAATCAAGTTGTGAAAGAACACCTATAACGGGATACAGTTTTTTCAAGTTCAAAACCAAGAAAAACAAAGAATTATTAATTTATGGATATATGTATGTGGCAATATTATTAAGAAAATACAAGCTTTTAATTTTTCTACATTACACTACTAAAATAAAAATGATAATAGCATCACGTGCTAGCAAAGATGTAGAGAAATGGGCATATTTACCAAGAGAGAATGTGACTGTCACAATATTGAAAAGTAATGATTTTCATGACGATATCTACTAAAATAAAAAGTAATGATTTTAGTGACATTATCTACTGAAGTCAAAATAAATATACGTCCTTGAACTCAGGAATTTTATGTATTGGAATTGATCCCATAAAAATAAAATTGCTTCTAAGTAAATGTGGTTGTGCAAAGATGCATTATTAATTGTGTTAAAAACAAAATAGAAGCAAATGAAATATCCATCAGTAGAAAAATAAGTAAATCAATGGTGGCATATTACTCTGCAAAATTATCCAGCTAATCAAAAGGCTGAGTTAGACTTTGAGGCATAGTTATTTAATTTTGTTAGATGAGAATAAAAACTTGCAAAACGTGTAAATATAATCTTGCTTTTGTAAATAATTTATTTGTAAAATAAATAACTCAAGTCCTAAGCATTTGTGCATCAGTACATTTATACTTGTTTTGTGGGGAAAGAAATGAATTAATGCACATCAACTTGCTAATATTTCTTACCTTAGGAATGGAAATAAAATGGAAAGGGAAGAGAAGATTAATTTTTAAATACAACTTTGCATTGTTCTACTGCTTCAAAAGAGGATATGTTACTTTGTTAATATAAAAAACTTTAAACAAAAATATTTTTTCAAATAGTTTATGTCCACTAGGGAAATTTTGGAATGTTTAGTTTCCAAAATGTGTTCCAGAGAATTGTATTTGAGGATACATTTAAACAATTATCTTAGCTGAATGATGCTACATTACTTAATAATTTTACTTGTGATATGAATTTTTAAGAGGAGGATTTCCAATTTCATCCATGTCCCTACAAAGGACATGAACTCATCATTTTTTATGGCTGCATAGTATTCCATGGTGTATATGTGCCACATTTTCTTAATCCAGTCTATCATTGTTGGACATTTGGGTTGGTTCCAAGTCTTTGCTATTGTGAATAATGCCGCAATAAACATACGTGTGCATGTGTCTTTATAGCAGCATGATTTATAGTCATTTGGGTATATACCCAGTAATGGGATGGCTGGGTCAAATGGTATCGCAAGAACAAAAAACCAAACACCGCATATTCTCACTCATAGGTGGGAATTGAACAATGAGATCACATGGACACATGAAGGGGAATATCACACTCTGGGGACTGTGGTGGGGTGGGGGGAGGGGGGAGGGATAGCATTGGGAGATATACCTAAGGCTAGATGACGAGTTAGTGGGTGCAGCGCACCAGCATGGCACATGTATACATATGTAACTAACCTGCACAATGTGCACATGTACCCTAAAACTTAAAGTATAATAAAAAAAAAAAAGAGGAGGATTTCACTTGTAGAATTTCTTAAAACATTTGATCACTTGGAATAGCTCAAGAACTATAGCACCATAAAACCAATTCTCTGAAACAGTGTCCTAATCCTACGTCCCAGACATAACTGCTGTCAACCTGAAGTACAGTTCTTTCTAATCTTTTGCTAGCATTTTTACTTTGTGTAGATCACATGGTACAAATAATTTTACTTCCTTTTTCTTCTCAATGTTATGTCATGAACATTGTTCTGATCAGTGTACATATTTTTGTGGACATCAGTGATAGTTTAGTTGCAATTCCGGTATAAATGTTAATGAAAAATGTAACCAACACAATACTAAATTCTAATGCAAGATAGTAAAGAATATGATTAAGCTGCAAATAGTGTGCTTGTGTAGTTTACGCTAAAGGTTTTAAAGAGGCTGACCAAAAATGATGGGTGTCTGGAGATAAGAGGAAAGACCATGCAGAGAAGGGATGTGAGCAAAGGCTGGAAAGACTGGAACACAAGATCAAGGCAGCCTAGCCGGGATGAGAGCAAGTACATATAACCTGAATAATAAATAAGCATGCTCCAGGTAGGAGGTATAGATTCCAGTAAAGAGTAACCTGACTTGTTAATACAGGAGTTCACAAAGGCTTAAGGGTAAGATCCAATTATTATTATTATTATTATTTTTTTTTTTTTTTTTTTTTTTTTGAGACAGAGTCTCGCTCTGTCGCCCAGGCTGGAGTGAAGTGGCCCGATCTTGGCTCACTGCAAGCTCCGCCTCCCGGGTTCACGCCATTCTCCTGCCTCAGCCTCCTGAGTAGCTGGGACTACAGGCGCCTGCCACCGCTCCCGGCTAATTTTTTGTATTTTTAGTACAGACGGGGTTTCACCATGGTCTCGATCTCCTGACCCCGTGATCCACCCGCCTCGGCCTCCCAAAGTGCTGGGATTACAGGCGTGAGCCTCTGCGCCCGGCCAGATCCAATTCTTAAGCATTCTATAGAAATAAGTGATGCTAGTCATTGTGTTGCAGAGATATGTGGTAATTGAGACCCACAATAAAAAGATTTATGTTTTCTGCATACACTGAGCTATCTTCACTGCTCCACAATTCTCCTGTTCGTGGATATGCCCATCCCTTGAAAAGTGGAAGCCACTGTGAGGATTTAATTGAAAAATGCATAAGCCATTAGGGAATAATAATAAGTACTGACATTTTTAGAGTAATTTACAAATCCCTCATACATGCGTTATCTAGTTTTCTCTGTTCAATCAACTTGTGAGAGTTAAGTATTGCTTTCTTAACTTAATAAATAAGAAAATTAAGACTCAAAGAGCTTGAGTGGTTTGTCCAAAGTCACAACATTAATTAGTGAATGAGCTGGGATTCGCACCCAGATGTTCTATCTTTTGCTCTTTCTGCTCGACTGTTTTCATTCTTTGGCATTGTTACCCTGATGATAAAGACAAAGGATATTGGTATGTTTATGTTGTTATGTGTCTAGTCATGATATTTTTAAATTTGAATTTATTTTATAGTCATCTCTTCATGTAATTTTTTTTTCCAGTAAGGATCCATGGGTAGCCTGTCTCTAAGCTGTTGGAGAGCTGTGAATATATTTCTGTTGTCACATGCATGAGAAATAGCTGGGACATGTGTAAAGATTTTGGGTCACAACCTTCTTCTCTTCAAACTCATGAGCTGTCACTCCTCTTCATTCTGGCTTTTGATAGTGAAGAAGTCTGAGTCAGACTGATTTGTGCTTTTTGTTAGCAACCTGTTTTGTTTGTTTCTCTCCTTTTTTCTTAGCTGAGAGTGCTTGTCAAAATTTCCTTTATCCTGGTACATCAATACTGCTGGCACCTGTCTTTTTTTCACTGATTTCATCAAAGAAGCAAGAGCACTTTTGTCATTACCTTCTAATCTAATTTCCTATGAGGGTCTTTTAAAATTATGTCTCTTTTGTCCATGTTGCAGTTGCTTTGTTTTTTTTTTTCCTTCGTGAACTTTTGCACCTTTAGAGCAGACCTCCCCTCCTTGTCCTTCATATTCATTTCTGTTGTGGTTTTCTCACTTGTTTTTTCTTTAGCATTCCAGAATAACTTCTCAGTTAATTCCCTATTTATTTAATAAATATTGAGTGTTACCCTATGCCATTGATTGTTCTAAGTGTTGGGGATACAACAGAGAACAAGAGAGACAAACAAACAAAAATATCTGTCTTTGTGGAGCCTACAAAAGAAAATAGAGCTATGGAGAATATTTTAGAAAGTGCCAAATACTTTGGAGATAAATAAAGTGAAAGTGAGGGTCAGAAGAGGGAAACTGAACTTTTAAATGGGGTGAGAAAAGAAGATCTTACTAAGAAGGAAATATTTGAGTAAAAACATCAGGTAGCTGAGAGAGTGAGCCAACCGGATACCTCAAAGAGTCTCCCAGACAGAATAAACAGCAAGTGCAGTTGTCCTGAGACAGGAGAATACTTGTGTGTTCCAGGAAGACCCTGGCCAGAGAGAGAGTAGTAGGAAATGAGGCCAGCAAGGAATCAAAAGCCAGATAAAGAAAGGCCACATTAGTAAGAGTGAAACTTTTGGCTTTTGTACTGAATAAGAGTGAAAGGCAGTGAAGAGTTTTGAGTAGAGGAATACCATAAGCAAATTTGATTTTTAATAGAATTACTCTGCCTGCTGTGCACAGGGCCAAGGGCAGAAAGAGACACATCAGTGAGAAGGTTGTTACATCATCATCCTCATGAGAGATGATGATGACTTCAATCAGAATGGTAGAGCCATGGGGCTGGATATTTAATGTTGTTCACAATGAGATTTCTGATGAATTGGATGTGGAAACATAGATGTTTGTAGGGGGAAACTGGAAGAACAGGGTTACATTTTAACATGGTAAAAACTCTGGGAGAAGTAGGGAAAGGAGACCAGAAATACGGTTTAAAGCATAATATTTATGTAATTTTTTTGGTCTGGCTTCTTTTGCTCAAGTGTTTATTTGTAACATTCATACTTGTTAACAAATGTAGCCATAGTTTGTTTATTTTGGAAAACTTTTCCCGTAAAGAAGACAGTAAACATTTTTGGATTTGCAGACCTGAGGGCCATTAGCCATAGGCAATATGTAAAATAAGCATGGCTGTATTTCAATAAAATGTGTATACAAAAATAGTAGGCCAGATCTGACCCACAGGCTGTAATTTCCTGATCCCTGATCTACACTGTTCTCTTGTGCAACTAGGTCATGGTTTGTTATCATATCTTTTTTTGTTTGTTTGTTTGCTTGTTTGCTTGTTTTTAGAGACAGGGTCTCAGGTCTTGCTCTGTCACCTAGGTTGGAATGCAGTGGTGCAATCATAGCTCACTGTAACCTCCAACTCCTGGGCTCAAGTCATCCTCCGGCCTCAGCCTTCTTAGTAACTAGGACTACAGGTGAGCACCACCACACCTGGCTTTTTCTCTTCTCCTCTCCTCTCTTCTCCTCTCTTCTCCTCTCCTCTCCTCTCCTCTCCTCTCCTCTCCTCTCCTCTCTTTTCCTCCCCTCTCCTCTGCTCTTCTTTCCTTTCCTTAGAGATAGGGTCTCTCTATGCTGCCAAAGCTGGTCTCAAACTTCTGGCCTCAAGCAATCCTCCTACCTCAGCCTCCCAAAGCTCTGGGATTACAGGCATGAGCCATGGTGACCACATCATGTCATTGTTGATGGGCATTTGGGTTGTTTCAGTTTAGGGTATTACAAATATTGCTTCTAAGAACCTTCTTGAATGTGTCTCCTGTTGTGCACGTGCTCACATTTCTATTAGGTATTTGTAAAGAAATGGAATTGCTGGGTCGTAAAGCATGACACTCTTCAGTTTTGATAATGTTATACTTGTAAGAATTAAAGAAAGAGGAAAGAAACATGAAAGGTGGCTCACTAGTCAAGACAGGTTTATTTTAGAGAAAACAAACTTGAGAGGAGCTTCTGGCCGAGTTAGATAAGAGGCCCACTCTCTTATAGACTAAGAGTTTTTAAGGATACAGGGTGGGAGAGTTTATCAGAGGCTTGGACTGCTTCTGTGTCTTTCTGTTGTGCTTATCTGGGAGGGAGAGTTGTGTGTTTGTTCCCATACATTTTTCTGCAGTTACAGGCATACCCCTAAATCTGCTTTTAGCTTCCCTATCTTAGCGCACCTAAAGAAAAAGGAATGTGCTTATTAAGGCCCACTGTTTTACTGGGGCGTATTGTATGAGGGTGAAGTTTGGCAGTTACCCAGGAGACTTACCCCAACCTCCCTCTGTGCCCGAGCTGTCTTATCTGTGTTTTACTGTCTGCTCTTTCTGGCTGCTTGTAGTTAGAGGAGAAAGGATTTTCTTAAAATGCATGAAACTACAAAGGGAGCTGGAACTTAAAGTGGCAGTGTTTGTCCAAGATGACGGTGCTTCTGCTCTGTCAATACTGTTTTCCAAAATGATTCTACACTTTAACTTCCAAATCTGTGTATGAGAGATCCTGTTGTTCCACAATCTCACCAACAATTAGCTACTGTCTCCCTTTTAATTTTAATATTCTAATGAGTGTTTAGTGACATGTCATTTTGGTTTCAATTTCCATTACTTGATTACTGATGAGGATTAACACTTTTACATGTTTATTGGCTGCAGAAGTTTTCTTTCACATGTGGCTGACTAAAAAATTTTGTCCACATTCCTAAAGCTGTGTGTTCTCATTATTTGATAACTCTATCAAATAATTTTTATAGATTATGTTACATTTACCTGTACATTTATTCTTTTTGATGTTATTATTCATTCTTGCATTTCAGAGCTTCCATATAACATATCTTCTTTCTGCACTGAAGAACTGTTCTTAGCGTTTGTATTGGTGCAAATTCTGCTGGTGATACATTTCCTTCATTTTTGCTTCTTTGAAAAGATCTTAAATTTACATTAATTCTTGGAGGGACGTTTTTCCTAAGTATGTTTTTGTGTTTGTTATTTTGTTTTTGTTTCTTCTTTTTTTTGAGATAGAGTCTCACTCTGTTACCCAGGCTGGAGTGCAGCGGTGCCATCTCAGCTCACTGCAACCTCTGCCTCCTGGGTTCAAGCAATTCTCCTGCCTCAGCCTCCTGAATAGCTGGGATTACAGGCATACACCACCATGCCCATATAATTTTTGTATTTTTAGTAGAGATGGGGTTTTACTATTTGTCCAGGCTGGTCTTGAACCCCTGACCTCAGGTGATCTGCCCTCCTTGGCCTCCCAAAGTGCTAGGATTACAGGCGTGAGCCACCACACCCAGTGCTAAGTATGGTATTTTAGATTGGCTATCCTTTTCTTTCAGTACTTTGAAGATATTATTCCTTCATATTCTGCTTTCTTTGTTTCTCTGATAAATAGGCTGTATTATTGCTGGTTATCTGAAGCTAATATGTCTTCCCTCACTTCACTTTTTTTTTTTTTTTTTACCAAGACTTCCAGCACTGCACTGTTTTGATTACTACAGCTCTATAATAAACCTTGTATCTGATAAAACAGATTCTTTCACTTCTGTAACCATATTCATTCTTCTTTTTTTTTTATTATACTTTAAGTTTTAGGGTACATGTGCACATTGTGCAGGTTAGTTACATATGTATACATGTGCCATGCTGGTGCGCTGCACCCACTAACTCGTCATCTAGCATTAGGTATATCTCCCAATGCTATCCCTCCCCCCTCCCCCACCCCACCACAGTCCCCAGAGTGTGATATTCCCCTTCCTGTGTCCATGTGATCTCATTGTTCAATTCCCACCTATGAGTGAGAATATGCGGTGTTTGGTTTTTTGTTCTTGCGATAGTTTACTGAGAATGATGATTTCCAATTTCATCCATGTCCCTACAAAGGACATGAACTCATCATTTTTTATGGCTGCTCATCATCACTGGCCATCAGAGAAATGCAAATCAAAACCACAATGAGATACCATCTCACACCAGTTAGAATGGCAATCATTAAAACGTCAGGAAACAACAGGTGCTGGAGAGGATGTGGAGAAATAGGAACACTTTTACACTGTTGGTGGGACGGTAAACTAGTTCAACCATTGTGGAAGTCAGTGTGGCGATTCCTCAGGGATCTAGAACTAGAAGTACCATTTGACCCAGCCATCCCATTACTGGGTATATACCCAAAGGACTATAATTCATGCTGCTATAAAGACACATGCACACGTATGTTTACTGCGGCATTATTCACAATAGCAAAGACTTGGAACCAACCCAAATGTCCAACAATGATAGACTGGATTAAGAAAATGTTTTTAAGATTTTAATTTTTGCCCTTAGTTTTTAGCAGTCATGTTATCATGGTCCTAGGTGTGGTTTGCTTTATATTAATCTTGCATGAGATTTAGACATTTCCTCAATCTGTAATTTATTTTGTCATTTTAAGAAAATTCTTATTGTTTTTTGGCCCTTCCCCTCCCTCTTCTTTCCTTCTGGGTCTCCAATTATATGTGCATTTAAGACTTTTTTGCTAGCTTCTCTATGTATGCTACACATTTTTCTGGATTTTTCATTCTTTTGTCTTTACATGCTTTATTTTGGATATAATAAAATATAATATAACTTTGGGGGTTATCCTCTAGTTAACTAATTCTACTTCTGGCTTCGTCTAATCTGCTCTTTAACTCTTTAACACATAACACATTAAGTTATTTATAGTTACTATATATTTTCATGTCTACAATTTTGATTTGGTTTCTTTTTATAGTTTTCAAGTCCCTGTCAAAATTATCAATCCTATATTTACATTCTTAAACATATTTAACAGAGTTGTTTATTTGTTTTATCTATGTCTGACAGCTTTATTATATTTGTCACCTCTGCATCCATTTTTGTTGTTCATTTTTTCTCTTGATTTTATATCATGTGATTTTACTCCATAAAATCCTGTTAATTTTCTATTGAGCACTGAATTGTCTAAATAAAAATATATTCAAAAATTCAGCCTTAGGAGATTTACTTTCTTCTAGAGAAGGCATAAACCTAGAGGATCAACTCAGAAATAATTTAATCTAGTATCAGTTATTAAATAACTCAAAACTCGGCTTCAATCCCTTTGCAGGTTGATCTGTTGACCTTTATTCATAGGATGTAGCCTGTATGGTCATATTCTAAGACCTGAATGGAGTACTACACATCATTAACAAGTACTGAAATCACATTTTTTGTTTGTTTGTTTGTTTACTCTACAAACCCATGAGGCTGTTGAAATCTCATTTCAGCTTCCCTACCCCTAATCTGCCTTTTGACAAACTGGGAGGATTTTAGAAAGAAAAATGGCTCTAAAGGCCAAAACTATCTCTCAAGATTTTGTTATATTATTTAATGTTGGCTGTTTAATTCTTTATCTCCTTATTGGCCCTAAAATTCATTCAAATAAATGTGCAAATACTTTTGGTTTTAAACATTTTGCCCATTTTTTAAAATATTTTTTTCAACAGAAGGTTAGTCTGAATTTCATAGTCTGCCATTCAGGAAGCAGAATTTCTGACTTTTCCTCCTATTTTTTCTATTTTGGGCAATTATTTTAATTGTGCTATTGCAGTGTTTTCCGTTTCTTAGCCATCTTTTACTTCACTAATTTGCATATTTTCATCTCATCCTACTATCTTTTCTGCTAACCAGTTCTTCCTTATGGGACTCTGCCTTTGTTTCAGAGAGGCAAGATTTTCTCACATCTTGCTGAAAATACCAGGCTGTTTTCTCAAATATCCATAAGGTTTTTATTCTTCTGAGTTTTCAGGATAATGTTCCCTTTCTTTTATCTAAAAATTTGTCCCCCGATTTATTCAAATTGGTCTTTCTGGGTTTTTTTTGTTAGAAGTTCTTTCAGACTTATTGACAGAGTTTATAGATCACTATTAATAGGTTCTGTCAGCTACAGTGGTCAGCTATAGACAGGTCTATAGCTGAGTGGCAGGTTTATTTGTACAACTCTTAGACCAATTATCAAGCAGCTGTCATTGAATAGGTTTGAACTGGGCTAAAATGTTATTTTCTTTGAAGATATAAAACAGCAAACATCATAAGCCCCAGTATATGTACTCTATCACAGTTCTTCCTGTTTCTGCCTTTCCCCTCCTACTCATAGTACCACCTGGGAGGATTTTCCCTCTAGTATGCAGCACTACAGAGTGTTTGTGTGTGTGTTTAAGATACTCCAACCTTGACAATTTTTTTTGTTTTTGTTTTTTTGAGACAGTCTTTCTCTGTCGTCCAGGCTGGAGTGCAGTGGCACCATCTTGGTTCACTGCAACCTCCGCCTCCCAGGTTTAAGCGATCCTCCTTCCTCAGCCTCCCGAGTGGCTAGGACTATAGGCACATGCCACCAAGCCCAGCTAATTGTTTAAATATTTTTCAAAAAGACAGGGTTTCACCATGTTGACCAGGCTGGTCTCAAACTCCTGACCTCAGCTTATCTGCCTGCCTTGGGCTCCCAAAGTGCTAGATTACAGGCATGAGCCACTGCGCCTTGCCGACAATTTTATTAACTTCTAAGCCCCATATTCCTCATCAGTACAATGGGGGTAATAATATAACTGCTTTTGTAGGACCATTAATTGAGATAATCAATGTAAATTTATTAGCATAGTGTTGACTTAAATAAATGTTAGCTATTATCAGCAGCAGTAAGAAGTAGTACCAACATTACTGCCATTAATTTGCTGTAACCTGCCTATCAGCCTTATTCTAATCTGCTGCATTCAGATAGAGATGATTTGATGAGAACATTGGTGTTTGGGGAGTGGAGCAGTTTGTTGGCTCTTTGCAAAGCAGTATTCATTGCAGTAAAGAGATCGACATTAAATTTTCTGATAGGTGTAGTTTTATATGCGTGTTAAGCACTGGACGATGGAGGAAGTATTAGGCAGTCTCATACATCTGTGGGTATCAAATACATAGTAAAAATGAGTGCAGTAGGCCAAGTGTAATTAAAAGGGCTGATAGAAACTGTGGCAAATCTTAGCGTGCCTGGTATTTTGTAGGTAGCCATACTTTAGTTCCAGTTAATTGATATTGTGTTGAAATGTGGGTTGAGTGATTTCTCCAGATGATGGTCATTGAGATTTTTAAGTGAAGTAGGCTTTCATATTTATGTGAATGCATTTTTAAAAGATCTTGGAGATCAATCAAAATCTGTATGAGCTGCATGTGGCCCATGTTCTGTGCCTTTATGACCTCTAACCTATAAGATAATGCCCACATCTTATCAATAGCATCTCATGACCTGTGCTATGGTTTAAATGCATTTGTCCTTCAAAATTCATATGTTAAAACTTAAACTCCAATGTGATAGTATTAAGAGGTGAGGCCTTCAGGTGGTGATAAAGTCATGAGGGCAAAGCTTTTATGGGTGGGATGAGTGCCCTTATAAAAGGGCTAGAGGAAACTACCTCGGCCTTTGTGCCCTTCTGCCATGTGAGGATACAGTAACATGGCACTATCTTGGAAGCAGGGAGCAACCCTCACCAGATGTCGGTTCTGCTGGTACTTTGACTGTCCAACCTCTAGAACTGTAAGGAATATACTTCTGTCCTAATAAATCACCCGGTCTCAGGCATTTTGTTACAGCAGCAGGAACTGACTAAGGCAACCTAACTTCAGAAATCCACTTCAGAGTTATCTTTCACCTCTTGTTGACTTTTTGTTTATACTTTGTTAATGTCAAAGTGCTTTAAAGATTCCTCTCACTGTCTTCTAAGCCCCTGGTATGTCATAATGACCCTAAATAGTTTTCATATTATTCTGGGCATACAGACATAATTGTACATGAAGCACAGTTCTAAGACATCTGTTTTTCATTGTCCCCCTTCAACCATTAATTTCTTGAAGCTGAAACCCATGTCCTCTCCATCTCTTCCCTCAGTGACTGACACGCGGTTGGCTCTCAGATAACATGTGTTGAAATACACTGAATTTATTGAAAGGAATGTGGTAACTGTTATGATCAGTTTTTGTACAAGGACAGATGGGGCATAGAGGGCATGAAAGCAAACACTCATCATGTATCCTTCTCTTTACTCATCATTTTTATGTCTGAAGAACCAAAGATTTGTAAGACCCCCAAAGGCAAAATGTGCTTGAGGCATTTCCAGTAGGATTATTTCGCTGTATTATACCATTCAAATAGCAATGACAAGATTGGCATAATAGTAACCGTAACTATAATTTATTTAAGTGGTTGTGAAACAATGTTCTTTACTAAGCAGTTTATAGAAAATAAGTTTTTAATCTTCATGCCAGCTATATAAGGCACATATTGTTATTGTGCCCATTTACCAGATAAATACTTTGAGGCTTACAGAGATTTCTTATGATACTACAACTAGAAACAGGTGGTTCCAGTACCCAAACCCAGGTCTAACTCCTCACCCCTTTATTCCACCTCACCAGTGACCAGCAACATCAGTGACCTCTGGATGATTTTCTCTCCTAACAAACTTGAACCCAGAAAGAATCCACACTTTTTTGCGTTTTTTTCCATAACAGTTTTAAAAAGGTAAAGGACCAGAACAAGATCAGAGGCACTCTGGATAAAAAATACTGCATTTCATGGCTCAGATTGTGCCTCTAAGCATGCTTTCAGTATACAGATCCTTTTAGAAAAAGAGGCACTCTAATGAATGGACTGGTTTTTGAGAAATCACTTCTCTCTGCCTGAGAATAGAGGACAAAGCAAGGACCCTGGAGTCATGTATTCTTGAGTTCAAATCCCCACACTGTCACTTTGTGACCTTCTATGAATTGACTATATTCTTTCAGGTTTATTTGCCTTATATATGAAATAGAAATGATAATGCTCTGCTGGACTCACAGGTTTATTATGAAAATCAAATGACAAACTGTGTGGGAAAGAGCTTTTGAAACTGTAGAGCACCATACACACAGAAAGAATGGTTATTATTCTGCTGAAATGGCATTCCCCAAACCATTTTTTATGAAAGTAGAAATTTGGGGCAGGGGCTAGGGATGCACTGTGTGTAGTGGCCCTGCTTTGATAACCGTATAGTAGTTTAAGTAGTCAGCAAATCAGTGGAAACCAGGCTATCAAAGCTAGACATATACATTATATTATATAGACTTCCGCTTTGCCAGGGACTTAAAATCTCACCTTGTAATAAAGCAATACAGATTTTGTTGAAATGCACATCAATGAGCAATAAAAAGCAAGAAGGAAACAACAAAAAAAGATATTGGTCACAAAAGCAGACCTCTATGGAGATGGAGGGAAGAAATCCATTGTGCTTTTTATTAATACATAGCTCCTACCCAAATTCATCTTTATAAGAACCTCAAGCCAAGTAGACATGATTTTCATCATACTTATGTCCATACAATAGAGAGGAAATTTCCACTCAACTGTCAAGTGATGCTAAGGAAAGCAGGCTGAGATTTCTCTTTCCCTCGGGCATTATGTGTATCAAACCCACAATCTCTGATTTAAAGCTATCCTTTGCATGACAATCTGTTTTATAAAACAAAACCAATATCCCTTACTCTCCCATGTTCCTTTTACTGGGAAATAAACAACTCATTTGTTATCAATTTATTTATCATAGATTTACTCTGGGAGAATGCCCTGGGAATTTGGGTCTCGGTGCTACTGAATTAGCAGATGTGATTTCGATAGTATTTCACAGCAGGAGAGAGCCTGTCTCACGAAGAACCCCCTTGCTGTCTATTAATTAACAACTAGTGGATGGTTCTATGCAATAAAGAAGCCAGTAGATAATTGAGAAACACACCAGTAGGTGACAGAATATGCTCATTAAGAAAGAGAAAGGCAATTTGAAATATTTAAAAGAGAATAATAATGGTAATAATGATTATACTAATAATGATAATAAAAATAAGTACTTATTGAATACTTATCGGGCACCGTTCTAAGCATTCACATACATCATTTAATTCTCACAACAACCTGTGAGGTATGCCATATTATTATCTTGATTGTACAAATGAAGAAACTGAGGCAGAAAGAGGTTAAGGAAATCCCCAAAGCTTGACAACTGCAAAGAGGCAGAGAACCTACAAAGTTTAATTTAAAAGGAATCATATGGCTGGGCGTGGTGGCTCATATCTGTAATCCCAAAATTTTGGGAAGCCAAGGCAGGAGGGTCATTTGAGACTCTCAAAACCAGCCTGGGTAACGGGTAACATAGTGAGACCCCATCTCTACAAAAAAATAAAATAAATTAGCTGGGTATGGTGACAAGCACCTGTAGTTCCAGCTACTCAGGAGGCTGAGGCACAAGGATCCCTTGAGCCCAGGAGTTCGAGGTTGCAGTGAGCAATGATCACATCACTCATCACTATACTCCAGCCTAAACAGTAGAGTGAGACTCTGCCTTAAGAAAAGAAATTATTCTTTTTCCTTCAAATAATCTCCTGATGTTACCAGCCTTTGTTTGGCATAAAGACACAGAAATAAAGAAAACATTATTCTTGACTTCCAACAGCTACTCTCTAACTAAGACACTGTCTTGCTTTTGTTGACCTGATTCTATTTTCTAGGTCACAAGCTCGTGTTTCACTCACTGACCACCTTCCACTTCCTGGGTCATAGTTCTAATTTTATTTTACTGACCTACTTCAACTTCCTAGATCAATAACTTATCTGCATTCACTGACCTTGTTCTACTTCCTGGGTCATTAACTCACATCTCGCTGACCTTGATTTTGCTCCTTGGTTCTCCTTAATAGAATATGGACATATTTGGACCTCAAAAATAAAGATGCAAAAACATGAAATATTACCTTCATGGTTGTTGCTTTGTAAGCAATACCAAGAACGGAGGAAGCTTTTGTCTGTTTGAAATCTTTTTATCCTTAAAGTAAAAAAGCATTAGGGAACCCAGAATTTAGACTGAGGCCACAAAGAGTCTTTTGAGACTTATTTTCTCTGAAGATAAGAAAAACGTGTTACAACTGTGAATTCAGATCCTGCAACTGTCACAGTGCAAGCAGTTCGGCCTAAAAAGAGTAAATCCAGAATACCCCTCTAGGTCTTTCTTTTTTTAAATTGAGATTTCCATATATGAGCCTTTTTCCTTTAATAATAAATAAATAAGACACTTCTGTGTCTTATTAGCTTCTGCCTATTAATTCTCTGAATTTAAGACAGACATGCAATACAAGAGTGGTAAAAGCAGCAAAAGTAATGTTTTGTTTAAAAAAATTATGGAATTCAGGTCAGCATTAAAAAAGCATAAGCTGTTAATGACACTCTTACCAGACACTGCTGGGTAGCTGAGACTCAAGATCAGAAACACGTAGGTCACATACCAGCTCAGCTCTTTGAGCCTTAGTTTCCCCTCCATAAATGAGGAAAAAAGTACAAAACTCTCAGTAACTCAAGTACAAAAATATATATGAATACTTATATATATATTCATATATATGAATCTTATATATAATTATATATAATTTTTATTGCATATTTTATTATTTATATATTTTATTATATATTACTTTATTATATATTATATATTTTTTACTTTATTATATACTATATATTCATATAGATATATGAATAGCTAATTTTTACTGACAGCTTACTAGGTGCCAGCACTGTGCTAAGGTTTTAAGGTATGTACATCAACTGAGGTCTCAAACTGGAAGCGCATGACATGTTTGTTTTGTATGTTGGCATGTTTTTTAACCACTAGCTGTTCCATTATTTTAAAATTAGTTGTCATCATTTTAAAATGGGGGAATTTTACCATGTATTTTTGCCATTTTTGCCTTTCTGATTGCTTTTTCTTTTTTTAATGGCAAAGCTGAGTAATAAATACCTATGTTAGGTTAGACACATGCTCTGCAGTTTCCTCCAGGTCCCACTCTGCCCTGTTACATGGCACATAGCTCATGTCACCAATGATACTATCTTCTTGTCCCCTATAGACTTTTGAGTTTGCCACATCTGCGTCACAACTTAATTCTTGAAAAGGCCGTATAAAGTAAGTATTACCTTTTGTTGGAACATATAAATAAAATCTATTTTTAAAATAAGTTTTTCAACTCATGCTAGTTAACTTTCTCCTTCACTTTTTATCTGAAAAATTTGGTTGGGTTTCAACGTGGATGGGAAGGCTTAGTCTTAAAAGTTTAATTAAATACAGCTGAAAAGAGAGGCTCTTTGGGGGAAGCTTTCATTCGAAGAAACATAAACTGGTATTCAAAGGAAATTCAAATGCAAACATAAATCCACCAAATGTCCACTCCCGCTGTTAAAGGTAGATGAGACGCATCATTATCTGATTTCAACCAAAGGGCTTATTAAGGTGAAAATGTTTTAAGAATTACAATAAGTTTTGAGCTGGAATTTGGTTACTGCCAAAAGAATTGCAGGTTCTAAGAAAAAAGCATGGGGACTAATTTTGGAGATGGATTGTAAATTATTTATGGAACCTTTGAAAAAGGTCGGCTTCACCAGGGCCCTCTGAGAAATGCAATACTGCTATTCCAGATGCTGCTTCCTCAGGATGCCTGCTCTTTATCAGCATCCCTGTCTCCATGGTGATAGGTAAGTGCTCATCCCTCCATCTCCCTCCCCAGCCTCTACCACCCGCAGCAAACCTTAACAGGATGAAGAGCCCTCTGGGGGCCATGCACTGCAGCTTCAAGACATAAACAACTCCATGGGTGGTTGCCGTGGCCGTTCTTCATCCCCATTCTGTTTACCCCAAGGTACAATGGCAACGCACTTAAGTGCATCGAAACAAGAACTGATACATTTCAATAAATCACTCCAGCCAGGTGGTCACCAAGCTAGTGTTCTGAGAAGCTGGGGTTACAAGGCAACCTTGCCCATCATTCATCATTAGAAACAATGCCAATCTTGGAGTCCATCTTGGACATGGAGTGCTTCTCCAGTTTTATACAGGGAATGAAAAGAATGAAAAGAATGCCAGGAAAATTCAGATTTGGATTCAGGCAAACCTAGGGCTGATGTCTGCTTCCTTTACTTAGTAGTTGTGGGGACCTGGTCAAATCAGTTTGCCTATCTGAACAAAGGTTTGCTCATGTGTAAAACACAAGTAATACTACATACTTCAAAATTGTTTTCAATATGAAAGGAAGTTTATATATGGATAGTGACCAACATGTAATGGCAATAATAATTGGTAATATTTTTATGATGGGAGGGGATCTATAATGGGAGATCTTTGTAGAATGGTGGATAGTCATTAAATAATAAAAGATAAGATCTTCCAAGTAAATCCCATTTCATTTCTCTCCTCCACCCAAGTATGTAACATACACATGTGACTAGTAGCAACTTGTACTCAAGATCTGCCTGCAGCTAGTGTAGGCATACACTACCCGTGTGGTTCACAGTTTAGTTCCTCCATCAGGTACTCTACTGAAGTCTAGTATGCATTCTCTTCCATAGAGTGGACATCTTGCCCCCATACCCTCAATAATATCAGTGTATCTCTTCAAGTTTAGAAATTGTGTTGAATACAGATGTGAGAATCGGCTTGGATTCACTCTCCTCCAAAGAAAATACATGTCATTTTCAGAATCAAGCTAGTCTTAGTCTTCCTGTCAATGCTTCATCACCAACTGTATTAGTCCATTCTTGCACTACTATAAAGAACCACCTGAGACTGGGTAATTTATAAAGAAAAGAGGTTTAATTGGCTCACGTTCCACAGACTGTACAGGAAGCATGGGGAGGCCTCAGGAAATGTTCAATCATGGCAGAAGGGAAAGGAGGAGCAGTACCTCTCACAGCCTGAGCAGGAGGAAGTTGGGGGCAGGGGCTGCACAACTAGATCTCGAGAAAACTCACTCACTATTGCCACAACAATGCCAAGGGGGATGGTATTAAACCACGAGAAACCAGCCCCGTGATCCACACCGCCCACTAGGCCACACTTCCAACAATGGGGATTACAATTCAACACAAGATTTGGGTGGGGACAGAGATCCAAACCATATCACCACAGTTCTTTATTTTCCTGATCCTAGAATTTGAATATTTTCTCCATCAACAAAACTCAAAGTGGAATAAGCATTATCATTCCCATCTTAACATGTGAAAACTGATGTTCATAAAAGTCACGTGACTCATCCAAGGCCACACAGTTCGTGAGTGGCAGAGCTGAACAGCACACAGGTTGTCTGAGCCCTACTCTTACTCCAGTACTCATCACACTGCATGAGGGTGCCTTTCATAATAATCTGCTAATTTTTTTTTACATTGCAAAAGTGCTATTGATACCATTAGAATTAGTCTCACTTTCAAAAGGCACAGTTATTTCAGGTAATGTTATAAAGAAATATGGTAATTGAAATGGTTGAATTCTTTTAGCAATGAGTCATCAGCGATCAAGCCTGACAAATCAGTTGTTCTTTTTTAATCACAGCCTTCTTGCCGTAATCAGAGGGATGACCTACTTAACCATGGAAATATTGGCTTCATTCGAGTTAACTTTGCTGGTAATATGCACGTATGTGTTTAATTCCATTTTTGATCCAAACTGCCACAATTGTATCTGTCTATAGTAGGTTCTCTAAGAAGAATGTAAAATCCGTTTTTGTCTTGCTTGCCCGAAAGTGTTATCATTTTAATTTCATCAAAGTATCCCTGGTCTTCAGGGATTCAGAATTGGAGCAATTCTTGGTTATACCTCATCATTTTACAGATGTCTCTTTTATAACAGTCTTCTCATCTTTGGCAGAGGTTTCACAACTTTCTCCAACCTTCGGGATGGAAATTTAGACAAATTTCCTACAAACTCTTAGGAGCTACATGGCTTAAGAGAAAGGCTGAATGTGAAAATGTTTCTGATGCCTCGCTTAGAGTTTCCAATTCCCTCTTGGAATCTTTGTGCAAATGACCCAGGAAAGGCATGCTTTTCTTTAACATGAAAAATGATCTTTCTGGTTTTGAGAAACTTTATTTATTTTGACTTTTATTTTAAAATTTAGATATTAGGATAACATATAAAAATTCTTTCATTGCAGGTACACGAGTTCAATGTCTCAAAAAAAGAATCCCTGTTTGTAATCCTATTCTTTTCTTACAGCCAGTGTTCCATCTTCATGACCCTGTTTCTAGCCTCTATCCAAACATCAGCTGTTCTGTTTGTGTGTGTATGTGTGTGTGGGTTTCATTTGCACTATACTTCAATATAAAAATTATGTGATCATAATGTTATCATGAAATAATATATTAATTTAAATACCACTAACTTGGAATTTATGCTCTTTGATACGTGAGTTGCAATTCTTATTTGAAATTATAAAGGTAAAAGAGAGTGAGGTATTAAAATTATAATAAGTTTCAAAATATTTTTAAAAACTTTATCATCAATCCTTTGACTACAAAAACATGTAAGTAACAGATGATTCTTATCAATTTATGAAAACTATTTTTAAAATCTTCTGAGCATTAGTCTGTAAGTTGACACATTGAATTATTGTTATATTATGCCAAAACATAAAACTGGGTGCCTATGTAATACAAATCACACTGTAAGAAGTAGCTTTCCCTCAAGTTCTGAATTAATGAAGTTTACACATGAGCTTTTCTAGTAGTTTTTGAAAATTTGATTCAAAAAATATTTAGCAGATACAGGTTTTATGCTATTGTTCATACGTTTATATGCAATCTAAGTAAGCTGCAACATAGATTCATACTACATATTTATAAACTGATAAAATCTATTTGAGCTTTACAATCTATTGATATAACCTAGTCTAACCCAGGGCTTCTCAACCTCGGTGGTATGGACATGGTGGTCTGGATAATCTTTTCTGTTGATGGGGCTGTCCCGTGCATTGCAGGATGTTTAGCAACATCTCTGACCTGTACACACAAATTGCTAGTACCAACTCCACCCGCTCTGTGACAACCGAAAATTTCTCCAGACAGGACCAAATGTCTCCTGGTGGAAAAATATCCCCTAGTTAAGAGACATAGGGCTATTCAATAAATGGGGCTCACAAAGCATTTCTTTATTTTAAAAAAAATTAACTGTTTAGTCTAACTCATTAGCTCAGCTGTTTAGAGTGCAGTACTAATGAGTTCAAGGTCAGAAGATTGATCCTTATGAGGCTTAACACATTCATTCAACCGGCACTGAATTGAGTGGTCTGCAATTGCTTTGCACCATGCAAGGTCCAGAGAGAGATGCCAGAAAAACATAAAAAAGCAGCCAGCGCTCTCCAGGAGTTTGTGATCCTACATGGTGAATGAAAAACAAAACCAAACAAAGGCCAAATTAATGGTAGAGTCAGTCAGAGGATGATTGGTGTGACAGCAGGGATAGAGAAAAGCTGTGTAAACACTGAAGCATGAAAAGGATGTGGTCCGGCAGAGAAGAAACAGGGTTGGCTCCTTCCAGAAAGGACAATTATTTATAGTAAAAATTTAGTGTTCGCTAAGCAGCAGGCTAAATACTTTGTTATATCCTAGAAATGTTCTATATATGACAGAAGTTAAGTTCTGTCACTAGAATCTTGTCACTAGAATCTGTCACAGACCTTGGCTACTTGAAAGATTTAAACCCTCCCTTTGCCTATTTCACTGGATGGCCAAGATACTTATCCTCTTTGCATATTCATTCTCTATGTATCAAATAGCAATAAATATAAGATACAGCAGTTTTTTGGCCAAAAACAGACAATAAATGAAAACCAATTAGTATAGTCCCTATACAAATAATAAATAATAGTGAGTATGTTTTAGTCTCCTTATTTATATTATTGTTTTTCATTTATGTGGGCATTTAAACCCAGGCCTGTCTGCCTTTGAGCTGTTCCCTCTATGATTTGCTATCTTCCTAGAGTGTGGGGGTCCCTGGTGGAATGCAGTGGGAGCTCTGTGACCTCCCTGGTGAAAGACAGTGGGCTATATAATAAGGAGCTTGCACTATTCACCAGCAACAGGAGCTACTTTGGGATTTGGAGCATTGCTCACCTAAGACCGAAGAAAAAGCCAGTGTAGCTGGATACAACAAAAGAAAGAAAGGAAATGTGGAATTCCTCATCTGAAGGGGAAAACGTAGCAGGAACCAAATCTGGCACACTTTCCTAGGTGACAATAAAGAACTTGAATTTTATCTTGAGGTCAATGGGATGCTATGGAAGGATTTCCAACAGAGCAGTGTCAAAATCAAATTTGCCCTCTGAAAAGATCACCCTAGCTATTTGAAGGACAGAGAATAAATTGGATTATGACAAGCCTAGAAACAGCAAAGTCAATGGAAAGGCTAAGTGACAAATAATAGTGGCCTGGGCTTGGCTGGTAATAGAAAGTAGAAACAAGTAGATGACATTTGAAGTAGATGGAAGCAAAAGAAGATGCTTCTGTTGCTAGAATTGATAGGAAGTTGTATTCGCCTGTTTTCAAACTGCTATAAAGAACTACCTGAGACCGGGCAATTTATGAAGATAGGAGGTTTAATTAACTCATAATTCTGCAGGCTGTACAGGAAGCATGGTTGGGGAGGCCTCAGGAAAATTACAATCATTGCAGAAGGGCAAAAGGGAAGCAAGTACCTTCTTCACATGGCAGAGTAGGAGAGAGAGAGAAGGGTGAAGTGCAACACACTTTTAAACAACCAGATCTCATGAGAACAGCAAGAGGGATATCCACCCCCATGATCCAGTCACCTCCCACCAGGTCTCTCCCCCAACATTAGGAAGTACAATTTCATATGAGATGTGGGTGGAGACACAGAGCCAAATCATATCTGAAGTCCTTCAGCTAAGTAAGTGGCGAAATACAGGTGTTACTTTTTACCCTACTTTACAGCTACCTTCTCTTCTAACCTAGATAGCTATAAGCCACCAAACACTGAGAGAGTAAGAATATCTACAAGTTAGTGTTACATCCCAAATATCAGTAAGAGAACTCAAATTTTGTGGTCTTTGGATTTTTGCTGAGAATAGTAAATGTCTATGGAAAGAATGAATGGATGATATTGGGTTAATTATGTCCATCTCTGTTTATAAAGAAAAACATGGCTTGCCTGGAGTGTGACATTTACTTTCATGTACTCCATTAGCATTTAGCATTTACCAGGTTATCTGTTTCTTTCAGGAAAACTTCGAATAAGTGTATGTTTTAAAAATATACTGAGGCTGGGTGTAGTAGCTCACGTCTGTAATCCCAGCACTTTGGGAGGCTGAGGCAGGCGGATCACAAGGTCAGGAGTTCGAGACCAGCCTGAGCAACATGGAGAAACCCTGTCTCTACTAAAAATACAAAAATTAGCCGGACATGGTGGCACACGCCTGTAATCCCAGCTACTCAGGAGGTTGAGGCAGGAGAATCTCTTGAACTCAGGAAGCGGAGGCTGCAGTGAGCTGAGATCGTGCCACCGCACTCCAGCATGGGTGACAGAGCGAGACTCCATCTCAAAAAAAAAAAAAATACTGAGATACTCTTGGTTTGACATCTAGTACACTGCTATCATAAAATAAAATGGCAGCTGCTGAATACTTTCCTATAAGCACATCTTTCATTAACTTTTAATGGATTTGCTCATATATCCAACAAATGTTTTGTGCTAGTACTCTATGCCATGTGTTGCACTCAATGCTGGTCATAAAATGAAAACAAGATAGACTACTATGCTCAATCAGTTTATGGTCTAGAGAGGATTCAAACGAGTAAACAATCAATTTCAAAGAAGTCAACAATTGGTTTGAAGGAGTAAGTATAAGGTACTGGAGGAGGAGCTAATACAGAAGTACAAACCTGAGGATAATTAGGACTAGTCTGGAAATGGTGAATCAGGAAGAAAAATATTCCATGTGGAGGTCAGAATATATGCAAATGTCCAGAGATGAATGTTAAAATGTCATGTTGCAAATATCTTAGAATGGCTGGAATGGAGAACGTTGCAAGTGGTGAACCCCCAGGTACAAAATTACAAAGGAATCTACAGTCCATGCTAAATTGTTGGCTTGACTCATCTAAATGGCAAGAAGGAGTTATGAAAGAATTTTAGGCTGGGGATTAACATGATCAAGTATGACATTTAGAAAGACCCCTTTGACTATAGGGGTCTTCCTGAGTAGGAGTAGAGAGATCAAGTAAAAAAGACCAGGAAAATTAATTGAAAGTTGTACATGTTATTGTGGACTGGAAATTATGCATTCAAAGAAAACTGAGTATGAATGGATAGGAGTAGACAGATTTTTAAGTTTATTTAGTTGACAGAATGGACAGGTCTTGATGATTGATTGGATGTGATGGGTAAGTTGCAAAAGATGTCAAAGACAATGCCCAGGTTTCTGACTGAAGACGCAAAATGCATGATGGTGCCATGAAGTTTGCGAATATGAGAGAAATGGTTAGAAATGATAAAAGGCATGATAATAAGTTGTACTTTGGACATGTTAAGTTTCAACTCTCTACAGGTTATTTAAGTAGAGATTGCCACCAGGTAGCTGGATTCACTATATTCACAGGAGAGCTCTGTGCCAGACTCGGAGATTTTGTTGGCACCAGCATACTCTGCAGTAAGAATTTTGATTGGATATGGCCCATGAACAGAGGAGTCAGGGAAATGTGACAGCATTGTGTGAATTAGCCCTTCACAGCAATCCTGGGGCTGTTATAATTTCTCTCTATAATCAATGATACGCTAAGCAAACAGTGTCCGAAGGGTCACTTCAGTGACTTTGTGGCATTAATCTATAATCAGGCTTCCACTAATTCCTATTTACCATGATTCAAATCTGCAGGCAATATGCCAATCAATGTCTATATATCGAATGCCCCATATATGTTCAGAACAACTATCTGAACCCTCTTCAGACTTCTGGATATGGTGACCAGAAGTAGGAGGAATTTGCAGAATAAAATACAGTCCTAGACATAAAGGAGCAGCAAGTATAAATTTTTTAAATTCAAGATGGTTTGGTACCAAATAGCAAGGGTGGTACAGAAACCAAGAAACAATGTGAGGGTCAAGAGCCTGGCGAAACAAGATAGAACAAGTGCAAAGTCAGGAGGACAGGAGCAGCCCAAGGTGATTAAAGTGCTTAAACATCTATAGCTTGACTTCATCGTTTATCATGTACATAGTACTTGGATGGGCCAAATTAGCTTAAAAAGTACAAGGTGTGACAGACAGTATTTTGCATATTTATTTTAGTTTGATTTCTTCACAATTCTAGAGCCTTATTCTAGCCACTTCGAGTTAAGGTAGCATTTTTCACTTGTGGACATTCCCCCATTTTCTAAATCTTTTATAAAAGAATTCCTGAAATACGCCTGTAATCCCAGCACTTTGGGAGGCCGAGGCGGGCGGATCACGAGATCGGGAGATCGAGACCATCCTGGCTAGCATGGTGAAACCCCGTCTCTACTAGAAATACAAAAAAATTAGCCCGGAGTTGTGGCGGGCGCCTGTGGTCCCAGCTACTCGGGAAGCTGAGGCAGGAGAATGGCGTGAACTCGGGAGGCGGAGCTTGTAGTGAGCCGAGATCGCACCGCTGCACTGCAGCCTGGGCGACAGAGCAAGACTCCTTCACACAAAAAAAAAAATCCTTAAATAATTATAAGTAGATACTACTTATGAAGACTTACTATGTGTCACTGAATGGGCATTTTGTATGCTTTGTTTCATTTAATACTCACAACAATCTTACAGAGTAAGTTTTGATTTTATTATTGAGCTTGTTTTACAGTTGAAGAGAGTAAGTCTTTGAGAAATGTATTCATTTTCTCATTTGAAAATATTTATTAAATGTTCCTGGGTGGTTATCCTCACTAGAACAGATAAATAAATTATATGTATTCGTGGCAGAATACATACTATATATATATATATTTATATATTTATATATATTTCATATATACTATGAAATAATGAAAATGAATAAATTACTGCTACATGCAATAATACAGAAAAATCTTGCAAATGTTGTTATGAGTAAAAAAAGTTTTATCAAAAATAATACATACTGTATGAGTCTACTCTTTTAAAGTTCCAAACAAGGTAAAATGAATCAGTGATAGCAGGAAACAGCATAATGATTACCACTGGGAAGGAAGGAAGGCTGTGACTGGAAGGGGGCATGAGGAGGGTCCCAGGGTGCTGCTTATATACTATTCTTTGATCTGGGTGATGGTTGCATGTACCTGTTCACTTTGTAAAGATTCATCAAGCTGTCCAGCTATGATTTGTGCACATCTCTACATGTATTATATTTCAATTATAAATATTTTCTTGGAGACATAGAGAAAAGTTTTGGGGGGCAAATAGTCCACAGACTGCTAATTTTAGATATTAAGATGGTAGTATTAACCTGCTATTTACTATTTATTGCAGCTGTAGAGAAGAAAAATGTTTTATGAGAATGCATCAGGCTTTGTAAATATGCATAAAATAAGAACCTCTTGGTGAAGAGTGGGTCTAATAGTGAAAGACTTTTATAGTTCAGAACATGGTCTGAGAGAATTGTTTATTACATGCCTACTGTGTATCGGTGATATGGTTTGGATGTGTGTCCCCTCCAAATCTTGTGTTGAAATATGCTGGAGGTAGGGACAGTGGGAGGCATGTGGTGGATCCCTCATGAATGGCTTGGTACCCTCCCCAAGGTAACGAGTGGTGATAAGTTCATGCAAGATCTGGTTGTTAAAAAGAGTGGGATCTCCCCCATCTCTCTCTTGCTCTCTCTCTCTCTCTGGACATGTGATGTGCCTGCTCCCCCTTCACCTTCTGCCATGACTGTAAGCTTCCTGAGACCTCACCAGAAGTAGATGCCAGCAGTATGCTTCCTGTACAGCCTGCAGAACCATAAGCCAAAATAAACCTCTTCTTTATAAATCGCCCATTCTCAGGTGTTCCTTTATAGTAATGCAAGATGGATTAATGTAACTTAAGCCTTGTGTGATTTACATGCATAATCAGCTCTTTAAGTCCATTTCCCCCATTTTTAAGTGAGGAGCTGGAGATTCCTGTTATAACTGGAAAGAACAACAAAATTCAAATGCTGCCTGCAAGACTTTTTTTATTCTACCTTTGCTTTCCTCTGAAAACTTGCTGTAGTTTACACTCTGCCTCCAGGAACCCAGCCTTCTTTCAGCTGACCAGTCACCATTATGCTGACCCCAGGGTTTTTTTATATGCTGTTTCATTAGTCTGAACTGCTAGTCTCTCTTTCCATTTGTTATCTCCTGTTTCCCCTTTAGATCTCAGCTCAAGGACACTCCTTAGGGAAGCTTTCCCTGCTTTCCCAATACCAGTCAGTTCCCTTGTTCATGGTTTAAAGGACCATGTCCCTTTCCTGACAAGTCTTGAGCTCAGGATATAATTACACCTTGATTAGCAGGATTAATCATTTAAAATTTTTCATCCTTAGTAAATCATAAACACTGTAGGAGGACCTACCATGTATCTCTTTGTAGACATCAGCATGCACTATAGTATACACATACTACCATACCATGGGGGCCAAGCACAGACCTGGCACATGGTAAACATCCCATAAATATTTATCAAATAAATGAAAAAGGCCATTTCCTCAGGATTACACAGCTAGTTCATATATGTGTACACTATATCATCAAAACCCTACAACAACTGAGTTACTTTTAATTATTGTAAGTTATATAAATGAGGGCAGGAAAAATTAAGTTATTAATTTTTATCTAAGATCCAACAGCTCATTGATTAGTACCAAAACTACAGCTCAACATTCCTAGTTCTATGTCTACTTTCTTTTAAAAATCTTAATGTTGTGTGACTCTCTCTGTGTCTTCCCCTAATGACCTCCATTCTGATAATTTATATAAATGCCCAGATAGTAAGTCCATATGCTAACATTAATATAGGCTCAATGAACTAACCAGAAAAATAATTCACCATAAAAATATAATTTAATATACTAAAACCATAACTAAAAATATTACTTCGATCTGGCAACTGCACTTATCATCTCTGCAGAGTGCAGGTTTCTTTATATCCTGCATATTTCCCTTCAAAGCAAATTGAGAACTGCTATTGAATTGTGCCAGAAAGAATTGTAGCTGTGTTGAACATTCTACAAACATTCCTTTAAAAGCATGTATCATCTTGACATTTTATTTAGATATATCTTTTAAAGAAGCAATTGCCTCTATGCTGTAAGCTGATGGAAAGCAACTGTAGTTTCTCTTTAAAATCTTCTGGGCCCCCAGAGGGGACTGACAATTCAAATCACAGCTATACAGCAACCGCTTATGTGTATGGCTTCCCTGTGGCAAAGTTCTTAGTTAAGCCGATGGATCATATTATTCCAAGTCAGTTGATACCTTTTTGAATGCTATTGCCTGTGTTTCTACAACTAAATTTAAAGATGAGCCTTTTCAGTCGTATTATACAGATTCTCATTTTTTTCTTGATTATTTCTGCTCTTTCTTTTTGCCTTTGTCTTTATGTTCCTACATTTTCAGGTACAGAATATGAGCAGAAAGTCCCAAAGCTAATAAATGAAAAATGCGTTCCATGGGCTCAAAATGCAATAATGCTCTTGTGTTTTCTGGAGGTTTTTTTCCCTCATTAATCCAGCTTTGATCTTCAAGCAATAATCCACTGAAGAATGTAGCTGAATATGGACCACATCGATTTATCTTTCTTTACTCCCTAAAGTTAACTGATCACCTCTAAAGTCAGAATACCATTCACCCAAAACTCTACTGAGAGAAGGGCAATATATTTATTATCACTTAGCCAAAAGACTTTAAAAAGAAGCTGCCCTTTGGAAAAAAAAAAAAAAAAAAAGGAACATAAGAGAAGATTTGAAATAATGATAACGAGAAGTTTTTTGCTTTGGACTTGGAATATAAACTGATGAGCAAGAGCAAAAAAAATAAGTAAAAATGGTCATGAACATTTCTGTGAATTTCAGGGAACAGGGCAGGCAGTTTAATGAGAAGTTAGGAGCACAGGCTACCTTCATTGGTTTGTTCATTTATTAGTCAGTGATAGAGAGTCACACTAGTTAAAAGGACAGACACCACAGCCACACATACTGGAACCAAATCCCAACTCCACCACTGGCAAGCTGTGAAGTCTTCAGCAAGTGACTTAACATCTCTGGCTTCAGTTTACTCATCTGTAAAATGGACGTGCTAATGGTATCTATTTCATAAGGTTGCTAGGAAAGTTTAATGAGTTAACATAGATAAGATAATTAAAACCCTGCTTGGCACATCATGAGTCCAATATAAGTTTTGCTTTTCTTATTTTGTTTTGTTTTGTACATCTGCTGTATTCCAATTCCCACACTAGCTACTAAGTTTTGCAAAGGGAACAAAACAAACAATATTTCTCATTTTGTAATCCACCATAAATACTATAGTGGAATATAGAGTTGTGAGAGAAAATAATCGGGCTCTGATTTACTGAATTTGATTTACTGAATGGTGAGAAAATAACCTCTCTGGAAGAGGTGTTGCTGGATCTGAAAACTGAAGTTTGAGGGGACAAAGAAGAGAGACAAAATGCCCAATCAGAGGAAACAGCACGTGCAGGGCCCTGGTTAAACAGCATTTGCCCCTTTTGAAGAACTGATGGAAGGTTTATGTGTCAGGGACACAGTGAGGTTGGTGAAGTGTGGGAGATGAGGCTGGAGGCACATAGAGGGGCCAGGCCATTAGGGCCACATAGAACATGTTTTGTTTAAGAACAATGAGAAGATGTTAAACGATTTTATGCAGAAGAAGGATATAACCAGATTTTTAAAAATTAATAGACTCCATTTTTGAGCAATTTTGGTTTACAGGAAAATTGCACAGAAAGTACAGAGAATTTCCGTATACCTCTTCTCCTTTGACCTATACACAGCTTCCCCTATTATTAACATCTTGCTTTAGTGTGGTGTATTTGTTATAGTTGATAAACCATTACTGTTACAATATTATCAACTGAGGTCTTTATGTTAGGGTTCATTTTTATGTTGTACGGTTCCATGGGTTTTGGCAAATACATAATTTCATCTATCTGCCATTATAGTATCATACAGAATCATTTCACCACTGAATACAATTTTTACTAAAAAAGGAAAAAAAAAGTCTACCTTTGCAAGTATATGGAAAATGTAGTTGGGGTAAGGGTGGTGATAAGAAACACCTTAAGGCCGGGCGCGGTGGCTCACACCTGTAATCCCAGCACTTTGGGAAGCCGAGGTGGGTGATTTGTCTGAGCTCAGGAGTTCGAGAACAGCCTGGGCAACATGGTGAAATCCTGTCTCTACTAAAATACAAATAATTAGCCAGTCGTGGTGTTGCCCATCTGTAATCCCAGCTGCTGTGGAGGCGGAAGCATGAGAATTGCTTGAACCTGGGAGACAGATGTTGCAGTGAGCCAAGATGGCACCATTGCACTCCAGCCTGGGTGACAGACTCTGTCACCAATAAAAAGAAAAGAAGAAACACCTTGAGTGGCTACTGCTGCAATCTTGACAAGGGATGGTGGGTGGTAACTTAGACTAGGATAGAGGCATGGAAATCAGAAGACTGGATATATTCAGGATAGATTTTTAGTAATAGATTTCAGGGTGGATATATTAATCATGATAGACTAACGTCTCTACATATGAACCTTAAAATCTCAGTAGCTTCTCATAAGAGAAATGTATTTCCGGCTTAATAATAGAAAAATAAAATAGAAATGTATTTCCAACGTACATTAGCAATGTGGGTTTGCCTTAGGATGTCATCTAGGGAACCATGCCACCTTGCAGCACAGTCCAACCTCGGGACCTTACGCTCACTCCTCAAGCCCTCTCCACTGATATAGAGAGAGATCGGAAGTGTGTAGGACCGTGGGAGATACACATCACCTCCACCCACATTCTGTTGGCCAAGATTCAGTCTTATGGTCTTTAATTGACAGGAATTTGGGAAAATGTAGCCCAGTTGTGGGTCTAGGAGAAATGGTATGTGGAGTTTGAGAAACACTTAGCAGTCTCTACATAGGGTAAAGGAGAGGTTGGTGTCAACAATGAGTTCTGAGTTTCTGATTTGAGCTACTTGATTTACATAGGTGCTGAGATTAAGATTAGAGAAGAATCAGAACTGGAGGAGAGGAGGTATAGAGATGAGAGTTTGGTTTTGTATCCCGGATCTTATCTTTGACTGTTTCCTTAGTCAATATATTTAATATTTTATGTTTTGGTTTCCTCACCTATAACATAGAGGTAAAAATGGCCCTCACCTTGTAGTGTTATAAAGACTTCATGAAATAATCCATGCAAAGCACTTAGCACGGTACTTGATGCATTCAAAAACTCTTAATTGCTGTCATTATCATCATCATTTTCATCATTCTTGAGCATTATATTGGATATAGGGAGATATATGATACAAAATCTACCCTTTTCTTCCTGAAATATGGAACTTCCTGGTATCTTTTTGTCTCACAGATCGCCCCTTGATATGATAGACCATACAAAGACACTTAAGCCTAAAGAGCTCACTTGTAAATTTTACTAAATTCATTGTCATTTTGAGTGGCGCAGCTTCAGAGTTTTATGCTACCTCTCATGACATAAATGGGAGAACATTAGTGGAAGGAACTAAGGGCATGAGAAATGTGCCTTTGGAGGAGGGTTATGACTATGACTTCACCCAACAAGAATTCTGCAACAGGATCTGTGTGCCAATAATTTATTTATTCACTTTCACACTACTTTGCTCTCAACATTTCTGATCTCACCTATACTCCAAGGCCCAGATAAAAAATCAAACCCTTTGATGGATAGTTATTGATTTTTTGTAGCCATTCTGCAAATAATACTGTTTTTTTTGTTTTTTGTTTTTTTGTTTTTGTCTAGAAATAGAATCCACTTTCCTATTTGAAAAATGCCCCTCACTCTCAGTTCATGAGCTGTAGAGCACAGCATGAAACCAAGCCTAAGGGAAGAAAGGTAGTCTATCGTTCCATCATAGTAATTCCCAAGGGGTGGACATTTGACCAAATTGGCCAAATTCCTGGTGAATCTTAGGATTTGTCTGAAACCCAGCTGGAAACATGTTTCTCCTTTTTGCCGAACTTGCCCCTGGGAGGATATTGGAGTGAGCAGAGAGATTGTCTGAGAATAGAGCCATCACAGAGGAAGCAAAGCTGAAAAGGAAGAGAGAAACACCGAGAGGCTGATCTCGGTGTATGACAACCGGATCAAAATATTCCTGAAGCTACAACTCTTCATGGAATATTAATAGTGAAAGTCCATATCTTCTATTTTTTTCTTAAGCCCTTTTTCATTCAGTTCTCTGTCGCTAGTAACTAAAGAGCCTTAACTGACACATGCATGCTCCATGAAGCCTTTCCAGATCCTCTTAAATGGAGTGGATTTCTCTCTCCTCTTACAGGATTTCTTTCTGTATATTCTTATAGCATTTGGTCCTGTGTCTGTCATGTGGAATTTAGCACTTTCTATCATGCATCACAATTACTTCTGTATCTATCTAATCCCCCCCACTAGAATTTAATATTTTTAAGAAACTTAATCATTTCTAATTTGTCTCTAAATTCCCCAACATCCATAATTCTTATTAAAAGACCAGGAAATGGTGTAGGGATAGAAGAATGTGGACTATATCATTGTTGATTTTTATGGCAACGGATCCCAAATTGAAATCTTAGAACCCCTGAGCAGGTGTGATTCATTGAGAGCTCCTCAAATGTATGTGCACACTTGCCGGGTGCAGTGGCTCCCACTTACATTCCCAGAACTTTGGGAGGCTGAGGTGGGTTGATCACTTGGGGTCAGGAGTTTGAGAGCAGCCTGGCCAACATAGCGGAACCTTGTTTCTACTAAAAATACAAAAATTAGCCAGGAGTGGTGGCACACACCTGTAATCCCAGCTACTCGAGTGGCTGAGGCACGATAATTACTTGAACCCGGGAGGCAGAGGTTGCAGTCAGCCAAGATTCTATCACTTCATTCCAACCTGGGTGACAGAGTGAGACTCTGTCTCAAAAAAAAAAAAAAAAAGAAAGAAAGAAAAAGAAACTAAAAATTATGTGCACACTAAGCATTACATAACAAATTAAATCATTAATGTGCCTCACACAAAAATGCTGTAAAAACAATTATATACTCTATTGTTTGCTAATCTCTTATAATTAACATACGCGATTTCATTTTAATTCTATTACTAAATTCATGACACATATTTTTCAACATATATTCTCTCAATGAGCTCATACCCAGCTAGACACATACCTCAACTGAGGCCTTACAATAAGCCAGACACTGTGCTAAGTAAGCACTTTAGACACATCACATCACATTAACCTCTTTGCACGTGCCACTCTTTCACAAAGTCTTCTGTGGGTTCCCTCTGCCTATAGCAGTTCTTCCCAAACTTTACATCAAAGCACTAGTAGAAAAGTCAGAATTTCATATGGCTCACTGTGGTCAAGGGACAAAGATGCTTGCAAACTAGAGGCGACCTGCAATGAGGTGTGACTCTTCCAGGTCCTAACCAGTCACCCTGAAGACTAAGGGGATGGTTAACTTGGCACAACTGAAATATGTTCACAACACTGCAGTATGTCATAGGCTAGCGAATAATTTCCAGGTCCAAAGCAATGAATACAACATCTTCAAGATCACATGCCTGCCAATCCTTCAGCCCCAACACACACAGACACACATGAAAGTACACAGAAGTGTGCACATTTCCCTCCCTACTGTGGTATAAGATTATCAGGATAATTATTATATCCTAATATATCATATTATGTCCTTATTATTATTAGGATAATTTTTATGCTAATAATATTATAACCTAATAATTATATCCTAATTATTATATATCCTATATATAATAGGATATATATAATATAGGATACATTAGGATATACTATCCTTTGGGATATATTACGATATAATAATTATCCTAATAATCTGATACCACAATAGGGTATCACACCTTAAAAATAAGAACGTAGAGAAATGTAAAACAAGGTTATTTTCTTTTTAAGTGAGAGCTTAATGTGCCCAAGGTCAAGATTTGAACCCAGGCAAATCTAAATCTAAAGTTAGCAAACTTACTCATTGCTCTATGCAGATTGTTACTACAATTTGAATTGAGTTTCATTCTCTTCATTGACTTTGTTCTAGTTAAAAAAATATGACGGAATAAGATAGTTTTTAGATTAGCACACTTTTTCCTAGGGCCTTTTAATTTAGATCAGTGCAAGTAATGGCTTAAAAGATCTCGAACCTGCTGTTACCTGACTCCAGGTTAATATCCCTCTGATGTGCACTTCTGCTACTTTCAAGTATTATCCTGTCTGGAGTGCCTTTGCAGCTTTGCTCTTCACAGCAGTTTCTTCTAGAAATCATTGTCTTACATGATTTCAATCAAAATTATATTCAAGAGGGACAGTGTGTATATGTGGGTGGAAGAAGAGCCTAAAATGGGAGAGTGGGCAGCAGAACATGAATTTCTTTTATTCATCACCATTCCATTGATGTACCACATTGCCCCAGAGTTAAGGTATCAGGAGGTGGCAGAAATAATTAAGTTATACAGCATTAATCTGATACAAATAGCTGTTTGTCAGAATCTTGGAAATGCTGGTTGATTAGGCTTTGGTCTTCGGGTTAGTTCATTTTCATGCTGCTGGTAAAGACATAACCAAGACTGGGCAATTTACAAAAGAAAGAGGTTTAATTGGACTTACAGTCACATGGCTGGGGAAGCCTTGCAATCATGGTGGAAGGCTAGGAGGAGCGAGTCACGTCTTACATGGATGGCAGCAAGCAAGGAGAGAATAGGAGCCAAGCAAAATGGGTTTCCCCTTATCAAACCATCAGATCTCGTGAGACTTATTCATTACTGAAAGAGCAGTATGGGAGAAACCACCCCATGATTCAATTATCACCCACCTGGTCCCTCCTACAACATGTGGGAATTATGGGAGTACAATTCAAGATGAGATTTGGGTGGGGACACAGGGCCAAACCATATCAGTTTTCATCTGATAAAAAGCTTTGTTCTTTTAAGAAAGAGCGATGATGTCTGTCAGACCCTATTTTTTTTCTCCCTCCACCTCCCCTAAAATTACCCATTATCACTGGAAGCCTAAAGTTGTTTGATATAACAATTCCTTTAATTGACTTTAATATCCAAACTCAACATGGCAAAAATTTATTTTTATTTGACAAATAAAAATTATATATATTTATGGGGGATATTGTGATATTTTGATATATGCACACATTGTGGGATGAGTACATCAAGCTAATTAACATATCTGTCACCTCAAATACTTATCATTTGTCTTGTGGTGAGAACATTTAAAATTTACTATCTAACGATTTTCAAAATATTATTATTAACCATGATCATCATGGTTTGCATTAAGTCTCCAGAATTTATTCCTCCTACCTAAATGAAATCTGTATCCTTTGACCAACATCCTCCCATTTCCACTCCTACCTCCAGTACCTGTTAACCATCATCCTAGTCTCTATGTTTATAGATTTGACTTTTTAGATTCCACATATAAGTGAGATCATGTAGTATTTGTCTTCCTGTTGTCTGGCTTATTTCATTTAGCATAAAGTCCTCCAGAATAACCAATGTTTTTGCAAATGACAGAATTTTTTTGTGATGGAGCAGATACAAAGCATGGCACAGTGGAATCATCACTAGGGAGAACATGAGTATAAGGCTCTCTTTCTCTCTCTCTCTCTCTCTCTCTTTCTCTCTCTCTCTCTCTCTCTCTCTCTCTCTCTCTCTCTCTCTCTCTATATATATATATATATATATATATATATATATATATATATATATATATATTTCTTACCAATGAGGCTTACTAAGCAATGGAACTAGCGTTACAGGTAGCTGGTTGATGGATGCCTCTCTTCTTTTATTCTAGTAAGATGTTTCATCCCTGAGTCACGAGAAGGGAGCTGACGACCAAGGAGGCTGCTGTTTGTTATGATTAAGATAATACACCACAGAAGCTGATTTTCTGGGTTCAGTCTTGGATCTCACATGTATTAGTGTGATCTTGGACAATTACTTAACTCCTATGTCCCTGCTTTTTCAGCTGGAAAATGCTATTAAGAATGCACATGTCATAGGGTTGTTAGAGGGTCAAATGCATTAATTGAAGAAAAGAACTAAGAACTGAACTTGATTTTAAAAAGTCAAAAAACAAGTATTGATGACGATGTGGAGAAAAAGGAACTCTTATATACTGTTGGTGGGAATGTAAATTGTTACAGCCATTATGGAAAACAGTACAGAGGTTCCCCATAAAAAATAAGAACAGGCCAAGCACAGTGGCTCACGCCTGTAATCCCGGCACTTTGGGAGGCCAAGGCGGGCAGATCACAAGGTCAGGATTTCGAGACCAGCCTGACCAACATGGTGAAACCCCGTCTCTACTAAAAATACAAAAATCAGCTGGGCATGGTGGCACATGCCTGTAGTCCCAGCTACTCGGGAGGCTGAGGCAGGAGAATTGCTTGAACCCAAGAGGCAGAGGTTGCAGTGAGCCAAGGTCATGCCACTGCACTCCAGCCTGGGCGACAGAGTGAGACTCTGTCTCAATAAATTAATAAATAAATAAATAAATAAATAATAAAATAAAAATAGAATTATCACATGACCCAGCAATCTCACTTCTGGGTATTTATATGAAGGAAATAAAATTATTATCTCTAAGAGATATCTGCAATCCCATGTTCATTGCAGCATTATTCAGGCTGGCCAAGTATAAAAACAACCTAAGTTTCTTTTTGTGAATAAATGAAGAAAGAAATTATGTACTAGATAGATACATAGGTATAGATATGTACATATATGTATGTATGTATTATGTGTGTATACACTTCCATACACACAATGGAATACTATTCAGCTTTAAAAAGAAGGAAATTCTGTCTTTTGTGACAATATGGATGAACCTGGAGGATCTTATGCTAAGCGAAATAAGCCAGACACAAAAGATAAATACTACATAATCTAATTTATATGTAGAATATTAAAAAGTTATAGAAACAGAGAGTTGAAGAGTGGTTACCAGGGGTTAGGAGTGTGGGAAACGGGTAGATGTTGGTCAAAGGATACAAATCTGCAGTTATAAGATAAATATGTTCTGGTGACCATAGTTAATAGTAATTAACTATGTGAAGTGATAGATATGTTAATTATCTTGATTATGGGAATCATTTCACAATGTATGTGTATATCAAAACATCATGTACATCTTGAATATATACAATTTTTATTTGTCAACTATACTTCACTAAAGTTAGAAAAATAAAGAACTGAACTTGGCACAGATGAAGAGCTATATATGTGTTAACTATATATATAATCATTAATACTAAGTTCAAATTCCTTCCTACTTGTTCTTCCAAAGAAGTAATGTGGTCTGAGGTTGAAAACACCTAGACTACATTTTCACAGACCCAATGTATTACCATCCTGTTACTTGTGAAGCATTTGGATTGGAATGTCATTTACAAGGTGTATGGTTTTCACCCAGTCGTCCCCTCCCTCACCTGCTAAAACTGCTGGCTCTAGGAGATGCCAAGCATGTGCCGCAAAAGCAGAACATTCTTCTCTCCCAGTTTTATTTTTTATTTTTTTAATTCTTAATAGTACATTTTGTGTAACCAAACATATCTAAAATATTACTGTTTTCAAAATCGAGTCAGTATTAAATATAAGTAAGACATTTTATATTCTTCAAAGTTTTTTCTTGTCAGTACCTAGAGCACGTTTTGTACTGACAACATCTCAATTCTGACTAGCACATTTCCCGTACTCAGTAGCCACACGTAGCTGGTGGCTACCATATGAACAGCACACATCTAAACTATTGGTACTGTCGCTCTCCCTCCAAGCCCCTCCTCCACTTGCTACCAGGGTGATATTTCTAACACTCAAATTTAATCTCGCTACTTCTCTGTTTCACATTTTTATCCATGGCTTACAGGATAAAGTCCAACTTCCTTTTCATGTCTCTTAGAATCTTCTATGTTCTCGAAGCTTCCTATCCCTTCTTCCTCACCTCTTTTAAGCCCTGACTCATGTTACCATTGAATTCACTAATCTTTATCATGTCTCTGTGCAGTTCTTCCAGTATTCTACTTAAACTATTATTTAAAAAATTTATGTTCTGCGAGGCCTTCCATGAATTCCACCTGTACCCCCATGCCACACATGATTGTTTGCTCTGTTTCTCCACGGCAATGTAATCACTGTTCGAAAACACAACTTATAATACTATATAAAAATACTTTTTGCATTTTTTCTCTTGATTAAGCTTGAAATCCTTGAGGACTGCGATGGTGCCTTATTTATCTTTGCACTCCCAGGGTACACAATGGAAGGTCAATAAATTCTTGCAGAATAAAGAAAAAAAATAAGCACTTTCCACTGAGGAATACCTCCCTAATTTTGGAACCACAGGATTCACAGGTAGCCTCTTAAATACCAGTCTCTCAATTGGTGTATTGCATAGGGCTTCCACATTTAAACAGTGCAATCCGCATCACAGACTTAATGTAAATCAAATGAGAAAGGACGTCTGGAGACTCATGGTCTCCTACAAGGAGCAGCAGAGAGAATTTACTTCTCTTTTTCTTTTTTGAAATCCAATCCAACATTTTTTTAAAAAAAGATAAAAAGACAAAATTGTACATATTATCATCTACAACATGATGTTTTGAGGTACACATATATTGTGGAATAATTAAATTTATTAGGTTGGTGCAAAAGTAATTGAGGTTTTTGCCATTACTTTTAATGGCAATTACTTTGCAGTAATTACTGCAGTTACCTTTGCACCAACCTAAGTAACTAATTAACAAATGCACTACTTCACATAGTTATCTTTTTTGCAGCGAGGACAGTTAACATCCACTATCTCTGCAATTGTCAAGAATACAATATATTGATAACTATAGTCACCATGTTGTACAATAGATCTCTTTAATTTATTCCTTCTAACTGTAATTATATATCCTTTCACCAACATCTACCCATTTCTCCTGCCCCCTAACCACCCCAGCTTCTGATAACTACCATTCTACTCTCTACTTTGATGAAATCAACTTTTTTGGATTCTATATATTAGTGAGATCATGTAGTATTTGTCTTTCTGTCCCTGGCTTATTTCACCCCTAACATAATGTCCCCCAGATTATTCATGTCATCTCAGATGACAGGATTTCATTCTTTTTGTGGCTGCATAGTATTCCTTTTGGGTAAATGCACCACATTTTCTTTATTCCTTTCATCTATTGATGAACATTTAGGTTTTTTTTTTTTTTTCATATCTTGGCTATCGTGAATAGTGCTGCAATAAACATGGGAGTAGAGATACTTTTTTAACATACTGATTTCATTTCTTTTGGATATGTAACCAGTAATGAGATTGCTGGATGATATCGTAGTTCTATTTTTAATATTTTGAGGAACTTCCATACTGTTTTTCATATTGGCTTTACTAATATACATTCCCACTAACAGTGTGTAAGCGTTTCCTTTTCTGCACATCCTCACAAACCCTTGTTATCTTTCATGTTTTTGAGAATAGCCATTCTAACAGGAGTGGGGTGATATCTCATTGTGGTTTTGATTTGCATTTCTCTGAAGATACGTGACATTGAGCATTTTTCATATACCTGTTGGTCATTCATACGTCTTCTTTTGAGAAAAGTCTATTAAGGTCATTTTCCCATTTTTAATTAGTTTATCTATTTCCTTGCTATTGAATTGTATGAGTACCTTATATATTTTGGGTATCAACCCTTTATCAGCTGTATACTTTGCAAATATTTACTCCTTTTCTGTAAGTTGTCCCTTCACTCTGTTCATTGTTTTCTTTGTTGTGCAGAATTTTTTTTGTTTGATATAATCTCATTTATCTAGTTTTGTTTTTGTTGCCTGTGCTTTGGGAGTCATATACAAGAAATCATTTCCCAGAAAAATGTCAAGGAGTTTTACTCCTGTATTTCTTCTACTAGTTTCATAGTTTTCATTTTAAAATTTAAGTCTTTAATCCATTTTGAGGGTATTTTTGTATATGGTGATAAATAAGAGTATAATTTCATTCTTCTGCATATGGATATCCAGTTTTCCCAACACAATTTATTGAACAGACTGTCCTTGGCTCATTGTGTGTTCTTGGCACCTTTGTTGAAAATCAGTTGCCTATAGATATGTGGATTTGTTTCTGGGATCTCTATTCTATTCCATGGGTCTATGTGTATTTTTTTATGCCAGTACTATGCTGTTTTGGTTACTATAGCTTTGTAGTATATTTTGAAGTAAGGGAATGTGATGCTTTTAGCGTTCTTCTTTTTGCTCAAAATTTCTTTGTCTATTCAGGGTTTTTTGTGGTCCCATATAAATTTTAGAATTGTTCTTTCTATTTTGTGAAGAACATCATTGTTATTTTGATAGGGATTGGATAGAATCTGTATATCATTTTGAATACTATGGACATTTTAACAGTATTTATTCTTCTAATCCATGACACTGGCATATATGTTCATGTATTTGTGTCCTTTTCACCCTTCCACTTTTAAATCACTGACTATATACACATAAGGTAAAGGAAGAGAACTACTATGTAATAAGTAGTTATAATTGTGACCTAACCAATTTGCCAATGACTTCTCACACCCTGGGTTGAAGAACTGAAGATTTAGCTCAAGGAAACGGTGTCAAACAGATAAATTAATTCTCTTCTTTAGTCTTATGATTTATGTAAATTTTGCATTCTAATCTACAGAATTCTACATTGTGTTATACTCTATAACATCCCTCATCCCAAATATTTAAATAAAACTGGTGATTGAAGAATTTGAGCTGTGTCTATGACTTGAAATTTTCCCTGCTCTTCAAGAACATTGGTAAATACAGAGAATATTTCTCTGGAGTTCTTGTACCCTTATTTGAGAAGCAGAGACATGTGCCTTCTTTTCTCACTCTATATTATTTCTCTAGGAAATTTCATCTTTTAATATCTTGATTCAAAAAACCAACTATATATCAGTGACTCCCCAATTTTTATCTTTAGCCTAGAACATATCTTTGAGTCCTAGACTTGTATCTACTTGACTAATCAATATATCCACTTAGTGTCTAAAATGTGTCAAAAGCAAGCTTTCTACTTTCCCATATTAATAACTTCAAATCTGGACTCAGCAACTACTTCTACCTTAAATCCCCCAATCACTTCTCCTCTGGAGTATCCTTTCCCTGTGAATGACACCACCATCTCATTATGCCAGCTAGAAACCTGCAATTGCAATTTTTGAAGCCGTCTACATTTCCCATAATTGATCTGTGACAAAGTGCACTTAAATTAACTTCTTGATTTTTCTTGAATTTACCTACTTTTCTTCATCTTCACTGTCACTATAGGGAAGCCATTCATTACTGTTTTTCACAAGGGACCCTGCAGAGGTCAGCCAAATTATTCAGGCAGTGGTCACATGTTCAAAGAAGCCCCCACCTGGGTTTCACGATATAACCTCCAGTAGGAACAAACTCCCTTGGCCAGGGCTGGGGTCAGGAAGAGTGAAAAGCAGGCTGCAGCCATGAGTGTAGGAGCTGGGCACCCAGGTTTTCAGCAGATGGGGAGAGTCATGACCCGAAAGCCCCAGTTGCTATTTCCGTGGGGAAAGTTTATGCCCCAGGGCACTTGCGAATTCTGAGTGCAGGTACCTGGAACTTAGCCCATTGCTGCTAGTGGAGCACTGCGGGAATGGATCTGCCTTGCCAAGTGCATGGGATCTGTGTGGGGCTTACTGCCGCCTGCTACTCCTCACTTCCTACACGAACTCTTCTGTGTAGCAGAAGCAGCAACACTCCCCTATGGAACATCAACCCAGTGGCCTGAGAACTGCCTCCATCCCCTGACACCCACAGGGGATGCTGCTTGACCTGCATGTGGAAACTCAGAGTGCAAACCTGCCTGACCCAGCCCTTCCCTGGCTTTGCCCCACCACCCTCCCTGGTAGCTTAACACAAAGGACAGAAACTTTTGGGAGCTTTGTGACCCCACTCATTGCCTAAGAAACCAGAGTACTGCCCCTGGGCAACATAAGACAAGCAAAAATCTCATTGCTACTACCACAGCTGCTGTTCCTTTGTAAGCGCCACCTCCTTGCTGGAGGCCAACCAACACAGTCCATTGAAGCATTTCCTGGTAGAATAACACTGCACCCAGGAAGGAGAAAACAGCTGCACAATCTCAGCTATCACTACTGCCTGCACCACCTGCACCACTCTGGCTAAACAGGTGGTCTTGAGTCTGTCCAAATGACCAGTTCATTACTATTACTGGTATTCGAGAAAGCCAACACACTAAGTCTATCAATAACGAAGAAATCTCCCATAGTCTACCTCACTCCACTGCCATCCCCATTAGAGCCAGTGCTGCTCCCCACTACTGGGAGACTTGAGGAAAAGTCACATCACCAAATACCTTGAAGATATTCCCGAGCACCAGCCTGGAGTGTGGCAACTTCACTGAGTGGCTAGACCCAGAGGAGCAACAACACTCATAGTAGTCTGGCTCCCAGGGACTTCCACTCCTAGAAGGAGTGCACCACATCAAGGGAACACCCAACGGGTCAAAATAATCTAGATGGCAGGCCTTCAGCACCAGATCTTTCTGCTGGTGGGAAGTTTCCTTCAGCAGAGGCACAGTTGCAGTGCTGGCTCAGCAAGGAAAGTCTGCAATTCTAACCCAACAGTCAGATAGCCCTGGTGCATACAAAGGGTCTTGGAGAAGGGGATGTCTTTCCCCTCTTGTCCACCACTGCAAGCACAGTTGGAGGTTCCCTCACAGAAGGCTGGCATGGATTCAACCATAGGCAGCCTTTCTGGAACACATCAGGGTAACTGCATCCTCGCAGGAGGAGCACCCTCCAGGTTCAGGCTTGCATGAGAGACAGTTACAATTCTTCTATACTTGGAACATCAGCATTCCTACATATGAAAAGAGATGACAGTCTGAGCTGCATAGCCAGAACACTGAGAAAGGAGTGTGTCTGAGGGGTGTATAACTATCCTCCTGACCTGATACGGGGAGCTGAGGTGGCTCCAACCCTTCCCCCTGATAAGACCTCAGTGCGACTCACCAAGAGCTCCTCCAGCCACCTCTGTTGATCTTAGGACCTCCGTCCATCATTGGATAATGCATTTACCAACCTGCTTTAGCCACAACTGGTTCCTACCCAGGAACACTTCCCTTACTGGCCTGAAGCCTAAACCATCAAATCAGTAAATAAAATATCGTGGAAAAATAAATAAATAAATAAACAAACAAACAAATATATAAATGCATTCCAACCCCATAGGAGACAGTAAACTTGCTCACACACAGAGCACATTGCTACTACAACCAGCATATGTGAAAGCCATCATACAAAGATTCTTTATAGGCTGGGCATGGTGGCTAGCACCTGTAATCCCAGCACTTTGGGAGACCAAGGTAGGTGAATCACTTGAGGCTGGGAGTTCGAGACCAGCCTGGCCAACACAATGAAATTCTGTCTCTACTAAAAATACAAAAAAGAACTAGGTGTGTGTGGTGGTGTGCACCTGTAGTCTCAGCTATTTGGGAGGCTGAGGTTTCAGGGAGCTGAGATCACCCCACTGCACACCACCTGGGCAACAGAGCAAGACTCTGTCTCAAAACAAAATAATAACAACAACAACAAAAAAGCAAAAAACAAAAAAAAAAAACAAAAAACAAAACAACAAAAAAAGAAAAGCTCCAAAAATCAGAGACTCTCTATAACTAAGGAATTCTTACAGAGTCTTCACCCCTGAAAGCACCAAGAACCAAGTTAGGCTATAATTAACTATAAGCACTAAAGTCACATTCTTAAGAGGAAAAGAGAAATTTAAAAACAGACAAAAGAAACACAACCAAATCAAACATAAATTCAAGAATACTTAGAAGAAATAGTCTGGCCTAATGAGAATGAACCAGAAACGTAACTCTGGTAATATGACAATTCAGTGTTCCATAACACTCCCAAAAGATCACACTATCTCTCCAGCAATAGATCCTAACCATAATGAAACCTTAGGAATATCAGATAAGAAATTCAAAACATCAATTATTAAGCTACTCAAGAAGATATTAGAGAAAGGAGAAAAACATCACAGAGAAATTTAAAAAGCAGTTCAGGATATGAATTAAGAATTTTCTAGAGATGGATATAATAAAGAAAAACTAATCAGAACTTATGGAAATGAAAGACACACTTAGGGAATTACAAAATGCAGTGGAAAGTTTTAACAGACTGAGTAGAAGTATGAATATCAGAGCTTGAAGATAAGACTTTTAAATTAAGCCAATCAGACAAAAAAATTTTAAAAAGAATACAAAATGAACAAAATCTCCAGGAAATATGATATTATGTAAACTGGCCAAACCAAAGAATAATTGATGTTCCTGAGGGAGAAAAGAAAACATTAAGTCTGGAAAACTTATTTGAGGAAATATTTAAGATAAATTTCCCTGGCCTGGATAGAGATCTAGATATTCAAATCCAAGAAGCTCAAATAACACCTGGAAATTCATGGCAAAAAGATGTTCACCACAAAGGCATATAGTCATCAGATTATCTAAATTCAGCATGAAGGAAAGAATTCTAAGAGTAGTATGACAAAAGCATCAGGTAACTTACAAAGGAAAATTCATCAGACTAACAGCAGACTTCTCAGCAGAAACCTTACAAACCAGAAGGATTGAGGTCCTATCTTCAGCCTCCATCAACAGAATAACTGTCAGCCAAGAAGTTTGTATACAGCAAAACTAAGTTTCATAAATGAAAAAGAAATAAAGTCATTTTCAGACAGACAAATGCTGAGGGAATTTGTCACTACCATATCAGCAGTACAAAAAAATACTAAAAGGAGTTCTAAACTTAGAAACAAAAGCCCATTATGCACCAATATAGAACCTCTTGAAAGCTTAAAGCTCACAGAGTCTATGAAACAATAACACAACCAAAAAAACCTATCTAGGTAACAATTAATATGGTAAGAAATAGTACCTCACATCTCAATATTAACATTAAATATAAGTGGCCTAAATGCTCCATTTAAAATATACAGAATGGCAGAATAGATAAAAAATTGAAAACCAAATATCTGCTATCTTCAAGAGACTCACCTAGCATAAAAGGATTCATACAAAATGAAGGTAACCAAATGAAAAAAAGATATTCCACGTCAATGGAAACCAAAAGTGAGCAGGAGTAGCTCTTCTTATATCAGACAAAACAGACTTCAAAGCAACACTAAAAAAAAAAAGTCACTATATCACTATATATAATGATAAAAGGACCAATCCAACAAGAAACTATTACAATCCTAAATTTACATGCACCTAACACTGGAGCTCCCATATTTATAAAATAATTACTGCTAGACCTAAGAAATGAGATAGACAGCAATACTAAATAGTGGGAGACTGCAACACACCACTGAAAGCACTAGACAGATCTTCAAGACAGAAAGTCAATAAAGAAACAATGGATTTAAATGATATGCTAGAACAAATGAACTTAACAGACATTTACAGAATATTCTACCCAAGAATTGCAGAATATACATTCTTCTCATCAGCACATAGAACATTCTCCAAGATAGACCACGTGATAGGCCACAAAACAAATCTCAATAAATTTAAGTAAACTGAAATCATATAAAGTATCTTTTCAGGACAACAGTAGAATAAAACTAGAAGTCAACTCCAAAAGGAACTCTCAAATACAAACAACTACACAAATACATGGAAATCAACAAGGAAACTTAAAAGTTCTTTGAATTGAATAATACTGACCAAAATTATCAAAACCTCTGGGAGACAGCAAAAGCCATGCTAAGAGCAAAGTTTACAGTGCTAAATGCTTATATCAAAAAGTCAGAAAGAGCACAAATTGACAACCTGATGTCACATCTCAAGATACTAGAGAAACAAGAAAAAATGAAACCCAAAGCTAGAAGAAGAAAATAAATAACAAAGATCAGAGCAGAACTAAATAAAATTCAAACAAAAAACCACAAAAGATCAATGAAACAAAAAGCTGATACTTTGAAAATATAAGCAAAATAGATAGATCATTAGATAGGTTAACAAGAAAAGAAGAGGAAAGATCCAAATGAGAAATTAGATTCAATTAGAAACGAAACTGGAGACATTACAACCAACACCATAGGAATATAAAAGTTTATTTGTGACTACTATGATTATCTTTATGCACCCAAGGTAGAAAACTTAGAGGAAACAGATAAATTCCTGGAGACATATAACCCTCCTAGATGAAATCAGGAAGACATAGAAACCCCAAACAGACCAATAATAAGCAGCAAGATTGAGTCAGTAATTTTAAGATTGCCAACAATAAAAAGCCCAGGACCAGATGGATTCACAGCTGAATTCTAGCAGACATTCAAAGAATTGGTACCAACTTTAATGAAACTATTTCAAGAGATTGAGAAAGAGGGAATCCCCCCCTAAATCATTCTGTGAGGCCATTATCACCCTGATACCAAAACCAGGAAAGGACACAACAACAAAAAAGAAAATTACAGACCAATTTCCCTGTTGAACATAGATGCAAAAATTCTCAACAATCTATTAGTTAATCAAATCCAACAGCACATTTAAAAGACCATGATCAATTGGGTTGCATCCCAGGGATTCAAGGATAGTTTAACATACACAAGTCAATAAATGTGATACATCACATAAACAAAATTAAAAACAAAATTAAAAAACATATAATCATCTCAATAGATGCAGGAAAAGCATTTGTCAAAATCCACCATCCCTTTGTGATAAAAACTCTCAACAAACTGAGCACAGAAAGGACTTACCTCAAAATAATAAAAGTCATATATGATAAAGCCATAGTCAACATCATAATAAATGGGGAAATGTTGAAAATATTTTTCCTGTGAACAGGAACAAGACAACAATGCCAACTTTCACCCCTCCTATTCAACATAGTTCTGGAAGTCCTAGCCAGAGCAATTAGGCAAGAGAAGGAAATTACAGGCATCCAAATTGGAAAAGAGGAATTCAGTGTCATTGTTTACAGATGATATGATCCTATACCAAGAAAATCCTAAAGACTCCTCCAAAAGACTCCCATATTTAATAAACGAATTCAGTAAAGTCTCAGGTTACAAAATCGATGTACACAAATCAGTAGCACTGCTATACACCAACAATGACCAAGGTGAGAATCACATCAAGAACTAATCCCTTTTACAACAGCTGAAAAAAAAAAAAAAAAAAAAAAAAAAAAAAAAAAAAAAAAAAACCTTAGGACTATACTTAACCAAAGAGCTGAAAGATCTCTACAAGGAGAACTATGAAACACTGCTGAAAGAAATCACAGGTGACACAAACAAATGGAAATACACTCCATGCTCACGAATTGGAAGAATCAATATTGTGAAAACAACCATACTGCCTCAAACAATCTACAGATTCAATTCAATTTCCATAAAAATACCAACATCATTTTTTCACAGAACTAGAAAAAACAATGTTAAAATTCATATGGGACCAAAAAGAGCCCAAAGCAATCCTAAGCAAAAAGAACAAACCTGGAGGCATCACATTACTAAACTTCAAATTATACTACAAGGCTATAGTTACCAAAACATCATGGTACCGGTATGAAAGTAGTCACAAAGACCAATGGAGCAGAATAGAGAACCCAGAAATAAACCAAATACACACAGCTAACTGATCTTCAACAAAGCATACAAAAACATAAGTTGGGGAATGGACATCCTATTTAATAAATGGTGCTGCGAAAACTAGCAAGCCATGTGTAGAAGAATGAAGTTGGATCCCTATCTCTTATCTTATACAAAAATCCACTCAAGATGGATCAAAGACTTAAATCTAAGAGTGGAAACCATAAAACTTCTAGAAGAGAACCTTGGAAAAACTCTTCTAGACATCGACATAGGCAAAGAATTTATGACTAAGACCCCAAAAGCAAATGCAACAAAAACAAAAACAAATAAATGGGACCTGATTAAACTAAAAAGCATCTTCACAGCAAAAGAAATAATAATTAGAGTAAACAGACAACCTGCTAAATGGGACAAAATATTTGCAAACAACACATCCAACAAAGGACTATTATCCAGAATATATGAGGAACTCAAACACATCAGCAAGAAAATAACAAATAATCTCATCAAAAGGTGGGCAAAGGACATGAATAGATATTTCTCAAAAGAAGATATGCAAATGGACAACAAACATATGGAAAAAATACTCAACATCATAAATCATCAGGAAAATGCAAATTAAAATAGCAATGTGATACCACCTTACGCCTGCAAGAATGGCCATTATTAAAAAGTCAATAAACAATAGATGTTGGTGTGGATGTGGGGAATAGGGAATGCTTATACACTGCTGATGAGAGTGTAAGTTAGTACAACCTCTATGGAAAATAGTATGGAGATTCCTTAAAGAGCTAAAAGTAGATCTACCATCCAATTTAGCAATCCCACTCTGGATATTTACCTGAAGGAAAAGAAGTCATTATATGAAAAAGACACTTATACACATATGTTTATAGCCACACAATTCATAATTGTAAAGATGTGGAACAAACATAAATGCACATTGGCTAATGATTGAATAAAGAAAATGTGCTATACATACACCATGGAATATTACTCAGGCATAAAAATGGACAAAATAATGTCTTTTGAAGCAAATTGGATGGACTGAAGGCCATTATTCCAAGTGCAGTAACATGGGAGTGGAAAATCACTCACTTATACCTGGGAGCTAAGCTATGAGGATGCAAAGGCATACAGAGTGATATAATAGATTTTAGAGACTCAGAAGGAGAAGGGTAGAAGGGTAGAAGGGAGGCTAGGAATTAAAAAACTACACATTAGGAACAGTGTACACTGCTTGGTGACAGGTGCACTAAAATCTCAGAATTCACCACTATATAATTCATCTATGTAACAAAAAAAACCACTTTTACCCCAAAAGCTATTGAAATAAATTTTTTTTAAAAATCACACACGCACAAATTGGATGGCAGTAATGTATCATCATTAACTCTAATTTTGATGGGTATGTTTTAGTTACATAAGAGAATGCCCTGTGCGTAGAAAATATGGGAAACATGCAATAAAAAATTCAAGAGTGATAAGGCACAGGATGGAAAACTCTCATATGGTTTAGGAAAAATGTCTTTGTTCTGTATCTGCATCTTTGCTGTAATTTTGAGAAACTTCCAAAATAAAAGTACTGATAACACATACATAGACTGTTTGGGAAGACATGCCAAGATAGCCGTATCCTATGGGAAGAGGACAGGTGTCCATCATGGAAGAAAAATTCATTTTCTCCTGCATATCTTTCATACTATTGACATATTGAATATTGTAAATTTAAAATTATATGTATAAAAATGATTACATGGGAACATTTTATGAATATTAAAAATAAAATGCATGCATGCTCATTATCTGAATTTGGGAAATTTTGAAAATCATCCCATAGTGCTATGCCATGTGCAATTTTGAATTTTTTAAAATTAATGTGATTTTCATGCTACTTAAAACTTTTAAGAATAAAACAAATAAATGAAATTAATCCCCTTCTTCAATCTGCACCTTTATGCTATTTTATTTGAAGTGTTAGCACTCATTACTACTAGATGATAAAATATACGATTTTTCTTTGTTTTCTGTAGCTCCTGCACTCAAATCTTGGCCCCTCCCATAAGATTCCCATAAGACTGGAGACTTCGTTTTATTCCCTGCCGAGACTTTGGTGTCCAGTGCTATGACTGGCACATACTAAGCACTCAGTAAATATATGCATAAGAAGATAAATTTGAAGGGAATGAATCTTGTTTACTTTTATGCCTCAGAACCTGTTAGGTAGAGTTATTTCCTGGGCTGATAATAGACTTAAGTACTTACTACATGCCCAGGTGCTGTGCTAAGAACTTTACAAATATTCTCTAATTTAATGATCATCATCAATCCTAGGAAAGTGTCTATGACCATGCACATGTGGCATCTTGAGGCTTAGAAATGAGGAAATTGACTGAGACTACACATCTGGCATTAAGGAACCTGAGACTTAAACACGTGCCTCACCAGCCCTAATCCCTGTGGCAGCTACATCAGCAGCAGAAGTTACTGGTCCTTTTGTCTTGTCCCTGGCTTGGGTTTTTACTTCCTCTCCTCTGGACTCCTGCAGTGAATGAATGCTTAGCTCTCCTGTTGGCCTCCTACCCATTCTATAAGTTTTTTTTCAGATTATACTTCAAAAAAATTCCCATAATGCCTCTACCCTGACCAATCATTTTCTGAGGCTGCCTATTGGGTAGAGAAGAATTACCCAAACTTTGTAGAACATTTAGTCCCCAAGAGGAGAAAGCAGGAATTTCTTTTTCCCAAATAAGTAAGAAGGGGAAGTAGGAATTGCAACAAAAGAGGAGTGTTGAAGATAAAGGTTTTTAAATGGTCATTCATTTGGCAAATAGATTGCATGACTAAGGTACTAGGTATGTCACTGGGGTGTAGCTATGGATAATGAGAGGTGGGTGTAGGGTGCTGAGATAAAATGTGAAAGTTGAGATGTGCAGCTGGACATAGTAAATCTCTGCAAAATGCATACAAGGAAGAGTGAAGTGGGGTTGGCAAATAGAAGGCAGGCTTGAGATATTACTATGGAGAAGGCTAATTGAGGGAAATCATATTCAAGACAGTAAGTTAATCTGAGGAATTAAATAAAGACAGCTAACATTTATAAGGTATCCAGCAAAGGGCCTGGCACATAGTAAAAACTCAGTGAACTGTGTATCTTAATAATAATACCTCAATTTTAAAGTATTGAAATGTGTAAACATCATTGAAAAACATCCCAGAAGTAGAAATACATCTTGATTTATGTGCATTTATACACAACATTTTCAATTACCTTCCCAAACAGTGCCAACCTCAGAAAACATTTCAAAATATTAGTATTTCTTGAGAGAGGTTAATAAATAAGCACCTTCTCTCATTCTTTCAGAATCTATAGCTCTTTTGATTTTTATCTGGTTTCACTTTCCATAAGGGGTTTCCAGCCTAAAACTGAAAGTGTATCGTCAGGGGTTTTGCAAAACAAATTGAGTTTTCCAAACTAGAGATAGCCTAAGGTTGCTCCCAATGTCCTTCGTCCTCTTATTTTTCTCTTACTTGCTAGTTAATGCCTTTCTGCCAATGTAAGAAATTATCCCTCTCTTACCCATGGTGCTGCCAATTACACTCCAGAACCTAGACTGACTAAACACCTAAAGTGAAATAGCAAAGAAAATTTGAGACCAAATTATATATCTATGTGTACCCACTCCCCACCAAAAAGGCCTTACCTACCATCACCTACCCTTTCAGGCAAGCCTGTGTAAATTAAAAACAATGTTCATTGAACAAATACAAATTGAGGGCTTGCTGTACAGCGTGCACTGTGCTGGGAGCTTCCCATAACAATCAGAGGTAATATTATAATTCCATAGACTCACCCCAGAGATACGTGTTGAGATCATACTCAAATGCTGAGAAATACATCAGACTGTAAAGCTCTTCAAAGTGAGGAATCCCAGCATTCTCCAGATATCCTAAAACAGAACTTGGCCAAATCTATTAGACACAAGTTTGAAATATCAAGTTCAAAAACTGATTTGAAGATCGGGCACAGTGGCTCATGCCTGTAATCCCCACATTTTGGGAGGCCGAAGCAGGCAGATCACTGAAGTTCAGGAGTTCAAGACCAGCCTGGCCAACATGGTGAAACTCTGTCTTTACTAAAAATACAAAAATCAGCCGGGCATGGTGGCGGGTGCCTGTAGTCCCAGCTGCTTGGGAGGCTGAGGCAGGGCTTGAACCTGGGAGGCAGAGGTTGCAGTGAGCTGAGATCACACCACTGCACTCCAGCCTGGGTGAAAGTGCAAGACTCTGTCTCAAAAAATAATAAGATGAATAATAACATAATAAGTTGATTTGAGAGAATATGGCCTAGTGATTTTCTTTCTTTACTATACACAGACTCTTTCTTACACACACTCTGCATTGTTAGAAACCTTTGACCCTGCTCATGGCCTTCTCTGTACTTACTCTGCTTGAATGCATCGCAGCTAACTTGTTGACTGGACCTCCTAGTTTTCAAGCTTGTTCCACCCTGAGTGAAAATAATCCAGATAGATTAGTGGTTGGAATTAGATACACCTGAGTTCAAGGTCTGGTTTTGCCACTTCATGGTTGTGTAACAAGACACTACTCGATCATACATAGGCAAACACTATTAAAAAGGACACTGAGGCAGAAATAAATTTTAAAAAGGGAAAAAAATAGAAAAAATGAGTCTAAGAGTTTTTTCTTTTGAAAACATAAACAAAATTGACAAACTCTTAGGTGAAACTACTTAAGAAAAATAATACATAAAAATACATAAAACCAGAAAAATGAAAAAGGAGACATTACAACTGATACCACAGAAACATAAAAAGATTATGAGACTACTATAAACAATTATGTTCCAACAAACTGTATAGGCTGGGGGAAATGGATAAATTCCTAGAAACATACAATCTACTATGACTAAATCATGAAGAAATAGAAAGTCTGAATTGACCTATAACCAGCAGGGAGATTAAATCAGTAATAAAAAAATCTCCCACCTCCCTTAAAAAAAAAAAGCCAAGACTCAGATGACTTCCCTGGTGAATTCCACCAAACATTTAAAGAAAAGTTAATTCTAATCATTCTCAACTCTTTAAACATTTGAAGAAGAGGTAACACTTCCAAACCCATTTAATGAGGCTGGCATTACCCTGATACCAAAGCCAGACAAAAACACCACAAGAAAAGAAAACTATAGGTCAATATCCGTGATGAATATTGATGCAAAAATTCTCAACAAAATTCTAGCAAACCTAATCCAGTAGCAAATTGAAAGGATCATGCACCACAACCAAGTGGGATTTATCTCTGGAAAGCAAGGATGGTTCAACATAAGAAAATCAATTAATGTGATACACCAATTTAACAGAATAAAGGGAAAAATATCATATGATCATTTTGGTAAATGCAGAATAACACTGACAAAAATCAGCACCCTTTCATGATAGAACTTCTCAACAAACTATAAACAGTAAGTAACTTAACATAATAAAGGCTACATGTGAAAAGTCCGGAGCTACCATCATACTTAGTGGTAAGTAACTAGAAGCTTTTCCTCTAAGGTGAGGAACAAGGCAAGGATGACCACTCTCTTACCACTTCTATTCAAAGTAGTACTGGAAGTCCTAGCCAGAGGAATTGGGCAAAAATAAAATAATAAAAGGCATCCAATTCAGAAAGGAAGAATCATATCGTCACTGTTTGGAAACAACATGATCTTAAATGTAGAAAACCCTAAAGACTCCAGAAAAAAAAAAAAACAAACTGTTTAAACTAGTAAACAAATTCAGTGAAGGTGCAGGATACAAAACAATAAAGAAAAATTATTTACATTTCTTTTTTTTTTTTTTTGAAATGGAGTCTCATTCTATCACCCAGGCTGGAATGGAGTGGCACAATCTCGGCTCACTGTAACCTCCGCCACCCGAATTCAAGAAATTCTCCCGCCTCAGCCTCCTGAGTAGCTAGGATTACAGGCTCCCACCACCACACCTGGCTAATTTCTTTTGTATTTTAGTAGAGATGTGGTTTCATCATGTTGCCCAGGCTGGTCTCGTACTCCTGAGCTCAGGCAATCCGCCCACCTCAACCTCCCAAAGTGCTAAGATTACAGGCGTGAGCCACCACACCTGGCCAAAAATTAGTTACATTTCTATACACTAACAGTGAACTATCTGAATATAAAATCAAGAAAATAACCCCATTTAAAACAGCACCAAGAATAACAAAACACTTATGAATAAATTTGACCAAGGAGGTTAAAGATTTGCATAATAAAAACTGTAAAACATTGATGAAAGAAGACACAATAAAATGAAAAGGCATTCAGTGTTCATGGATTGGAAGACTTAATATTGTCAATAACTCCATCCTACCCAAATTAATCTACAGATTCAATGCAATTCCTATCAATATCACATAGAACTTTCCACAGAAATAGAAAAAAAAATACTGAAATTCATATGGAATGACCATCAGTGGGAAATCTCATTGTCATTAAGGTGATAAATGGTGAAGACTTTGGACATAATAATCACAATAGGAATGGAAAGGAGGGAGCTAAGATAAAACATACTTAAGAAAGTTGACTAGGAACCAACCCAAATGTCCATCAATGATAGAATGGATTAAGAAAATGTGGCACATATACACCATGGAATACTATGCAGCCATAAACAAGATGAGTTCATGTCCTTTGTAGGGATGTGGATGAAGCTGTAAACCATCATTCTGAGCAAACTATCACAAGGACAGAAAACCAAACACCACATGTTCTCACTCATAGGTGGGAATTGAACAATAAGAACACTTGGACACAGGGTGGGGAACATCGCACACTGGGGCCTGTCTTGAGGTGGGGGAGGGGGGAGGGATAGCACTAGGAGATATACCTAATGTAAATGACGAGTTAACGGGTGCAGCACACCAACATGGCACATGTATACATATGTAACAAACCTGCACGTTGTGCACATGTACCCTAGAACTTAAAGTATAATAATAATAATAATAATAATATTAATAAAGAAATTTATCCCACAAGATTTGGTGACTTGATTAGATGTAGTTGGTGAAATAGAGAAGGTGAGTCTTGAATTCTTTGGGATTCTGGTGTAGGGACTTAGGTAGATGGCGAATCATTTCACCTGCATACAAAACACAGAAGAGTAAATGGGGAAGGATAATTTGTTCATTTGTAGACGTGCTAAGGTTAAGATACTTTGAGTAACATCCAAGTAGACAGCTGATAGAAGAATCTGGATCTAACAATAGACTTTCAAGTTAGAGATAAGCATTTTGGGAATCACTGAAATGCAAGTGATAATGAATACATGGGAGGAGATATGCTTATCCAGGAAGACATGTAGAACAGAAAGCCAAGGATGGAATTTTTGGGAATACAAACATTTTTGTCATAAACATCTGTGATTTTATGACTTATGGTTTCTACTCCTGTTACATCAAAATGTTACCATTTTCCGTAAAGCGTGAGATTTAAAATATTTCCATTTTTAGGCTCCAGAATATCTTTTTTATAAGAAGATCCAAATAAAATGTAGAACTGAATACATGGAAATTCTCATTAACAGCAATCTCTTTCATAGAGAAAGACATACAATGTCATGATTTACTCCTCCTATCTGCTTCTGTCTCCTATCCACTGATCTCAGTAACAAGCACCATCTCTTAACCAGTTACTCAGGCCAGAAAACTGGGAGCTGGAATTGGCACCTCCTTCTCCCTGTGCTTTATCTCTAATGAATCATCAAGTTGAATCTCTGTTTATTGAATCTCTCAACTTTTGCCCATGCCACGTAACCCAAGTCATTTTGTTCATGTCTAATCGCCTCCTCACTTGGCTTCCATAGCCTCTCTAGTTTCCTTCCAGGCTATTCTTCACATTGCAGCTATAGTTAAAATCTAAAAATCTAAATCTGATATATTTTTAAAGTAACCCCTCACTTACAACACCTTCATAGATTTCCAACACTTACAATAAAGGTAAAAACTCTTATGACTTCCAAAGGCTCCTTGTGGTATGATATAAGCTCATTTCTTTCCTCTTTCCATCCTAAATAGATGTGTTTTGTTTTTTCTTTTTTTTTTTTTTTTTTTGAGACGGAGTCTCGCTCTGTCGCCCAGGCTGGAGTGCAGTGGCGCGATCTCGGCTCATTGCAAGCTCCGCCTCCCGGGTTCACGCCATTCTCCTGCCTCAGCCTCCCGAGTAGCTGGGACTACAGGCGCCCGCCACTACGCCCGGCTAATTTTTGTATTTTTAGTAGAGACGGGGTTTCACCGTTTTTTTAGCCGGGATGGTCTCGATCTCCTGACCTCGTGATCCGCCCGCCTCGGCCTCCCAAAGTGCTGGGATTACAGGCGTGAGCCACCGCGCCCGGCCTTGTTTTTTCATCTCTAGATTCCAGCTATTCTAGGCACTTTCTCAAAAATACCACTCTCTTTCTCACTCCAATATATGGGTGAATTCACCTAGTAATGTCTTACCAACCTTCAGATCTCAGCTTAAATGCTACTTCCTTGAGGAAGACTTCCCCAGATCTACCATCTCCTTGTTGTACATTGTCAAGCATACAAATTTTTTCTACTATATCAATTCAGACAATAGTGGTTTATTAATTCATCAAATATGTAACAATTTGTTCAGTCTCTTTCTTCCCAGATGGCAATGATTTGAATGTGTCCCCTCTAAGATTCAGGGGTTGCCAATGCGATAGTATTAAGAGGTAGAGCTCTTAAGAGGAGATCAAACCATAAGTGCTTCTCCCTCAGATGAGATTATAGGCCCTTAAAAAAGAGCTTTACACAGGAAGTTGATTTTCTTTTGCCCTTCTGCCTTTCACCACATGAGAATGCAGCAAGAAAATCCTCATCAGAGGCTTCGACTTCCCAGCCTCCAAAACTGTTATTAAATAAATTTCTGTCATTTGTAAATTACCCAGTCTTGGGCATTTTGCTGTGGCAGCACAAAATGGACCAAGACACCAGAACTATTTCATGAGGGAAGAAATAAAAGGGGGGGGAATTAAAAATAGTGTTCCTATATAGAGAGAAAGACACAGCTGCTTGCACGCTTTTTGGCCTTGAAGTCACTTCAGACACTGGGTCCCAAGGAGTAATTTTTCAAAAAGGATAAATTTGGACTCATTTCTGTTGGTTTACTTGAGCTATTATTTAGGACAGTAAAAACTTTTTTAAAAAAAATATGAGGTTATTTGATCAGTTAGGATTGTCATCAAGGCCTCACACAGAACTGTCCCTGACCCACCACATTCATTGTCTTTCTGGTCCCACAGCCCTTTTGCTAAGAATTTCAGAGGTAATTATTTTGCAAGACATGGTGGAAGATCCCTGCACTAAGAGTAGACACTTGGCAGTGTCCACAGTGACATTGACAGTGAACCCCTTAACCTCTTCCACCAGCATCATAAACTATATGGGCTCCAGAGCCAGCCTGCCCTAGTTGGATCCCAGCTCTGCCTCTTAATAAATACCTGATCTTGGCCAAATTACTTTATCTCTAGATGCTTCAACATCTCAATTTTAAAAAGGAATTTAATTATAGTTTCTACTTCATTATTTTGTGATTAAGATTATAAAATAAAACATTTTAAAATCATTTAGAACCATGCCTGGTATATGACAAGGCTATGTAAGTGTGATAATGATGATGATGGATTATGATAACATTCTATACAAATAGGGTGGACTACTCTTTCCTCATTCATATGTTGCTCTCTGGGAACTACTTTTGCTCTTTAAATCTGCCCTGGGAATTCTATTTAACCCAATTTTATTTGGAGTCACATAATGAGAGGAAGAGGCTATAAAATAATTGCCCAGTTATGTTAATAATAGTAGAAAGAATAAAACTAATGTTTAATAAAATCTAATCATGGCCTATATGCCATAATAAGTATAACTCAAATCATTCTCACAGCAGTGCTAAGATAGGAAGACTGAGCCTTACAGGTTTTGGTAAATTTGGCCAAGTTCACCCATCTGGAAAAGGCAGAGTTAACACCAAAATCTGTTTCTGTCTGACTCTAGAGGCGTAATTCTTGACTACCTTAAGTTGTTAGTTTCATTCCACATCCAGGGATAGCTTTGGGATAAAGAACATGAGGAATAAAGGCAAAAGATGTAAACAAGATCCATGCTTCTTTTCCAGTTTAGAGCAGGAAGAGGTCAGATGGAAATGGCATGCCAGAGGTGTGTATGCCTGTAGCTACCTGCTCCACTATTGTTCTACCCTAGATCCCAACTCAGCGTCTGAGCCTTCTTACTTTCCTGAGGTATCTAATAGGCATATACAAGTACCAACTGTTGCTTAAATAAATTGCTATGGAAATTCAGACATTGTTACTCTGAGCCCATTTCTTCCTGTCTACCAGCACTGGCTCATATATCATGAACTAGCACTGGTGGAATGCAATTAGCATATATTGAAGGACATTATGTAAAATACATTTTGCTGCTGCACCCAGATTCCCTTAGCAGGGCCAACTCACCTAGCCTTTAGCTGTTGGGAATATTAGCATGAAGAATTCACAGCTCTCTTCTTCATTGGGAATTGACGTTGGCCACAAGAAACTGTCTCACTTAAGGTTACACTCCCTCCCAAGGAACTGTCTATAGTCAATGAGTGGCTGGTACGGAAATACATACACCTGGCCGACTTGCCTCAATTTATGTCAACTCTGAAGGGTCTGCCTAAGCTCCAGAGCTTCCTAGAGAATTTTTTCTGTGCTCTCAGTTACAAACACTGAGGAATTAATCTTTCTTCCTGAGATGCAATATTGGTTTTGACTTACTAATTTGTCCAGGGAGAGGGGAGGTCATAAGCTTCCACTCACCCTTTTCCAGCATGATAGCTCTTATACCACAGGTCAAGAAAGAAGTATGACATTTTGGAATACTACACAGCCATGAAAAATAAATAATAAAATCTGCCAGGTGCAGTGGCTCACATCTGTAATCCCAGCACTTTGGGAGGCTGAGGTGGGAGGATCATCTGAGGTCAGGAGTTCGAGGCCAGCCTGGCCAACATGGTGAAACCTCATCTTTACTAAAAATACCAAAATTAGCCTAGTGTGGTGGTGTGCACCTGTAGTCCCAGCTACTCGAGAGGCTGAGGCAGGAGAATCGCTTGAACCCAGCAGATGGTGGTTGCAGTGAGCCAAGATTGTGCCATTACACTCCAGCCTGGGCAATAGAGTGAGACTCTGTCTCAAAATAATAATAATAATAATAATAATAATAATAATAATAATAATAATAATGAAATCATGTTCTTTGCAGAAACATGGATGCAGCTGGAGGCCATTATCCTAAGCAAATAAATGAAGGAACAGAAAACCAAATACTGCATGTTCTCATTTATAAGTGGAAGCTAAACATTGGTATTCAAGGATATAAAGATGCCAACAATAGACACTGGGGACTACTAGAGGTGGGGAGGAAGGAAGTAGAGCAAGGGTTGAAAAATTGTGTATTGGGTACTATGCTCACTACCTGGGTGATGGGATCAATTGTACTCCAAACCTCAGCATCATACAATATACCCAAGTAACAAACCTGAATATGTACCCCCTGAATCTAAAACAAAAGTTGAAATTATGTTTTTAAAAAAGAATTATGAAATTTCTGTCAACTACCAAGTATGATCATTGCAATTATACATTCTGAAATGGATGGGGCCACGAAGATAAACCCAGGCTAAGACTTCATATAGAGCCTCGTCCTCATATGTTTTCACTGTAACAATAAACCATGATCGTACCATATGCTGCGATATGTCTAATAGCCCTCAGAAGTTCTGGATATTCCAATTTCTTCAATGTATGGTTACTCAAGTAAAGGCCATAGGTCCCTATACTGTGGAACTAAGGGAATCATTACTGTATACACTTACTCTGATGTTGGAATGTCTGTCCTTGGAGGACCTGGCCTCTCCTTCAGTTAATGTAGTCTAAGACTGAGAACTGGCTCAGGACCAGAAATGGGGTAAAGAACCATTACTTTTAATTGGTGGAGTTGTCTTCAGTCTTCTGATTATCAATTCATGATTTATTGTAATGGTATAAATTAAGAAACTCACTTGTCTGCCGATCACTCTTGCCACTAGGAGCACTGTGTTCTATTAACCATCACATAACTCTCTATTGGTCAGGTTCCCTTGGCTACCTCTAATAGTAATTACATTTACCTTGCCTCTTATGCTTAAGTGCTATTAACTGGCTTCCACTATTTGGGGATACTTCAATATTTATTGATATTAAGGATTCCAGTTCTGTAACAGCACCCCTTAATGAGAACTGTAACTTTTAGAAGACAGACACCTTTGAGCTTGTCAAGTGATGCTGGTGCCCGTATCACTAGCATGTTTCTTATTACTTTGGTAAGTAGGATGAGCTCTAAGCCTTCCTGAAAATCATAATAAACTAGTTGGTTTGCTGGTATAGGGAGATATATTCTCATATGCTCATTTATTTGACCCTTTTTGACCTCTTATTCCAAGTCTACCACTTTGTGTGGACTACTTGCAGCAGAGAAATATATACCACTCAAAGAGCACCTCTTGGTGTGCTAATGGGCTCTAATAGAGACCATGCAACTAATCATGGGATATCGACTGACCATATGGCTAGAGATGCCTATCATGAGCTGGGTTCCACCAGATTGATTCACAAAGACCTAAGTGCATGAAGGCCAACAGTGATCCATCATAAGATGGGATGGTATATCCAGGATCGGGACAAATATATTCATAAGGTATAAGTAAGCTCCAAGAGGATGTGGCCCATTTTCCCATGTTACCCACCACTGTTACACTGGTGCCTTTTCATCAGTTCAAACTTTATGACCAGCTGACAAAGGAGGAAAAGGACCAAGCTTGGTTCAGTGATGGGTTGGCTTCGTATGTGGAATAATGAAAATGGATTGGTGCTGAACTCAAAACCCATTGAGGGGTGCCACTGAGAATAGTAATGAGGTTAATTAGCCCAATGAACAGAGCTTTGGTCAATGAACCTGGACATCCACTTTGTATTAGAAGAGAAGTGGCCTGAAGTAAGGAAATATATGGACATGTAGGAAAGCAAATGGAATAGCTGGTGTGCCGGGGGTCTGGAAGGAGAAAGATTGGAATATTAGATCCTAAGTTGTCTGGAGAAGAGGCATGAGAATGGGGACTATGTCAGGGGGGCAGGATATGAGATTATCTTTTAATTGCAGGTTATTGCCTATGACAGCATTCACCATGGATGTGGCATTTAATAACCAAATAGACAAAAACGACTTGGCCAGTTGACATCAGCATGCTTCTGTCACTGATATTAAAAGAAAAGAAATTGAGAATACTCTTAGCCTCTAAATCCTGCTAGATAAGCAAGTTGTTTCTCTGTTTAAGTTGAACTCCTTATAGTGCCTTATATCTCCATTGCATTGTACAATTTCCTACACTGCTCCTGTTCATTTCTCACTCCAGAGAGTAGAGGCCTGCAAACTCCAGTCCTCATATTTGGAACATGTTGAGATCTTGTAAAACTCATATTGTAGCTTTGAAGCCTGGCAGTCCTATCCTTTGTCTCTTTATTTACAAGCAGAATCACCTTGAACCCATTGGTTTACGTCTCCAAAACTTAAAGAGAGATGATAATACCCACCCATAGGTAGTTATAAGGACTGAATGAAATACTGTTTTTTAAAGGCTTAGTGCAGGGCCTGTCACAAAGCCGATTTTGAAAAAGGGTTAGATGCTGTCCCCTGCAGTCAGAACTCCACAGTCAGACCTCTCCAGCTCTTGCTATCCATCTAGAACTCTTGCTTTCACTTTGATCAGACACCCAGATACCTTTTTGTCTTAGTCTGTTCAGGCTGCTATAACAAAATATAAACTGGGTAGATTAAGAGCAAGACAAATGTATTTTTCACAGTACAGTTCTGGAAGCTGAGAAGTTTAAGATCAAGGTGCTGGTAGATTCAGTGTCTGGTGAGGGCCCCCTCTCTGATTCATAAAAGCCATCTTCTCATTGTGTGCTCACATGGCTGAAGGGACAAGACAGCTCTCTTGGGCCTCTTTTATAAAGGCACTAATCCCTTTCATGATGACTCCACCCATGACCTGCTCACTTCTCAAAGGCCCCACCTCCTAATACCCTAATACCTTGGGGGCTATGATACCAAAATACAAATCTTGAGGGGATGCAAACATTCAGACCATAGCACTTTTAAAAATGATTTTACACTCAGACTAGCAAAGATACTTCATCTTCAATCTACTTCCAATACCCTGGTGATGACTATCAGAGGGCTCTGCTGAAATATGTTCTTAGGAGGCATTCACCAGCCGGTGCCTCACGACTTTGATTTCTACCTTATTTTTCTCTATGACTCCCTAGAGCACCTCTAAACATCCCTAGAGTGAAAGCACTTTGAAATCTACTGGCCTAGGGCAATTGTTACAAGCACATCACAAAGAGAACTTACTTAATGAAAGGTCTAAAAAATATATATCATTTAACAAAGCAATTAAAGACATCATCCAAGACTGTGCCACCTGGGCTCCTGTGGCCTACACCAGTAAACGTAATAACATTATTACAATTACACACCCGCCATCAGGCCCCAGATGTGGGTTAATAAAGAAATGCTAATGCAAAAAAAATAAAGACAACAGCTCAAAAATGTAGAGGGTGAGACTAAAAACGATAGACTAACATATCCCTCTCAACAAACCACATTCTGCAAATTAGTAAAACCAACAATAACTTATTGTGAGAGCTATCCTCACAGAATTGTTTTATTGGTTTATTTTCCCCATAAGGTGGGAAAACAGACCAACAAAACTAAAGACCAAAAATAGGGGGTAGGGTTAACTCTGCTGCTAACTAGCAATGCTAAGTAAAAATATTCTCACTGACAAACAAAAAAAAATGTGAAAATTATCTTCTCATATGACTAGCCTTTTCACTAGAGCTAGAAAAATAATATAACCTCTGTTTCCTAGTTTTCCATCTTATTTTAAAGATGGAAGAAGCAGTAAAAGAGAAAGAGGCTTGGGAAGTAAGGGGAGTGTTCATTTCTCAAAGCGGATGCTGACACCATGATTCTCTAATCTGGTAAACGTACTAAAGCAAATGTAGAAACACAGAGAAAATCAAAACAAAGCCAGTGAAGAGTTGGCAAATAGAGTAGATTTCACATAAACTGTGAATCAACAAATATGATGAAGTATCTAATATTCGGTCTGAGAACTATATTGTCTACTAAGGGGAATATAAAATAGAGTGTTTGCTAAATCAATTATTTACTCTCCATCAATCCTCAAAAAAATCCTATGAAGTAGATACTTAAAGATGAGTGAGCTTAGTCTTAAGGCATTTTAACCATCCACTAGAATGCTTTGGTTGTAAGTAACTGAAGCCCCTATTCAAACTCCATCCATAAGGAAATATTCGTTATCACCTGCAACTGAGAGTACAGTGGCTGAACTCTCCCTAGGTGTCATACAAGGACCTAAGTGCCAGCTTCATCTTATACCTGTATCCCTTGATGTTCATACACATGGGTCATGGTGACAATCTGAGCTAAATCTTTCCTTTCTCCTGTCCAGCATAGGGAAGAATGCTCCTTCCTCCTGGGTATGAACTATCTGTTCTTCTCTTCAAGATGTCTAGGACAACGCAGGTTATAAGATGACTCCTAAATCAATAACTGCTGCTCAAGGACATATGTGCTAGAATGCTAACAATAAGGGCCATTCCCAGAGCTAGAAATGATACCACTTTCCTCTGAGTCATGACAGATGCATATGTGAACAAACACTGGGTGCTTGTAGGAGGGAAGAAGGGGGATGGCGGCTAAATAGCCAATCAGTGAGTACACTACATTTGCCCAAAGTCAAATGGTTGGCAAATGGCAGAGTCAGCATTGAACAAATTAAATATAAAACCACAGGCTAATTTCTGCAACTTAGAAAACCACTTGCCATATCACCAGATAATTTTTCTTTTTTTTTTTGAGACAGAGTTTTGCTCTGTCGCCCAGGCTGGATTGCAGTGGCGCGATGTGGGCTCACTGCAACCTCTGCCCCCCTGGGGTTCAAGCAATTCTCCTGTCAGCCTCCCAAGTAGCTGGGACTACAGGTGCATGCCACCACACACGGCTAATTTTTTGTATTTTTAGTAGAGACAGGGTTTCACCATGTTGGCCAGGCTGGTCTTGAACTCCTGACCTCAGGTGATCCACCACCTCGGCCTCCCAAAGTGCTGGGAGTACAGGCGTAAGCCACCACGCCCAGCCAATAATTCTTTCCCAAAGTGCTGGGATTACAGGCATGAGCCACCATGCCCAGTCGATAATTCTTTTCCTTACAATCCAGCAATCAGTTTGTACAACTACACCTCCAGAGCTGCATGATAACCACATTTACCCAACAAAAAAATTAAGTTACTTGTTCTAGAGTAATGCACTTATCAAAATAACTAAATGCAGCATTTGAAGTCCAGAAAGTAAGAGGATATCCAATGCACATGCATGTTATGCCCACAGAAACCTTTGAAGGAAAGTCAATCGTGTTATAAATATATAATAAAAATATCTGTGCAATAATAAATATTGATGTGACACTTAGTTCATCTTATTATTATCATTTGTTCATGGGAAAGCAACTCTGTTGTACTTAAAAATTCCAAAAGGTATGGAATGCAAATATAATTTTTTAAATGACTAGTGGTAAACAAAACACCTCGGTCTGATAAGCTTTCTCTAATTTCTTCTGTCTGCTACTGATAATGGTCTGTATTTAATGCTGCCCCTGTGTCTGGTGTCTCTAAAATATTTAACACTGGAACAAAGATGAGCTGGGCTAGTTACTGGGCTCTTTTTAGTTGAGCGCCTGATCCCAAAATACTCACTCCTCATCTAGGGTTATACCAGTTCCATAGAGATAAATATCCTCCTTTCACAAAGCATTTTTGTTCCATGGGGAAAAAAGATGGATGGTGGCAGCCCAGGATACCACGTCTGCCTAGAGGATTAGTACCAGTTTATATGCAGAAGGAAATATGCCAGACAATTCAACTCTTGGAGCATCTCCCAATCCTCCCTCTGCTTTGGGCCATTATCATAAACCTGCTGCTCCCAGCTAGGCCACTAAGCCCATTAGGGTCCTTTCTTCCCCTGGGTAAACAGAATTCTTTCCCACTTTCTTTCTCTGAGTAGGTGTTTTGTGGATGAAAGATTTTAATATATAATATAGGCTTTTAAATTGAATTGAAAATGCTGACATGAGACACACAGAAATAGAGAATGACCAGGCTTGCGGCTGCCTTAAGTGTTTCTATAATACAACAGTCCCCTTCTTTTTTATTCTTCCTACCCTCATTCTTGGCCAGTTATATCACCTGCATCTGAAGTGTCACAGACTCTTGACCTTCTCTTCTCAAATTCAACTGCAAATTTAATTTGGTAAACATCTCCTTGCTCATTACCTCCCTGTTCAAAAACCTTAATTGTAGTGTAGACCCATTGCCTACAAGAGACCTTCTCAATCAAGGATTGGCAAACTTGCTCCATAAATGATCAGATAGCCAATATCCTTAGCTTTGGGGGCCGGATGATGCCTGTTGCAACTACTCAACTCTGTCTTCTGCCATTGTAGTGCTGAAGCAGCCAGAGACAATATATTAAAAAATGAGTTGACTACATTCAAACAAAACATTATTTATGAACACTGAAATTTGAATTTCATGAAATGTTCATATTCTTTTTATTTTTTTCCAAACTTTTAAAAAATATAACAACCCGTCTTATGCATGAGCCATACTAAAACAGGTGGCAGGTTGGGTTTGACCTATAGGCTATCATTTGGAAACTTCCAGGTCTAAAGTCCTTTAGTCCAACATTCAAATTAATACACCTTAACAATCCAGCCATCTCTTTAGCTTTAGTTCTCACTGTTCCTACTGCATCATTATGCCACTCCTAAGAAATTAAGCCGCTTTGTTCCCTTAATGTACTGTGTGCTCTCCTATCTCTGCTCTTTTGATAATGTCATTTCTTCCATCCAGCTTCAAGACCCAGTTTAAGTGTCACTTCTTTCATGAAACTTTTCCATAAAAGAATCTTTTCATGCTTTATAACAGCAATTTCTGCCTAGCTCTGCATTAAGCAATTTGCATACATTTTGCCCTTTAAACCTTAGACTGTGAAATAGGTGCCACTGGAACCATTTTACACACAGGAAATTGAGATTCAGCATGATTGTGTACCCAATGTCATAATAAATGTCCAAGCCAGGATTCTAACTCAGATATTTTGGACCCCAAAACCCATGCACTGCCTTTTAAACTCCAAGTACACCAAATAGGCTAGATTTTATGTGTACTTCTTTTATGAGGCTGATTTTATTTCTTCCCACTATTAGAGTTATTTGTGTGTGAATGTCTTCATCTCTTTTTCTGCAGTCTGGAATTCTCTAAGGCACAGTCCATCTTTTTCTTTTTGTATCCTCAGAGGGATTTGTATAGAATAGGTGCTTAATACACCTTTGTTGACAGAATGAGCATCATTCAATACATACTTGTAGCAATGAATTCCTATTATTAACTTTTGGATTTGATTTCCTATAATCACTACCTTTGATGATAGAAAAGAAACCTGTCTTTTTTTTTTCCCAGAAGGCAAACTCAGAGATAAACAGAAAATCAAAACTGGCTCCCGTCAGTACATATGGAAAGATTTTACTTGTGCTCAAGTAAACACAAGACAGTTACAAATATGAAATGCATTTGGCCAATGTTTTGGATGTTAGCACCTTCTCTTGGAAAAAAAAATATACTAGAATTGTTGGTGCATTAATGATTTCCTTTAGCATGTGATTTCTCAGATTGGCATGATCTTTATGGGCTTTATAGAAACTTTGATATCAGCAACAATGGCACTGCTGGTTAGCGGGTGTAGAGCCTGCTCCCAGCCTGGTTTATGACAGGACCAGCTTCTATCTCTATTGGATGATTGGATCATTTAGAATGGAACTTTTGTCTGGCCATGGTATTTGGCAACAATGACAGACACAGCATTCAACAACTGCCATCCTCCTGCAATTCAACTTGATAAATCTAAAAAGTGACTGATTCTCCTGTCTTCTGATGTTAAGTGTGACACATCTTTTCCTCCTTTAGATATGATACCTGTTAGAACTTAGTAGATTGAGAAGTGGTATGGCATAATGGCACAGAGTCTGAGTTTTGAATGCAAGAACCACCATTTACTCACTCTATGACTGTCCATGCTTTATATTATGTATCTGGCTTTTGTTTTCATTGCTTGTAAAATGGAGAAAAAATAATATCGTCTTCACAGAATTTAAATAAGACAGACAGCATAAAGAACATCCTCATTACAGTGTCTGGCACGTAGTAGGTACTCAATTACTGAAGTTACTTCCTTCTTTCCGTGTTATATTATGTTTTAAAGCAAGGACTAGCACTAGTTCATACGTTAGTTGTGTAAGAATAGGGTTTTATTACTTCATTTTGTTTTGCATTGTTTAGTTACTCTCTCAGGAACATGATTGAAATTTGATTCATGAATTATAATTCAAGTCTATATTAAATGAATAATGAACCTAAAAGTTAAGACTCCAGATTTCATTTTATTTTATGTTTATTTTATTTTTATTTTATTTTCCTTATTTTTTTTGAGATGGAGTCTTGCTCTGTCACCCAGGCTGGAGTGCAGTGGTGTGATCTCAGCTCACTGCAACCTCCGCCTCCAGGGTTTAAGTGATTCTCCTGCCTCAGCCTCCTGAGTATCTGGGATTGCAGGCGCCTGCCACCACGCCCGGCTAATTTTTTGTATTTTTATTAGAGACAAGGTTTCACCAAGTTGGCCAGGCTAGTCTCAAACTCCTGACCTCAAATGATCCACCCACCTGGGCCTCCCAAAGTGCTGGGATTGCAGGCATGAGCCACTGTGCCTGGACAAGACCCCAGATTTTAAAGTTGAGGTTTTGAGAGCAGACAATAAGTTGTGCTACAGATGTATTGAAAATCTGTGACTTATAAACATAAAGCAATAGAAATGAAGATTCAAAGGGTGAGAACCATTGCATGTTGCTGCCCCATGGCTCAGGGATCTCAGGTGTAGCTGCTAAGGACCAACCAGTTGTCTTCAGCGAACCGTGCCCTCGTGATGAGGTTAGAAATCTATTCCCTAGAAGGTTTTTTTCTATCACAATCGCCTCCCTTCTCTCTCTTTCAGGATAAATCACCCAAACCATACTATTTCATTTTTATTTTTTTCTCTCAACATTTTACCTCTAGTTATAGCTAAGTTAATATCATCCCAGGTAAATGTTTTCTTCCATAATTATATGCATTCCCCTTAGCTAATTTAGTCCTCCCCATCTTCTTCATGTTTTATCCAATTATTTTAAGAACTTCTATCTCCCTGCTTAGTTTGTTACTTTTCTGAACATCCAAGCAACCTAACTCAAACTTTCTATAAAGAAAATTTTAAGTGTCCTCAACATTTAAACTCACAAATTTGCCCAGAATTTTTAGAAATCCTATCCTCCATATTTTTAAGCTCATATTCAAATAAATGAATTCAATTACTCAAATAAATAAAATTATTCTTCTTCATCAAGACTTACATATTTTGGTATTATTTAGTAGTTAGATTCTTAAATGAGCTGATTTGTCTTTGTAGCTGTAGTATTTCTGTTTACATCATGTTAGGCAGGTTCATGGCCTAAATAAGATACTTAACCACCATTCACAATAATATTTATATGAATACAAGGTGTTGAATTTCAATGACCCATATACAATTACATTTTGGGAACCTAATTCATTTGAAGGATAGTTGTTGCTTGCATATAAGCTATTAGTTGATTTTAGAAAATTCATAGCTCACTTAATATAGCGTAAATCATATAGTTCATTTTTTTACTTCTTGGCAAATGTTTCTGATAGTTATCATGTACTTCAACTGCTAGGATTTTTGCAAGTTTCGAAGTTCACAGGGAATCTGAAGGGCATATCTTAATCAACATTAGCCCACGTGGTTGCTCACAGTTAAAAGATTTTGGGTTAACTACAAGTAGCTTTTAATGGTTGGAGTTTGGTGAGTGTGCAAGGTCTCCCCTTTGGGTCTTTCTACCGGCTGTCATATTCCCAGAAAGCTAGTCTCTGAGCAAATTTGGTCAGATATTCAAATGTTTATTAGTAAAGCTGTAAAGAAAAAAAAAGTAAGTTAACTGTACTAGCTCAATAACATTTCTGTTCTCTTTTCTTTTATATACTCTGACAAATTTATTCTGAAACAGAGTAATTTCATCAATGGATTGTTATAATGCGTTCATGCAATGGCAGAGGCCTTACAATCCATCTGGCCAATTCAAGTTCTTGGACCCGTTCATTTCACCAGTTTAAAAATTATGTCTAACAACTCTCATACTAATTAATAAACTCTCTAGTGTTGATCATTCACGAAGAAAGTTGAATCGTTTTTTCAAACCACTTTACCGAGGTATGATTGACATACAAAGAAAAGCTATATATTTAATTTATACAATTTGACGAGTTTGATGATAAGTACACACCTGTGAAACCACGACTGCAATGACATAAGCACATCCTTCTAATAGCACCGCTAGTCTGTAGGCTTCTGATTAGGTTTTCAAAGGCTAACTGACTTAGAATGTGTATTGCCAAGAAGGATGCTTCAATGTTAACTAACTGGAATGAGATTAAAACACACACACACACACACACACACACACACACACATGCACGCACACATTCACGCACCATAAATTACAGATATGTAAGATACTTGAAAATTCTAAAATCCAAAATTTTAAAATTCTATACCTTCCTATCTTTTCACACAGGGGTCTTATGGAGATTCAAGTATAAGAAATGAGAATGGAGCAGATACGGTAACACAGTATGACAGCCAGGCCCCAGAAAACTAAGAAAAGACTTTGTGTCCTTTTGTGGTGAGAAAATGCTGAAGGTTTTAAATTGGGAGGAACTCAAAAATGTGTAAAATTCAATGTTTCTGAAGGGGCATAGGAGAAGGAGCCAAGGATTACTGCCCATAGAAAGCGTGGATAAAAAAAAAATACTTAATTTCAGTGGTCTAAAATTAAGGAAAAGATATGATGAAATGACTATTTTCCTACTGTGTGATATTCTTTTAAAAATGAGCATTGTTTAGTCTGGCACAGTGGCATGTGCCTGTAATCCCAGTTACTCAGGAGGCTGAGGAGGGAGGATTACTTGAGCCCAGGAGTTGAAGTCCAGCCTGGGAAACATAGTGAGACCTCGTCTCAAAACGAACAAAAAAAGTGTTATCTGTCCATTAAGAAAATCATATATGTAAAATAATAACCATACAGAACACACATCCTGATTGCTGTATTTGTTTTTATTTTGACAGTGAAATTTATATTTCTAGTTTTTAAGATGCCAATTTAAGATTGGGTCATACAATTAATGTAAAATGCCACCAGTGTAATTAGTGTCTATGTTTAAAATCATATGACCCTGAAAATGAGGTTTAGGATGTTGTGATTTATCAAAAATAAAGCCAGCATGGTTTAATTTTTAATTATTAAAAAATATTTGATTAGCAAAATGATTTAGTCATTAAGCATAATTTAATAATTAACATGCATTTAAATAAATTATAAATATTTAATCAAATCAATAATTATTTTTAAATCCAACTCATAAGGCAATTAGGTACTTTCTGTTAGCTGCAGAGTCTGAGATCCAGACAGGAAGGGCATTGCTTCTGTAAAATATGGTGCTATTTACCCTTCATCTATTTATAAACTGGGCTCTGTCAGTGATTCAAGAGAACAAAACACATTTAATTACCACCCAATTCTCGAATGCTCTCTACAAAATCGCTACCAAGGTTGTTCCAACCTAGGCTTGAACCCCTCCAATGATAGGGATCTCATTTCATCCCAAGCTCTCCAATTCAATCTTTCAAGAGCACTGGCTATTATAAAATCCATTCTTGTTTGCTTTTGCTCAACATATATGTACGAGGGACTCCTACTGTCAGATAATGTCATTGGCTCTGGGACTCAGCATGAGACAACACAAATCTTGTTACTCTCACGGGACTTAAGTTATAGTAGGGAAGTCAGACAATAAAGATAAGTACATGAATTATCTTTCTAGGTTGGAACAGATATGATCTACTGAAAACAAAACAAAACAGTGAAGGGCCATAGGAAGAACTCTGGCATTGAGTAAGTTTCTGGAGAAAGGGAGTAAGTAAGTGAATAACTGGTGAGAGGCAGAACTGGCACAAGAGGCAACAAATGCAAAGACCCCAGGAGGAAATGTGCCTGGAGGCTTTAAGAAACACCAGGATGTCCTTGTGGCCAGAGCAGTGCAAGTGTGAAGGGAATGAGAGGTGACAGAGTGCTGGCCGTCCTCGCAGCCCTCACTCGCTCTCGGCGCCTCCTTGGCCTTGGCGCCCACACTGGCCGCGCTTGAGGAACCCTTCAGCCCACCGCTGCACGGTGGGAGCCCCTCTCTGGGCTGGCCAAGGCCGGAGCCCGCTCCTTCAGCTTGCAGGGAGGTGTGGAGGGAGAGGCGCGAGTGGAACCGGGGCTGCGCGCGGCGCTTGCGGGCCAGCTGGAGTTCCGGGTGGGCGTGGGCTTGGCGGGCCCCGCACTCGGAGCAGCCGGCCGGCCCTGCCGGCTCCGGGCAATGAGGGGCTTAGCACCCGGGCCAGCGGCTGCGGAGGGTGTGCTGGGTCCCCCAGCAGTGCCGGCCCACCGGCGCTGTACTCGATTTCTCGCCGAGCCTTAGCTGCCTCCCCGCGGCGCATGGCTCGGGACCTGCAGCCCGCCATGCGTGAGCCTCCCCCTCCTCCGTGGGCTCCTGTGCGGCCCAAGCCTAACCGACGAGCGCCACCCCCTGCTCCACGGCGCCCAGTCCCATCGACCACCCAAGGGCTGAGGAGTGCGGGCGCACTGCGGGGGACTGGCAGGCAGCTCCACCTGTGGCCCCAGTGCGGGGTCCACTGGGTGAAGCCAGCTGGGCTCCTGAGTCTGGTGGGGACTTGGAGAACCTTTATGTCTAGCTAAGGGATTGTAAATACACCAATTGGGACTCTGTATCTAGCTCAAGGTTTGTAAACACACCAATCGGCAAACTGTCTAGCTCAGGGTTTGTAAATGCACCAATCCACACTCTGTATCTAGCTACTCTGGTGGAGACTTGGAGAACCTTTATATCTAGCTAAAGGATTGTAAATACACCAATCGGCACTCTGTATCTAGCTCAAGGTTTGTAAACACCAATCAGCACCCTGTCTCTAGCTCAGGGCTTGTGAATGCACCAACTGACACTGTATCTGGCTACTCTGGTGGGGACTTGGAGAATCTTTGTGTGGACACTCTGTATCTAGCTAATCTAGTGGAGACGTGGAGAACCTTTGTGTCTAGCTCAGGGATTGTAAACGCACCAGTCAGCGCCCTGTCAAAACAGACCACTCCACTCTCTGTAAAATGGACCAATCAGCAGGATGTGGGTGGGGCCAGATAAGAGAATAAAAGCAGGCTGCCCAGCCAGTAGTAGCAACCCACTCAGATCCATTTCCGGACAGTGGAAGGTTTGTTCTTTCGCTTTTTGCAATAAATCTTGCTACTGCTCACTCTTTGGGTCCACACTGCCTTTATGAGCTATAACACCACGAACGTCTGCAGCTTCACTCCTGAAGCCAGCGAGACCACGAATCCACCGGGAGGAACGAACAACTCCAGACGCGCCGCCTTAAGAGCTGTAACACTCACCGCGAAGGTCTGCAGCTTCACTCCTGAGCCAAGGAGACCATGAACCCACCAGAAGGAAGAAACTCCGAACACATCCAAACATCAGAAGGAACAAACTCCGGACACGCTGCCTTTAAGAACTGTAACACTCACCGCCAGGGTCCGAGGCTTCATTGTTGAAGTTAGCGAGACCAAGAACCCACCAATTCCGGACACAGGAACACTAGGAGATGAGGCCAGAGAGGCATCTGGATGCGATTGGGATGAACACGGAGGGACAGGCCATGGTAAGGTCGTCTCCCAGTAACTGCTGAATGTGAAGAATGGAAGTGGGGCCCAAACAAAGAAGCCTCCAAAGGAGAGAGCTCTGAGGAATGAAAATCGGCCCTCACGTGTCCAGAATCTTTTCTTCCTTAGGTTAAACAAATCTATGTAATTCATTCTCTTGGTTTTCATGTCACCTGGTTTTGCAGCCCTCACTATTGTGGAGACTCTCTTTTGAATGTGATTCAGGTTGTCTGTTTCTTCTCTCTGTATGGGACCTGTAACCAGGTAGAACAATTAGTTAAAAAAGAGCAGTCTTTACATTTAGGGAGCAATGTGCTCCCACGTAGCCCTTAATTGCCCTTGTGGGAACCCTTATTGTGGATTATAATGGCTGTCTGTTTATTTATGCATCTCCCACATTAGAGGGGAACTTCTTAATAGCAATGACTTGCTCTCTTGTCACAGTTGCAACCCAGAGCCACTAATATCATTGGCTCGTGTATTGTTGAATAGCTTCACCTACAGGTGATGTTAGTTGAATATTTATAGATGAAAAACCAGAGGCACAGAAAGGTTAAGAAACTTGCCCAAACTCACAAAGCTAGAAAATGGAAGAGCTAGAGTATGACCCCGAGCCAGCAGTCTGTCTGAATAGCCTGTTCTCTGACCCTGCTATAGTACATCCCACTGGAATCATTATTTTATTCTTTTGTCTATCTTTTCTACCACTCTCTGAACACCCTGGCCCAACAGCTATGTTATATTCATTACTGCATCCATCATATCTAGCACAGTGCCTGGAAAAATCGGAGCTCATTGTTGAACAGATGGTGTTTGAGAAAGTTTTGTTCAGTTTTTAATCTTGTGAAATTAATCTAGCTGAGCCATAACTGATGGTATTTGCAGAAAGACTGGATTTCATATCTATTGATCAAAGTAGAACAGATGGAACACATTCAGCATGTCACTCAGGTAGGAGAAAATTATCCCCCACTCCCAAAAAACACAAAAACACACAGACCACCGCCCAGGGCTTGTCTGTGCCTGTGAGAGCACAGATGCAGATTCAATTCTCTTATGGATCAGTTTGCTCCAAGATCATTAGGTGAAGTAGGAAAGATGACCCGGTCCAAACTAAGCTCCCCAACAAGTTAGATATCTCAAAGGACACATGAGTGATAATTTGAAAAGAGATTGGTGGAGTAATTAAGTCTTTTTTTTAATTTTTAGAGGATAGGACAATGAATTTTGGGTTGATCTCATCACTCTACAATAAGTAACCAGTCAATGTGACAAAGTGGAAAAAGCTCAGGCAGGTCTTGAAATCGGAGAACCGAACTTCAATTTTTGCCATGTGAACTTGGGAAAGTCTTTTTAACTCTCATGTACCATGTACTCTCATATCTCTTGTAAAGCAGGATGAAACCTTTGTCCTTCCTGCCTTCCATGGCTACCATGTGAATTCAATGGAATAATGTACAAGGCACTGAGGTGCCAAACAAGCTTGCCTCCTGGGATGTAACCAGAATGCAATTTTGTTTTTGTTTTTTACTACCTCATTAGACTTATTTCATGGGGTTAGTTGTTCTATCACTGGACGAAAACTTGATCAGCCCCATGGCACTTCTGCCCACTTTAAGCCTGAAATATAGTGTCAGTTCAGTCACCGAAAGTGTCTAGTCACTGTAATAATCACAGAGTCAATCTTTATTAAAAAGTAAAACTTCTCTCCACCCTCACAGCTAGGGCCTGTGTCAGGAGATTCCCCCAAACCACCCCTAGTTTCAATGATTTGCTAGGAAGACCTATAAGATTCATCATGTAATGGTACTCATAACTATGATTTACTATAGCAAAGAGGTACAAAACAAAATCAGCAAAGAAAAAAGTGCATGAGGCAAAATCTTGGAAAAATTAAACTCAATTCCCATGACCCTCTCCTAATAGAGTCACATAGGATGAGCTTAGTTCCCCAGTAATGAATTGTAACAACACAGGTGAAAGTTTGCTAACCAGGGAGGCTCAGCTCCAGCGTTTTTACTGGAGGCTTATCACATAGGCACCCCCTAATTAACACATACCAAAATTCCAGTCTCCCAGAAATAAAGCATGAGTTCAGCATAAAACATATTGTTTGCATAAACTTTTTAGGCACAGTGAGCTACTCTGATCAGTTAGAGAGACAGAAACCCTCTTGAAAGCTGAGTTTTCAGATACTAGCCAAGGGCCAGCCTTGTAAGCAGGCCTTTCTAAGGAAACACAGTCAAGCCTGCTACATGAACTCTGAGGCTGGTGATTTCAGTGCAGAAAGATGTGCATCCTTCTCTTTGCTCTTCCCTACCTTCTTCCCAACGATCTAGCTGCAACTGAGTATGGAAGAACTGGGGGAGAAAGGAGAGATAAAAAAAGCAGGAAACTTTTTCCTTTTTTTTTTTTTTGTTTAGTTTTGTTTTTATTATACTTTAAGTTCTGGGATACACGTGCAGAACGTGCAGGTTTGTTACATAGGTATACACATGCCATGGTGGTTTGCTGCACCCATCAACCCATCACCTACATTAGGTATTTCTCCTAATGCTCTCCCTCCCCTAGCCCCACACCCCCCGACAGGCCCCAGTGTGTGATGTTCCCCTCCCTGTGTCCATGTGTTCTCATTGTTCAACTCCCACTTTTGGGTAAGAACATGCGGTGTTTGGTTTTCTGTTCCTGCGTTAGTTTGCTGAGAATGATGGTTTCCAGCTTTAACCATGTCCCTACAAAGGACATGAACTCATCCTTTTTTATGGCTGCATGGTATTTCGTGGTGTATATGTGCCACATTTTCTTAATCCAGTCTATCATTGATGAGCATTTAGGTTGGTTCCAAGTCTTTGCTATTGTGAACGGTGCTGCAATAAACATACATGTGCATGTGTCTTTATACCAGCATGATTTATAATCCTTTGGGTATATACCCAGTAATGCGATGACTGGGTCAAATGGTATTTCTAGTTCTAGATGCTTGAGGAATCGTCACACTGTCTTCCACATGGTTGAACTAATTTACACTCCTGCTAACTGTGTAAAAGCGTTCCTATTTCTCTACATCCTCTCTAGCATCTGTTGTTTCCTGAGTTTTAATGATCACCATTCTAACTGGCGTGAGATGGTGTCTCATTGTGGTTTTGATTTGCATTTCTCTAATGACCAGTGTTGATGAGATTTTTTACATATGTTTGTTGGCTGCATAAATGTCGTCTTTTGAGAAGTGCCTATTCATATCCTTTGCCCACTTTTTGATGTTTTTTTTTTTTCTTGTAAATTTGTTTAAGTGCTATTCTGGATATTAGCCCTTTGTCAGATGGATAGATTGCAAAAATTTTCTCCCACTCTGTAGGTTGCCTGTTCACTTTGATGATAGTTTTTTTGTTGTGCAGGAGCTCTTTAGTTTAATTAGATCCCATTTGTCAATTTTGGCTTTTGTTACCATTGCTTTTGGTGTTTTAGTCATGAAGTCTTTGCCCATGCCTATGTCCTGAATGGTATTGCCTATGTTTTCTTCTAGGGTTTTTGTGGTTTTAGGGCTTATATTTAAGTCTTTAATACATCTTGAGTTAATTTTTGTATAAGGCATAAGGAAACGGTCTAGTTTCAATTTTCTACATATGGCTAGCCAGTTTTTCCAACACTGTTTATTAAATAGAGAATTGTTTCCTTATTGCTGTTTTTGTCAGAATTGTCAAAGATCAGATGGCTGTAGATGTGTGGCAGTATTTCTGAGGCCTCTGTTCTGTTCCATTGGTCTATATATCTCTTTTGGTACCAGTACCATGCTGTTTTGGTTACTGTAGCCTTGTAGTATAGTTTGAAGCATGATGCCTCCAGCTTTGTTCTTTTTGCTTAGGATTGTCTTGGCTATATGGGCTCTTTTTTGGGTCCATATGAAATTTAAAGTAGTTTTTGCTAATTCTGTGAAGAAAGTCAATGGTAGTTTGATGAGAATAGCACTGAATCTATAAATTACTTTGGGCAGTATGGCCATTTTCATGATATTGATTCTTTCTATCCATGAGCATGGAATGTTTTTCCATTTGTTTGTGTCCTGTCTTATTTCCTTGAGCAGTGGTTTGTAGTTCTCCTTGAAGATGTCCTTCACATCCCTTGTAAGTTGGATTCCTAGGTATTTTATTCTCTTTGTAGCAATCGTGAATGGGAGTTCACTCATGATTTGGCTTTCTGTTTGTCTGTTATTGGTGTATAGGAAAGCTTGTGATTTTTGCACATGGATTTGGATCCTGAGACTTTGCTGAAGTTGCTTGTCAGCTTAAGGAGATTTGGGGCTGAGATGATGGGGTTTTCTAAATATACAATCATGTCATCTGCAAACAGAGACAATTTGAATTCCTCAAGAAGCGCAGGAAATTCCTTACTTACCCAGTACTGCTATAACTTTACTGCACACATCTGGGTCTGGCTGGTGTTTAAAGATTGGCATTGTGTCTCACTGGCATCCTTGTAGGTTCTTCAAAGTTCTTCCCTGGATTTAATAGAACTTCTGTGATGTGGTGACACATTTTTCTGGCTGGAGGTGGCCCCTCAGCCCCAGGATTTTCAGAGCACTTTGCATGGTCTCCCTTGGAGCTCCATCACACTTCTGAGTAGCCCTATCGGACAGGAGGTAAAAGAGCTGCATGTGAGCTCTCTCTTGTGCTCAGCCCACATCTGGCTTATGCATTTCTACACCTCTAAACACTCTGAGTGTAGACAGTCCATTGCAGGCCCCTCACCTTGGCTGCAGTTGCCTGAAGAGCCAGCCAGCCTGACTTTCTCTTAGTTTTCCAGCTTAGAGTCAATCAGGTATTGCCCCATTGTTCTCCCACTATCAGGAGCTAAGTAAGCATCAGGCTTTCTGAGTGGTCTTTTTAATGCATTTCTTTTCATTTAATGTAAAAAGTGGAATTCTATTTTTTCTCACCTTGGGGATTGAGAGGGAAGATGGGGAAGGGAGAGGAAGGAGGAAACGTGAAGGAGCTCATAGTGAACCAGCAGCTTTATCCAGAAAGTTATTTCATAAAGACTCCAAGTATTTATCTCACAACTCATTTTGATATCTAAAATCCAGATGCAAATCTAAGTTTTAAGTGTCCTGAAGTTTTTATAATTTAGAATGAGATTTTTCTTCTTTACAAAAAATAAAAGTATAGTATAAAACAATGTACTAAAAGAATATTTTTTGAATGATATCATAAATCACAACAAAACAAATTTTTTGAAAGCTGATGAATACTACAAACATTATAAAACTCAAAAATGTGATATCATTATTAACTATCTAACATTCTTCTATTATGCCTTTTCCTTTAATTTTAGCTATAGACTCTTTGATTCCTTCTATAAAGACAACAACTTTGTAACATTTTCAACAGTGTGAAAAGAAAGACAATCCAGTCTTTCTTCTAGCATGGTTGTTTTGGAATTCATTTGTATTATGATAAGTTCGATATTTTTTTCAGCATCATAACACATTATTAGCAATGTCATATAAATGTCTAGGATTGTTGCCAAAACTGAGAAAGTCTCCATCAAGTTTCTTTCACACAAGAGTTGTAAGATTTGGAAGACATTTCCACAGACCCAGGCCTGTGGTTCCATTTCCAACTTTTATTTTTGCCTCATCCCATGTGCTTCTGTGCTGGGATCTGCCATCCTGGTTCTGCACCCATGTGAGTTGGTGCTATGAGAAGGTCAAGTATTTGTGAAAACCATGCCCACACTCAAACTGTTAGTGAGAATGTAAACTGTAACACAAATGTGACCTGGAACCACGTAATTATATTCCAACCCAAACTAGCTGTGTCCACAAATCAACTTCTCATTAGTTCAGTGGTTATCAATGGAGTGAGGGTTCAATTTTATCTCTCCAGGGGACTTTGTCACAACTGTGTGGGTGAGAGAATAGGGGGTTGCTACCAGGATCTAGTAAGCAGAGGTAAGAAATGCTGCTAAATATCCTTCAATGTATAGGACAGTGACCATAGCAAAGAATTACCTGGCTCAAAATGTCAATTTTGCTGAGATTGAGGAGTCTTACTAGATGGATCCTTCTACCTAGATCTCCAAAAAATGCCCCTAGTCACTATAACAACACCCTATCCTTTGGGAGGTGTGAAAGAAAGAAAACTCCAAGTGGAAATAGACTGTGATCCTAATGCATTGCTGTTAGAAAGTATTACTTTTGTAAGTTTTGCAAAAATAAATGATCATGTAATCACATTAAAAGGCTCTCCCAAGGCCTTGGAAAAGGAATTGGGGGTTCTAATCCACACTGATGCTTTCTTTACCTTCATCAGTTTCAGAGTAAATCCACCTCTGCTAATATGTCTTGTCTTCACATCCCTGCTGAAACAGAGGCAGAAAGAAGAGTCCTTGGTTAACATCCTATTACACATCGAACAGAAACAAACATTTTGTAATGTGTTCTTGTAACAGGCTAGTATATCATCTCAATCTTCTAATTTCTAAAATAGAGAGAGGACACAAACTCGCTGTTGGTAGTCTGGGAGCTTGCCTGCAGACATAATTTGTTGATTCTCACAGGATTTAAATGTTTTAAATAAATTTTCAGCCCTTTAAAATTAAGATATATACCACGGAATCTCAGATGTCAGGCATTTATTGAAAAATTCAGTAGCATGAGGCTTTCACCCCCACCTGGCAACAGGTGAAGCTGGTTTTAGTGTGCATATATTTTTTCAGTTTGCCTAAGACCTACCTAGCCCATTGCCTATACTCTCTGCCTGGCCCTCTAGGTACTTGAATCTGCAAGACCACTCTGTGGTATCAGTTAACTATGAAGGGCTGTGCAAATATTCAACAGTGATACTGATATTTACACTTTAACTTTTCCATGCAGCCTTTTCTGGATGCTGGACAAACACTCCCTTATTTATCTTGGGTCATTTTTCTTTTCTCAGAGGGTCACAAGGTGTGTACTTTAATAAAAGCCACATAATCTCTGCAATTTGTCACATGTTGGACCTTCTAGGAAAAATCAAAGGGCAAAGGGGAAAAATGTGTTCTCTGTGTCCAGTGCAGCAGGGCTAACTAAAAGGTGGCAAGCCTCAAAGAAATGATCTGCAATAAATTGCTCCAGGAAAAGCATGTTTTGAAAAGGCCATGAGATAAAATATCATATTGATTTGAAAGCCCAAAAGGCCAATTAATCTTGTGAAAATTAATGAACAAATTAAAAGTCAAGAAATAATGGCAACACAGAAATTGCAGTATGTCTAAAATTAAAATTGTAATTTATCTCTCATTTGAGACAGGGAGATACTACTCAATCATGTTTAGCAAAAAATTTAAGTGGGCTCTTTTCAAAGCTAGGTCTTCAGGTCCCCTTCAAAAACCATCTATGATTCCCTGGAAGGCATAAGTTAGTGTATTAGATGTCAGGCATCAAAAGAGGTAAAACTGTTTGAACATTCTTTATCTCAGAATAAATCTCAGGACTCTGTCCTATCAGTCTTGTTCTTAAATGCAGGATTTCTTATTTAGTTGAAAGATATCAAATCTAGTTTTCTTGTTTTTTATTGAAGGAACAGAAACTCAGGGTTACTTGGAAACTTGTTATGATGCCTAATTTTATGTGTCAACTTGGCAAGGCCAGGGTGACAAGCTATGTGGTGAAACATTATTCTGGATGTTCCTGTGACAGTGTTTTGGGATGAGATTAACACTTAAATCTGTTCATTGCACTTTGAGTAAAGCAGATTGTCCTCTATAAAATGGGTGGGCTGCATCCAATCAGTTGAAGGCCAGAATAGAACAAAAGACTGACCTTCTCTGAGCAAGGATTAATTCTGCAGCAAATGATCTTCAAACTTGAACCTTAGCATCGACTCACCCCTAGTTTCCAGCCCCCAGCCCACCCTGCAAGTTTTGAACTTGTCAGCCCCATAATCTCATGAGCCAATTCCTTAAAATAAATCTCGTTCTATATACAGGCATACCTTTTTATTGTAGTTTCACTTTATTACACTTCACAAATATTGCATTTTTTTACAAATTGAAGGTCTCTGAAAACTCTGCATTGAGTAAGTCTGTCTGAGCCATTTTTTTCAATAGCGTGTGCTCACTTCATGTCTCTGTCACATTTTGATAATTGTTACGATCCTTTGAAACCTTTCCTTTACTATTATATCTATTATGGTGATCTGTGATCAGTGATCTTTGATGTCACTATTGTAATTATTTGGGGGCACCATCAGTCACACCCATATAAGATGGCAGACTTAATAAATGTTGTGTTTTCTCAATGCTCCACAAACCACCCATTCTCCCATCTTTCTTCCTCTTCTTAATTCTCTCTGTTCTCTGAGACAGAGCAATATTGAAACTAGACACCTCTCACTTTAAATTAAAAGCTAGAAATGATTAAGTTTAGTGAGGAAGGCCATGTCAAAAGCTAAAATAGGACAAAAGTTAGGCGTCTTTATCCAGTTAGTCAAGTTGTTAATGCAAAAGAAAAGTTCTTTTTTAGAGGGGAATTTTTAAAATGGCTTTATTGAGATATTATGCACATGTCATACAAGGCACTACTTTCAAGTGTAGAATTCCACAGCTTTTAGTATAGTCACAGAGTTTTCTATCCATTACCATAATCAATTGTAGAAGTTTTGTCACCCAAAACAAAATCCCGTATCCATTAGCAGTCACTCCGTGTTTCTCTCTAAACCCACTCCCCTCAGCCCTAGGCAGCCACCAATCTACTTTCTGCTTCAATAGACTTCCCAGTAGACATTTTATGTAAGTAGAATCATATAATGTGGTCTAGTGTAACTAGCTTATTTCATTAGTATAACGTTTTCAAGGTTCATTTATATTGCAACATCTGTCAGTACTTCATTCCTTTTATGGCTGAATAATATTCCACTGTATGGATTTAGCACATTTTATTTATCTATTAATGAGTTGATGGACATTTGGGGTGTTGACTTTTTTGCTATTATGACTAATGCTGTTATGAACGTTCATATACAAGTTTTTATATGGGCATATGTTTTCATTTTTCTTGGGTATATACTTAGGAGTGCAATTTTGGGTTATATCCTAACTCTATATTTAACTTTTTGAGGAATGACAACGTGCACCGTTTTACATTCCCATCACTAGTGTATGAGAGAATGAGATTTCTAACACCTTTGCTAACATATTATTATTTGTCATTTTTAATGTAACCATCCAGGTGGTGTGAAATAGTATCTCATTGTTTTTTAAATAAATTTAACTTCTATTTCAGATTCATGAGGTACATGTGCAGGCTTGTTATATGAGTACATTGTGTGATGCTGAGGTTTGCATTACAAACAATCCCATCACCCAGGTAGTGAGCATATTACCCAATATGTAGCTTTTTAGCCTTTGTCCCATTCCCTCTGTAGTAGTCCCCCACTTAGTCCTCAGTTTCTAGCGTTCTTTTTTTTTATATCCATGTGTACTCAGTGTTTAGCTCCCACTTATAAGTGAAAACATGCAGTATTTGGTTTTCCATTCCTGCATTAATTTTCTTAGGATAATGGCTTCCAGCTGCATCTATGTTGCTGCAAAGAATATGATTTTGTTCTTTTTCATGGCTATGTAATATTCCACAGTGTATAAGTATCAATAACATATTTTCTTTATTCTATCCACTGTTGATGGGCCCATAGGTTGATGGCTTTGCCACTGTAAATAGAGATGTGCTGAACATGAATGCATGTATCCTTTCAGTACAATTTATTTTCCCTTGAGTGTATACAGAGTAATGAGATTACTAGGTTGAATAGTAGTTCTGTTTTAAGTTCTTTGAGAAAACTCCAAACAGCTTTCCACAGTAGTTGAACTAATTTACATCCCCAACAAGAGTGTATACACATTCGCTTTTCTCCATAGACTCACCAGCACCTTATTTTCTGACTTTTTAATAATAGCAGTTGTGACCATGTTATCTCACTGTAGTTTTGATTTGCATTTTTCTGATGATTAGTGAAGTATTTTTTTCATATGTTTGTTGGATGTTTGTATGTCTTCTTTTGAAGTGTGTCTGTTCGTGTCTTTTGTTCACCTTTTAACAGGGTTATTTGGTTTTTGCTCATTTAATTGTTTAAGTTCATTATAGATTCTGGATATTAGACCTTTGTTGATTTGCAAAGTTTGCAAATATTTGTGTAGTTTGCAAATATGTTCTCCTATTCTGTAGGTTGTCTGTTTACTCTGTTGATAGTTTCTTTTCCTGTGTGGAAGCTCTTTAGTTTAATTAGGTCCCACTTGTCAATTTTTGTTTTTGTTACAATTGCTTTTGAAGACTTAGTCATGAATGCTTTGCCAAGGCACATGTCCAGAACGGTATTTCCTAGGTTTCCTTCTAGGATTTTTGTAAGTTTGAGGTCTTACATTTAAGTCTTTAATCTATCTTGAGTTAATTTTTGAATATGGTGAAAGATAGGAAGTCCAGTTTGATTCTTCTTCATACGACTACCTAGGGATCCTAGCATCATTTATTGCATAGGGAGTCCTATCTCCATTGCTTATTTTTGTTGACTTTGTTGAAGATCACATGGTTGTAGGTGTGCAACTTTATTTCTGCATTTTCTATTCTGTTTTATTCATTGGTCTATGCGTCTGTTTTTGTACCAGTACTGTGCTGTTTTGGTTATTTTAGTCTTATAGTATAGTTTGAAGTTGGGTAATGTGATGCCTCCAGCTTTGTTCATTTTGTTTAGAATTGCTTTCACTATTTGGGATCTTATTTGATTCCATAAGAATTTTAAAATAGTTTTCTCTAATTCTGTGAAAAAATAACAGTAGTTTGATAAGAATAGCATTGAATCCGTAGATTGCTTTGAGAAGTATGACCATTTAAACAATATTGATTCTTCCAATCCGTGAGCATGGAATTTTTTTCATTGTTTTGTGTGTCATCTATGATTTCTTTCAGCAGTGTTTTGTAGTTCTCCTTGTATAGATCTTTTGCCTGTTTGGTTAGATATATTCTTAGGTATTTTATTTTTTTGTGGCTATTGTAAATGGGATTGCATTCATTGCATTCTTCATTTGGCTCTGGATTGAATGTTATTGATATATAGAAATACTACTGATTTTTGTATATTGATTTTGTGTCCTGAAACTTTACCAAAGTCATTTGTTAGTTGTAGGAGCCTTTTGGCAGGGTCCTCAGAGTTTTCAAGGTATAGAATCATATTGTCAGTAAAGAAAGAGATAATTTGACATTTTCTTTTCCTATTTGGATTCCTTTTATTTCTTTCTCTTGCCTGATTGCTCTGGCTTGGAATTTCAGTACTACATTGAATAAGGAGTAATAAGAGTGGGTATCCTTGTCTTTTTCCTGTTTTTAATGGAAAGGCTTTAAGCTTTTGCCCATCCAGTATGATGTTAGCTATGGGTTTGTCACAGACGGCTCTAATTATTTTGAGGTATGTTCCTTAGATGCCAAGTTATTGAGGGTTTTTTAATAAAGAAGGGATGTTGGATTTTAATAAAAGATTTTTCTACATTTATTATCATATAATTTTTTAAAAACTTTGTTTATGTAGTGACTCACACTTATTTATTTGTGTATGTTGAACCAGGTATAAAGCCTACTTGATCATGGCAAATTAAAATTTTTATATACTGCAGGATTTGGTTTGCTGGTATTTTGTTGTGGATTTCTGCATCTATGTTTATGAAGAATATTGGCCTGTAGTTTTCTTTGTTCATTTTGTCTTTGCCACGTTTTGGCACTAGGGTGATACTGGCTTCATAGAATCAGTTAGTGAGAAGTACCTTCTTCTTCATTTTTTGGAATATTTTCAGTAGAATTGGTCCAGCTCTTCTTTGTAAGTCTGGTAGAATTTGGCTATGAATCAGTCTGGTCCAGGGCTTTCTCTGGTTGGTAGGATTTTTATTACTGAGTCAATTTTGGAAGTTATTCTTGGTCTGTTCGGAGTTTTAATTTCTTCCTGATTCAATCTTGGAAGTTTGTGTGTTTTTAGGAATGTACTTATTTCCTCTAGAATTTCTAGTTCATGTGCATAGAGGTGTTCATAATAGTCTCTGAGGATCTTTTGTATTTCTGTGGGGTCAGTTGTAATGTCACCTTTTGTCATTTCTGATTCTGCTTAGTTGGGTAATCTCACTTTTTGTTTGTTAATCTAGCTAGTGGTCTATCAATCTTGTTTATTTATTTAAAAATAACAATTTTTGATTGATTGATTCTTTGTATGGATTTTGGAGTCAAAATTTCTTTCAGTTCTACCCTGATTTTTGTGACTTTTGTCTTCTTCTGGATTTGAGGTTAATTTGTTCTTGTTTTTTTAGTTCCACTAGGTATGATGTTACATTGCTAATTTGAGATCTTTCTGTCTTCTTGATGTAGGCATTCAGCACTATAAACTTTCCTCTTAATACTATTTTTGCTGCACCTCAGAGATTTTGGTATGTTATATATCTGTTTTTATTTATTTCAAAGAAGTTTTTGATTTCTTCCTTGATTTCATTGTTTGCCTAAAAGTCATTCAGGAGCAAGTAGTTTAATTTCCATGTAATTGTGTGGTTTTCCGAGATCTTCTTAGTATTGATTTCTATTATTTCTATTATTCCCCTGTGTTTCAAGAGTATGGTTGGTATGATTTTTATTTGTTTTAATTTATTGAGACTTGTTTTATAGTCAAGCATGTGGTTGATCTTAGAGCATATTCCATGTACAGATGAGAAGAATGTATATTCTGTGATTGATGGGTGGAGTACTCTATAGATGCCACTATTATTGTGTGGCCGTCTAAGTCTTTCTGTAGGTCTAGAAGTACTTGTTTATGACTCTGGCTGTTCCAATGTCAGATGTGTATATATTTCAGATAGTTAAATCTTCTTGCTTAATTGAACCTTGTTTTAGTTCATTTTCATGCTGCTGATAAAGACGTACTCGAAACTGGAAACAAAAAGAGGTTTACTTGGACTTACAGTTCCACATGGCTGGGGAGGGCTCATAATCATGGCAGAGGGCAAAAGGCACTTCTTATGGTGGCGCCTTGGTGGTGGCAAGAGAAAAAAGAGGAAAAAGCAAAAGCGGAAACCCCTGATAAACTCATCTGATCTGGTGAGACGTATTCACTGTCATGAAGATAGCATGGGAAAGACTGGCCCCCTAATTCAATTACCTCCCCCTGGGTCTCTTCCACAACATTTGGGAATTCTGGGAGATACAACTCAAATTGAGATTTAGGTAGGGACACCTCCAAATTATATCATTCTGCCCTTGGCCCCTCCAAATCTCATGTGCTAACATTTCAAAGCCAATCATGCATTCCCAACAGTCCCCCAAAGTCTTAACTCATTTCAGCATTAGTCATTTCAGCAAAGTCCACAGTCCAAAGTCTCATCTGAGACAAGGAAAGTCCCTTCCACCTATGAGCCTGTAAAATCAAAAATCAGCTAGTTACTTCCTAGATACAATGGCGGTACAGGTATTGGGTAAATATAGCCATTCCAAATGGAAGAAATTGACCAAAACAAAGGGGTTACAGGGCCCATGGAAGTCCAAAATCCAGTAGGGCAGTCAAATTTTAAAGCTCCAAAATGAACTTCCTTGACTCCAGGTCTTACATCCAGGTCATTCTCATGCAACATGTGGGTTCCCATGGTCTTAGGCAGCTCCACTGCTGTGGCTTTGCAGGGTATAGCCTCCCTCCTGACTGCTTTCACAGGCTGGTGGTGAGTGTCTGCAGCTTTTCCAGGCGCACAGTTTAAGCTGTCGGTGGACCTACGATTCTGGGGTCTGGAGGACAGTGGCCCTCTTCTCACAGCTCTACGAGGCAGTGCCCCAGCAGGGACTCTATGTGGGGGGTCTGACCCCACATTTCCCTTCTGCACTGCCCTAGCAGAGGTTCTCCATGAGGGCCCCACCCCTGCAGCAAACTTTTGCCTGGGCATCCAGGCATTTCACTACATTTTCTGAAATCTAGGCGGACGTTCCCAAACCTCAATTCTTGACTTCTGTGCAGGCTCAACACCACATGGAAGCTGCCAAGGCTTGGATCTTCCACCTTCTGAAGCCATAGACCAAGCTCTACATTGGCCCCTTTTAGCCATGGCTGGGGCAGCTGGGACAACAGGGCACCAAGTCCCTAGGCTGCACACAGCATGGAGACCCTGGGCCCAGTCCAAAAAAATCACTTTTTCCTCCTGGGCCTCTAGGCCTATGATGGGAGGAGCTGCCGTGAAGGTCTCTGACATGGCCTCAAGACAAACTATTTCTAACCTTTATCATTACAGGGGTGTGACTGTACAGAATATTGGGTAGAGTCTTTTGACTTTGCTCTGTAGCTATGTGCGCTTCTGTCAGCAGGTTTTATATTGGGCTGTGTGGTGTAACCTACAGGCCAGTAGATGGTGCTTTTGGGTAAGAGGAGCTACAGCCAACAGGGATGGGTATGTACTTGATCCTTGTTTACTGAGAGAAGCTCAGATTAATGTTATTTTCATGCCTGCTAACACATCATTCATTGGTTGGCTCCATTGCCTATGGATCAAGAAATATTTTTGACTTTCAAGTCTTATTATGTAAGCAATATATTTTGTAAGGCTATAGCTTCCATAGATAGTAATTCCTCTGATGGATCTGGGCAAAGTACATTGGGAAACTGGAAAGGATTAACCATTTTAAGTACCCTTAAGAACATTCATGTTTCATGTGAGGAGGTCAAAGTATTAACGTTTAAAAAAGTTTGGAAGAAGTTAATTCCAACCCTCATGGATGACTTTGAGGAATTCAAGACTTCATTGGAGGAAGTAACTGCAGATGTGGTGGAAGTAGCAAGAGAACTAGAATTAGAAGTGGAGCCTACAAATGTGACTAAATTGCTGCAATCTCATGATAAAATTTGAACAGATGAAGAGTTGCTTTTTATGAATGAGCAAAGAAAGTGGTTTCTTGAGACATAATCTACTCCTGGTGAAGATGCTGTGAATATTGTTAAAATTACAACAAAGTGTTTAGAATATTACATCAACTTCATTGATAAAGCAGATATAGGTTTTGAGAAGATTGACTCACATTTTGGATAAAGTTCTACTGTGGGTAAGATATTAAATACTATGATATTTTACAGAGAAATCTTTCATAAAAGGAAGAGTAAATCCATGTGGCAAACTTCATTGTAGTCATATTTTGGTCAATTGCCACAGCCACTTCAGCTGTCAGCCACCACCACGCTGGTCAGTCAGATCATCAAAATGGAGGCAAGACCCTCCACCAACCAAAATATTATGACTCACTGAAGGCTCAGATGATCATTAACATTTTTAATCTATAAAGCCTTTTTAATAAAGGTATGTATATGTATTGTTTTTTAGAAAAATGCTATTGCACACTTAATACACTGCATCATAGTGTAAACATAACTTTTATGTGCACTGTGAAACAAAAAAAATTATGGGACTCACTTTATTGCAATATTTGCTTTATTGCAGTCGTCTGAAAATGAACTCACAATATCTCTAAGGTATGTCTATACATACATATCCTGTTGGTTCTGTTGGTCTGGAAAATGCTAATACACCACCTGAGGAGACTTTAGGCTAGGACTCATGCCCTGTGCCTTACTACCCAGTGTTCTTTCAACTTTTAATTGACTGCCTGCAAAAGCCACTAAAGGAAGTTATTAAGTGGACAAATGGTTTCCCTATTTGGAGATATATCACCTTGATGTATCTCTATTAGCATTAAATACTTTCCAGATCTCCTACCTCAAGAAGAAAAAGATAGGGCTCAGATTTAGATAAGGGCCAAAAAGCAGGAGCAGATGTCAGTTCTAGGAAACCAGAGAGCTAAGGCAGGAAGTGCTCTCTCAAGATGATGGGAGATGCCAAGACCACACCAACAGACAGAGAAAGCAACAGGCTGCAGCACCAGGATATTAACTGATGAGAAACCAAGAGGAGAGCCAAATCCTAGGGAGACAGGACAAGGTGTCAAAAGAGCCAAAAATCCAAACTAGACCAATAAAAGCAGGCACAAATACAGATGACAGGAATAAGTTTCAATGGTTCACTCAACAATTACTTATTATGCATCTGACATGTTTCAGGCACTGTTGTAAGCACAGAGGATGAAATGATGAGCAAAGGAGACATAATCCCTGTCCTCAAGGGGTTTGGAGACTACCTTTTGCATTATCTGGAATAATGATTTTGAGCTGAGAAGCAGAGAGGGCATAACTTGCCATGAGCTTGCTTGTACATCTCCAGGGGAACAGGGAAGAGATGTGTAATTTTTAAAATGCGTATTCCAAATGATCCTATACATTTCTACTGGAGAGCAATTTTTAAAATCTATTGTTTTCATAACATAGACTACGGAAAGTAAATCTTGGCAAGTTCTTCTTCCAGAAAGGGCAGTTTGAGAAATATTTGCCAAGAATATCAGCAAGCATTTTCAGCTTGCTTTTATTACCTGGCAAAGCTGGGATGCAGAAGATTGTTGACTTGCAATACAAGACCAAAATGAAGCAGATATATGTTCATTCACAGGCACACATCAATTACATGTCCTCCAGCTCCTGTTTCCCCTGCTCCCGCCTCATATACCTACACACACTTGTACATAGACATGCTATCTGAACAGGGTCTTTTATCCATCACTTCATTCAGCAAGACATGCTGACCATATGCCAGACCCTGTGCTAGGTACTAAGAATGTAGTCCCTGTCCACATGTTGCTTCCTGTCTGCTGGAAGAGCAAAACAATAAGCAAATGCTTGCATTAAGCAAAACAATAAGCAAATGTACATGACAAACTGAGTATGCAGCTAAAATGGAGAGATGTGTAATTCTGTGAGAGCAGAGCTGAGGAAACCCAGCCCAACCCAGGGTGTCAGGAGGAAAGTGAAGTGAAGTGATTTGACTAATTTAGGTCAGATACATGGTCCTCTTTTCAGAGCCATGGAACATCTTCTTATTCTTTTCCAATCCATATCTTATCTGTGTATCACACAAGAAGGTAGCAAGAAGAGGGCAGAGGCCATCAAATCCGGTGTCAGAATGACTGATAGAAGTGCTATAACCCTTCTGAAAATATTACCTGAATATCACGCAGACTGTAAGTGTGGCTCTTCCTCAGTCCTTTAAGATTTTCATAAATCCTGCTTGTAAGAAAGCACTGCTAACACTCACAACACAGCACTTATTTGCAGCCTTTTGATTTTCACCAGGTGAGGCACAGTCATTACTAATTCAGCCAAATAGTTCAGCTTCAACAAGTCATTGGCCCCAGCAGTTTGGAGAAAGCAAAACAAAACAAAACAAACATATATTCTGGGCCTGGTTTATGACCCCCAAGGCCAAATGCTTGGCATTTTCTGATGCTTCTTTATGAGATATTCTTAGGGAATGGATATGTTTGTTAATTTTTAATCTGCTCCTCTTTGCATAAATAAGAAGACAATTGGGTTCATTCTATAGCTCAGATGCATATATTTACCTCTGCTGATGCAATCAATAAGCATTTCTGACTACCTACTATGAACCAGGCTCTCCCAGTTGCTGACAGACAAGCAGGGAGACAGAGATGCAAATAAATAAATGCAATAAACCAGGGGAAGTGTGAAACCAGAGTCAGAGACTAAATGTCTGAGAGAGGAGAGGGTGAGGGATTGCTCTGTAGGGAAAGTACTATTCTAGCGGCGATGCAAGGTGAATAGCTTCCCAGGCAGGGCATGGAGAGGAGGGTGGTGAGGAGGAGCAGTGGCTCAAGCAGAGGAAACAGCCTTTTCAAAGGTGCAGAGGTGAAGAAGAGCCTAGTCATTTGTAAGCAGAAAACGGTTCAGTATGCCCTGCAAGCCTGAGGTATGAGGAGGTGGGGAGTGGTGAGCAGCAGGAATGGTGAGGGGGACTTGCAGCTTTGAATGCCATGTTAAGAGGTTTGGGCTTATCCTAGAGACAAAAAGCAATCTCTGAAGAATTTTCAGCAGAAATGATGTTGCCATCGGATTTGTTGTTTCAGAAACATCGCCCTGGTAACCGTGCAAAGGATAAACTGGAATGAAGAGAACAAATGCAGGGAGATACACCAGGAGGCCACAGCAGCATGGGTGTGAGCCCAGAAAGCCTGTCCCATCTGGTTTTACGATTCCCAGAGCCTGTTTCCTCCACATCAGTTCGGCTCCAGGACTATTCTTTTAACCAGAAATTGTGTTTATTTCAAAATTTCTCCTGGGATCCAGCACTGGGTACATCAAATTGGGCGAGGATTGGGAGGGAATCTTGCAAAGCTTTAAAAGTCAAATATTCCAGATTCCTTTTTTGTACATCCTCCACAACCTCAGCCCTGGAGGATAACATTCCTGACCATTGATAATCCATGGTTTAGATTCAGAACCTTTGTTCACTTTTGAAGACTCTCTCACATAACCATGGAAACTTGTTCTTGGAGACAGAGGACATCTAATCACCACACTTCACTTTACAGAGGAAATACAGTCCGTGCAAGATAAATGAAGTGATTTAGCCCAGGTTATCGCATATTGTAAATTACAAGATCTAAACCATTATTGGCACAGCATAATGGCTTATCATGATCAATCATGGATGTTTAAAAAGTAATATGTCAGTAGGCGAATGGATTAATAAACTAGTCCATCCGGCCAGTGGAATATTATTCAGTACCAAAAAAAAACAATGAGCTATCAAGCCATAAGAAGAGATGGAGGAAATGTAAATGCATTTTTCTAAGTGAAAGAAGCCAATCTGAAAAGGCTACATACTATATGATTTTAACTCTATGACATTCTGGAAAAGGCGAAACTATGAAGATAGTAAAGTGAACAAGGGTTGCCAGGGGTTAGGGGAGAAGGAGACACGAATAGGTAGGGAACAGGGAATTTCTAGGGCGGTGAAACTACTCTGTATGGTATTAAAATGATGGACACATGTCATTACACATTCTTCCAAATTCATACAATGTACAATGTTAAGAGTGAAACTGATGTAAACTGTGGACTCTGGGTGATGATGATGTGTCAATGCAGGTTTGTCATTGCAATAAACATACTACTTTGGTGGGGGATGTTGAGAATGAGCAAGGCTATGCATCTGTGGAGGACGGGGTATACATGGGAAATCTCTATACCTCCCACTCAATTTTAATATGTATCTAAAATTGCTGATATGCCTTCGCTCTGTGTCCCCACCCAAATCTCATCCTGTAACTCCCATAATTCCCACGTGTTGTGGGAGGGACCCAGTGGAAGATGACTGAATTGTGGGGGTGGGTCTTTCCCATGCTGTTCTTGTGATAGTGAATGTGTCTCACAAGATCTGATTGGTTTTAAAATGGTTTGAAAAGTTTCCCTGTGCAGGCTGGGCGCAGTGGCTCACACCTGTAATTCCAGCACTTTGGGAGGCTGAGGCGGGCAGATCATGAGGTCAGGAGTTTGAGACCAGCCTGGCCAATATGGGGAAACCCTGTCTCTACTAAAAATACAAAAATTAGCCGGGCATGGTGGCGTTCGCCTGTAGTCCCAGCTACTCGTGAGGCTGAGGCAGAAGAATCACTTGAACCAGGGAGGTGGAGGTTGCAGTGAGCTGAGATCATGCCACTGCACTCCAGCCAAGGCGACAGAGAGAAACTCTGTCAAAAAAAAAAAAAAAAAAAAGTTTCCCTGCGCAAGCCCTTTGCCTGCTGACATCCATGTAAGATGTGACTTGCTCCTCCTTGCTTTCCACCGTGATTGTGAGGCCTCCCAGCCATGTGGAACCGTAGGTCCAGTAAACCTCTTCCCTTTGCAAATTTTCATGCTCTATCAGCAGCGTGAAAACAGACTAATACAACTGCTATACAAATAAGTGGTTATCTTGTGTTCTCAAATGTGTTCTTGAGTTGGTGAGAAATAGATAGAGATTGCTGTGAAATGAGATCAAGCGTAACCAGTACTCTGTCCTTGATACACGGCAGTATTATTGGCATCTGTGCAACTATACTGTATAAAGACAATTGGTAGCAAGTGACAAAAACTCAACTTGAGTTGGGTTTAGCTTTAAAACAAAAGTAAATGATTGGAAACTTCATTTAACTGCATAAAGGGCTGAGCTGCAGGTAGTCTCAGAAACAATTGGAAGCACTCAAACATTCCAGGAAACCTCCACATCTCATCTCTGCTTCTTTCTCTTGGGGTTGGGTCATCTTTTGTCTCTCAGGTACACTTGATCCTTTTTAGCAAAGGGCAAACATGGACAAAATATGGTGGCTAGAGACTCACAGAACTCATCTCTTTTAACTTTACCCAAAAAGACTGTGTCCCAACCCCTCACACAGACTCTCCCCACAAAAGTCAAAATACAAAATTTGATTGGGTTTAACTTATGATACATTTTCCACCCCCATCAACCAGCTGAAGTCCTCAGACCAGAAGTTGCCACTATAACCACATAGTTGTAGTTGGGGACAAAACAATTTATCAAGTTGAATAAAGAAGAGATCCCAGAAAAATTGTTAGAGTCATAGATTTCTTCTACTACAATTGGTTTCACTGATAATGAGTACAAATAATTGTAGAACTTTATTTTATTGCATTTGTTTTTTAGTTTTTAGTTTCGTAAGGATGGCAATATTTTATTTGTATGAGTATCATCTATCATAACTTTTCTTTATTACTTGTGTTAATTTCTAACTAATGTATACAAAGACTTTTCCACAAACAAAACTTTAAATTTAAAGAAAATCATAATTTCGAGGTTTTTTTTTTATTTCCCCACAGGGACCATCATTCATTCATTGTATGTTGCAAGCACTTGAGGTACACTCATTCTAGTGTTAGGCACAGTTATATTAAGATGCACAAGAATAGAAGAGCTTCCTGAGGACAGGGGACAGCACATCAACTCAGGGTGAAATCTGAGCACTGAGGGTCAATCCACAGTCATCAACCAGAGTCCCTCTCTGAAGAATATGTGAGAAAAGGACCAGAAAGATCTGCCAATTAGCACTGGAACATGAAGAGAAGTGAAGGGGCCCGGGTCTGGGAGTTATAGAAACCACAATGCAGGATGCTCCTGTGATAGAAACAAGAAGAAAGAATGACTTACTCTGCCTGCCGATGCTGAGGAAAGTTTTGTAATACTAATGTGAGCAGATTTCTGAAGGGTGAATATGGGCTTCCCAGGTAATAGAGGAAGAAAGGCAGAAGTGTTGAAGGAACTGACATATGAAAAGAAATGGTGCATGGAAGTGTGTGACATGTGGACTTGAAAAGGCCACTATAACTGTAAAGAAAATAAACCTACTCAGCCTAACCAAGAGAGAGGGAAGGAGGGAGGAAGAAAGGGAAGGAGGAAGAAAATAAAGGGAAAGAAGGAAAGAAAAGGAGAGGAGTGGAGAGGAGATGAGGGGAGGGGAGGGGAGAGGAGAGGACAGGAGAGGAGAGAGAAGAAGGGAAGGGAAGGGAAGAAGGAAGGGAGTTTGAAAGTATAGAATTTGACTCCTGGGACTCCAAGACAAATACCCATTGTCCATCTGGGGCATTGAGGGGGCTATTCAGGCACGGGCAATATGGCCACTCTCTCGGTTTCTCAAATGAAAGCTCTCACTTCAATTCTCTTTCATGTCATTTCTGCCTTTCTACATGCATCTACTCTGTTCTAGTTTTGCTCAAAATTGTTATTCTACTTACTTATCAGCTTGTACAAGGCTTAAGATGACCAACCCCCACCCCTGCAGCCCCAGACCTCTTACTCCACATAACCTTTCTCTTCATGTCTCACAGCTCTCCATAAAACAGTCTGTCTCTCTGAAAATTCTGAAGAAAGGTAGGGAGCAAGGAAGGAAGGAAAGAAAGAAGGAAGGAAGGAAAAGAAAGAGTGACTTAGTTCAATTGTTTGATGGTCCTCCTAGGGCTTGTTTCTTTTAGATTGAGATGCATCCTTTGCCTGTATAGTGGAGCCCCTGAAGGCCTTCCCTGGGATCCTTCTTAGTAGAAGGGATAGTAACCTGGTGGATGAGCTGAAGGGCACATGCTTGGAAAATGATGAGACTGACGGAGCAGCTGGAACACAAAGCAGTTCTTTACTTGCCCTGCTACGGAACTTTAGGAGAATCAAATCCACAACCAAGCAACACCAGAACCAGCATCTGTAAGAACGGTGAGACCAGTTCTCAATCCAAGAAACAGTCTGATTATATATGGTCAAGGACAGCATGAAATAATACAAAGAGATGCCAGGAGCCAAGTAGGGATAATGCCAAGGCTTTAGTGATACATACCACTGAATTCAGCCAGGTAAGCCTGTCTATATGACTACATGTTACATTTATCCTGGATGATGTCTTTCTCATCTGGGGCCACACTGAATGGACCAGTGTAGCACATGAATGAGTTGCTGCTCCACAATGTTTTTCAGATTTCAGGTGGAAATTCATTACCATAGCTTAAGTGCCATCCTTAGTCATTCTAACATTTTGTGATGCTTTTCCAAATGACTGTGGCTACACTCAAATCTAATGTCATAATACAAAATATTGTTCTTTCTTTCCATGTTATTTGAGCTGATGTTTTATGGGGAAACAGCCAAGAGTGTAAATTCTTATAAAATTTTTGAGAAGCAGAAACAGAAATTTTGTGTTAGAAAAATAAAGTGGTCTTAAGAATATGTTCTCCTAGGAACCAGCAATGTCCTAGAAATCAGCTCCCTTGGAAGCTCTGTGTCCCATTTTTCCTAGTCTTGATCAAAGCTGGTACAGAAAGGAGGAGAGGAAAACTGTAAAATAATCATCATTCACACTAGAACCTATAGAATGTTCCTCTCACGTTTCCTGAGAGCTGGATTTACATGAAGGCTTTTCTTAGCATCTTATTTACTTATTAATTTGGGTGCTAAGAGTTTGTTTATTTTTTAAAGCAGAGGTGAGAGGAGAACTAGAAAAGAGAAGAAAATAAAAGTCTCTCTTGAGTAGTTTTTTTCTAGGCAGGAGCTAGACATCAGCTCAGTTGGATTGGAGGCTGTAAGCAGCACATTAACTTTTAACAAGCTTAAATGCAGGTAATTGCTATCCATGTAACACCTAGAACTGCCTCTTTCTAGCCACTTGTTTCAATTTGCAGTTCATTTTTGAGTTAAGTATCTCAGATTACAGAAGATGGACATGTGCCCATTTATCTATGGGTAGGAGGAAGTAACAAAGGAAAAAGCCCATTCATCATTAAAACCATCCTCATTATCATTATTGTCACTATCATCCTCTTCATCATCATCATTATCACCACTACTGAGCTTCTGCTGTGTGCCAGGCTCTCATCTAAGCTTCTTGTGTACATCACCTTATAAGGGATGTACACACTCTATAACGTAGATACTATTACTGTGCACTCTTCTGCAGATGAGGAAAGTGAGACTTCCAGAGATAGTATAAATTGCCTAAAGTCACTGAGTTGTTAAGGGAGCTTGCACTGAAATCCAGATCTTTCTGGTTCCACACTTTATGTTCTCAACTAGGGTGCTGCACACATCCTAAGGGATCTCAATCCTGAGATTATTCAACTTCTGAATAAGGAAATCAATTCATAAATAGGGAGCTCATCCGAATCAGAGTCCTAAGTTCTGTGTTTCAGTCCAGACAATCAGTAAATCATTTTTTTGAACTTGGTGAGGTTAATTACAGCTGGACCTTGGTTTCCCCATTTCTACCGTGGGGATTGGGCCAGTTGATCTCAGAAATGTCTTCCAATCCTGATATTCTGTGATGTGGTGATTTGGGGACTACCTATCCATACTAGATTTCTTCAAAGCAAAAGGGCAAGATCTCCCAGTTCCCTCATCTGTAAATGGGATTGGCATCCTTGATTTCTATCGAGAGGTCAAAAATCTGTCTCATAAATGTTTTGCAAAAATATGCCAATGAGGTTAATGTTCAAACATTTTGTTTCATCTTCTCCCACATCCAGCAAGAACTGTTACTTCCATCCCCCTCGGCCATAGGCAGATGCCGTCAACATCCCGAGGCTCTACAAGCTCCAATAGTCTTAGAGGCTAAAAGGGTAAGCAATGCTTACTTTTAAAATTACATTTTTTGCTTCATGAAAAGATCCACTAAATAAACGCTTTAAATAGCAATCTCTTTTAGAACATTTAAAAGTAATTCAATTTACTTCTTCAGATACACATTTACCATATCAAGCAAGGGCTGCCTTTATCTCCAACCAGAGTTTTGAATATTTATCAGTCTAATAAAAGCAGAGACCTTTTATTCTTATAAAGGAAAATATATAAATTCACTGAAAGTGCATTCATTGCTGGCCTATTTATTAAGCACTGAAAACTGGGCTAGGTACTGGGAATAAAAGTGTGAGCAAGATTGGTGCGGCGACTTTCTGCACAGAATTCTTAAGTCCAGTATGTCAGTAGATAATTTTGAAAGTGATAGCTTAAAATGAAATAAACGCTATGATGGGAGAAGTATAGGTTTTATAGACACTCCAAGTGTGAGCATGTCATGGGAGACTTTCTGGAGCAAGTGATATTTTTACTAAGACCTGAGATCAGAAGGAAGTAGGTGAGGGAAGGTGGGTGGGTATGAGGAGATTGTTCCAGAAAAAGGAAAAACAAGTATGAAGATTCAGGAAAGAGAAAGCATGACATACTGAAGTCACTCATAGAAACATAAGATAAGAGTATCTGAAACATGAAGTTGTTCAAGTAGATAGGGGTCATCTCAAGAAGGACCATAAAAGCCTTCTTGAGACCTCAGTCTGAGTAACTTCAGGGAAGTCACTTAACTTCTCTGATTTGCAGACTTTCAATCTGAAACATGAGTGGTTTAGAATAAATAATGTCCAAGGCCTCTTTCAACTATGAATTTAACATCACAGCGTAAGGCAGGGGATAAGACTGGGGAAATAACTTTACCAGAACTTCATTAGAGGTGTAAGGTGATCAAGTTAAGGGTGCACTCATTTCTTTATTAAATAGTTCCTTAAACCTATTTATGTTCCAGCAACAAAATTAGACAGAAGTGATCATTAAACAAGTACTTACAAAAATAATCTGCAAATATTATGTTTTAATTATTATATAGTCAAAAATAATTACATAGTCAAATTTTATAAAGTGTTATGAAGGAAAATAAAGTTCTAATAAAGAATATCTACCATAAACCTACAGAAACATCATACTTTATAATAAAACATTAGGAATATGTCAGGAATATCTTCTGTGATTTCCATTAAACCCTGTAATGAATATTCTAGCCAGAACAATAAGACAAAAAAATAGAAAAGAATAAAGATCAGAAAGGAAAAAACAAAATCATTGCTTTTTTTTTTTTTTTTTGAGATGAGGTCTCACTCTGTCGCCCAGGCTGGATTGCAGTGGCGCCATCTCCGCTCACTGCAAGCTCCGCCTCCCGGGTTCACGCCATTCTCCTGCCTCAGCCTCCCGAGTAGCTGGGACTACAGGCACCCGCCACCACGCCCGGATAAAGTTTTTGTGTTTTTAGTAGAGACAGGGTTTCACCGTGTTAGCCAGGATAGTCTGGATCTCCTGACCTCATGATCCGCCTGCCTTGGCCTCCCAAAGTGCTGGGATTACAGGTGTGAGCCACTGTGCCCGGCCAAAACCATTGCTTTTAACAGACAACAAGATAATTTAAGTGGAAAATCTCAGAATATTTCAAACCATTGGAATTAATAAAAAGCACATCAAAGTTGAAGAAAAAAGGGTTGATTAAAAAATCAATTGCTATCTTATACGATTGTTATATAAGAAATTGAAGGCTTAAAATGCCATTTCTAGTATACGATTTGCAAGTTCTTTAAGAAAAAATTTACAAAACTTTATAAGTACATTTAAAAAGATCTAAATGAATTGGTGATAACCATATTTATGAATGGAGAACCCCAACATTATTGCAATGTCAATTCTCCTGAAATTGATCTAAGATTAAATGCAATTCTAACCAAAATCACAAAGAGCTATTTACAAAACAAGCTGTTTCTAACATTTATTTGTACAAGAAAAGTGTCAAGAATATCTATGACAAATATGATTTATAGGATAAGATATCAAACTTTATAAGAAATTTATAACAATTAAAACAGTGTGGCAGTTGCCTATTAACAGATAAAAATAACCAATGGTATAAAACAGAGACTTCAGAAACAGATCTGTGGCCATTTTGATATTTGAATACAGTCAATCAGTGGGGAAAGAATGAACTATGCAATACATAAGGCTGAGGAAATGATATTTATTTTAAAAAATAGTAAGATCTTTGCATAATACCTACTCCAAACAAATTCACATGAATTAATAACCTAAATGTGAGAAAGTAAAATCTGTGTATCCAAAAATATGTAACTACCTTTTCATACCAAGGAGTATATGATTTCTTAAATTGGACACAAAATGCCTAAACTGTAAAGACTATATTTGCCTGCACTGAAATTTTAAATTTCTGCTTAGGAAAGACACCACAGTTTCTTTTTTAAATAAGTCCCAGACAAGCTATCCATTTATTTAAGAAAATATTAATATACATCATTTATAAATAGTTCTTACCAATCAATCCAAAAGAGGCAAATGACTAAAAAGAAAAATGAGCAAAATATGTAAATAAACAAGTCATAGAGGTGAAAACATAAATGACCAAGGAACACAAGTTGATGTTCAATTTCCCTATAAATAATACAATAAAAATTATATCTTACATCAATTCAAGGGAAGGAAGGAAGGGAAGAAGAAACAAAGAGAAAAGAAAAGAAAGAAAACCTGTTAATACAAACTGTTGGTGAGGATGTGGAAGAATGGTACTTTGTATGTACATTAGATGAGAGCTTGAGTTAGTACAACAATTCTGAGAATTATTTTGATAATATCTAGAAAGTTAAAAATAAATATGTACCCTAGAGAAACTCTTATGTATAGAGTTAAATATTCATCCACAAGAATGACAATGCAGTGATGTTACTAAAAGCGAAAAATTGGAGAACGCCTAAATGCCCCCAAAGGAGCACTAATAATAAATCATGCTGTAGTCATAGAATGAATACCAGACAACAGTTAATATGAATGCTCCAGTGTTATATGTGTCAACGTAGATTAAACGTCAGAATGCTGCACTCACAAAAAAGTAGGTTGTACAAGAGTGTCATTCATAACAATGTTAATAAACTGCCAAATATAGATTATCTATCAATCCATATATAGATAGATATTGATATATTGATAGATATCTATAGATAGATATATCAATATAGATAGATGATAGATGATAGATAATAATCATGCATGGGGATAATAAATATAAATTTCAAAAAATAATTACCTCTGGGGGTGGTAAGAAGGAAAATGGGATTGGTGAAACACTTGAATTTATACAAAAACATTTTATAATAATTTTCAAAAGAGAAAAGAGACATTTTCTGCTTCTGTGTTGAGTGAGGCTGAATACAAGTAAAATAAATACTAAAAAATATCCATAGGATTCAGCAACATGGATGACACTGGTGGCCTAAGAAGTATTTTCTTTCTTTCATAGAGCAAGTATACATGTGTGTTGGTTCTTGGTAATCTATTGCTATATAACAAACTATCCAGAATTTAGCAGCTTAAAGTAGCAAGCACTTATTATCTTAATGGTTTCTGAGGGTCAGGAGCTTAGAAATGACATAACTGGGTGGCTCTGGCTAAGGCCCTTTCATGGGGTTGCAGTCACGATGTCAGCTTGGGCTGCCTGAAACCTTCAAGACCTGAAGACTTGAATGGGGCTGGAAGAACTGCTTCCAATGTGACTTCCTCACAGGACTGGAGAGTTAGTTGTGATGGTTGCCAGGAGGCCTATTTCTCACCACGTGGACCTCTTGAGTGTCCTAGTGATGTAGCAGCTGCTTCCTCTCTGAGAAACTGATTCAAAAAAGAAGTCATAACCCACACTATCTTTTATGACCTAGTTTCTAATATTGCATACTATCACTTCTGCTTTATTTTGCTCAATAGAAGTAAGTTGCAAAGGTGCAGTCCACACTCAAGATAGGGAGAATTAGTCTTCACCTCTTGAAGGGAGGAGTGTCAAAAAATGTATGATGAACTTTCAAACCATCACAATGCATTGTAAGATCTTTGTGCTCTGAGACATGTAAATATAATATTAGATGTAATTTCTGCTGTCCAGAATACAGTTTTGTAAAGGAGTTAAGTCACATACAGGGCAGTTCACATCCAAGACCTGAAAGAGTAGGGGCAGTCAGATAGGCTGCTGATAATAGTTCAGTGAAAGGAGATGGAAATCTTCTTACCCCAGAGACCAGAAGGCTTTGTGAAGGGTATGGGATCATTGAAGATCCTAGAATATAAACAGCATGATGGGAACAGCATTGGTGAGTGCTTGAGATCACAGAAACTATGCATCCAAAGAATATTTTATTTACTATTATTATAGAAGACATCATATTTTATTAGAATAGTTGCTTATGGAGATTTTCCCCAGGTAGATAGAAATTCACATGCTATCCTCAGAGCCTTTGTGTTTCCTCAGAGCCAGGACTGAATATTCTCCACTTGTGTGTCCTCAGGAGCTATTCCTATGCCTGGCACCTGGTAAGTCACTCATAATAGTTTGTTGAAGGAAATATGTGTTGCAAAATAGAATGAACAAATGAGTAAGTGAATGACTGGGTCAACAAATGAATTCTCTGCTGCCAAGATGCTGGCCCAGACTATTTGTGTGGGAGAACAGAAACAGGATGGACACATAAGAAGTGAAAAAAAGTACAGAGTGTTGAGATTCCTTGGTCTACATGAAGGCCAAAGCATAACCAGAATGAGTACCAGCCTCCACTGTCTCAGAGGCAAGGGAACAGTCCCTCTGGTCTTGCAGAATTCCCACCATAAGATGTCCAAAAGCCAATCAAATTCTAGCCATCCTTGTCTAGATAAGCAGACATAGCTGCCTCTCCCTGCCTGCCTTCACTCAGAAATTATCATCTTTTCCTGTCTTTCAGTTGCCCACCCCGAACCCTATACTATTTATAGGCTTCTGAGCTAAACCTTCACTTTGTCCTAGACCACTAGCATTTATAGGAGTATAATATGCAAGATCATCAGATAAAAAAAAAATGGCACTTGGAGGGAGTGAGGATAGGTCTGTGCCTTAATACATTGGAAAAGCATTGGACTCTTTACAATCCTCCCTCAGTCCCCATGATGTACAATGTATAAATTCTGGCAGTCAAGAATTCTATTTAACATTTTTAAAAAGTTTGCTTCTCAAACGTATTTGACCTCAGGATGCTTTTCATTGTAAAATTAATGATGATGAGAATGACAATAATATAATGCAACTGACTTCTTTTTTTTTTTTTTTTTTTTTTTTTTTTTGAGACGGAGTCTCGCTCTGTCACCCAGGCTGGAGTGCAGTGGTGCGATCTCGGCTCACTGCAAGCTCCGCCTCCCGGGTTCACGCCATTCTCCTGCCTCAGCCTCCCGAGTAGCTGGGACTACAGGCACCCGCCACCACGCCCAGCTAATTTTTTGTATTTTTAGTAGAGACGGGGTTTCACCATGTTAGCCAGGATGGCCTCAATCTCCTGACCTCGTGATCCGCCCGCCTCGGCCTCCCAAAGTGCTGGGATTACAGGCGTGAGCCACCGTGCCCGGCCTGTAACTGACTTTTTTTTATATGTTCACCATTGTGCTGAGAACTTTATGTAACCTATCCATTGGCCTTAGAAGAACTTTATGATGTGGATATTCTTACCATTCCTATGTATAGATGAAGAAATCACAATACAGAGAGTTTAAATAACAACCCCAGGCAAAGAACTAGGAAGTTGCCAAGATGAGATCTGAATCCAAGTCTACTTGGTTCCAGGGCCTATGGTTTAACACCAAATAAACCATTCTGTCCTGGAGAACATTTTCTGAAAAGCATTGTCCTAACCTCTTTTCAAATGCATCCTCCCTCTTCACCACCTTGTGCCCTGATAATGTGCGCTCTCCTCCTCATCTTTAGTGTTCATCTTCTAGTCTTCCTGCCAGGTTTTCCTAGTTCATTGTAGGCTCTCAACAAATATCCCATGAATGGATGCATCCTATCCAATGCTAATTAAGTAGTTGAAAGTATTCCCATGAGAAAACTCATACAAACATGTGTGTGTATATATTGTCAATTCAATACTTGTAGAATATGTTATATTTTTCTCATTTTTTTTTTTTTTGAGATGGAGTCTCGCTCTATCGCCAGGCTGGAGTGCAGTGGCGAGATCTTGCCTCACTGCAACCTCCGCCTCCCTGGTTCAAGAGATTCTCCCGCCTCAGTCTCCAAAGTAGCTAGGACCACAGGCACGCGCCAACATGCCTAATTTTTGTATTTTTAGTAGAGATGGGATTTCACCATGTTGGCCAGGATGGTCTCCGTCTCTTGAGCTTGTGATCCGCCTTGCCTCGGCCTGTCAAAGTGCTGGGATTACATGTGTGAGCCACCGTCTCATGAATTTTTTAAAAAGAATCTCATGCAGATCTTCCTGACCGCTTGCATTATCTTCATCAATATTCTGCATCCCACAGGGCTCCAGTAAAATCCGTTTGGCTGATTAATCCTCACTTTCACCATAATTAAAAGTAAGACTCAGTCGCTGCTTGAGCAGCTCTCAGTTGGATAAGAATTCACACAGTGGTCTGTCTACTTTAATCCATGGCAGGGGAGTTCCTGAAAGGGAGGAAAGCCCCAAACTGTTCAAAGGTGGGGCCAGCTGGGATTCCAAAGAAAGAAGCACCAAACAACAGGGTGATCAGGCTAAAGCATTTATTCATTCATTCATTCATTCATTCATTCATTCATTCATGTATTCATTTATTTATTATTCCAAAGCATTTATTAGGGGAATTTACACACAGAGAGGGCTTCAGCGTGTCCTCACAATAGACATAGAACGAAAGAGATGTTCTACTTCATTGAGTCCATATCACGGGGGTTGAGGTATGGAGTTTGTGTGAGGGTTTAAGAGATCTGGCTAAAGCCACAGGCTAGTTTCTTTCAATGTTTTGAGCAACAACCTAAACACCTTCATCAGGGCCTTAGAATGTTCAAGCCCCCAGCTCGGGTTCAAGCCGACAGGGGAAATCATGCAGCTGGACAGGTCAAAATACTTTTCATTTCTCAGTCAGGACAGAGAAAAAAGTGGGGAAAACTGAAGAAGCCTACACCCCCCCTCACACAGACACACACACACACCCACACACACACAGATTACTGTGTTACAATGTTAGAGCGGCCATCAGAAAAGTCTCAATACCTCTCTCTTTTCAGTTCACAAGAAGCAGCTGAATGTGGGCTGACACACAGTTCTGAAATGGCAGGTAGAAATTTGCATGCTAATCATTTTCTAGGCATCCCTCCTAGTCTTCTTATCCGGCTATCTAGAGGAAATCTTCAACCTCACCTTGGGAGTGCTCAGTGTCTCTCCTCCTGAAAAAGACCATCAAGCTGGTAACGTGAAAAATCTCTCCAAATGACCTGCAGGTGTCTGGGCTACCAAAGAAATTCAATGTGAAATATGAATATCCTTTATTGAATGTGAACTTTTGACTGTGTCAAAGTCCTCACCAGCCCTCTCCACATGCTCCCTGCTTTCTGTTTTATTGTTATTGTTATTGATAGTATTCAGCCAGACTTGAGACTGCCTTCTGAAAGCACTGTACCTCCCTCCCTAGGAAGTCATTAACGTGCATCTTACGGCCTTGGAGATGATTAAAGGATGATTTCTATTCCTTTCTAGTCATTTGTCATTTTGCCTTGGATCATAACAGTCTAGGGTAAGTTTCCAGGGACATTTAATCAAGTGACTGGAGTAGAACTGTACAAGATGTCTCTCCCAAGATAGGGGAATGGGAAAGGATGAGAAGATTAGGCAGACCCAGTCCCCACCATTTCCTGGGTATGGGATTCTAATCAAGTCCCTTCCCCTCTATGAGCCTCGGTCACCTCATCTGGAGAATATGAGATTAACAAGCTGATGCTCATAAACACACCAGGCACAGATGTGGCTGCACACAGCAGGTGCTCCACAAGTGAGAGGTTTCCTCCAGCCTTGCTTTTAAAGAAGACTCCGAGTGCTGTCATTCTGGGACAACTATTTACCAAGTGGGTAAAGTCTGGCATCTACAGAGACATAGCCTGGGATGCCTCCAGAAGACCATGGAGAACAACTTGAGGGCTGAAGGCAGCAGAGCTTTCAAACTTCTCCATTTATAAGGGGTATATAAATTAGTTAAATTAATAGAGACAGAAAGTAGAATGCTGGTTGCTAGGGACTTGTTTGGTAATAGGTAGAGAGTTTATTTGCAAGATTAAAAAGTTCTGGAGATCTATTTTCACAATAATGTGAATACACTTAATGCCGCAGAATGGCACACTTTAAAATGGTTAAGGTGGTAAATTTTATGTTATGTGTTTTTCAATGTGAGATTGGTTAACCCAAATGAAACCCTAATCAACCCCACTCTGGCCTACTGTTCAGTAACCAAAGAGAGGCTAGGAGGCCATCCCTAGGAGAGAAGAGACCTCCTTGTTGGTTTTAGCTGTGTACTCTGGGAGGGAACTGACATTTTGAGGAGCAGCTCTGTGCCAGGGTCTGTGGCATGGCAAGGTGAATAAGGCACAGTCCCTGTATGCACACAGGTTTTTTGGCACAATAAGAAAGGAACTGTCCCAGGACTATGTCTATTGTGCTGTGAGAGAGGAATTCCTTTTACCAGGGATGCAGGGTAGGGAAGGCCTCCAAACCATGGGATTAGGGGCTAGGCATTCGGAATGTTCAAGAGTTTCTTCAACAGAGAGGCTGCCTAGACTGAGGGAAGAGGAGGAGCGAGAACCTAAAGAAACAGAATGAAGTGGGAGTGGGGAATGGCTCCAAAAAGGTAATGTGGGCCAGATGGTAATGAGCCTCACATGCAGTGTTAAGATGCTCTGGCAAACGGTTATCACTGAAAGGTTCTTAAGCAGTGAATGACATCATCAAATCTACTTGTCCTGAAGACCCCTTTTTGTCAGATTTCAGAATTTGATTAACAAGATTATGCTCTCTTGAAAACTTCCAGTAAATAGTAATTGTTTGTTAGCATTGGAAAGTATTTTTACATTCACTATTATATTTATTATTTAAATAAGTAATAATGTAACACATCTAATACAGTGATGTATCAGTGCCCTTTGACTGGAAACAAAAGAAACATATTCTGCTAAGAATTAAAGCGATAACTGAAGAACTGATTACCAAAGGTCAGGAAATGAACAGTCCCAGGCTCCACGGCGCATGAAGGAATGCCCTGCGCTAGAGGATGCAACATGAGGATGAGTCAGGACCAACCATTTCCTTTTTATGTTTTTCTTCACATTTTACCGTTTTTAAAACATAAAGACAAACATAGAAAACAAACATTATTTATATATATTTATAAACTGTTCCCAACATTCCAGGACTACCAAATAATTACATGTTGTCATATTTGTTTTAATCAACTATAAAGATACAATGGAAGGTACTCTGAGTTTCCTCTCCTATCTCATTCCATATTCCTCTCTCATTCCATATTCATCTCTCAATGGTCATGACACTCATCCTTTACATACGTGTTTCTATTATTTTTTTATATATTTGGATACATAAAAAATATATGGCATTGTTTCTCGACTTGCCTTTTTTGCTCAACATTTTTATTTTGAGTTTTAACCAAATTTACTCATCCAGGCTTAGCTTGCTCATTTTCATTGAAGTGTAATAGCCCACTAACTAGATCAGGGTGTCCAATCTTTTGGCTTCCCTGGGCCACACTGGAAGAAGAAGATTTGTCTTGGGCTGCACATCAAATACACTAACGCTAAGGATAGCTGATGAGCTAAAAAAAATTGCAAAAAAAAAAAAAAATCTCATAATGTTTTAAGAAAGTTTACAAATGTGTGTTGGACTGCATTCAAAGCCATCCTGGGCCACATGTGGCCTGAGTACAGTGGGTTGGACAAGCTTGATCTAGATAATTCTCCATCTTCTTCCTCCTCCCCTCCTCCTCTTCCTCCTCTTCCTTCTCCTCCTGCTCCTGTTTTCTCTCCGTCTCTGTCTCTCTTTTTATTTTGTTTCTTAGACCCTGAAATGGACCATGGTAAGGATTGTTAGGAAGTATTCTTGGAAGATACACATAAAGTGAGGAGGGGAAGACTGAGAAGAGGGAGAGTTGAACTGAGATTTGGCTGTGGCGGGGGTCTCAGCCTATCCCACGGAGCTTTGGAAATGCAATGGCCTTCAGGGTTGTCCCAAATGGAGGTGAAGTGTCCTTAGTATCACCAAATTAACAAATCATTAGCAATTGTGCCCTGGAAAGAAGCATAGCCTTGGGTGAGCCAGTTCTCAGTGTGCAAGGACAGTTCCCAGATTTGAGCCTTTGGCCCCTGGAAATCCAAGCACTGAGGAAGCTAGGTGCCAGCCTGAAAAGAGGATCTGGGTAGAGGACCTGAGTATCCACCACAGACTGATATGGGTTTTGGCACTCAACATTTATTCTATCCTTCTTCCAGTGTGACTTGTAATGGAAAGCCCAGAAAGCTCCCAACTATATTTCTCAGCCTCCCTTAGAAGTAGTACTGTACATGTGGCTTAGTTTGCACCTGTGTGAGATTCAAAAGGAAGGCGTGAGATGGACACTGTGTTTCTGCTCTGCATTTCTGCTGGCAAGCAGAGGCTGGACGGAAAGGACAGAGCAGGTGGCTTTTCTGCACCAGTGATGGCAGAGATTCCAGTGTCCAAGCACTAGCTTTGTGGCTGTTGAGAAACAGCCAAGAGGGGCATCCTTTCTGCAGGATCAGGTCACACAGCAGAGGCAGCACATTCTAGAATCAGCAGCTCCAGCTTCTTATCTTGGAAACTTCCTGCTTGTGGTCATGACAGGTTGGTTCTGGAGCCAGAGGTATGCTGATCTCAGAGGAGGCAGCCGCTGTTTGTTGGGGCCCAGTTCTGGGGTGTGACTCTGGAGGCCATACCAGACATCTCTAGGCTATTTCTTCAGTGCTTCCCCCAAGGATTCTCTAAGCCACTTACTACCCTTAAATGTTCCCCTCCCCACTTAAATCACCCAAGTGATTTCAAGGTCCTGTACCTGAAACCTGACTAATTTACATTGGTTATTTACAATTTTATTTAGTAATTTGTATTAGATATTTGGATTTTTTTCTAACTACTTGTATTAGTCCATTTTTACACTGGTGATAAAGACATACCTGAGACTGGGAAGAAAAGGAGGTTTAATTTGATTTACTGTTCCACAAGGCTAGGGAGGTCTCATAATCATGGCACAGGGCTAAAGGCACTTCTTTCATGGTGGCAACAAGAGAGAATGAGGAAAAAGCAAAAGTGGAAACCCCTGATAAACCCATCAGATCATATGAGACTTATTCACTATCACAAGAATACCACAAGAAAGACTGGCCCCCATGATTCAATTACCTCCCCCTGGGTCCCTCCCACAACACATGGGAATTCTGGAAGATACAATTCAAGTTGAGATTTGAATGGTGACACAGCCAAACCATATCATTCTGCCCCTGGCCCCTCCAAATCTCATGTCCTCACATTTCAAAACCAATCAAGCGTTCCCAACAGTCCCGCAAAGTCTTAACTCATTTCTGCATTAACCCAAAAGTCCACAGTCCAAAGTCTCATCTAAGACAAGTCAAATCTCTTCCTCCTAAGAGCCTGTAAAATCAAAAGCAAGCTAGTTGCAATGGGGGTACAGGTATTGGGTAAATACAGCCATTCCAAATGGGAGAAATTGGCCAGAACAAAGGGGTTACAGGGCCCATGCAAGTCTGAAATCCAACAAGGCAGTCAAATTTTAAAGCTCCAAAATGATCTTGTTTGACTCCAGGTCTCACATCCAGGTCATGCTGATGCAAGAGGTGGGTTCCCATGGTCTTGGCCAGTTACGCCCCTGTGGCTTTGCAGGGTACAGCCTCCCTCCTGGCCGCTTTCACAGGCTGGCATTGAGTGTCTGCAGCTTTTCCAGGCAATCGGTGCAAACTGTCGGTGAATCTACAATTCTGGGGTCTGGAGGACAGTGGCCCTCTTCTCACAGCTCCATTAGGCAGTGCCACAGTAGGGACTCTATGTGGGGACTGCGACCCCACATTTCCCTTCTGTACTGCCCTAGCAGAGGTTCTCCATGAGGGCCCCACCCCTGCAGCAAACTTTTGCCTGGGCATCCAGGCATTTCCATATATCTTCTGAAATCTAGGCAGAGGTTCCCAAACCTCAATTCTTGACTTCTTTGTACCCCCAGGCTCAACATCACATGGAAGCTGCCAAGGCTTGGGGCTTCCACCCTCTGAAGCCACAGCCCAAGCTGTACGTTGGTCCCTTTCAGCCATGGCTGGAGCAACTGGAACACAGGGCACCAAGTCCCTAGGTTGAACACAGCATGTGGATTCTGGGCCCAGCACACAAAACCACTTTTTCCTTCTGGGCCTCTGGGCCTGTGATGGGAGGGGCTGCTGTGAAGATATCTGACATGGCCTCGAGACATTTCCCCATGGTCTTGAGGATTAACATTAGGCTCCTTGCTACTTATGCAAATTTCTGCAGCCGACTTGAATTCCTCCCCAGAAAATGGGGTTTTCTTTTCTACTTCATCATCAGGCTGCATTTTTTCTGAACTTTTATGCTCCGTTTCACTTTTAAAATGAAATGCTTTTAACAGCAACCAATTAACTTCTTGAATGCTTTGCTGCTTAGACATTTCTTCCACCACATACCCTAAATCTTCTCTCTCAGTTTCAAAGTTCCACAAATCTCTAAGCCAGGGGCAAAATGCTGCCAGTCTCTTTGCTAAAACATAACAAGAGTCACCTTTGTGACAGTTCCTAACAAGTTTTTCATCTCCAAATGAGACCACCTCGGCCTGGATTTTATTGTCCATATATATCACTATCAGGCTTTTGGTCAAAGCCATTCCATAAGTCTCTAGGAAGTTCCAAACTTACCCACATTTTCCTGTCTTCTTCTGAGCCCTCCAAACTGTTCCAACCTCTGCTTGTTACTCATTTCCAAAGAAGCTTCCACATTTTTGGGTATCTTTTCAGCAATACCCCACTCCTGGTACCAATTTACTGTATTAGTCTGTTTTTATATGGACTAATGTCTGCTGATAAAGACATACCTAAGTCTGGGAAGAAAATGAGGTTTAATTTGACTTATGGTTCCACAAGGCTGAGGAGGTCTCATAATCATGGTGGAGGGTGAAAGGCACTTCTTATATGGTGGCAGCAAGAGAGAATGAGGAAGAAGCAAAAGCAGAAACCCCTGATAAACCCATCAGATCTCATGAGACTTATTCACTATCATGAGAATAGCACAGAAAAGACCAGCCCCCATCATTCAGTTACCTCTCCCTGGGTTCCTCCCACAACATGTGGGAATTCTGGGAGATACAATTGAAGTTGAGAGTTGAATGATGACACAGCCAAAACATATCACTGCTACTAAAAGCAATGCTGAAATAAATATACTTACACATATCATCTCTTAAATATAGGCAAGAATTTCTCTGGGGCACAAGGGCATGTCTTCAACATTAATAGTGCCACAAAGCTATTTTATCACCTAATGCTCCCCCTAGTATAGCACTACAATGTTTCACTCAAAGTCAGTATCTAAGAACATTAAGTGAGAACTAGCTTCTTGAAAATTGCAACTTTAAACAAAACGATGTATAATAAATCCAATATTTTATCAAATCAACATTATCACAAAAAGACCTTGAATGAAATGACCTTGAATGAAACGACTTTGATTAAAAAGATGTTACTCAAGGACCTGGTGTATAAGACTTTGATTTCTCATCCCTCACCCCTGAACTCTCCTGACTTTCCAAGTCTCCAATACATCTATAAAAACAAAAAAATTAATTTTAAAAAGAGTTTGATTTCTCTAACATCATTGCTAACCCCTGCAACTGTTCATACATTTTTATATTTGCCAGTCAGTATGAAGTGATATCTCTGTGGTTTTATTTCCTCTAATAATTAGTGAGAGTAAGCATTTTTTTCATAAGTTTATTCATCACTCATATTTCCTCTACTGTGAACTCCCTGTTCACATCCTTTGTGGATTCTTCATCTTAGTTGTTCTTTTTTTTCTTATTGATTTGCAAAATTTATTTATGTATTCTGGGCTCTAATTCTTTGTTCATTATGTGTGTTGTAAATATAGTCTCCAATCTGTGGCTTGTCTTTTAACTTTTTATGGTGCCTTTCAATTATGCAGAGGTTTTAAATATTTTAAGGTGGTTTAGAATTATTGCCCCATGGTGATATTGGACAAATATCAGAGAGTTGTGGGGTCAAATTCCAAACTCTCACTCACTGATGTCCATGGCTTCAGGTATTTTTATGCAAAGAAATGTATATCTTTTTGAGTTAAGTAGTGCAATTACGGTTATGTTTTTTTCTTGATATTCAATCTAATTTGCCATTGGTTTGTACCAAGAGAATACATCAGTCATTCCACTTAAGATTTAAATTCTAGGGAAAAACAGATAATCTAGCTAGTGTAGTTTGAATCATATGCTTGCTCTTGGCCAGGAGGTTGTGGGTCATCTTGACTGATGCAGTTCTACCAACTGTGTCAATGGAAGAGGAGGAGATCCCCAAATCAGAGCCCTGACTCAGTCTTCAGATGTAGGCAAAATGGAACCTGGGCAGGCAAAACAACTGATGTGGGCTTCAAGTGCTTGGCAATATGATATTGAATAAAGAATTGTTATTTCTTAGCTGTAGTAGTTAGAGAGTTTTGTTTTGCAAAATGATAAAATAACATGATCAACTCTGCGTAACATATTTATACATGGCACAATGGAAGCATTAAAAAAACAAATCAGTCAGGAGCGTTAGAGAAGGATTCAGGGGAAGTAACTAGTGCTTCAGTCAAAAATCGGGGGAGATTCTCTAGGCTGAGGAAATAGCACATACAAAGAAACGGAAATGTAATAGGCAAGTCATAATCAGAGGGCTCCAAGTAGTTTAGTATGGCAGGCATGTGAACTGCAAGGACGGATGGTTACAGGTAAAGACAGAGAGGAGAACAACGTGTCTTATAACCATTCACTAATAGAGGTCTTTGGAGAGACATAAAGGAGTGTGGGGAGGTATTCCTAATGATAGAAGCTAAAATAAGAATATTGAAATTTAGGTGTTAAAAATATCTGAGGCTTCATGGAGACTAGCACACTGTCTCACAGCTGTTTCAAGGTCCCACTGTCAGAGAAAATTACTAACCAGGAAGGACGTGAGCGAAGTGTAGCTCATCTTCTGTTCTTGGATTAAATGTATAGATCTCCATCTGCAGTGATATACCACCAAGCTCTAAAGTTAGAAAAGCATATGAGAGTCCTAGGCAGGAAGAACTTAGAACCTAGATTTTTTTTGTACAATCAAATATAATGTTCTTGTTCAAAATACTTCCTGTTTTTTGTTTTAGGACACAGTAACTCCTTACTTATAGACATGCCTGTGGCATAGAAAAGTAGAGAGGGTATGAAATGTGGTGTCAGCTGCCCTGGGTTTCCACCCAGCCTCTGCCACTTGCCAGTTATGAGGCTTTGGTCTTCTCCAAACTTGAGTTTTCACACTCGTGAAATGATGATTAAAACACCTACAGAGCCCACCAACACCCAAAGCAGATAAATAAACAAAATTTAGCTCTCTATATATACCTATATATAGCAGTTGTTCCTAGGAATTAATTACATAACGCTGTTTTTAAAATGCACTTACAAATATAGAGTTGATCTTTGTTTGTCGTGAAGTTGTATAGTGTTTACCAATCTGTAGGTTAAAAATCAGTTAAAGTGATTTTGACTACCATTAAAAACAATAATAAAAACAAAATGAAGTCTAAGAGATTCAAACAGTATCGAGTGGAGTAGACTCAAATAGAAAATACTAAAGTAATACCAAAATATGGAGTACTTTTGTTTCAAAAGTCTGTTTTTGTTTTTCTTTTTCTTTTTTTTCTTTTTTTTTTTTTTTGAGACAGAGTTTTGCTCCTTTTGCCCAGGCTAGAGTGCAATGGCATGGTCTCGGCTCACTGCAACCTCTGCCTCCCAGGTTCAAGCGATTCTTCTGCCTCAGCCTCCCAAGTAGCTGGGATTACAGGTGCCCTCCCCCGCACCTGGCTAATTTTTATATTTTTAGTAGAGGCAGGGTTTCACCACATTGGCCAGGCTGGTCTTGAGGCTGGTCTTGAACTCCTGACCTCAGGTGATCCAGCCTTGGTCTCCCACAGTGCTGGGATTACAGGTGTGAGCTAGTACACCTGGCTTTTTTTTCTTTTTTTTTTTTTTTTTTGAGACAGAGTCTCACTGTGTTGCCCAGGCTAGAGGGCAGTGGTGCAATCTCGGCTCACTCCAACTTCCACCTCCTGTGTTCAAGCGGTTCTCCTGACTCAGCCTCCAGAGTAGTTGGGATAACAGGCATGTGTCACCATGCCCAGCTAATTTTTGTATTTTTAGTAGAGAAGGGATTTTGCCATGTTGGCCAGGCTGGTCTTGAACTCCTGACCTCAGGTGATCTGCCCACCTTGGCCTCCCAAAGTGTTGGGATTACAGGCGTGAGCCACTGCACTCGGCCTAGTTTTTGTGTTTCTTGGAGTGTGTGTGTGTGCACGCGTGCACGTGTGTATCAGGTGATTAGGATAAATAATTGGCATGAATTATAAATAAATTTTGAATGAAATGACCCAAAACTTAAACTAGAACTTTGGGCTCCAAGTCTAACTCTTTTGCTGACAATAGATACTTAAACAATATAGGGGAGGATTAGATGCCCCATGAGTTCTTAATGAATATTAATTACTAGTCATGAAATGAGTGATGGAAATTGCCAATTGAGGAACCGAAGTATTCCTCGGAATTAATGTCCTGATGGGAAGAAATGATGTCCCAGTGAATAGCTAAGGGCTATTAGCACCAGCTCAGCTGCATCTCTGGGGAACGTCTAAATCAAAGGTCATAATTATGCTCTCCAGAACAGCAAATGAAGATTCATAGGCCCATAAATTTCCTCTTCTATGGGTCCTAGACTTGTGTGGCTCAGTTAAAAGGCAGGGATCAAGAATAAATGTTCTGTTTAGTAAACCCAGAGGTTAGGGGCAGGAACACTCATCATTCTGTAATTCTCTTAGAACCATCTAGTTTAGAGTCTGTCAAGAGAAACATCCCTGAGGTTATCATCTTTGAAGGAACCTCAGTTTTCACATTCAGAATTGGACTATGTAATCTCTAAGTTTTCATTCAATTTAACATTCTATGAGCTGAGGTGAAATTTTTACTGACAGAACCATCAGTGAAACTTGACATGAGAACACAGTGGTCTTGAAGTCATAAGCACAGTATAAATACCTCAGTCATCTGGTTCTTCTTTGAGTTTTGTATTTTGAGGTTCCTGTACATTTGCCCATAAATAATTTGTATGCCTTTTCTCCTGTTAATCTGTCTATTGTCAGTTTGTTTTATAGACTCAAATTACCAAGCTTTCAGAAGGAAGAGGAAGGAAAATCCTCTTTGCCCCGATACCATAATTTGTTCAAGGTCGATCCATGCTGAAGCATGTGTTAGAATCCCCTTCCTTTTTAGGGATGAATAATATTCCATTGTGTGTTTATACCATGTTTTGCTTATTCATTCATCCGCCAACAAATATGTGAGTTGCTTCCACCTTTTGGCAATTGTGAATAATACTGCCCTGAACATGAGTGTACACATATCTGTTTGAGTCATCTGTTTTCAAATCTTTGCGGTGTATACCCTGAATAGAAATTACTAGATCATACGGCAATGCTGTTTAATTTTTTTCTTTTAATAATAAGGATGCCAAGACCAATGATTACCAGCTGCCCAACTTCCAAAAAATACACTTCTGAAAGCTCTTGATGTCAATTCCACATGAAGAGCAATCTGGTTGCCCTACATAGGCCACTCATGACAGAAGCCCTTTTTCTCTATTTAATTTTTTAAAGAACTATCATATCAATTTCCAGAGCAGGAATACCATTTTACATTCTTAACAGCAATGCCCAAGGGTTCTAATTCCTCTGCATCCTCACCAACACTTGTTATCTTCCAGTTTTTTGATGTTAGCCATCCTAGTGAGTGTAAAGTGGTATCTCATTGTGAATTTGATTTTCATTTCTCTAATGATTAATGATTTTGAGCATCATTTTATATGCTCCCCGATCATCTGCATATTTTCTTTGGAGTAAGGTCTATTGAAATAGTTTGCCCATTTTTTAGTTGGGACTTTTCATTTTGTTGTTGTTGTGGTTCAGTTGAAGTTCTTTATATATTGTGAATATTAATCTTTATCAAACACATTATTTGAAAATATTTTCTCCCATTCCATGGGTTGACTTTTCACTCTGTTGATTGTGCCCTTTAATACACAAGCGTTTTTAACCTTGATGAAGTCTAATTTATCTATTTTTTTCTTTTGTTGCCTATGCTTTTGGTATCATAGCGAAGAAATCATTACCAAATCCAGCATCATGAAGATTTTCCCCTGACTGTACCCCTTTTAAGGGAAGAACCACTAGGTTAGATGGCAACAGGTAAGGATACAAGAGGCTGGGAAGTACTGGTGCTAAAACGCAAATTATGATACCTCCTTTTCCCTCTTTCAGTTGCTCACTGTCCTAATACACTCTCCTTGCTCTGCCACATAATTTTTCTCTTAGAAAGAGAATCCTGTCAAGTCTGAGGTGATAGTGACTAAGGCTTGTCTAAAAGAACTACAGCTCCTAAGGATACTTATATTTCAACATGGGGCAAGAAATATTAAACCAAGGGAAAGAAGACATGTGTTTGACATTTTGTTCATCTCTAAGCTTGTGATAGAAACCTTCTCACACCCTGAAGCCACAAATCAGAAAACTGGCCCAGTTTCCCACTTGCCGTCACTTCTGTTATTCCAGCCTTCAGCATCAAACTGCTTTATTAATAAATGTTACCAGACTTCCATTACAGACAGGCTACAGTGCAGGTGTAACCTATTAGCTAAGCAGATTCCATTTGTGAAATCGACAAATGAAATCCTTATAAGCCTCCTTCTTAATGTTGATCCCTTCTCCGAGGAAGTGTGACACCACACCCTTCCTTTGTGCAATGGCAAATAACTACTTTTCCTTCTTTCCTGGCTGTTTCTAAGTCACCTTTGCACTTTGTAATTCTTTTATATAAAATAAAATGTTTTCTTGGAGTCTGTCCAGGTTTTGGCAAGCCTTTTTTACTTTCTGTAATTTATATAAGAAAACAAAGAGTTTTCCTCTATTTTCTAAATGTAAAATCATAATGCTGAGTATACTCTTTCAAGCTATCCTTCCTTATCAGGGATTCTGATTTTATTTCTCCACCATCATCCCAAGGTATCCACCACACACACACACACACACACACACACATCATAAATCATTGATTCAGAAGGCAGAGGGACTAACTAGAAGCGGTTGTTGTTATTTGTTTCATTTTTGTCGTGGAGATTATAAAGACTGATGCGAATCAAGTTTTATGTGTGTGTGATGCATAGAGGCAAGGGACTGGAGTGGAAAGCAATAAACCGAGTAGACTGCATAAGGTCACTAGGGATCTGGAAGTGATGGAGGTGACAGGTAAGGGTGAGTTTATTGCTGACACAAGCTAAGAGAGAAGTTAGAGGGAGGGGACACAGCTGGAAAGATAAGTTCCATCCACCTCTCAATGATGCCTTGAGTGAGCACTGGTTAAACCTACTTCAGTCTACCTATTAAAATCCACTATGGACACACAGTTGAAGGCAAAAACACCGAGTAACATCTCCTGTGGCCTTTATGATAAAAATTCCAGAGGGGTTTAGGGATAATGTTAAGGGGGGGGGGGGGAAGCAAGCAAGCAAGCAAGAAAAAAAAAGGAAGGAAGGAAGGAAGGAGAAAGAAAGAGAAAAAAATGCATGACTGAGGTTGAAGGAAAAGCTTTCCATATCTAATTTGTTGCAGAAATTATTCAAAAATAAGTCAACTGTGAAAATATGGCCACTGAGACCCTGCCAAGGTTAGTGTGAACCATTAGGATCTGCTGAGTAAATTCTAGCTATGTAATCGAAAACTGCTTGGTTGAAGCTTTAACTTTACCAATTTTTCTCACCTCCAGATTTTATGAGGGAACGGTGTAGGGGGCAGGCTGAGGTGACCACATTGCAGGTAATTGTGCTGAGCCAGATGAAGTAGTTCCTGGTTACTCTGTCAGAGAAGCATCTTTTAAATTTCTTCTCTCTCTTCTCTCCCTCAATACTTGGATATTTGCCTCAAATTCTACACAGAAAATGAGAGAGAAGCACTGGTTTTGCTGGGATTTTACCAGAGAGCTAGGAGCAGTCCCTTTTTCATTCAAATTGGCCCTTTCTTGGCTATATACTGGGGCATAAATAAGAGTTAAACAAAGCCTAAAAAGCAGAAATAAGGGTGTGAGGGGAAGGGGGAACCTAATGATCTCACATAGGCTATGAATTAATCCATGTCACTAGAAAAAAAAGCATTTGATAAATCACTAAATATCCTTGCAAGGGTATATTTCACGTCATTTCCAAATTTGTAATTGTGCTCACTACCCTCCAATAGAAATCCCTCACCAGATTTTACTGTCTAATGGGCATATAATAAAAGGTAATATATATTCTTGTACTAAGCAATAAATAGGGAACACTCAGCAGCACTGTCTTCCTGAGGAAATCTCAGGTCTTCTGGGATGCATATTCATCCACACAATAAGGAGACACAAATCAACATGGTGGCCGAGCAGGCACTGGGTGAGTGATGGCCTTGTGTCTTAATGAAACCAAACCATGAAAGGCATTAGAAAGATTGATTGGAGTTAAGTTAGCTGTCAGTGTTAGCTGGGGTGCCCCAGGCTGTAATGAAACTGCCAGGGGTTATTTATGGAGATATAGGGTTTGGGGTGTAAGTTATGTCCAGCAAGCTATTTTTATAGACAGACACACACTTTAACTTCTACAATGAATGGAGCAGCAGACACAGTCCCACTGGGCTCCTCTCCCACTGGTTGGAATAGCATGCTTTCTCAGGCATTTGCACCAGGCTGAATAAACGCAGGCTCTCAATCAGAAGGAGACTGGGCAACAGTTAATTTCATTGTTTGAAAATGTCAGTATTTTTTGAAAATGTTGGTGTTAGGACAAGAGAAAGTGTCAAAGTCAACACAAAATAATTGTTTTCACATGAAATAAAACAAACACACATAACAAAACAATGCTGTGATGTAAGTTGGGGGATAAGATATATGCTTATTTCAGTGCTTACTAATCCTCTTTTGGCTGTGGCTTCTTTCATGAGAGCCAGAATGGAAGAAAAAGAAGTAAAACCAATATTAATTGCATGCCCTCACAATGACCCTGACAAAGAAGTATCAGAATGCCCATTTTACAGATGCAAACACTAAGTAATTTTTCTCAGACAACATTACAAGAAAGTGGCGTGGTTTTTATACTGTACTGGTCTGTACAATTTTATATTGTATTTGCATTCTGGAAGGAAATAAATGGAACTCGGAAAGTTTTAACCAAGAAGAATTTTATGAACATCCCTTGTACCAAAGATGGGAACACCATTAAGAAATGGTGAAGCACCCAGGGAATAGCAACTGGGAAAGGCTGTGACCACCCCTACATGTGGAGGTCCATTGGGTGAAACCAACCAGATGCCAGAAGGCAAAGCATTCTGGGAAATGCAGTACACATGCTCAGCCTCCAGGGCATAGAGGAGGGTGGATCTGAAGAGGAAAGAGAATAACTAGTGCATTGTCACGTTCTTCAACCCAGCTATATTTGCTATATATTTTTTGGCTTTAAGGTGAATGTGGAAAAAAGGACTGAAGCAAGCTGAAAAACAGAGCTTTTTATCAGCCACTAGGAATATGATCATATGAACTCTAGCATAGCCAAGAGGCTGGAAATGTTACCCAATGAGAAAGTCTCTGTAATTTCCTGCCTGACTGGCTCCAACAGAGGGAAAGGGGGAAATGGTGCATGGGTTGTGTTACAGGTGTGACTCCTTAGAAGCTGCCTCTTTCTTAATTTGTGAAAAATATCTGTAAAATGCTGTGAAGGGGGCCAGGGGAATATGAGGAGCCAGGCCAGGAGGCACAGCAACAGCAGTTGAGGCCACAGCAGCTCATTCTATGGAGAAGAGAAAGAGGGGCCACAGACAGAATGAGGGATGGACCTGGCAGAGTCCAATGCTGTTTGGGTCTCTCAGGGATCCCTCAAATGCAGACCTTGAGACAGGCACTTGGGATGTGTAGTCTACTTGGGAGGTGATATGGTTTGGACATGTGTCCCCTCCAAATCTCATGTTGAAATATAATCTTCAGGCCGGGTGCGGTGGCTCATGCCTGTAATCCCAGCACTTTGGGAGGCCAAGGTGGGTGGATCACCTGAGGTCAGGAGTTCGAGACCAGCCTGGCCAACATGGTGAAAACCCATCTCTATTAAAAATACAAAAAATTAGCTGGGCATGGTGGTGGGCACCTGCAATTCCAGCTACTCGGAAGGCTGAGGCAGGAGAATCACTTGAACCTGGAAGGCAGAGGTTGTACTGAGCTGAGATCATGCCACTGCACTCCAGCCTGGGCAAAAAAAAAAAAAAAATGTAATCTTCAGTGTTGGAGGTGAGGCCTGGTGGGAGGTGTTTGGGTCACGGGATTGAACCCTTCATGAATAGCTTGGTGCTGTCCTTATGATAATAAGTGTGTTCTCACCCTGAGTTCATGCGAGATCTGGTTGTTTAAAAGTGAGTGGCACCTCCTTCCTCTCTTTCTTGCTGTCACACTCACAGTGTGACACACCTGCTTCCCCTTCACCTTCCACCATGATTGTAAGTTTCCTGAGGCCCTCAACAGTGGCACATGCTGGCACCATGCTTCCTGTATACTCTGAAAAACAATGAGCCAATTAAACCTCTTTTCTTTATAAATTACCCAGTCTCTGGTATTTCTTTATAGCAAAGCAAAAATGGCCTAACATAGGAGGTGATAACAAGAAATATAAGTGAAGGAATGAGGAAAACAGAATGTTTTTCAGAAAAAAAATAAATCTCAGAATTAAGCCACTAGGGAAAAAAGTTGAGGCATTGACCTGCTAACTGTTAATCTTCATTAGTCAAGAGTTACTCCCATAGGCATTTCCAGGTTGCTGCTACCTGTGCCAGAACAAGTTTGAAATGCCAGAGAAGGCAGCAGAGAAGAAGAGAACACAGGTGCTGCCCACCAGAGCTTCAGGTGAATTCAGGTGGGGTGCAGATCAAACAAATTACAATGCCAGTCATGCTGGCTCAGTCATCTGAAAAGACTGGATTTGCTAGGGGGCAAGAATGGTCTTCAAGAGATAGAGATTGTATATGAGAGTGGTGAGAACTAGAGTCAGCCATGCAGATTCAGGATTTCAAATCCAAGCTCTCTATTAATATCATTTGACTTTTCCACTAACGGTTTCCCAGGTCGATGAAATTTGTTTTTTATGAATGTAGTAAGTCAAGAAATGCCTTCCTGTATTAGCTTCCTAGGGCTGCCGTAATTACCACAAACTGGGTGGTTTAGTAAAACATAAATCTATTTTCCCACAGCTCTGAAGTCCAGAAGTCCAAAATCAAGGTGTGGGCAGGCCCTGGTCTCTCTGACGGCTCTAGTGGAAGACTCTTTCTTTCCTCTTCCTGGCTTCTGGTGGCTTCCAGCATGCCTTAGCAGCTGTTGGCTTGCAGGTGTATCACTCCAATCTGTTGTCACCATGAAAGGATGTTTTCCCTGTGTGTTTCTGTGTCTCTGTTTTCTTTCCTTTTTTTTTTTTTTTTTTTTTTTTGACAGGGTTTCACTGGGTTGCCCAGGCTGGAGTGCAATGGCACAATCACGGCTCACTGTATCCTCAACCTCCCAGGCGCAAGTGATCCTCCCACCTCAGCCTCCCTGTAGTTGGGACCACAGGCGCACACCACCATGCCTGGCTAAATTTTTTTGTATTTTTAGTAGAGTCAGGGTTTTGCCATGTTGCCGGGGCTGGTCTTGAACTCCTGGGCTCAAGCAATCCTCCCACCTCAGCCTCCCAAAGTGCTGGGATGTTTTCTCTTCTTATAAGGACACCAGTCACTGAATTCCAGCCCTCCCTAATCCAGTATGACCTCATTTTAACTAATTCCATCTGCAAAGATCCTATTTCCAAATAAGACCACATTCTGAGTTTCCGGATAGACATAGATATTCAACTGGAAACATCTCCCAAAAGATGTCCGTGTCAAATCTTTGGAACCTGTAAATATTCCTTTGTATGGCAAAAGAGTGGATAATAACTTACAGGGCAAAAGATAGGATAAAATTAAGCATTTTGAGAGGAGAGGTTAATCCTAGATTAGCTGTGTGGACCTAATTGCAATCCCAAGTATCCTTATAAAACAGAGAGAAAGGTTGTTTAGAGGAGACACACACACAAAAGAGAAGGTGAGGTGATGACAGAGTGGAGAAAGATGCGGCCACAAGCCAAGGGATGCCGACAGCCACAAGAAGATAAGAGGCAGGAGCAGATTCTCCCTTAGAAAGTGGGAGGAGTGCAGCCCTGCCAACACCCAGATTTCAGCCCCTCTGGCCTTCAGAACTATGAGAAAATAAACTCCTGTTGATTTAAGCCACCAGGTTTGTGGGAGTTTATTACAGCAACCTGAGGAAACTAATATAAGGAATTCTCTGAAAACCTATTAATTTGACACTTGAGTTGCTCAATTTATTCTTACAATAGATCACCTTCTTGGGGCTATAAATAACATCAAGCAACTGACCCTTCAAGATTTACTTTGAAACCTCCACCCAGCTCTGACCACCAACCCTGAAGAATTATGTCACCTACATTCCCAAATCAATAAAGCCCCTGCATATAATTACGTGCATTTATCCAGACTCCAGAAACCTCATTAACATCCTTCCTTTGCTTTCTCTTCTCCAGTAAATTTAGTCAAACCCTTTTAATGTAGCCAGCCTTTTTTCCAGTTTTTTTTGGGAACCAGTTTCACAGCTGGTGACTACGGTGTGGTTCTTGGGCAGGCTAACTATTTTTTCTTCTTTCAAAATATAAAACATTCTAGTTTAATCATCATTCTTGAATTAAAGATACATGGGATTAATTTTTTAAAATTTTTTCAAGGACTTTTTTTTTAAATCTTTTTTTTTTTTTGAGACAGGGCCTCACTCTGTCGCCCAGACTGGAGTGCAGCGGCACCATCTCGGCTCACTGCAACCTCCACCTCCCAGGCTCAAGCGATTCTCCTGCCTTAGCCTCCCAAGTAGCTGGGACTACAGGCCTACACCACTACTGTCTGTCTAATTTTTGTATTTTTAGTAGAGACGGGGTTTCACCATGTTGGCCAGGCTGGTCTCTAACTCCTGACCTCAAATGATCCACCCGCCTCAGCCTCCCAAAGTGCTGGGATTGCAGGCATGAGCCACCATGCCCGGCTGAGGACTTCATTTTTTAAGATTGGATTTAAGCTTAAATCTAACCTAAAGGAAGATTGAGGGAAAGGTAGAGATTTCCCATATGGTCCCTCCACACACACATACCTATTCTTCCCCAGAATCAACAATCCCCACCACAGTGGTACATTTGCTACAATTAATTAACTTACATTGACACATCATTATCATACAAAATACAAAATGTACATTAGGGTTTACATTCTATGCATTTGGACAAATCTATGTTGTATCCACACTTACAGTATCATATGGAGTATTTTCACTGCCCTAAAAATTGTCTGTGCTCTACTTATTCATCCCTCCCTCCCCACCAACACCGGGAAACCACTGATCTCACTGCCCCCACAGTTTTGCTTTCTTCAGAATGTCATATAATGCAATCATATAGTATGTAACCTTCTCAGATGGGCTTCTTTCATGGAGTAATAGACATTTGTTTCCTCCATGTCATTTCATGGTTTGATAGTTCATTTCCCCTTAGTGTTGAATAATATTTCATTGTCTGGATATACCACAGTTTATTTATTAATTGACCCACTAAAGGACATCTCAATTGCTTCCAAGTTTTGAGAATTTGAAATAAAGCTGCTATTAACAGCCATATGCAGGTTTTTGTGTAGACATACTTTTTGAACTATTTTGGGCAAATACCAAGGAGTGTGATTGCCAGATCACATGGTCATAGTATGTTTAGTTTTATAAGAAACTGCCAAGCCATCTTCCAAAATGGCTACACCATTTTGTATTTCCATCAGCAATGAACGAGAATTCCTGGTGCTCCACATCCTCACCAGCATTCGGTGTTGTTAGTGTTCTGGATTTGGGCCATTCTAAGTGTATAGTGATATCGTATTTTTGTTTTAATGTGCATTGCCCTGATAACATACAATGTGAAGCATCTCTTCATTTGCTGATTTCCATCTGTATATCTTCTTTAGTGAGGTGTCTGTTCAGGTCTTTGGCCTGTTTTTTAATTGGGGTTTTTTTTATTATGTTTAAGAGTTCTTTGTATATTTTAAGTAACATCGTCTATCACATATGTATTTTGAAAATATTGTTTCCCAGTCTGTGGCTTGCCTTTTCATTCTCTTGACAGTGTCTTTTGCAGAGCAGAACATTTTAATTCTAATAAAGTTCAGCCATCGATTATCTCTTTCATGGATCATGCCTTTGGTGTCATAGCTAAAAAAATCATTGTCAAACCCATGGTCATCTAGATTGTCTCCTATGTTATCTTGTAGGAGTTTCATAGTTTTGCATTTTACATTTAAGTCTGTGATCCATTCGAGTTAATTTTTGTCAAGATTTAAGCACACATCTAGATTTCTTTTTGTACATGCTTACCATTTTAGAATAAGAGCCCAGCCGATAGCATGGGATAGAGTCTTCATAGTTGACAAGGGAAGCAGAGGTTTCAAACTCCTGCCAAGAGATTGAGTCTCTGTAGATATTGAGAACTCGGATCTGCATCCTCTGGAGTGGTGATCTCCAAATGTTATGACAGTACATCTTTATTAGTAAATTGTTTTTTAAATTACTAGTGTCCAATATATACATGTGTATATATATATGTATGTATATATACACCCACACATATATGCTCTTTTGTATGAAGTACCTACAATGCTGGGCACAGTAGCTCATGCCTGTAATCCCAGCACTTTGGGAACCCAAGGCAGCAGGATTGTTTGAGCCCAGGAGTTTAAGACCAGCCTGGTCAACATAGTGAAACCTCATTCCTGCAAAAAAATTTAAAAATTAGCTGAGCACTGTGGTGCGTGCCTGTAGTTCTAGCTACTTGGGAGGCTGAGATGGCAGGAACGCTTGAGCCCAGGAGCTCAAGGATGCTCTGAACTGTGATCACACCACTGCACTCCAGCCTGGGTGACAATGTGAGTCTATCTCAAACAATACTAAATTTGCAAGTTCCACTGTTTTGTGTATATTAAAAAGCATAGACAGAAATGTAAATGTAAAAGTTAGAAAATAGCAATGAAATGAAAAACACTTTAAAATAACTTTAAATTTACTTAATAATACACCAAAATCTTTGGTTATATCACTAAAATTAGTACTATTAACTAATATATTTGTGAGAGTACAACATCAAAATTGTAAAAGACTCAAATGTGCAAATGATTAGTAGGTTTCCTTACAGCAGAAAGCTGAGCATTAGCTAGCAAACCCTTCAGGGCAATTTGATTCTATAGAGCTTCATGCCTTTGATTATCTTTGACTAGGCTATTCTACAACTCTGTAAACTGTAAGAAACTGATGATAATGCAAATTATTTTTGTCCACAGAAATGCAAACGGATTTTCTGCAGTAGAGATACAATTGATTTCTGCCCTGTAGAAACACACAGTTTGTTGCCCTACATGACATCAACCAGTTTTGCAGCTATTAGCAAATTAATTTTAGGATTCCTGATTGCCTATAAATATGTCTACTCTTCAGATTTTCCTTTGAACTAGATTAGTCATCTTACAGTTCTCTCATTAATTAATAAACTAGATTTAATGACAAATATTCATTTTACATATGTCTGATAGTCACAATTTCATCTTTTTGAAAATTATCCACTAACAAATGAAAACAAATATGTGTCTTTTTAAAAATCTTGATTTAATTTTCTGTTATACAGTAATTTACGTGTCTGATTCTAAGTTTAGTTCATTTTGATGCTTGGTTTTAATGGATGCTATAGCTGCAAAAATACTCTTCATAGGGGTAAGCTGGTCCAAATATGAAATTCTAATGGTTATCTTTCAATTCCACCACCATGATGTAGAATGTCTTTGATTTAAAAACTGTCTTCTCTGATGTTAGTTTTATTGTGAACTGATATGAATATGTTGTGTTTTTATGTATAAACTCTGTGCGTGCCTGCGTGTGTAATCAAATGGGTTTATATCCCACTATAATATTTTTATTTAAAAGCTTTTTAAATGGGTTAAAAATTCTGTTTCCCAGTGTATAGCAGGTGCACCTGACAGCAATAACTTCAGCATATCCTGAGAATGATCCTATGGGTCTAAGAAGAATGTGTGTTTGGAATCCTGAGCTAAGGAATCTGGGAGTGGCCAACCTGGAGATTCACTCCTTATCTACGAAGGATGTCTGAATCCCTGGCCTATACCCATCCAGGGGCCCTTTTGTTTGGGTTTAAATGGAGGGTACTAGGTAGAGGTTTCTAGGAGTAAGATGCTCGGTAAAAATGCTATATAAATGACATACTACTTATAAACAGTAGTGGCTTTCCTGTCCAGCCCACTGCCACTGGACTATCCCTGTGTGTATGTCCCCCAGTGAAGCCTACGTCTCATTCATTGTCTCCAAGCCTCTTCTTCAGCCTCCTGGACATAATGCCATCCCTACTGGACTCAGTAGGGGTCTAGCATGACACCCAGTGTTATAAATGCAGATGTGAGAGTTACCATAGTTCTCACTCTTTTTGTTGTTATTTGTTTGTTTGTTGCTAACTTTTATTTTAAGTTCAGGGGTATAAGTGCAGGTTTGTTACATAGGCAAACTTGTGTCATGGGGGAGATCTCACTCTTAATTCATTTTTGAAAGGCTGAATCATTTAACACTGAAAATATTTTTAGACACCCATTTTTAAATGTTCTTTCCAGAGCACAGGTTTTATTTGACAAACAGTTATTTTTTTTACTCATTCTTAAACCATCACATTTACCCCGGAGAAACAGATCTTTGGTGTACAGTTTAAGTGTAGTATTCAATTTTTTTTCAAAATATATGGCAGGTAGAATAATTTTTTTTTTTTTTTTGAGAAGGAGTCTCACTCACTCTGTCGCCCAGGCTGGAGTGCAACGGCACCATCTTGGCTCATTGCAACCTCTGCATCCCGGGTTCAAGTGATACTCCTGCCGCAGCCTCCCAGGCAGCTGGGACTACAGGTGCATGCCACCACAACTGGCTAATTTTTATATTTTTTGTAGAGACGGGGTTTCACCATGTTGGCCAGGTGGTCTCCAACTCCTGCTCTCAAGTGATCCACCCTCCAGGGCCTCCCCAAGTGCTGGGATTACAGTCAGAAGTCACTGTGCCAGCCTATTTTGACCACCACATTTCATCATAAAAAGGCCAATGATTTTCCAAAAAAAAAGTGTTATGGCTGGAATGCATCTCCCTAAAATTCATATCTTAAAGTCCCAACCCCCAGGCCCTCAGATTATAATCTTAAATTTCGAGATAAGATCTTTAAACAGGTGATCACGTTAAAATGAGGCTGTTAGGGCGAGTCCTTAATCCAATATGACTAGAGTACTTCCATGAATTTAAACAGATAGTAGGGAGGCATATACAGGGAAAGGCCATGTGAGGACACAGGGAGGAGGTGGCCACCTGTAAACCTAGGGAGAGGCATCAGGAAAAAAAAAAACTAACCTTTCAACACCTTGATCTCAGGCTTCTAGCTGCCAGAATTGTGAGAAAATAAATTGCTGTTGTTGAAGCCATTCAGTCTGAGGAACTGTGTTATGGCAGCCTGAACAGACTAATGCAACGTGTAACCCATCTTCAGGTTTCGCAATACTTTTCAATTCTTTGCTATAGAAAATGTATAACATCTGTGCTATAAAAATTGCTTATCTCTCAATGTAATATTGTAGAGATCACACCATTTATTATTTTATTTATTTATTTATTTATTTATGTATTTTTTTAGACAGAGTCTCGCTCTGCCACCCAGGCTGGAGTGCAGTGGTACAATCTTGGCTCACTGCAACTTCTGCCTCCTGAGTTCAAGTGATTCTCCTGCCTCAGCCTCCCAAGTAGCTGGAATTACAGGTGTGCGCCATCACGCCCGACTAATTTTTGTATTTTTAGTAGAGACAGGGTTTCACCATGTTGGCCAGGCCAGACTCGAACTCCTTACTTCAGGTGATCTGCCTGCCTCAGCCTCCCAAAGTGCTGGAATTACAGGCACAAGCCACCTTACCCGGCCTCACACCATTTAAAATAACTCATAAAATCTCAAAATAACTCAAATAATCTCATAAGTCTTTTTAACAAGGGGCTATGAACTACATAACTTCACATATAAACTATAATGAGCTGCAGAATGCTGAAAACCAGGGAATGAGTAGGTCACTGTCAAGACGTCCATGTTGTGGAATTCCCATTTCTCATTCCTGAGCACATGGGGATTGACCCACCTTCTAGGTGAGGACTTCCCCAAAGTCAAGCCATAGAATAAATAAAGCTTAATTTATTTTTTTCCTAAAAGATAAAAACAATATATAAATAAAAGCTATGATATTTTCTTCTCATACTGCCCAAGAATCATCTTTTGCTTGCCTGGGATGTCCACCCTCTATCTTAGAGACCATCACTCTAGGCGATGAATACCTTTGAAAAGTTTAAGTAAGGGAGACATGATTTAAAGTGGTTAGAGTGTTGGTTCTGTGAAAAATGAGTTATGGCAGGTGAGAGTAAATGCAGTGAAGCCAGTTAAGATGCTGATGCAGTTTTCCAAAGGAAATGATGAGAATGTAAAATGAGTTGTTACAAGGATCCCAAGGGGACAGACTCCCAACATATTAGAAGGCCAGGTTGATTGGAATTGGGCAGCAGATCAGTTGTGGGGTAGGAGGGAAAAATTTTACCTGAAAATGTTAAAGTTAGGATTTAGGATTTAGGGGTGTGGGAAATGAGGTCTATTTTAAAAATAAGACATGTGGTATAATAAACAAATTTTGGAAAAAAGGAAAGTCATAATTTCCATTTCATTTATGTTAAGTTTGAGTTACTTCAGAATATCTGGATGAAATTATTCATCAGGGAGTAAGCTATTTGGATCTGGAGTTCATAAAAAAGAGGTATGGTTAATTTTTTTATTGGTTGGGGTAATAATGGGGTACAGAGGGAAGAATATACTGCATGTAATTTTAAATCACAATTAAAACGAAATTAGAGTAAATCCTTAATATTCTAGTGTCCATTTAATCTTGTCCTTGACCGTAGCCAATTCAGAGAGGCAGAAGTCTGCTACTATACAGGACTTTGTTGGTCTGCAAAAAAACTTCCATGTCCTGACAAACTAGGACTGCAGGAAAAGAAGACAGTCCTTGCCTCTACGAAGAGGATTCAGTGTATAAGCGGGTTCTGTGCCCCAGCACCAACTCAGCCAGGGTACCTCAGGGGCAGCTTGTTGAACAGCTGCTTCTTTCCAAAAAACTACTCCCATCTGAGATCTTTGGTGTACCTTAACATAGGTTGAACTGTCCTTAGATTTTAAAAAAGTGTTGATTTTGTGTATTTCACGGTATTCATGACCCCAGAGAGCAAAAGCCATTGGAAGGGATGAGCTTATGGAGCAAGAGTATGGTAGGATTTTGAAATAGGACTCATTCTGTCTCATTTCAGCTGAGACCCTGAGAAATGAGGTGCCAACTAACCTCATATCCCAAAGCAAGGTGATAGATCACCTAAGCAGGAATTGCAAAGAAAATTTCAGAAGATGGCTTGCAATCTCTAACCTAATATCCCTTTTCTGGCGTAAGAAAATTGAAGTTGAAAATCTCCGAGAGAGAATTTCCTTAGGAGAAAGTTGTTGGAGTATTCTCGCATTTGTGTGTGTGTGCCTCCCAGTAAAAGGAAACAAAGAAGGGGAAACCCCCTCCTAGTTTAAGAGTAAAAGTAACTTCAAATAAGTTATTCAGAGAGTTTAATAGGTGCACTTTGGACACCTTCGACTCCTGTCTGACACAGACTGCAGGAATGTAAAGGTCAGGGTCTATGTTATCAGCTTGAGGCACCAGGACAGAGACAGACGATTATGGATAGGGAGTTAGCTACACTTCATCAAGAGTAAGAATGAGGATGCTGGAGTGCTTCTTGGGGATCAAAAGAGGGCTACATGGGAGAGGGAGAGCACACCCTACAATCATCTTAAATCTTCCTTAAGAAGACCATCCAAAGGGATGATGTGATGTCAATCGGAGAGAGGGACCAGCAGAACAGCTCAGATAGAAACTATGTGTGGCCTTCCAGAGGTACCACCATGCTGCTGGAAGTACAGTAGCACAATCCCGGCGATAGAATTTCCAAGGAACCCTGGGCATACCTTACGAGAAAATCAACATCGAGCATAGATTAAATGAAGAGAATGTCAATGCCCAGGCATGCATCAGTACCATACAGGTAAGAGTTTTCCTCTCTCTTTGATCTTTTCTCTCACAGCTCTGATGAAGAAAGAGAGAGACAGAGAGAGAAAAAGAGAGAAAAAACTTGATCACAAGGCTTGGAGTGAATGGGTGTTGAAGAGAGAAGGGCTTAATAGTAAGGTAGGAAAGAGGATTAGTCTTTCTTAATGTTGACTTCCACCCTGAAGGAGGAACTTGTTGAGGGGAAGGGAGAAGTTGTATGGCAGGTGCACCTGACAGCAATAGCTTAACCTGAATCATACCCTAAGAATTGACCGCATATGGCAGATGCATTTAAAAGCAATAGCATAACTTAAGCATACTCTGAGAATGACCCTATGGTCTAAGAGTAATGTGTATTCAAGAATTTCAAGCTAAGGAATCCAGGAGTGGCCAACTCGGAGATTCATTCCTCATACATGAGGAACTCCTGAACTGCTGGCCCAGTCCATGGAACGCAGGCCATCCAGGGGATGGAGGCTCTTTGTTTTGGGTTAAACGAAGATTGCAAGGTGGAGATTAGTAGGGGGAGGGTGCTAAGTGAAAATGTGATGTAAGTTGCATGGTTTTTATAAGCGGTTGCAGTTCTCCTGTCCAGCCTGCCACTACTGGTCTGCTTTGTATGCAGCTTCCCTCATTCAATCCCATATCTCAGTTGCTGGCTCTGGGTCTCTTCTCTGGCCTCTTAAACATGGTGCTATCCCTATTAAAGTTCATAGGGGTACAGCACTACTAAAGTTTTAACTTCAAATTATCTATGGAATTCTGATTATTACTATTGGCCATGTTAATTATTCTCATGAGACTTTTGTGACTAAAAGTTACCAGAGGACAATTGACTATTGGAGAGTGATCAGAATTGAGAGAATGGCTTTGGACTTCATTCAAGGATCAGGGGAAAATGAGCCTCACAGAGCAGATATGAAAGGGCAATTGGAAGAAAAGGAAAGTTCTCTTCTCTTGTACTCCATGGAGATCTACTCTTGCAAAATAAGAATTACCATAGTTTAGAGTAAGAACAGAAAAGGTCTAAGGATGAAGTCTTCCCAGGGCTGCAACATCTTAAGTGTGGGCAGGAAGAGAAGCATGAGAGACTGAGAAAGAATGGTGAGGAAAGTAGGAGGGAAACCAAGAGCCAGTGGTGTCAGGAAAGCGATTCCCTTTTTCTTTTAAATGCTACCGTATTTTTTCTGTCTTCCCACACACCTCCTCATCCATACACATACTCAGTGCAATCCTGGGACATTTGGCAGGCTATAACCAAAAACTTGTGAACCGAATGGACAGAACTGTTCTGCAAATAGCTTCCATCCAACTATCTAAGCCATAAAGATTGTAGAACTCTGTAGACCAAAGAGGCTCTTGTTTTACAGATCTGTGAATGGTGAAATCATGGATTCAGGTTTATAATGCCAGTGAACAGAGAGGACTGATGAAATATTAGCTGCATCTGGTAAATTCTTCCTCTTTTTTTTTTCTTGGAGACAGGGTCTCATTCTGTTGTTCATTGCTCACTCACTGATCACAGCTCACTGCACCCTCAATCTCTCAAGCACAAGTGATCTGCATACCTCAGCTTCCCAAGTAGCTGGGACTACATGCACAAGACAGCACACCTGGCTAATTTTTTATATTTTTTGTATAGATGGGAGTCTCCCTATGTTGCCCAGACTGGTCTCGAACTCCTGGGCTCAAACAATCCTTCTGCCCCCATCTCCCAAAGTGTTTGGATTACAGGTGTGAGCCACTGCACCCAGCACTTTCTGCTTTTCATAACACTTTCGTTTCATGTCACGTAACCAGTTGAACACAGCACATCATACCTTGACAGGAAGGAGAGCCAGGTGTGTTCTCTTTATGGGGCAGATTAAGGTGATGGGGTTGAAAACAAATGAATACACTGTGTCTAGAGCTAGGACAAGACACCAGCAACTCCTGAATCTTGGGGACTTTTAATAGAACATGTTGTTCTCTCCCTGAAACACTACATTATTTGGTGATGCCTTTTATTTGCTTGGCTCTTTAAGGTTACAGAGTATGGCCACGTACTTCACTTAAAGATTCTTCATTCTCCTCAACATATCAACTCCCCATTACCATACAAAATTCAGCTCTTTGTCAGCACATCCAAAGTCTTCACTGAACCCCTTAAGCCATAAACAAAAAACTTAGACTATTTGGGATGCCTCTAACTCACCTAAAGCAGGAATAATGCGATTTCCTATCACATGGGAATGGTGAGAGGATTAAGAAGACACAGTGAGCGTCCAACACATAGAAGGCCTTCAGTGAAGATCAATTGGTGAACACTATCATGAAGAGTTCCTTCCCGCTTTCGTTCATTGGACAGTGAGTACAGAAAAAACATTGTGAGGACTTCAGCTCTTATTTTGGTGTATTCTTGTTACCATCACAGAGACTTGCCTTCCTCTTATCATCCAAATGGCAAGTCTTGCCCTGCCCAAGATCAGCAGGAAGACAAAACACTTGTGCTCAGTTTCTGCAACATAAAAACGACAAAGCTCAGGCGGCTCCTTAGCCAGAGCCATTCTAAATGTTTCTGCCCCCAACTTAATTGCAGTGATAAATATCATGTACAGAGCTGAGGCTAAATGACAAATGCATAAACCAGCTGAATAGCAGAAAAGAAATAAGTCATTAGGCCCCTGTCTCTGATGCCCAGGGGAGGTTACCTGTTCCTCTTTTTCAACAGGCACCGCTGTTGGAGTACACTTTGATGTATTGCATAAGTCAGCATAGCAACAGCAGGGATATATGTATTTGTCCCGCATTCAAGCATCTCTCTGAATGCTTTTAAATACCAGATTATACTACCCAGACCACCAGGAATTGGTATTTAATAACACAGCTAGCAAGAAGTGTGGTATCCCAGCAAATCCCACCTGTTCTCTGTGCAGACCAGGAGCAAGGCACTGTGTGGGACATTCTTGTGAACAACCATCTCATGACCCCTTGAGCACTCATGGGAAGCTGGGATTACATTAGACAAGGGAGAAACTGAAAGCAAGAGGGTAAGAAGCCAATAAGGGCAATGTGTCTGGTCAGTAGCAAGGTAGAACCTCAAACTCAAATCTTCTGGTTTCAACTTCCACGACCTTGATGCTACTGTGTGGCTGCCTTGGTCTTCTACCTAAATTCTCATTTACCTCCCTGATTAAATCACAAGAATCCTGGGAACTGTAGGAGGATATACTGAGAATCGATGGGAATGAGGTCATCAACCAGTGGAGTGGCTAATTTCTTTAGATCAAAATCTGAAAGATACATTTCACCAGGAAGACTATTCTGTAGAATAGATTCAAATCTGACTCAGCTGCTTCCATTGTAAATGTTGGGAGAAGTAGAGTCTGACCCCCTCAACAGCCCTGAGTTCTCCCTGCTGTACTCTGAAGTGGCCACCTGCTTGGAGAACAGTTTCATTCAGACCAACAGCCAAATTTGATCACTGAGGAAGCTGAGTTCCAGAGAGAGGAACGGATCCACTGAGAGACAACTTTTTAAGTCTTCAGACTTCTGCCTTTATTTTCTCACAGAACCCTGTTTGCCACATGTCAATATATCAGTGTATTATGAGGAGTGGTGATTTGCCCAGCTGCACCTGGAGGATGGGACTTGGAGCTAGGATTCCACCACAGGCTTTCTGACCCCAGGCTCTGTGCCTTTCCTCCATTCCACAGCTGCATCTAGGGTCTCTCATGAGCGACGGAAATTTGTGCTTCATTAAAAAAATTTTGCAAAGCTCCATAACTGTTCTGTATGGCCTGAAATCCCCAGACTCCAGTGCCTACCAGTTCTTAATATTTATTAAACAGGCATCACTTCACTGGTTCTTATCTGGATCACGTTCTCAGAGTCTTAACTCAGCACTGCAAACCTTCCTTCTGTTCCTCCCTCTTCCTATCACATCCAGGATGAAATAACTACATTTCATATAGTTAATTTATACCTGCTGCTCAGCAAGCATATCCTTTTCATGCAGCCAAGGGCAAGGGTGTCTGTGGGGGCAAGAGAAAGAAGGAAAATGTGAGTTTCCACTTAGCCAGTGAGTTAGCGGCTCAGCAAGAGAACAAAGCTAGTGCAAACAAAGAAGACGAGAGTAAGGAAGGATAAATCCTAAGTGTTTCCCTAGCCTGGAAATTTCCGGATGTGATCCCTGTCAGAGTCACCAGGTGATGCATCTGAGCACGAGTTTTCTGTTGTCATGACTTCCGGAGAGCAAGCAGCCTGTTGTACAAGCCCTGCCCTCCTTTGGCTGTTTTTCCCACAGGCACCTACAGGCTTAAATTATAAAAGCTGTGACTTTTTAAAGAAATATGAATTGAGGCTTGGCACAGTGGCTCATGCCTGTAATCCCAGCACTTTAGGAGGCCAAGATGGGAGGATTTCTTGAGCCCTGAAATTAGAGACCAGCCTAGACAACATAGTGAGACCCCGACTCTACAAAAACTTTTGAAATCAGTCAGGCATGGTGGTGTGTTCCTGTAGTCCCAGCTACTTGGGAGGCTGAGGTGGGAGGATCGCTTGAGCCCAGGAGGTTGAGGCTGCAGTGAGCCATAATTGCATCACTGCACTCCAGCCTGAATGACAGAGCAAGACCTGTCTCTAAAAAAAGAAAAAGAAACATGAATGGAATATCTCGGGTAGCCATTCACCATTTATCCATTTCTTCAGCCACTCAAATTACTCAGTCTACCATCCATTCCTTGCTTTCTGTATATATGTACTGAATGCCTATAAAGATGGGCACTGTGTCACCTGCTACAAACTCAATAGTGATTTCAGCTGAATATGATAGCTAATGCTTACAGAGTGCATACATCATAGGTGATGCTAACCATTGTGTATGGACTATTACATTTATTCCCCTTCAATTCCCATAATGTTATAATTCCTATTTTACAGATTAGGAAACTGAGATACAGCATTCAAAGCCATACACCTAATAAGTGGCAGGGCCTGCATTCAGTCCCAGAGCTCAAAAAGTTAACCATCATGGGCCAGGCGCAGTGGCTCATGCGTGTAATCCCAGCACTTTGGGAGGTCAAAGTGTGCGGATCATGAGGTCAGGAGATTGAGACCATCCCGGCCAATATAGTGAAACCCCGTCTCTACTAAAAATAGAAAAATTAGCTGGGCATGGTGGTGTGTGCCTGTAATCCCAGTTACTCAGGGGGCTGAGGCAGGAGAATTGCTTGAACCCAAGAAGCGGAGGTTGCAATGAGCCGAGATCGCACCACTGTACTCCAGCCTGGAGACAGAGCTAGACTCCATCTTAAAAAAAAAAAAAGTTAACCATCATGATAGATAGACACAGCACCTGCCCCCATAGATGTTATAGTTTAATTCAGGAATAGTTAATAGCTTACCCCATGCTAGTGTTTCTTCCCCTGTGTTAGATTTCAATTGCTGCATCACAAATTAGCACAAAATAAGCAACTTATAACAATACACTTTTTAATTTCACAATTTCCATGGGTGAAGAGTCTAGGAACAGCTTAACTGGGTCCTCTGCTCAGAGTCTTACGAGGCTGAAATCAAGGTGTTGGTTGAGGCTCAAAAGTCACTGAGATCTCTGTGGATCTATAAAAATCTCCACAATATCTGCACTGTTATCGTGATGATTATTCTTCAGTACTATGTTAATACTTCAGTAGAACTTACTGCTCTGACCATGCTGTCTTTTCTACTAATGAGCAAACGTCCTGTGCAAGCTCTAGAAAGTCTGCACTTTTTCTCTGGTGCCAATTTTTTATTATATTATGCCTCTTGCCTCATGTTTCAAGTTGTAACCATCTTGATACCTTATTCCATAACCTACATAAGCTTAACACTTAACGGTAGATCTTGCAGTAACAATATGTGATATATACATATGTGTGTGCCTGCGTGCATGTGTGTGTATGTGTATTCAGTGATAGCAAAAATAAAATTCTATGTTCATCAAGATTTGGTGGCACATCTGTGAAGTAATAAGTGATAAAATATTATTCCTCAGTACTTGTATTAGTTAGCCTTTGCTGAGTAACAAATCATTCCAAAACAATAACAAGCTATATAGCTCACAGTTCTGTGGATTGAAAACAATTAAGCTGGGCATGGTGTACTGATCCCACTGAGACTCACTCATGGATTTGTAATCAGTGGGTGGATTGGCAAGTGACTGGCTGATCTAAGATGATCTAAACTGGACTGACTTGTCTTTCTCTCTTCTGTTCCTCTTCAGTTCACTGTCCCTGTCATTGAGGTCATGGCTATTTCCCCATTTTAAAACTCCACATGATTCCTGGTGGGGGTGGGAAGCTTCCAGTCACATTGTCTCCTCCCCACTCCTATCACAGAAATAAACACGTAGCTTCAGTCCAGCTAGTCAAGCACTTCATCACCCTAGCCACAGTATTCGGCCAAAGCATGGATATATGATCTAAGCAGGACCAGTCATAAATATTCCCTGGGGTCTATAGGTATTAAATAAGAGTGAAGGTTGTTCTCCTCTAGGTTGGGAACTGCAACTGCAAATAATATAAACCTGGGACAGTCATTAGTCATGTGCCTTCTCTTCCACAACATGGAAAAAGCTCCTGGGACCTAGAACAGAATAAGACCAGTGCAAAAGGAGAAGAACTGAAGGGTGGGGACATAGTGAGTCCCGAAGCCAGCACACTCTTGTGTGAGGCCAGCTCCACAGTGGCCTGTTAGTGCTTTGAAAGTGTGACATGGTAGTATGAAGTGTCAAGTGAGAGATGTTCCCATTTTCCATGAATTGTGATAGAACCAACTGTAAGGAGCAATTGTGAAGAGACAAATGTGAGAAGACAGAACGAAAAAATGCTAAGTTCCCCTACAGCCCCCTGGAAGCCCTGGGGTGTACTATATCCCCCTTTAATGTACCTTTCCACTTTCTTCAAGATGCCAGGGAGCGACTAGGTACAGAAAAGGAAATTTGTCTCTTGGAAGAGAGAGATTATGAAAAAACAACGATTTCATATTTCTACCCCCAACATTAAAGATAATTTTCAACTAATTTCAGCCCCCTTTCTTCCTATAAGATAGAGTTGTACAAAACATGCTGTTCCCACCACCATCACTACTCCACCACTTAGGAACTGGTGATGATCTGTTGTATGAGTTTCTGGTCTTCTGAACCAACAGAGAGAACATTGCTGCTGATCTGTAACAAAAGGAAAAGACCCAAAAGGCCAAGAAAGAAAAGCCAAGGTGAACCCTCACTACCTCCATTTGGCAGGAAGAGATGACATTTCCACAGGCAGAGCTGCTACAACAGAAGTTGTCTTAAACCATCTCAAACCATCTTACCAGTGTCTTCCAAGAGAGCTGCATGACAGTCTAGAGAGCCCCAGCAGCCAGAGGCTGTGGGCTTGACCACCCATGAAGGTGGGAAGTGGGAAGAGGTTGAGCCTCAACCAGGCCTCTTGCAAGGAAGCTGACTATACAAGATGGGTCCCCTTGAGATCTTCCCAAAAATATAATCCATATATGTCCCCACAAGACAGCCAGTGTTTATGCTCCTGTGACACAGAAGGGACTACAAGCCAGAATAATAAAATCAAGTCCAAAAGGTCATGAAAAAACAACTAGGAAAAACCATAAAAGGAAATACCTTTTTTTCCTGTCTCTTTCCTTCCCATTCCTAAATTCAGAGAAGCAAGGACAGAGCAGGGGAATGAGCATATGGAAAGTTGCCACAGACTCCCCTGAATGGGGACCTGGGGTAAAATAAGAGATATGAGTTTATGAATGGAGACAACTAACTCTTTGTCCTTGAAAGTGACAAAGAAGTTAGAAAATATGACTAGCATGTCATTAAGTAGGTGATCATATAATTTATTGCAAATTCCAGGGCACTAATGAGAGTCAAAGGGGGCACTATTCATAATTGCTTGAGGACAAAAGATGTAAACCAGAACACTCCCAGGCAAACAGGGACATGTGTCATTATGCCCATGAGGAAAGGGGCTGCAGTAAAGCAAGACTGTTAACAGATTTTGGAAAAGTTAAAAGTGCTTTAGGTTTATATTTGCAATTTAATCATAAAGCCAGTAAATGCAAACTTAAGAAAAAACTTTTTTGGTATTGAAACAACTTTGAGATAGATTTCTGTCACAACTGAAAGGCCGCTCACTAAAAAATGTGCAAATGTAAAGATAATCAATTGGGCTGTAAGTACCAAGACAGAGGTAAGCACTGGGTAATAGGAGAAAATGGATGAGAAGCCCCTAACCCAGGCTTGAGGGTCAAGGAGGAATTTCCAGAGGAAGAAACCCTGGGCTGCACCTTTAAGTACAAGCAGAAAACACAAATGTGTGGGAAGGATGGTAGAGACAGGGAGGGAAAGGCAAAGGACGAAGCATGTGAAATTAAATGCAAGGTGAACACTTTATTAAATAGACGAAGATAGGCAGGATCTAAACCAGGGGCAGGCCAAATCTGGGCTTCTGTTTCTGTCAGTAAAGTTCTGCTGGAAAATAACCCCACTCGTCATTTTACATATTGCCTATGATTGCCTCCTTTTCACTACAGCGGTAGAATTAAGTAGTTGCAACGGAGATTGTCTGGCCTGCGAAGCTTCAAGTATTTACTATCTTGCCCTTATAAATACATTTGCTGACCCCTTATTTAAAGCACTAAGTAATCAGCCAGTTTCTCCTTTCAAATCACTGCTGCTTCTAAGAGAGGTATGCACAAGAGACTTTCTTTATAACTGCATTTAGATTTTTGATTTCACATTTCTATTTTGTTTCCTACCTAGTGAGCTTAGCTGGATCCTGCAATAACAGAGAAGACTTTTGTGTATGTCAGAGGCAGATCTAAAGAGACTGCCATTAACATCCTACCCCTTTTTCTAGGTGGGATGCCCACAGAAGCAAGGCCTGAGAAGAGGACCAATGGTGTGAGTTTAGTTTGGAAGTGCAGAGACCTGGCAGGGGAATGGAAAAGGGACAGATGAAGAATGAAGCCAATAAGGAGTGCATTGTTCAGTCAGTGACCACAGTAGACAGCTGTAGCTTCATGCCCAGAGGATACATGGGAAATTGTGTGCAACACGTGCATCAGAAATATTCCATCTGGGGGATGAGGAGGCTGAGCTGCTTATACTCACACCCAGCAGTCAATGATTTTTGCCCCCATCCCAGATGTCAGGCCCCCATCATGGGGTGAGCACAGTGGGCTCCAGCAGCCTGACAGTCTCCTCATGAAGATGCAGGTACTGGTCATCAGAAATTTGGCCATTGTGCATGGAAATGTTGGTTCTGACAGAATGCAGGCAGAGCATCAGCATCCCATGCCACTCCCATCTTGGTTCTGGCTTGACTTTGAAAGTGATCCTGAAATGGTTCCATTGGATCTGGAATTCCTTTTTGGATAACTGGGGAAAACAATGGCGTAGAAGCATCTGGAAATACCCGAGGTGACACTTCTCAGTCCACTGTGGCCCATGTATACCTTCTAAACAGAAGGACATTCCCGTCCTTACTTACCTTGTCAGCTGGGCAGGAAAGAAGAAAGAAAAAGAGGAATAAAAGAGAGTCAGATATGAGAAGAGAAGAGAAAAGAGGAGAGGAGGGGAGAGGAAGAAAGCAGGGCAGAGAAAAGGAGAAGCTTCACTTCACCCTTCAAATGTAGACTAAGTAAATAAAGTTGCCCTCACCAGTGTGGATGGGTATCAATCAGCCAATTCACTGAGGAGCCCAAATAGAATGAAAAAAAAAAAAAAAAAAAAGGAAGGAGAGTGAATTTTTTCCTCCTTGAGCTGGGGTGTGCATCTCTCCTGCCCTAGGACATCAGTGCTCCTCCTTCTTAGGCCTTCAGACTCTGACCAGGATTCACACTATCTCCTCCCACTGTTCCACCCCCAGTCCTCAGGGTTTCAGACTTGGACTGGGACATGCACCATTGACTCCCTGGATCTCAGACCTTCGTGTTTAGACTGGAAATTGCATCACCAGCTTTCCATGGTCTCCAACTTGCAGATAGCAGATTGCAGGACTTCTCAGCCTCCAAAATTGTGTGAGCCAATTCCTGTAATAAATCCCCTTCTATGTATCTATATATATTCTATCAGTTCTGTTTCTCCAGAGAACCCTGGCTAATACAGGCATGTATAAGATTTGCACAGCACATGTTGCTTCAGGACCCCTATGTGGTTCTATCCCACATGATCTTATTCACCCGTCCATCTTCTACTTAACATGCCTGACTGAGGCCCCGTACACAGGAACAAGACCTCACGTACCAAAATCAAATCTTAAAAGACCTCAGGCTGCATCCCCCTCTTTCTGCCTATGAAGCCTGTACACAGTGCTGTCCCCTCCCTGTCCCATGCAATCACACACACACACACACACACACACACACATCCTTCCGGTCTTTGCACAGGTGGGGTGCTGCTCTTTACCTGCGATGTCCTGCCTGCACTCTGCTCCTCCTAGCACATTCCCTGGCTTGCTTTTCCACCTACATCAGCCCATCAGGATCATTTTCTTCTCTGAATACCCACAAGCTTGTTAGTGCCTCATCACAACTATTGACTGACTGGCACTCTTCACTGTTTTTAATTCTATTTCATTGTGTCTTCTGATACAGATATCTTAATAATATCAGATATTGAGATATCTAGATAATGTCTTAATTTGTATTTGAATACTACCATCTCAATTACATATAGAAAACATTTAATCTTCAAAACACCCCTGCGACATATATTCATGTACATATGTAGATATATAGATGTAAGGCCTTGTATATGAATCTTATTCCCATTTTATACATGGAAGGAAAATGGAGGGCAGAGTGGCAACAGAATAAGAAAAAGAGCACAGGCTTCCGCATAGACAGACTGAGATTTAAAGCTGAACTTAGACTGAAACTCACCGAGTGGCCTTGGAGAAGTTACTTGAACTCCCTGGGCCCATAAGTTGAGAATTACAATGCCCCTTCCATGGATTTCTTTAGGAGGACTAAACAAGATAACTAGTGATAACAATTGCTACCACTCAAAGAAAAAACATCATGTACCAGGCACTGTGCTAAACACCTTATATGCTTTATTTCACCTAATTTTGTCAGTCTTATTTGATATTTCCTAAAATTGCACCCCTGCAGGGACTGAGAAAACTGAGCAAATGTGCATAGACTATATGCAGAACACTCCCTAGCACACAGTAGGAACACAGCAAAGAGTGGCTTCTCTTGGCATTGAAGAGGATGAGCTAGAAGCACTGTCCAGGAAGAGCAGGAGAGGGAGGGAAATGAAGAGGTAGAGGGATGACTACAATGCAGTTTCCACACTCCTGCTGGAGAAACTGCCCTGGATAAGTCAGAGACACGTCCATTGTTTGGCAGATTGCACCTTTTAAGCAATGTTTCTGTTTGTTTCTACTGCTGCAACAAATTAGACTCTGAAACAGTAAAAAAATTATTCCCTGCAAGAATAATAAATTATATTTATTTACTTACAGGGCAAGAGTAACACCACCGCAGTCTAAATATGTATCTATAATGGCAAACATGGAAAATTAACTGACAATGGTAACAAAAGAGTTCTGATTTCCTACATGAGGACATGACCATAAGCACCAGTGTATGATTTTTCTGGGCCCCTGAAATACATGGGCTACACCTCAAGAATGCACTTTAATGGAAAAGCTTGCAGAAGTGGAAAAGCCATACTGCCTCCCTTCCTGTTCCTTGAACCCAGGGAACACAATCTTGGCATTTTCTATACCTGTACCTGGAACAGTGTTCTCCAAGAGAGCTACATGGTCAACCCCCTCACTTCTTTCAGATCTGTGATCATATGTCAAGCCATCAGAGACTCCTCCAATCTTCTTATCTGAAATAGCATCCTCCCTACCAGTACCTGCTGTCTCTCCAGTCCTGCTGACTTATACTTCATAGCATTTATTACCATCTGACATTTTAAATGTCACTTCACTACTTTATTGCTATAATTGTATATATCTATGGATTTGTTTATCTATTAATGTATTTATCATGTTATGTATTTGTGTATTGTTTATCTATCCATAGTAGAATGTAAATTGCACAAGAACAGGAATTTCTGTGTTCATTGTAGCAGTTCAAATATTTATAACAAAGCCTGGCATATAGTAGGTGTCTTAGTCTTCTCAGGCTACTACAGAAAAATACCAAAGACGGGGTAGCTTAAACAACATTTATTTCTCACAGTTCTGAATGCCAGGAAGCCCAAAACCAAGGTGACAGCATGGTTGGGTTCTGGCGAGGGAGGGCCTCATCTTCCTGGCTTGCAGACGGCCCCCTTCTCATTGTGTCCTCACAGGGTGGAGAGAGAGCTCCAGTCTCCTCCTCTTCTTATAAGGACACTAATTCTAGTATGGGGGCCCCATCCTTAGGATCTCATCTAAATCTACCTCCTCCAAATACCATCACGTGAAGTATTAAGGCTGCAACATATAAATTCTGGGGGAACACAAACATTCAGTCTATAACAGTAGAGGTGAATAAATATTTTTCTGAGCAAAGTTCATCTTTATTCTTATCTTTATTTAGAGGTATGTTTTATTTAATTTGTTTTTAAATGAGAATTATAAATAAGCTGCAAAACTGATTCCAGTTGTGCTTTCTGTCCTTTCTCTTGGGTCCCTGGTCTTGAGTTACCTAAATGCTACATTGAATGAAGAAAAGAAGACAGAACACATATTAACTGTGTCCATTTTTTAATCTGAGGTTTTGACCAATAATTTCAGACTGATTATTCTGGCGCTACCCAAAGAGAACTGAGTTGTATCATTGTTCCTATCTGAAAGACAGAGAAGCTGTGATTCAGGGTAGTTACAGAGCTTGCCCAAAGTCACACAGCAATTTAGCCACTGGGGAAAAGGGGTACAGGTAACTAAAGTTAGAACACAGAAATGTAGATTCCAACTGAGGGTTTTTATTTGGCAAAACCAGGAAATTGATTACATGCACCTCATCACCACCCTCCACAGCACCCCTATGGCCATGGCAGACACTGATCACCCACTACCTCCATGACACACTTACCCTGGACCAAGGGGTGATGCTTAACACAGCATTCCCACTAGCCTTGGGCAAGCAATGGATGTTAAAGGAGATAAACACTCCTGCTTGCCTTCTTTTGCTTTTTATAGTTTCAAGAATTTTATTTGATTATAATTCAGTGAAATTTGGAAAACCAGAATGCTTTTTCATGATTACCTGTTCTCTTATGTACAGATAAAATTAAATTCTGCCTCTGCGTTTTTTGTTTGTTTGTTTGTTTGTTTTACTTTAAGTTCTGGGATACATGTGCTGAACGTGCAGGTTTGGTACATAGGTATACATGTGCCATTACCTTCTACCCTATTGACACTTTTGCACTCTCCATTTCCCATCCACAAAATGGAGACGGCACATGACTTTGACTCTAGAAAGGGTCTTCTAGGAATTACTTACTAGAAAGCTTTCCCAATTCCTCAGTACCATTTCAACCTGTACACAATATGTACAAGTATATTACTGTTATTTTGCTATATTGCACTCAAATGAACTGTGTATTTTATATGCACACACAGAGAGTCATAAAATAGCATTATAAATTATATGTAAAGACAAAAGTAGATGTTTTAAAATATTTATTTCATTGCCATTACAGATACATGTCATATTTATGCTTTAGAGAACTAAGAATGAATCTAATCTTTTGACACAAAATGATTACAAGTTTCAAATGGTCCTAAATCTTGTATGCCTGCAATATCAGATTCAACACATTGGTCTTGATAAAGAATTATGTTTATTTATTTGTGTTGTATGGGCCAAGATCAAGAACAGTCCTCCTTTTAGGGAACATTTTCCAGAAATCTGGTGTATATCCTCAAACAATAATTGTGATGCACAATTATTTTGCAAATAGGTAGTAAAGATAAAATGTCTTTATACCTGATTTCTTAGTTACCACCTGGGGTTCTAATTAAAATGCACTTTTGGTATATGAAATGGCATCAGATAATGTTATCCTTATCTCATTGTGTAATAATTACATCTGTGGCTTTTGGTTTCATTTTTAATTAGCTTTCACAGTTCTCTACAAGTGAGACAATTCATTTTTTAATGATAGATAAAACCTTAAAGGACAAGGAAAACATCCGAAGGTAATTAGGACACGAGGAATAACATGTCAATGATTTGTGGTCAACTAGATTTTATTTCGCGTACACTTTTCTCTCCACTTATCTTTTCCCTCACCCTTATCAGTTCCTATGGCAAGGACACTGTGGCGGGGACCTCATCAATATTCTGTGAAGGCAGAAGCCTCTGATGAGAGGTGGCTCTCTCCACTAGTGAAACTGCATTATGGCATCTTGTCCAGCTTCATTCATTCTCTATCAGAGCATTACACCATACTTAACCATGGAACTCTGGATGGCCAGGGGTATAGGGCCTGTCAATATGTCATGTCAGAGGAAGAACCACAAGTGTCAACAGTGGTGCCTAACCCAGGCTGCAGAGTAGCTGAAGTGGAAAGTGAGGTGGGTGCTATAATTGTGACATGACTAAATTAAGACAGAATTCTGGAAGTTGTCATTCTCAACAATAGCAGGGATAAGAGCATGACTAGAATCAAGAAAGAAAACCGAGCAGGCAACAAAATGCACATCAAATTAATGAACAGGAGTCAGAAGACTATAAGCAAGCCATGTGCGTGCATGTAGAGGAGGAACTCTTGAAATCCCTGCTAACTTTTAATGCTAGAACTGGGGCATGCATGTATATATGTGCAACAGAGGAGAGATAGAGGAGGGAGAGTTCTCTCCCTCTGTCCGGTGCCTTAGAAGCAATCCTTAGTAGCTAGTAATTAATTCAGTGTAACATGGCTATGGGTTAAAGATTGGTAACATGGAGAAACTTTATTACCAATGCAGTGTGGCCCAGTCTCCATTTTCATTTCACTCTAATCTTCCCGGTCTCCTGGTCAAATGGCAAGACACATCTGGAAAACCAGGTTAAAAGGATACCCAAAGTGGTTTCCAGGATACCACAATTACACACAGTATTGAAACCAGAAGCAGGGGAGTCCTCATAGATGCCTCTATACTGTCTGCGGCTGAAAACAGCACTTTAAAAGCCAAATAACTTGATTTTACCACTAACTATTAGCTGTGCAAAAATGAGCCTCAATGTCCCCAGCTGTAAAACTAAGATAAGACCGCAGTTCACAGAGTTGCTATGAAAAGCAGATGATAGTAATATCCATAAAAACACTTTCAAAACAGCAAAGTGCTACATCAGTATAAAGAGTTACTCTTCCCTAACAGAAGGCCAGTGACATTTTCAACAAAAATAGGTGCCTATGACCAGTGCCAAAATTTTAGGTGATGGGAGTTAAAAGGAGAACAAGGAACAATAAAAAAAAACCAGAAACATAGAGAAGCATGCATGGTGAACACTGTCTCAAGCTCTTTCATGTCCTATCGTTGATTCATCTTCACAGAAACCCTATTTTATCCCCATCTCTACAGGTAAGCACACAATCGTAACGAACTTCCCCAAGCTCACAATGCTGTTCTGTGATCTGGCTGTGGCTGATTCCCAAGTCCATGCATTTCTCATATACTACACTGACTCTTAGGACTTCTTTCAGCAGCTTTAATTCATTCTCCCACTTTGGTCTCTCCCTGTCCCTTAGTTCTCAATGAAACTAAACTCACAGAAGCCCAGCTGAATTTCCATCTTTGCCATTAAACCTTCCCCCCAATTCTCTGAGTTGCACTGTCAGTCTCTTTTCTGACTACCTCTCCACCAACCTCCCATTAGCATCTGCCTTGATGCTCTATGAAATCATGCAGCTGACTAAGCTGGAATCCAGTGGTACTTTTCCATGAAGGCCTCCCATCATCAACACAATGAATATCCATTTTCATCTAGCACCTACAGAAAAGAGGACTTTGGTGATGGGCAGGGGCAGGTAGAGGAAGGAGGTTGGATGGATACTATGATATTTAACCTCATTTCATCCCTCGGACTGAGTTTATGCATCAGAAATAGTCACTTAACTTCAGATTTAAATAAAATGCAAAGTCATTTTATATTAAAAACTAGAGAGGCCAAATGACATCTAAGTAACAGCAATTTTATATTTGAAATAAAAATTCAGCAGGCATATGTTAAGTACATGAGGCTCTGTGCCAGGGGATTTTTCTTGAGTTGAACATAGTAATTGTTGTAGCTAGTAACTATCCCTGTTTTCTAGCTAATTTGCTAATTCAATTTTACCTCCCGTGCTTGAGACATGTCACTACCCTGTTTAAGTTCAATGGTTCCCCAGTACTTGCAGGATAAATTCTTCATGCCTTTGCTGGCAACAAAGGCTTCTGTTCAAGACCCCAAACTGTATGTTCTGCCTTGGCATCTAGTAGTTCCCTAAAAGAACATCCTATCTCAGTGTTTCTTGTTCTCAAATCATGCTTTACACATTTCTACTCCTGAGCCATTTTCTCTCCCTCTCTCTTCCCTTTGCCCTCCACTTCCCTGCCCAAACAAGCATAAAGCCTAAGAATAGTGTTCCTGCTCTCATTGTCCCTACATAAGCTTCACATACCCTATCTTCCCTCATCAAACCCCATGTGTCACCGTATGGAGAGACCCTGTCATCAGTAAAGAAAGACCTATTCAGGAGCAATGGAGAATCAACTGAGTGCTACAGGAGTCATAAACCACCACTCCACTCTAGATCCACATAAACTCTCCTGCCCTAAAGAATATAAGTAGCACACGTGCTGCAATCTCATCCACCAAGATTATCTGGTGAGATTATTGTCCAGTAAAATCTATTACTGTATAATATGGCAAATAGTATCTATGTATATAAACTGCATAAAATGGCAAATAGACTTTCCTCTCTCTAGGCAAAAGAATGTTGATAATCAGCTCCTTCTGAGAGATTAACACTCTGCAAACACGTCTGAGCACGGGCTGAGTGAGACATCTCGCTGGGCACTTTACACGGATTATCTCACAAGGACCCTCACAGTACCCTGTGAGGCAGAGACTAAGTTTGCCTTCAGAGAGATGGGGTAGCTGAGGCTGCACAAGATTAAGTAAGTTGTCCAAGGTCACATAGCTAGAGTGCCATTAAAAGGAACCTGGCAGAGCAGGCAAACCACTCCACATCCCTAGAGGCTACTGCAAGGTGACTCCTCCCCTAGTCATTGTAGACCATTCCAACGAGCACTCTGAGAGTCTTCCAGGAGATTCCATGGTTCTATCTTTTCTGCTCCCTGGCAAAACTCACAGATTCAGAATAAGAAGAAAGGTTTATTGTTTATTCTCAGGGCAGTGGCAGAATATTGACCACCAGTTAATTCTGTTAAGTCCATTAACCCATTTATGCTGGAGGTTGCAATTTTTTGAATTGCAGACGTGTGTGAAAAATCAGACCTTGGTCATGACCTTGAGCAGTAGGATATAAATAACTCCCACATGCTTAGCGTTCCAATAATGGAACACTAGGCATAAATGTGGAATGTTCCATTATTGGAATGCTAAGCATAAATAAATGGGCAGCTGTTTTCCCTACATCACACCTGCCCAGGATAGTAAGGACCATAGGGATGACTTCAAGCAAGATGCCCTTGGGCTTTGATGGTACCTGCCAACCTCTGACACATCAATCAAACTCAATGGCCTATAATCTTCCCCATTTGCAGAACTTTCTATCACTTATAAGCACGATAGTAACATTATCTCATCTGATATTACAAGCACATTTGTGTTATGATTTTCAACATCCTCAATTTACAGGTAAGGAAACAGAAGTTCTAATGACAAAGCATCCATGAACTCATCATAGGTGAAAAGAGAGGGTATGTTGTATTTCTTTATCAGATTAGTGGTTATACAATGTTTATTTTGTCATAACTTATTGATATGTATATTGTTTCGTGTACTTTTCCATGTGTTACACTCCCAGTAAAAGAGGTTAAAGATGGGTATAGAAGGACATGAAGGTATTCATTGGGTCTAATCTCATTAAAGAGATACTTTCTTTTAACATTTCATCCAAATTACTCTTTCACACTCAGTGAATATTTGGGTATTTACATTATGTGCAAAGTACTGTCCTACATGCTAGAAATAATTATTTTAAATCAAAAGACAAATGCTTAATAGTATTTATCTAACTTTAACTTAATTTCACAAGAAACTTCGTTATAAAAATAGAACACTCCTAATTAGCTGGGCGCGGTGGTGGGCACCTGTAGTCCCAGCTACTTCGGAGGCTGAGGCAGGAGAATGGCGTGAACCCAGGAGGCGGAGCTTGCAGTGAGCTGAGATAGTGCCACTGCAGTCTGGCCTGGGTGAAAGAGCGAGACTCCGTCTCAAAAAAAAAAAAAAAAACACTCCTAATTCCCCACACTTAATGTGTACACATACACCCTACACACTCACACAAACACACACACATTATTCTTTGTCATAGCTGCGTAGTATTCCATTTTAAAAGTGAACAATCATTTATTTAACAGTCTCTTTCTGATTGAGTTTGTTTCTAGTCTTTGTTATTATATTACATACTGCAAAAAATCTGTGTGTATGCATCTTTGTTCATATGTTCAGACATATCAATGAGATAAAATATTTAAAATGTCAGTCCTTGACCAAGCATTTTTAAAACTTCACCAGTTATTGCCAAATTGCCCTCCAAAGTTTGCACAAATCCTTGATGAGAATATACATTTCTTCACACCTCGCCAATATGATGAGACTCTGATATTTGCCAATCTAACCTGGGAAACTTTTCTCATTGGTATTATCATTTTTATTTAGTTAATGATAAGTGATGCTGAGCATTTTTTCATATGCTTATAAGCCAATTTTGTTTTTCATAGATCAGTCTGTTCATGTTTTTACCTGTTCATATTTATTCTTTCTGTCATCAAATGGTCTCTCACTGATCTGCAATAGCTCTTTATCTGTTGAGAAAGTCAATCCTTCATTTGTCATTCTTCATGCTTTTTTCTTGGGCAGAAATGTTCGATTCTTATATAGCCAAATTAGTCAGTATTTTCTCTTAGTGTTTAGAAGGGTCTTCCCCATTCCAAGACTACCTGAAGAAGTGTTTTCTCTAATGTAGCATTCTTAAGGGGACTTGCTCGATGAGGTTTTACTCTTTCTAGAAAAAAGAATGTTGATAACATTGGGAGGGTGAGGCAGGCAGATCATGAGGTCAGGAGATCGAGACCATCCTGGCTAACATGGTGAAACCCCATCTGTACTGAAAATGCAAAAAATTAGCTGGGCGTGGTGGTGGGTGCCTGTAGTCCCAGCTACTTGGGAGGCTGAGGCAGGAGCATGGCGAGAACCCGGGAGGTGGAGCTTGCAGTGAGCCGAGATAGCACCACTGCACTCCAGCCTGGGCAACAGAGCCAGACTCCATCTCAAAAAAAAAAAAATGTTGATAACAAAATACTGAGGTACAGTCCATTCATGTTGAGTTTAATACCTAAAGATTAATTTAATATGAGATCCTACAAAGATGATCAAAAGATAATCCAAGGAAATCAAAGAAATAATTGAACAATACTAAAAGTATTGTAAAACATGGCAAATAGACTTTACTGAACAATTAACTGAAGTTTTATGATGTACAATAGCCTATAGATATTATTTGGTGGGCTTCTGCTATACACCCCAATTCCTCGTCACTAAGGAAATGATAGAAACACTTAGCCAGACATCATCTCAGCTCAGTGAGATGGGGTATCTGAAGCTGCACAATTCCTCTTCTTTTTACCTTCTCCAAAAAGTTCTTTTAATGTAATGCTGTACCTCCCATGTGCTCTAGGCTGGAATATTTCTTCACATGTCAGAGATCTTTTTTATTTGGGTTGGCAGTGTATTCTCAGTTTCTATCTGTACAAAGGGCTCATAGTTCACTCAATGTATGGAGGCTTTGCCTGCAGTATTCCCGAGGAAGCCCCTTTTTTTCAACAGGGTCTGCAATACCTGTGCTGCTAGTAACATATTAGTCTGAGATTTTTCCATTTGCCATAGATTCCTTCACCCTTTTGCTCTGTGCTGTCTCTGGTATGGGTGAAAGAAAGAGAATGAGCTCTAATATTTATAGTACCCACCACGGTTGTTAGGCCCTGTACACTCTTACTTCTTTTCAATTCCTCGCAAACTACTTCCTCACCTTATTATACCACTTAAACTACTTATAGATGAGGAAACGGGGGCTCTGGGTGCTGGAGTAATAGGCCAAATGTATCATGGCCAGGTAGAGGTGCAGATAGGATTTTAATCCAGTTCAGACTGCAAAGGCTGGGCTCTCATGCAACGGAGAATATATACATGTGAGAAATTGAGAGGTACAACGGGATCTCAATAGAGGGACTAAAGCACTTTGCTTGAAGAGATCCACAGAGGAGACACTTGGAAGAGGTCTCAATAATGCCAGTGCCCTTTGGGTTTAGCACAATAGACCATTACAGAAAATATCCTACACCCACTAATTGGAACAAACAGGGCACTCCAGGCTTCCCTTTCCCTTTCTGGCTTATTCTCCGATGGCTGCAGATGGCAGTGTGGCTGGCTGACTTTTTGTCTGGACAAAACCTACTCCCTACAGCTCATGTAATTTCTCAGATGCTGCCAGGCCACCTCCAGCTCCTCATTTCTCTCCTCCTCACTATTTTGTATTCTCCACGCTGCTCTCCGTCCTGTGGAAACGAACACATCAAAGCCATATGGAGTCATTCTTCCTGGGCGCCCGTGTCCTTTCTCTCTTCTTCTTTTCCTGGAACATTAATATTAATAGCTTGTTTCTTTGCCGTTGCTTTCTTCTCCAACCTCAAGGGACTGGAACCTTTTCTTGGTCTTTGTGCCAGATGGAGCACTTGTTTGAAGGCGTGGTAAGGCGTGCTAGGAAGATGATGTCTCTGATGTAATCCTGGGCCACACAGTGCAAGCATGTGATGCTACTCCGCTACCAATTCAGTCAAGCCAAATATTCTTCCTAACATTTGTCCTTTTGGAGGAGGAGGGACAGTCACATGCAAACAATCTAGCAAAACCCAGAGAAATCAGTCCTAATTAATAGCCATTGGTCTCTGTGCTCAGCATTTTGCATGCTTCATGTCATATAATTATCACAATTCTTCCAGGTTGATGTCAGTATCCCCATTTTATAGCTATGAAAACTAAGGCTCCGTGACCGTCGGCATCTGCCTAATGTCACATAGCTTGTAAGTTTGAGAACAGAAATGTAAATCCCCTTCTCACTAACTCCGAAGCCCATGTTTTAAGCCTTCACCATCAACTATTTCCTGTCCTGTAGCCTCTATTCAGGCTCCATTCCCAGAAAATGGAGACAGAAAGAAAGGCTTCTTTTGTGCTCAGTCAGTGGGGCCCCGCGTCAGAGCATGAGACCTGGCACAGCAGGAGCCGGCCTTTGTGTGTCTGTGTTCTCCTCCCGCGCACCCACTCCAGTCTGCCTTGGCACCATCTCTGAGCTGCACAGAAGCTCTGGCACGAGAGGGCTGTGAAGCCAGAGTCCCACGGCCAGAACTGTGCTGGCCAGCCCTCAGAGATGGCCCCAGTTTGCACACGCTGCTCTCCTGCCCTGAGCCACAGTGCAGCTGCGCGGCAGGAATCACCAGAGGGATGTGCCAGGAAGACTGGGGTGAATCCCAAAATGACAGTGGCCATGTTGGAGGAGGGCGGAGGGACAGAGCTTCAAGTTCATGGGAGATAAATGATGTGGAAGTGACAGACACCACCCTGGATTTAAAAAAGAAAATTAATGTATTTCTTCAATAATAAAAAGCTAAAATAGCCAAAATATCTAGGAACTTTATCACGGTTTACAAGAGTTTGTGTGGTCAGCTTGCTACCAAAGCATTGGCCTGTCTGGATGTGGGCTGAGCTTAGGCTGGGAGCATTCCAAGGCACCAAGGGGACAGAGTAATTTTGCTGCTAGAAAACATGAGGAACCAGGGCAAAAGAAGAAGCTGTTTAATGAATTCAGGATCCCCAAGACTTTTCCGCAAATGTCTATTACGTCAGCTAGAATGCTTCCAGAGCATCCCACATATCCTAATAATTCTCATCTTTTATTTCTTGCTGCACCCATTGAGCCTATATGGCGATATGTTCCCATGTAATGTTCCTGGGGAATCCCAGCAATAACTGGGTGAGATATTTGCAGGATACTTGCAGATCATCCTAAAGTGGGGGAGGGAGAGAAAGAGCAAAAATTAAATAAATACATTTATTTATTTATTTGAGTTATTTATTCATTTTTTATTGAGTTATTTATTTATTTATTTGAGGTTAGTTGAGAATTTATAATTTCTTACCACCCCTTGGGTTATGGATAGGTGGCATTGCCAGTAATCGAATGTATTCATTTAACTTTTCTCTTTCTCTCCCTCCCCCACTTCAGGATGATCTGCAAGTATCCCTCAAATATCTCACCCAGTTATTGCTGGGATTCCCCAGGAACATTATATGGGAACATATGGCCATATAGGCTCAACGGGTGCAGCAAGAAATAAAAGATAAGAGTCATTAGGCTATGTGGGATGCTCTGGAAGCATTCTATATGCTTCCCAGCTATGGCATGGGAAGACATTGTGCACCCAACCCAGAAGTTAGGACTGGGTCACTACTCTAAACAAAGGTGAAAGGTAGGTAGCTGGAAGGTCTATACCCCTCTCACCCAGTAAATCTGTCACTCTGAAGAGTCTGCTGAAACCGTATAAAAAAGCACATCATGAAGCTGTGCCTGCCTACATCAACATCCATCTTGCCCTCACACATAGCCCTCAAAGAGCTTGTTTGCTATTCCTTTAGTAAAATGGAGTATTTTTCTAATTAGTTTCTTCCTGCTTCCATTGAATGAAAATGTAAAATGTTGCCGGGCGTGGTGGTTCACGCCTGTAATCCCATCACTTTGAGAGGCCGAGGCGGGCGGATCACCAGGTCAGGAAATCGAGACCTTCCTGGCTAACATGGTGAAATCCCGTCTCTACTAAAAATACAAAAAATTAGCCGGGCATGGTGGGGGGCGCCTGTAGTCCCAGCTACTCGGGAGGCTGAGGCAGGGGAATGGCATGAACCTGGCAGGCGGAGCTTGCAGTGAGCCGAGATCGCGCCACTGCACTCCAGCCTGGGCGACAGAGTGAGACTCTGTCTCAAAAAAAATAAATAAATAAAATAAAATGTAAAATGTTTTAATCTGTTTGAAAACATACCAAATTACTGGCCTGTATGGGGGCACCCATACATATGAGTGTCTGATATACCTTCCCATTGCATCTTATACTTCTTTTGCGTAACACTTTTCACAATTGAACTAATGGTGGACCTAATTATTTCTTGAGTGTCTCTCGCTCTGCCTCCTGATTGTATACCACATGAGGGCAGGGGCCGTGACTGGCACATCACACCAAGTTCCTTCAATAGTCATTGGTTGAATAAACAAAGGGATGCAACTGACTGCATGGCCTGCCCCATCACACAGACAGGGAATGCCTACATTTGGATTGATTAGGACTGACTTCAACACCAAGCATATCAGAAGCAGATGCTCTTTCTAGAACTCCCTCTCCCTGCATGTGTGATGAAAACATCCCCATTGACTCTTATGATAGAAAAACAGATGCTGACGAGGATGCGAAGAAATAGGCAAGCTTTTACACTGTTGGTGGGAGTGTAAATTAGTTCAACCATTGTGGAAGACAGTGTGGCGATTCCTCAAGGATCTAGAACCAGAAATACCATTTGACCCAGCAATCCCATTACTGGGTATATACCCAAAGGATTATTAATCATTCTACTATAAAGATACATGCACATGTATGTTTATTGCAGCAGTATTTACAATAGCAAAGACTTGGAACCAACCCAAATGCCACCAATAATAGACTGAATAAATAAAATGTGGTACATATACACCATGGAATACTACGCAGCCATAAAACAAGAATGAGTTCATGTCCTTTGCAGGGACATGGATGAAGCTGGAAACCTTCATCCTCAGCAAACTGACACAGGAACAGAAAACCAAACACTGCATGATCTCACTCATAAGTGGGAGTTGAACAATGAGAACACATGGACACAAGGAGGGAAACATTACATACCAGGGCCTGTCAGAGGGTTGGGGGGAAAGGGAAGGGAGAGCATTAGGACAAATATCTAATGCATGAGGGGGTTAAAATCTAGATGATGGGTTGATAGGTGCAGCAAGCCACCATGGCACATGTATATCTGTGTAACAAACCTGCAGGTTCAGCACACGTATCCCAGAACTTAAAGTAAAATTTAAAAAGATAAATAAAATAAAATAAATAAATATAAATATAAAAAAGAAAAAGAATAACAGGATGAGAGGAAAAAATAGGCTGGCTGAGAGATGAGGCATTTGCCTACTAGAAAGTCAGATTATTAATATTCTGCAGAAAATAAGAAAATGTATTTAATAGTCTATAGCAAATCAGAAATCCAACACTCTAAGAAATAACTTTCTGCTGGACGTTTCAAGTAATCCAGACTCTAATTCTACTGCTCGTGAAAAACTGTGTGAGTCCTATAGACAGAGAGCCAAGGCTGAGTTACAGTTTGCAAGGCCAACATATTTCTGAGATCGCTCCAGGAGACCTAATGGGAAAATTCAAATGAGGCCACCTGCTTTATTAAATGTCGAAAGGAACTTCCCCCCCACCCTCCTCCCCGAGTGCAATTTATTCTTCTAAACTTACAACATGGGAAATGGGATTTCTCAATGGAATTTTCCTTCGAAGGTCATCGTCTTTACCAAGCTACCAAGCTTTTCGTTGAAAATGGATTTAAATAATTTGGGGTCTGGTGTGTCAGACCTTGTCTTTTTCTTTTCAATTTTCTTTTTCCATTCAGGAAGAGACTCATTCTGGTGTAGTCATGCCCCATTGAACAGAGCCAAACCTGGATATAATTATTTCCTCTGAAGTGAAAGAGGCCTAATATGGAAGAAGCTATTGAAATTGAAATCTCAGAAAATCACCAACCCAAGGCAAGTGTATTTTTATCAATGATGGATTCTCTGGATTATCCCAAGAGGCAGTTATTACAGTTTCATTATATATATATATATATACACACATACATATATATATACACACACATATATCTGTGTGTGTATATGCATGTGTGTATACACACACAAATATTCACACATATATCCATGTGTGTATATAAATACATATATAATTACATATATATATATAGAAAGAGAGTCTTCAGAAGGAAGATATGCAGTAATTAGCAGAAAAAACAGAATTGCTAACATCTCATTAGAATAGAAAGTGAAGTCATTTTTTTTAAACTGTCATATATTTAACTAAGAAGAATCAGCATTTGAGTGCAAGGCTACCAGTCAATAATGAGGTAAGGAGGCACAGTTTCAGGAAAACTGGGGTGACTTCTCTGTGCACCCTTTGTTCCACACTCAAATAATCGCAAACAGACCCTCCACCTGAAAAGCCACGTGGTGAGTTGAAACTCCTGTTCTGCCAGGTTTCTCTTCTTGTTAAAGAACCACTGAATAGATATCCGTGCATACTCTTTGGCTTTAAGAGGTTTCCAGTTTCTAGGATCATGCACAGTGATGTCACACGGGCATGGCTTTGTTCCCTGCTTCCTTCTCTCTGTTATTGTTTCTAGAGACAAAGACAGCCCTTTAGATGTCAGAGTCTGAACAGGAAGCCTGTTACTCCATTGGAGCCTCACTAGGCAGGATTCTGAAGGAATCATAGATTGTTCCTCCTATCAGCTCTGCTTGGTTATTGGTTATTTCTGTCTCTTTTCTTTCTTGAGCTCTAACTTGGCTTTTACAGAAAATCCACTGGAACCACGGACTTTAAAGTTTACATCTTATGTTCTGTAGTCCCAAATACACACCTCTTCTCAGTCTTGGCCCAGAAAATGGCAGGCTTCATAGTCTTCACAAGGAGAATACTTGCTGTCATTCTTCAAGGCAAGGCTTCATCTCTCTATATTATTACTCCCACTCTTTTCATTGCCTGAAATATCATTTCCTGTCTTTCCAACCTGGCTTTCTCCTTTGCATCTTTTCCGAGTCAGTTTCAGCCTCCTCCACCCTCTACACCCCTCTGGGTGGGAGTGCCTGGCGCTCCTATGTGCTCCCACAAAGCTTTGTACTTTTACTGTTCACTGAACTTCGGTTGACCTGATCACGAGTCTGTCTCCTCCATGATCTCTAAGCTCTTGGCCGGTAGCTCTTTCCAGCTTTTAAATCTATAGTGCCTAACAAAGTGGGAAATTTTAAAATAATTATTAATTAAATTAATTTGACATTATGTTTCCTCTTTTTTTTTAAATCGTTTATAGAGACAGATTTCGTTAGGTTGTCCACGCTGGTCTTCAACGCTTGGCCTCATGTAATTCTCTTACCTCGGCCTCCCAAAGCACTGAGATTACAGATGTGAGCCACCGTGCCTGGCCCTGTTACCTATTTTGTGTCTGAAACAGGGGGCTAGGTTATGCTGCAGTAACAAACAATACCTACATCTCAAAAAAGCCTTTAAAAAATGGTATTTCTGTGTGTCAACACTGTGTCAATCATGTGCCATTTGGGGCCTCTGTTTCATGCTGGGCCCCAGGATGATGGCGCAGACACTATTTGAAATATTGCTAGGTTGTTCATGGAGGAGGTAAAGGTCTAGAGGGACTTACACTGTCAAGTAGAAACTCTGACCCAGAAGTGAGACACAACCCTTTCATTCACAACTCATTGCCATCCACAACTCATTGGCAGAACATAGTTATATGGCCCCCACCTAATTACAAATGGACCAGCAATTTCACTCCTGATCCTTGAAAGCAGAAAGTAGAATATTTGAAAATTAGCACTAATGATTTCAGAATAGCTATTGAACAGCTTTACTCTAAAGTCCTGGAGTGGGGGGGTGGGGATGGGGTGGTTTGTTAGGATAAAACAGAAATCCTGTCTCATTTCTCTGTAGAATGTAAACTTAGCACTGTATCTACACCAACTGACCATATGTGGCCTGCTGTTCTCACAGGGTTTCCTCCAACCCCAGCGTGCTCTCACTTCTCTGAGCTCTTACAACCCATGCTGTTTGTTACCCCTGGAACTCTCATTACCCCCTTCTCTGTTCCTACTTGCCTTCACCTGATTATGACCTATGTATTTTCCAGATATTTTAGTATATATAACTTCCTCCAGGAAGCCTTCATTAGAAACCCCTCACATACACATCACCATATTGCGGTTAACTATTCCTTGTCCCTATTTCTCAAGGGCCTTTTTGTTTTCTCCGTCCTAGAATTTACTAGGTTTTTTCAATAGTCTGTCACTTCCCACTAGTCTAAATGTTTTCACGACAGTACAAATCCTGTCTTGTTAAACACTGTGTTCCCAATGCTAAACACATATTAGTTGCTCAAGATGTATCTTTGAAGAAATGAATCCATTAATGATTTTATATATATATATATATACACGAATAATAGAAATCTCAACTTTTTGTATACTGTTTCAAGGTAGTTTCTCCAGTGCTCTGACTCTTTTACTGCCTTCCAAGAGAAGAGATCCATTTCTGATTTCCTCCTTGGATTTAATCCAGCAGCATTCTTCAGTTCACATTCCAACACACTTCTCTCTGGCCAAAACTTTTAACTCATCATTTTTGTTTTATTTCTCAGTTGTGAAAAGACCTCCTTGGTTAGTAGAAGACTCTTTCCAGAGCTCTCCACTCTGAAGTTTGTAAACTCATTTCACACACACACACATACACACACACACACACACACACACACACACACGAGTGCGCACATTCAGAAACTTGACCTCCTACGTTTAAAATGGAAGATATGACCACAACTACCTCTGGAGCTCTGTTGGTTCAGACACTGATTTTATGATCTCATATCTTCACTACATTCCAATCTCTTTACCAGTGCTTTTTTTCTTAAAATAAATCCCTCAACCGCTGACCAGTGTAGCTGTCGCTAAGCAATTTTAGAAGCATTAGTCTTATCTGGAAGAAGGTTATATGTTAGGTCATTACTCCTTAGGATAGGCAGAAAACTTTTCCTTGCTATCAGCAAGATTGCCTGAAATTCCACCAATCGTGGATTTATTTATTTTTGACATTTATGTGTCAAATTCTATGCTAGCTGTTTTCTCACAGAGAAGTCATGGGTGTCAGGGTAAATCTCTTTTCTTCTTCTGGTACCCCGCTTCCCCAGTGATGTAATAATCACCTGAGTGAGACATGTCGTAATCTTCTCCCTGCCTCTGCCTGTGTCTCACACCTCCTCATTCTCCCTTAGGGAGGCTTTTCATGACTTTTACACTGGGGCATCCATCCCTGTCCCTGAAATCTGTTCCCACAACACACTGCACGCCCCCAAATTCGACCCTTCTCACATCTTGTTATAACTGCTTGTTCCATGTATGTCTTCTTCTATAGAGGGTAATCTTCCTTGAGAGCGTGGTTTGAGACCGTCTCACTCAACATCTATTTTCTGATGCCTAGTACGTCATTCAAGTACTTCATTAACAGGCTAAGTGCATGAAAGAGAATGTTTTGGTCTGGTTGAGACTGAACTGGGAGTTAAGTTATACAAGCAATGTTAAACTCTCCAATTCTCAGGCTAAGCATGTGCTTAGGGCAGTAGGGAAAGAAAAAAAAAACATTTAAAAGCATTATAAAAATCCTTTAATAAACTTATCCAGAACTTTGGAATCAAACCATCCTATAAACAGCTATTTAATGTTACTATACATAAATGCTTAGTGTTATTTCAAAAGACCCCAATTTTATTTCTAGCTAATTCCCAGAGTAAGAAAGCCTTGATCTAGCTCATAATCCAAACATCTTAATATATCCTCACCCAGCTACTCTAGCTACAACTTCCCGACTAAACAACTTTCCAATGAAAAGCTAAATGTTTGAAGTGAAAAAGATACTCCAACCGTTGTGTGCCTGAGGAACATATGGAGAAAGGAAGGGACTCTTGCTGGACTTGTTTTGGCTGAGCACAGAAGCTTCTGGAGCATTGCGTAAGGCGTTACTGAGAAAACATTCCAGTAAATCTCATCTGCTATTTCATGTGTGCAAACCTTAGTGCATTTAGCAGTTCCCAACTTTCAAATGGGTTTAATTCCAAAAGCACACTTCTTTGTCAGATTGTCTTAAGAAGTCGAAGCCATTTTCCCATAGAAACAATACTGTAAGTGATTGTAAGTTTTCCAGGCTGGCTTACCAAAACCTACTGATTCCGTAATTTAGCTGAAACACACTTGCCATTATGAAAGTAGAAAATGATGCTATGAAGGTGCCATTTTCTTTTAAATGCCATAAAACATATCTAAACATGGAGAATATGGCAAAAATATATTTAAAACTCACAATAACTTTTTGGGGTCAAGGTCTGTTAATACATAAAACAAGAAAAATTAAGAATAACTGTTTTACATTGCCTATTGGTACTTATAATAGCAGTATGAAACACATTGCTAGCTGTCTCTTAAAATCCATTCTTCCCCTCTTCCTTTAGAAAGAGAAACTAACACTTAACTTACAGCTGGATGAAAGGTCAGCCAGAATAAAGAGTCTGTTGCACAGCCCCTGTACAACCAGGTATGGCCATATGATTCAATATGCCAATGGGGTGCATACAGAAATGATGTGTGTAACTTCCAGGTTTTTTCCTTAAGGCTGTAGCCCCTGCCCTTGAGTTGGCTAGAATGGAGAAATACTGGGAAGTTATACTAGACAGCACAATTGAAGATGGAATCCTGGAGAATAATGAAGCCCAAGATAAGTTTCTTAGACAATATTGTAGAGCAAGGCCTCCCTATCAGTTCTCAGCCATCTCTGAGGCAATCTTTATGTCAGAGAATAATAAAGTTTTAGCTTGTATGAGTTGCTTTTAAGTCTTTCTGTGATTGTAGCCAGATATAGATCTGAACTAATACAAGGTGATCTAGGTGGAGAATCCTGTGGAGATTGTGAAGAAAACATCTGAGAATTTCCAGGATGGTGCTAATTCAGAGAAAGATTTCTGTTCAAAACTCAAGATTTTTCTTTTCCTTAAAAAAATGCTATTCTTCCCTGATGAAGATTTGCCAAAGTAGCCCATGGAGATATTTTCTCTGGACCATATTCTATAATCTAAATATTTGTTTATGAAATTCCCTCCCTCCCTTCCTTCTCTCCTCCCTCCCTCCCTCCCTTCCTTCCTTCCTCCCTCCCTCCCTCCTTCCCTTCCTCCTTTCCTCCCTTCTATCCTTATTTGAAGCCCGAGATGTACCAGTCATTGGGCTGAGAGTATAAAATTCCATAACGCACAATATTTTCTCCTCAAGGAAGTCACAGATTCATATGAGAGACAGAAAATGGAACAAATAATAGCCCTGCAATGTGATACGTGTTATAATGCAGTTATTTCCAAAGCTCTAGGGAAGCACAGAAATAGAAATGTTTTTTGAAAATTATCACAAACTTTGCCTCAAAAACTGAAGAATGGGGGTTTGGGAGTCACAGCTAAAGGGTACAGGATTTCTTTGTGAGTTGATGAAAAGATTCTAGAATTTATTATGGTGATGGTTGCACAACTCTGTACAAGCCATTGGACTGTACATTTTAACAGCTTGTATTGCTCATCAGGGTCTTCCAGGGCTGAGAAGTGAGGACTTACCTTTCACAGCAATCGCTGAATTACGATTACTTAATTTGATTTTTACAATTCTCTGTTTTATTAGACTGTATCTGTATTCTCACTATTGTATCTCTAGTGTTTGCTACATGGTCAAACACATGCTCAGCAAATCCTTGTGTGTTTGAAGACAAATCAAAATCTTTATAGAGAGGCTATATCTTACAGATTCAAAATCAGATATTCTCTAATATATATATAATATATATATTCTCTCTATATATATAATATATATATTCTCTCTATATATATAATATATATATTCTCTCTCTATATATAATATATATATTCTCTCTCTATATATATATAAAGACAGTGAAACAGAAATTTTTTGTGAACCTGGAAATTAGACAAACATGGATTTCAATCCTAACTCCATTATTTTCTGATTACGTACTTAGCAAGTTAATAATTGGCAAATTAATGATTCAGCTATCTATGCTTCTATTTCTCCCTTTGTAAAATGGAGACAATAAAGACCTTCTATGAATGTTGTAAAATTAAAATTATGTATGTAAAACGCTTAGCATATTCTTTTTGCACAGAATAGTAATAAATGGTAATGAATTGAATGACGCTTAAAGACCTTCTGGATTATTTTGGGTGTTTTATAAAAAGACATAGAAAACACACACCAATTTTAAAGGAAGAAAGAGTGTATCAGTGCAGAGATATTACTCCATTAGGCTTTAGAAACTTATCTTCGATGAATTAGTCACTCTGATCATATAACTATGGAAACAGCACACACGGCTGAATCAGAAGCTCCCAGCCCCACCCTGCAGAAGCAATAGAAACTAGATTAGTAGTCAAGGTGCCCATGGGAAATAGGGACAGGGAAGAGATTTTAAGTCTTTTGGTGCTGGTCCACCCTACTCCAGGAGAATCCTTCACATTTAATGAACACCTTGTGAGTGTCAGGCACTTTGCGGGGGTTAGAGAATTGAATACAAATCCCTTATCACATGACATTGGAGCCACAGTCTCTTAACCTAGATGTTTGCCTAACTAAACCCAAAGACTCTGTGGTCACTTATGAGGCCCTTGTTATCTCTGAATCAACTTAGTACAGTTCTGGCATGTAACTACTTGTAGATGAAATGAACTAATGTCTTTTAAAATAGCCCCACAAAAGTCATGGTGGCAAATAGTGTCCTTTTTAGGTAAATAATAATAGCCTTAAACACTTAACAAAGCATCTCATCTATATGGTGCTCTGTGTCACATGTGTGTGATCAAAATAGAAATGAGAGATTGGGCCTTCATACTGGGTCATATCAAATGACATCCGAGACTACTATGTCTCAACCGTTAACACTCTGGAAACACCTACTGAAAACACCATGTGAGCATGCTTATACACATACACACATACACAGACAGCCCATCTCTGTTGATTGTTGACTGATGGCTCACTGATACCCACACACTCCTCACAGGAATGAGCACCTTAACTAAATATTCATTCTAAGATTAAGAACAGACATTTGATTTCCCAAAGAGGCACAATCTTAAAAGTATTCTGACCTGGTTCCAGGGAGCATAAATTTACATAAATTAAAATATTGAAATCATGATTTTCTAAGGAGGATTCCAGAAATGACTACTATATTTAAAATAATGAACAGAATGATGGCATCCACTACAAAAGGCTTGACTGGCTCAGGCTTGCCCATGGACTCCTTTGCATGGGGTTTAGCCTAGATGTTTAAAAATATACAGATTCACCATCCCCATCTCTGTCCCTTGAGACTGTCCTCATTCTGTCTTTATAAATCTATGCCCTGAGCCAGGCGCAGTGGCTCATACCTGTAATCCCAGCACTTTGGGAGGCCGAGGCGGGCGGATCACTTGAAGTCAGGAGTTCGCAACCCCCTGACCAACATGGCAAAACCCCGTCTCTACTAAAAATACAAAAATTAGCCAGGTGTGGTGGTGAGCACCTGTAGTCCCAGCTACTCGGGAGGCTGATGAAGGAGAATAGTTCCAGCCCAGGAGGCGGAGGTTGCAGTGAGCCGAGATCACGTCACTGCACCCCAGCCTGGGCAATAAAGCAAGACTCTGTCTCAAAAAACTAATAATAAAAAATAAAAATAAATAAATCTATGCCCTGGGTTTCTCTATTGTTGCTGGCTTCCAGGTGATTCTGGTTCCCAGTATGAGAATCACTAACTTGAGTCAGCTCTAGGACCTTTCCATTACTGATGTTCAATGGGTCAGCCGAAAGAGAGACTGCAACATCTGCCACCGTCCAGATCGGTTGCCTGGTTGGGCTACCTGGAAAGGTGCACCTTCCTTCCTTAGCCTTTCTCAGATGTCCATCTTGAAAGCTGCAAGCCAGGTATGGGAAGCTATCCATTCAAGCTAGATGTTAGCTCTTCAGTCAACAGCCTTCTTTTTACTATTCTCCCTACACAAACTTCCAAAGATTTTCCCTGGGGCCATGTGTGAATCTGATGAGTCTAGAGATGTCAATCACTGTCCATCCTCTGAGCTTCTCTAATCCCCAGAAGCTAAACCAATCACTCAGAAGCATCGGCTTAAAGGAAGAAGATTCTTTCCCACTGGTCTCCAGGTTGTTTGTTTGTTAGAATCCCAAGCCCCGTTTTATCTAGACTCTGTGATCTAAATCCCCTTTGCAAAGATTCCAGAAACAGGAAACAAGGTTGCAACTTTGTATTGTGGGTGTGAGTGAGGCCTTTGGGTAAGTACAACTAAAGGAGTCAGACTAATCATCCTGTAATCTTCCTTAACATCCCACATCAATTTCATTAAATATTTATCTGTGCAACTTTTCTCTGATAGCACCTAATACCATTGCAATTTGATAAGCATTTGTATAATTACTTAATAAGTCCCCAAGAGACTATAAGGGTTATGGTGACAGAAACCTTGACTGACTTTCTCACTCTCATCCCCAGCACCTGGTGCAGAGCCTGGTGCCCCAATAACACAGGGAAATGGGTCTTGATGTTGTTGTGCAAGGGTGTTGGTCTCCTGTCCTCTGGGTAAATGCTTTTTCAGGAACAGTCAATTAGTGAATATTTATTGCTTAGTTTGACCATGGGAGTTCTGAGTTCCCTAAACTGGGTTCTAAGAGGATTAAGCAATCATAAGATGCCTATGGGCAAGGCAAAGGCAGATCAGGAAGCTGAAGATAACTCTGGCTTTCCCTTTAGAAGCCATCAGCCAACAATCAACAGAGATGGGCTGTCTGTACTAGTCAAGGTAAAGGGTGATAAGGGAAAGGATGATGGGCAGGGAGATGTCCAACTTTAAAAGATCATTATTTTGCACTTCTGATGACTCCCTCACCATACACATTGCAGGGTTGATGTGCAGTGAGAACTGAATGTTTCGCTTCTGGCAGAGAAACATAAACAAAGTCTATATTCTAAAGGACATTTACTGGGATTTGAGGAATTAGGGAAGGGAGAAAATAAGGAGAAAGGCATAACAAGAGAACAAATCTGAAAAGAGAAAGAAAAGTAAGTCCAATACTTTTTAACTAGTCAATCTAGGTACATTTTTATTCCTGACTTAAAAAGTATTTCTTCTCCCAATAAGCTAGAGCATCTCTCCTAAATCCTAATATAGTGAGGATAAGATCAATGTTTTATATTTTACAGAGCCAAAGAAGCTAAAGAGAATTTGTAAGAATCCAGCGCAATTCAGAATCAGAGGTTTTAGAGCTGGGATGGATTTTCCAGAAATCTTCTGTTTCAAACACCTGCCCTAGGATAGGTAATGTTTAATTTTCCCCATTTTATAAATAACATGAGCCAGTACTAAGCCTGTGCTTAAGTCTGAAGAGTAAGAAGGGGCTAAGAAGAGTGTAACTTGGTCCTCGAAACACAGTGTTTTGCAAAAAAATCTGCTCATGAACTAACAGCCAGTTCCTTATCGAGGTCACCCAGTGTTTCCCAGACTTGTCAGAATTTATTTCAAAAATCTTAATTAGCCGGATGCGGTGGCGGGCACCTGTAATCCCAGCTACTCAGGAGGCTGAGGCAGGGAGAATTGCTTGAACCCAGGAGGCAGAGGTTGCAGTGAGCCAAGACTGTGCCACTGCACTCCAGCCTGGGTGACAGAGTGAAACTCCATCTCAAAAAAACCTTATAAGTGATTTCCATGTGCCAGGTTCAGCACAAACTCCTTTAATCCTCACAACAATCTTGGGAGGTGAATACTTTATCTCCATTTTACTACGGAACAAACCAAACTGCAGAGAGCACAAGTAACCTACCCGAGATTGCGCAGCTAGTAAGTGAGTGAGCCAGGACTCTGAACACAAATACTCTACCCCTAAGCCTGGATCTTAACCTCTGTGTGTTTGATGCCTATCAATTTTATATTCTACCAATGCATTCCTTTTAGCAAAAGAACCATCTTCTAAATATGACTTTTTCTTCTCCCTTTTGTAATCACCCAGTGGGTTTGTCTTGTCTGCTGCCCAAAAAAGTCAATGCACTGAGAACAGCAGTTTTTTTGTAATTTAAAAAAAGTTTAATTAATCCAGGGCTAGTCAAACAGAAAACAGAGTTTATTGTTCAAATCATCCTCCCTGAGAACTCAGAGGCTAGGGTTCTTATGGATAATTTGACGGGCAGTAGGCTAGGGAAGGGGTGCTGCTGATTGATTGGGAATGAAATCATAGTGATATGGAAGATGGTATTTGTGTGCTGAATCAGTCTCTCAGCAGGGGGTGTAGGACCAGTTGAGTCATAAGTCACAGGTCCAGATGGGTTAGTCAGTCCCCAGAATGCAATAGTCTGAAAAAAATCTCAAAAGCAATCGAAGGTTCTGCAATGGCAATGTTATCCACAGGAGCAACTGGGGAAGTTACAAAGCTTGTGACCTTCAGCACAGTAACCCATAATAGCAAAGCAAGCTATGCCTACATTTTAGGAGAATTCCGGTCCCTCCTATAATCCTAACCTCGTGGCTTTTCATTAGTCTTACAAAGGCGGTTTCAGTTCCCGAACAAGGAGAGGGTCAGTTTCAGAGAGGGACTATTATCATTTTTGCTTCAAAGTTAAACCATAAACTAAACTCTTCGTATGGTTAGCTTGGTCTATGCCCAGGAATGAGCATGGACAGCCAACCTGTGAGGCTAGAAGCAAGATGCAGCCAGCCCTTCTAGACCTCTCTTGCTGTCATAATCTTTGCAAAGGCGGTTTCACTCTCAAAGAAAACTGTGTTTAGAATGTCCCGATAGTCCCATTACAATATAAATATCCCAGAGGAATGCGAAAATTAAGGGTTAAGAAAGGTTACACCAGGCATCGGGTCTTACCTCTTGTGAGAAGGCATCCAAGAGGGGAAAACACACCCAAATTATTACCCCAGAGAAAATGGGAATTAAGTGCTAAGAATCATTGTGCTCCAGTGCCCATTTTATATTTACTCATCATTTTCCCATCTATTTGTGAGGCTGTGTTGCAATAGCTCTCCTTCCCCAAATGAGTGTTCATTTCCCCCATTCATCTTAAGAGCCAATAGCCAAATAAAAGACATCATTTTTTAAGAAGAGACTGATTTATCAGGGGCTTATGTATCCCCAGAATAACGGCCCAGAAGATGCCTGGCTCCAACACTTGCCTGATTACAACACCTGTCTTAGTGTCTCAAAACAGGCTGATGACATCCTTTCTCCACTAGATTGGAAGCTTCATGAAGAAGAGCATTGACTCTTTTCACCTCTGTGTCCCTGACACACAGCCCAGAGCCTTCCCAATGTGATGTTCTCAAAAAATATTTACTGGATATAAAATCAGCTTCCAGCCCCTTCTCAACCAGGGGTAACCATGCCCTCCAGGGAACATCTGGCAATCTGGAAACATTTTTGATTGTCACAACTGTGGATAGGGTTGCTAGAGGTATCCGGTGGGTAGAGGACAGGGATACTGCTAAACATCCTACCGGGCACAGAACAACCCCCCACAGCAAAGAATTATCCAGCCCAAAATATCAACACTGCCGAGGATGAGAACCTCTGTTCTAATTCAATGTAATCCTTTTGTAAGTGGAAAACAACTGAGAACTGAAGAGATGAAATTTCTCACTCATCAGAATGGTGGTAGAGTCAGGCTTAGGGACCTAACTACCAGCCCAATGTCCTTTCTTTCACTGATAAATAATACTCCAGAAATTGGGACAGCTCTCTGCAGATCACTCATTTGATTTCCTAGACCAAACAGGCTCATGCTAAAAAGAGAATCTTAGATTATGGCATGATTTCCTACTATTTTTACCTTTAAAAAAATTGCATAGCTTGGTGTATATAAATAAAGCAAATGTTGTATACATACATATCTTTAGCTGATTTTTTTCTTTAGTTTTCTACAGACTGATGAGACACTGCTTCTTACCTCTTATTTTTTTGTAAAAATATACTAATAATTGATTAAACAGTGATAAATTAAAGACATCAAATGGCTCTTTAGCGCTCATTCTCTCATCATCTGAGACAAATATCAGAAAAAGTCAAATCTGCTAACTTTTAGTACTAGTTGCATTATTATTTTGTGTATTTGCAAAATGCTATGCAAGACATGCAGGAGTAGGCGTTGGCTCAAGTACCTCCCAAAGCCACTGATGATGCCCTCAACACATCATCACAGTTTGCAGGGGTCAGAAGGTCGAGCGGAATATGAGGAAAAGCAAAATCTTTGGGTCTAGACAGTTCTGCCATTTACTTGGGCAAATTAATTAACCTCTCTGAGACTGAATTTTCTTTTCAAAATGGAAATTCTCTAAAAGGAAATAATTACAGGGATGTTAAAAAATAAAAGACAAATTAAATTCCTTCTGAGAAGACTGAGCACAAACTTGGTGAAGATAATAGATTTCTGCTTTTTCACTGTCAACAAAGCTCTCACATTTTTCTTCTTTTTATACTTCATAAGAAGTCTAAAAACATTGGAGCAAGAATTAACAGGTAAAATATGTTCCTCTTCTTTCTCTCTAATAAACCATGGTAACCCCAGACACTACAACATATTACAAAGGTTTGCTCTGAGAGTCAACCTGATGACTCAGTTCTGCTATCAGCTCAACACATCCCATTCAGCTTTGATTACATGATGCATGTTGGACCCCCACGCTGGAACACTGAGGGCTTGTAGGGGGAGAGGCAGGAATGACTCTGAACCGGGCCCTGCCCTTAGGAAGCCCACAATTTAGTGAGGAGACAGGACAAGGGCACACACAATCTTAAAACCACTCAGACTGGGGTCCATGCTCTACAGGAGATGCAAGATATTCATGCCTTAGTTTCAAATGGCAGAGACCAATTCTGGCTGAGCACCGGGGAAAAGCTTCCCAGAAGTGGTGACACTAGAGGTGACCCTTAGAAGAGGGAAAGTATTAAAGTAGGGCTGTCAGGGAGGAGCACATTTTAGCCAGAGAGAACAGCCTGGTTACAGAAGACAGAGCATGGAAATGTAAGAAGACGGGTTTCCCAGAAGGAAAGACTCTACAAAGGGGGCTAACATGGGCTCAAAATAATATGACAAGTTTTGAAAAGGAAAATGTGTCTTTATTGTTTGTTTGTTTCTTCATTCATTCCATATTATTTTGTTTATTCCATAGGCAAATGGGAGCTACTAAAATTTTTGGAGTTGGAGTGGAATATGAGATGTCTTTCAAGAAGGTTATCATGCAGTCCTGAAAGAACAGACATGCTGATTGGCACAGAGCGGCAGGAAGAATATAAAGACACCATGAAGCTCTTAAACTGCGATCTGTTCATTTACTCCTGTTTGAATTGGAAGAATAGGAGCTGACGTTTGGATGGGGTCTTAAAAGTCATCTTGTGCAACCTTGCACCCAATGCCAGAATTACTGGGGCTACACACTCTGATTGAATATCTTCCCTGAAGAGAGGGGCACTGGTGCACAGAATGGCCCAGGCATGAGTGAACATCTCTGCTCCACAGGTCCAGGAGGCAGAAAGGCATAGGGAAAAGGCCACGGCCTCTGTCTTCTAAGACCTGGGCTCAAATCCAGCTCTGCCCCTGTGAACAGGGCAGGATACTCCCTGAGTCTTGCTTTCCTTATATGTAAAAAAAAAAAAAAAGAATGATAATCTTTAACATATAGGGATGTAGTGGTATAAAAATGAACTATCTTACCCACTAAGGCTAAGCATGGTAGACACTTATTCTTCCCCTTGGTCTGAGCCCAAATCTTCTTGCTTCTTTCACCCATTCATGGGCCCTAATTTCACCTTCTAGAGGCAAAGAACACATTTGCTCCCAATTTCATAACACAATATTAGAAACAGCAGCCATGTTCCCACAAGTCTTCTCTTTCCTATGTCAAACATTACCTTCCTCCAATGACATTTCCAAAGCATTTATCGTTGCAATCCTGATGTATGCACCAGGATGATGTCTGAATTCTTGGTCTTTAATATGAAATTATATTTCTACATATGGTAAGGAGCAGAAGTAGGCTTTCTCAGAAACAGTCCTGATGATGTCATTCTTCTAATAAGTGAGTTTACTTGGCTTACTTTTAAGGAGAGATGGGCCATGTTGATGATCTCTACAGAGACTTCTCACCTCCTTTTTATTCCCTCCAGGCCCTGTTCTGACAAATTCTCAAACGTCGTCTAAGGCAAGACACTGGGGAAAAAAAAAAATGAGAACCACTGGTGTAAGACACATGGATCAGTGTTGGTATGACTACTCAAAATAAACTAAGACTAGCAAGACTAAAATAACTCCAACACTTCATGTTAAAGAGGCACTGATGAGCTCCTGTTAAGGCAGCACATAACACAGCACTGTAGTTCTCAGTACAATTAGCTGGCCTTGGGATTTGAGTACAGCCTCAAAGATAAGGGAAGAAATAAAATCTAAAATCGAGAGAAGAGGCCCGGTGCCTTGCAGGGTACAAGCTGCTTCTGCCTTTAGGAAATTGGAACTTCCTTTTGGACTGACCCATGGCCAACAGAAAATATGCTTAGCACTGTGCATTGATCATTTTCTATGGATCAGGCTCTATGTGAGTTCTCAGTGATTGACATAGCATTGCTAAGGTCTGGCTAAGGAGACTGCCATAGAACAGGATTATGGCACTACCATGTGCTGGATGAAACAAGGATAACCAAAACATAGATTTTGCACTTCAAACCTAAGGTCATGGAGGAGGCATAGAAAAGAAAAGACAGGGTCAAGCATGGTGGCTTATGCCTGTAATCTCAGCACTTTGGAGGCTGAGGTGGGAGGATTGCTTGAGTCTAGGAGTTATAGACCAGCCTGGGCAATGTAATGAGACCTTGTCTCTAAAAACAAAATTATTTTTAATTAGCCAGGTACGGTGGTTCTTGTCTGTGGTTCTAGATACTCGAAAGCCTGCGATGAGAGGATTGCTTCAGCCCAGGAGTTCAAGGCTGAAGTTAGCCAGTATGGCACAACTGCACTCTTGGAGAAAAAGTGAGACCCTGTCTCAAATACAAAGAAAAGAAAAGAAGGAAGGAAGGAAGGAAGGAAGGAAGGAAGGAAGGAAGGAAGGAAGGAAGGAGGGAAGGAAAGAAGGAAGAAAGAGGAAGAAAGAAAGAAAGAAAGAAAGAAAGAAAGAAAGAAAGAAAGAAAGAAAGAAAGAAAGAAAGAAAGAGAAAGAAAGAGGGAGGGAAGGAGGGAAGGAAGGAAGGAAGGAAGGAAGGAAGGAAGGAAGGAAGGAAGGAAAGAAGAAAAGAAAGAAAGAGAAAAGAAAGAGCAAGCATGAAGAAGAGCCACTTTTATTTAAATATTTGTGCTCAGCAAAGATGTCTGAGGAAAATAAAATCCTTTACTTTACTAAAGATTTATTAAACTTAACACAGTCTACACTCATTTATTGCCAGGCTCATTAGATACACAATCTCATTTACTATTGAAAATAATTTTTAAAGGTAAGTTATATTATTTTATGTTCATGTTTGAGTGAGTTTAAGTGCCTTGCCCAAGGTCACAATTAATAAACTGTTGGCTTACACACAGAGAAGAACAAAGCAAGAAAATATTTTAACAGATACTAAATCAAAGAAGATAAAATGTCTATATTTCAGGAGCCCATGTGGCCCAGTCTGTACACATTAAATAAATTCCTAAAGGAAACAGTTTATTTCAGTGTCAAGGCCGGGCGCCGTGGCTCACGCCTGCAATCCCAGCACTTTGGGAGGCTGAGGCGGGTGGGTCACCTGAAGTCAGGAGTTTCAGACTAGCCTGCCCAACACAGTGAAACCTCATCTCTACTAAAAATAGAAAAAATTACCTGATTGTGGTGGCACACGCCTGTTATCCCAGCTACTCAGGAGGCTGAGACATGAGAATTGCTTGAACCCAGGAGGCAGAGGCTGCAGTGAGCCAAGGTCATGCCACTGCACTCTAGCCTACATGACAGAGTGAGACTCTGTCTCAAAAAATAAAAATAAAAAAAAATGTGTCAAGATCATGAAACAGAGAGAGAAAAAGGCAGTCTGAGCAACTGTCACAGACTGAAGTGATTCGAGGGATATGAAAACAAAGTAAATGTGGAATTCTGGATTGAATCCTGGCCCAGAGAAAGGGCAATAGAGAGACAACTGATAAATTGCAAAGAAGGTCTGTAGATTCATTAATAATATTACATCAATGTTAATTTCCTGATTTCAATAATTGTAACATATAAAATGTCAATATTAGGGGAAACTGGGCAAAGAGTATTTGGGAATTTTGTACTATTCTTCAAGTTTTTGTAAGTCTTAAATTATTTCCAAATAAGTTAAATACATTATCTTGGTCCATTTTGTGCTACTATAACAGAATGTCACAGACTGGGTAATTTATAATCAACAGAAATTTATTTCTCACAATTCTGGAGGCTGGGAAGTCCAAGAAAAAGATGCTGGCATCTGGCAAAGGCCTTCTTAATGTGTTATCCCATGGAAGATGGCAAAGGGGCAAGAGAGGGTGAGAAAGAGACACAAAAGGGGGCCAAACATGTTCTTATATAAGGAACCCACTCCCACGATAAGGAACTCACTCTCACAATGACAACATTAATCTGTTCATGAGGGTGGTGCACACATGAGCCAAACACCTCCCTTTAGACCTCACCTCCCAACACCACCACATTGGGAAGCAAGTTTCCAAAACATAAGCTTTAGGGGACACATTGAAACCACAGCATGCATGCATACATACATACATACATACACTCTCTAAATGGTCTACAAGGTATTAAGTTAATCAGCCATTTTTTTTTTACTTGCTACTCAAATGTTAGCTCTTTATTATTTATGTTGACAGCATTTCTGACACTTTTTTCTTTTCTTCTTAATTTTCTTGTCAAAGGACAGCCTAGAAACTGACTCAGTACACAAGAATCCCTTCCCTTTGTGCTCATTGCTTCATTCCTGTCTCTCAAATCATTCTTACGATTCTGTATCCCAGAAAATCCATGAGCTGAGAAGTGAAAACAGACTCTCATTAGAGAGTGGGAGAAAGAGAGAAGCTGATTTACCAAGGATAATTATTTTCATGAATGGAAGAAGAGGAAGACATGAATAAATTATGGCTCTAGAACAAAAACATAATCAAAAGACCACAATCTAAGGATAGATAATAAATTGTAAGGGTGATCAGGAAGGAGTAAAGCAATCTGCAGTGAGAAAATGAGCTGGCTGAAGGTCATCCATATTCTGAGACTAAAGTTTTGGTTGGCCTTGTTAGAAAATAACCTTAGGTGCATTAAAATTTTTCAGCAATGATTGTTGCAGAGAAAAATCATTGATGCATGATGAAATTAATGGGCAAATGTATGACGAGAAACAGGATGTTTGCATAGTCTTAAAGTAGAATTTATTAAGCAGACAGGAATACATGCATCAGGCAGCACCAAGAACAGTTCAGGGTGTGAGAGGACTCTTTCATATGGTGTGCATGGAAGTGAGGCAAAGAAAATATTAATCGGTTAATGTGAAAGTTCCTAGTTAGAATTTAGTTGGCAGTTTCTAATTGGTTAAGCTTAAGTTTTGTTTTCCTAGTCTATATCCATTCACTATGAGTTGTGCCTAGTATTAGTCCATTTTCATTCTGCTGATAAAGACAGAACCCAGCCTGGGCAATTTACAAAAGAAAGAGGCTTATTGGACATACAGTTCCGCATGGCTGGGGAGGCCTCACAACCATGGCAGAAGGCAAAGAGGAGCAAGTCACATCTTACGTGGATAACAGCAGGCAAAGAAAGAGAAAGCTTGTGCAGGGAAATGCCCCTTTTTAAAACCATCAGATTTCGTAAGACTTATTCGCTATCACAAGAACAGCATGAAAAAGACCTGCCCCCATGATTCAATTACCTCGTATCCGGTCCCTCCCATGAAATGTGGGAATTGGGGGAGTTACAATTCAAGATGAGATTTGGGTGGGGACATAGCCAAGCCATATCAGAAGCCATCTCAGCCTAATAGCCTCTCAATTATTATTATTTATTAACAGCCTTTAGGTGAGCCATTTTCTCTGTCTTAAGTGAGGGGTTTTGGGATCAGTTTATGGCAAAATCACTTTCACCCATCAATTTCTTCGATACACCCCCATCTATATGCACCTAGTTTAATGTGTCTATTTTTCATATTTCCTCAAAACCAACCATGGCATAATAAAGAATATATATTTGGTTGTTTTGTCCCCATTCCTGATACAGAACTCCTAAAACCCATGTAATTTCCTGAGTGATGAGAGGGATAGAAGCATCTTTTCTTATCCATTTTAACCTCCTTTCAACCATATCTGAGCTTATGCTAATGGGATGACTTTTGGTGGTCTCCTAGATAGCCTCAGGGTGGGGTCTGGTTACCAGAGGAACCAACCATGTGATCAGAGGGTTTGAACTTTTCTCTTTGGGCCTCTAGGGAAAGGAGAGTCCTAGAGGTTGAGTTAAACACCAATGGTCTATGTATTAATCAATCATGCTTATGTAATTAAACCTTCATAAAAATCCCCAGGCAATGGGGTTTGGGGAGATCCCTGATTGGTGCTGGAAGGGTGGCACCCAGAGAGGGCATGGAAGCTCTGTGCCTCTTCTCCAATACCTTGCCCTACGCATCTCTTTCATTTGTCTGTTCCTGAATTGCATCCTTTATAATAAACTAAAAATAATAAGTAAACTGTTTTTCTGAGTTTTGTGAGTCATTCTAGCAAATAATCAAAACTGAAGGTGGTGTGGGGGGATCTCCTGACTTTGTAACCAAGACAGACAGCATGTGGGTACCCTGGGGAGCCAATATTTTCAACTTGCATCTGAAGTGAGGGTAGTCTTATGGGAGTAAGTCATCTAACACAGTGGTCCCCAACGATTTTGGGACTAAGGACTGGTTTTGTGGAAGGAGTTGGGGGAGTAGAGTGGGGAGCAGAAGTGGGAGAGTGGTGGGGTGACAGGGTGCAGATAGTTTCGGGATAAAACTGTTCCACAGGCCAGACGTGGTGGCTCATGCCTGTAATCCCAGCACTTTGGGAGGCCGAGGTGGGCAAATCACGAGGTCAAGAGATCAAGACCATCCTGACCAACATGGTGAAACCCTGTCTCTACTAAAAATACAAAAATTAGCTGTGCATGGTGGTACGTGCCCGTAGTCCCAGCTACTTGGGAGGCTGAGACAGGAGACTCACTTGAACCCAGGAGGCAGAAGTTGCAGTGAGCCAAGATCGCACCACTGTGCTCCAGCCTGGTGACAGAGCGAGACTCAGTCTCAAAAAAATCCATTCCACCTCAGATCTTTTCAGGCACAGTTCACAATAGGGCTCACGGTCCTATGAGAATCTAATGCTGAGGCTGATCTGACAGGAGGCGGAGCTCAGGCTGTAATGCTCGCTGTCCCACCTCCCTTCTTGCTGTGCTTCCCAGCTCCTAACAGGCCACAGACTCTTCCAGGTCTTTGGCCAGGGACTGGGGACCTCCGGTCTAACACAAACCTCAGGTAGTTACCATCAGAATTAAATTGAAATGTAGGACACTCAGCTGTGTTCAGAGGGTTGGAGAACTGGTTGTTGATATTAAAAAAATACCTCACATATTTGATGTCAGAAGTGTTGTGAGTAGGAACAATTTAGACGACTGAATTAATGTGCATAGCCTCAAAGTATGGCCCCACAAGATGCTTATTAATTACAAAGGAAAAATTTAAATTAAAATTTAAATCATGACAGTGGAGAAAGCTGGCCGATACCCCCTTAACCGAGTGATCAAAGTTTACCTCAACAGTAATAAGATGTATTGACATTATGTACCTTCCTCCGACACAATGCACTGAGAAGGTCATAACATCATTTCTGTGGTGAGGTCCTCCCCACAATCTCCTTCACACTGATGCAGTGAGTTTGGGACTATCTTTTCTGCCTTTTCTTGGAAAAGAATTCATTTAGCCACTATTACTCCTTTGTCATAGGGATACCTGTGGATGATGTGGAAGCTGAAATAACTTGAATTTAGCTGACTGTGTCAACAATCATCAAGTAATAGAATCATGTTGATGCAAAATAAGCCCTCATTCTATTTGGGGAAAAAATTCAATTAACAACAGAATCATGTAGAGCCACCCCGTGGTTATGGAGATTTAGTGATTCATTGCAACCGAAAATTGCCTGTGGTGGTGGCAATGCTATTTCCCTCTTATTGTTGCTTTGTCAGTACCCAGCAACCATGCCTAGTTTCCACCCATTACAAAACAAAATGAAACAAAAATCACCAGGGGTTAAAAGACGTAAATTGGATTATACTCACACCATTTTGGAAACAAGATTTTACTGGTACCTGCAGTCAACTGAATAAATATCCTTACATTAGCTTATGGCTCATTAGAATTCCAATGGCGACGGTTTTTATTTATATGTGTCTGCCTCTGAATAAATGGAGAAAGGGCAGAATGATACAAGGTTTTAAGACAGGCCAGTAATCCCAGCACTTTGGGAGGCCAGTGCAGGCAGATTGCCTCACTTGAGCCCAGGAGTTCGAGACCAGCCTGGGCAACATGGCGAAACACCCTCTCTACAAAAAATACAAAACTTAGCCGGGCATGGTGGCCCACATCTGTGGTCTCAGCTATGGGGGAGCCTGAGGTTGGGGGATTGCTTGAGCCTGGGCATTCTGGGCTGCAGTGAGCTGTGACTGTGCCACAGCACTCCAGCCTTAGCCACAGAGCAAGACCCTATCTCAAGAAGAAAAAGAAAAGAAAAACAAAAATAAAAAAGAAAGACAGGCTAGGCACAGTAGTTTCTGCTTGCAATCCTAGCATTTTGAAAGGCCAAGGCAGGTGGACCGCTTGAGACCAGGAGTTTGAGAACAGCTGGGGCAATATAGCAAGACCCTGTCTCTACAAAAATAAATAAATAAATAATTAAAATAAAAAAGATGAAATGGACATTCTGTTCAGTAAATCAGAGTTCTGGCATGGAGCTAGATTGTGGGTCACACGGAAATTACACAGATACTTATTTAACATTATTTATTTGCAAAATTATCTACCAAGGCTATAAACTTCTGGTTTTCAAACTGTGTTTTGCATCAGAACCAGGGGCAAAAAATACAAATGCTACCGCTCTTCCTGAGACATTCTGAATCAGAATCTCTAGGAGTGAGACTCAGGAATCTATTTTTAACACCATTCTCCAGTAATGCAGTAAACAATCGGCTTGAGGAATACTGCTTTAAATGTTCACCAGTCTTATTCCAAGCTACCTATGATGATACAAGTATAGACAAATCTAAAAAGACAAAGTTCACCCCTGGAGATTAAACAAGGGTCAGCCAAATATGGTCCATGGACCAAATCTGGTCATCACTTATTTTTGTATAAAAAGTATTTTAATAGGAATACAGGTATGCCCATGCATTTAGGAATTGTCTATAGTTACTTTTTTACTAAAAGAGCAGAGCTGAGTAGTTGTGACAGACACCATATGGCCTGCAAAGCCTAAAATATTTACTATCTGGTCCTTTGCAGAAAAAGCTTGCCAACCTCTGGCATAAATAGATGCCACAATCTGAGAGATCAGGAAAATGGGTAAACTAAGATAGGCTGGTAGAGTAGTTGGTCATTTACAAATTCTCAGCTCCTTTCCTTGGATTTTAATCTCAGATCTGCCACATACTAGAATGATTTAACCTTCTCAAACTGCAGTTTTATCTGTAAAAATGAGAAGGATTAGATTAAATAAAACTACACTTAAAGGCATTGCAACCTTTGTACTAGGTAAAAGGAAGAAAGGTGAATGAATCATTGTTTTTGCCCTCTAGCTGCTCAAAGTTGATCTGTAGGTTCTATTTTACCTTTACTTTAAGAGGTTGTTTAGTGATTAGGATTGTGTGTACTGGAGTGAGGCCTAGGACTCTGTTGAAAATCTGGTTCTGCTACTTACTAGCAATGTAATCTTGAGAGAATCCTTAATGCTCTTTAGGGTATTCATGAAAGCGGAGGTAATATCTATCAAAATGTCATGGTTAGGTTAAATTAGATAATGCAGATAAAGTATTTAATACAACGCAGGTCTATCAGTTTGGCTGCTTCTAGTGTTATTCACAGTCGAGCATTTGTTTATTAGTGGAGGCAGCACTGGTTGGGGCTGGACAATTCTTTGTGCAAACCTGCCCAGAGCTTCTAGCATCTTTGCCCACTAAATACCAATGGATAAACAAAATGTGGTCTATTCATACAACAGACTGTTATTCAGTTCTGAAAAGGAAGGAAATCCGGTACATGCTACGAAATGGATGAACCTAGAAGATAGTATACTAAATGAAATAAGCCAGTCACAAAAAGACAAATACTATATAATTGATTACACTTAAAGTGGGTATCTAGAGTAGTCAAATTCATAGAAAAAAGAAAGTACAATGGTGGTTTCCAGGGACTGGAGTAAAGGGAAAATTGTAAATGTTGTTTAGCAGGTACAGAGTTTAACTTTTACAGGATGAAAATGTTCCGGAGATTGGTTGCACAACAATGTTAATATGTTTAATGCTACTGAATTGTACATTTAAAAATAGTAAAGATGGTAAATTTTAGGTTAGGTGTATTTTACCACAATTTTTTTTTTTTTGAGACAGGTTTTCACTCTCACCCAGGCTGGAGTACAGTGATGCAATCATGGCTCATTGCAGCCTCCTGGGTTCAAGCAATCCTCCCACCTCAGCCTCCTGATTAACTAGGACTATAGAACTCTCCCACCACCAAATTTTTAAAAAATTTCTTGTAGAGATGAGGTCTCACTATGTTGCCCATGTTGGTCTTGAACTCCCGGACTCAAGGGATCCCCTGGCCTCAGCCTCTCAACACGCTGGTATTACAGGCGTCAGCTATCATGGCTGGTCCACAATTTTTTTTTTTTTTTTTGAGACAGAGTCTCGCTCTGTCACTCAGGCTGGAGTGCAGTGGCGCGATCTTGGCTCACTGCAAGCTCCGCCTCCCGGGTTCACGCCATTCTCCTGCCTCAGCCTCCCGAGTAGCTGGGACTACAGGTGCCCGCCACCACGCCCGGATAATTTTTTTGTATTTTTAGTACAGATGGGGTTTCACCGTGTTAGCCAGGATGGCCTTGATCTCCTGACCTCGTGATCCACCCTCCTCGGCCTCCCAAAGTGCTGGGATTACAGGCGTGAGCCACTGCACTTGGCGGGTCCACAATTTTTTTAAAAAAGCTTTTTTTTAAATCATAAAATCATAAAAAGATATTATGCTTTTTTCCAGATTGCTTGCTAAAAGTCTTTACATTTTTCACTCCACTTTGAAGAGGCTGAAACTGGCTTCTTTGCTATCTGTGAGGTTTGTGTGTCAAAGTCCAGACAAAACTCCAATCAATATAAAAATACGCTCCTATATGTTGTTGTTTGAAAGTAAAACGAGTGAAGATTTTCATAACAGACTACTATGCAAATTTGTTGGTTATATCGTGCCAACTACAAAAAATTAATTATTTGTTCACTATAAGAATTAGTGGCTTGTTAGGGGAACATCACACACTGGAGCCTGTCCTGGGGTGGGGGGAGGGGGAGGGATAGCATTGGGAGATATACCTAATGTAAATGACAAGCTAATGGGTGCAGTACACCAACATGGCACATGTATACATACGTAACAAACCTGCACATTGTGCACATGTACCCTAAAACTTAAAGTATAATAATAATAAAAAAAAGAATTAGTGGCTTGTTGAAATTACAATATAAATACAAATTGTTTTAAATATAAAATACAGACAATCATAATTACTAGTCTCCTTTTAAGTCCCAATTTCACCAGTTTTTCACTACTGATTGTTAAATATTGGTCTTGTTCTGAATGGATTTGTATAAATGGCCTTTTCCACTCTAAATCTTCCTTGGGTAACAAAGAACTCCTTCAATTATTTCTTCTCTCCAGATGACCTCCAGTTCCCTAGCTTGAGACCTGAGCAATCTAAGTTTTCCAGGACACGTCCCAGAGCATGTTTACTTCAAATGTTTCTCTGTTGATTCAAATTCAATGTTAAAAAGTCTAACTTATCATTGACCCTCTAAAAGTTACTTTCCTATTTCTCAATGTCATCGTCTATACCACACCAACCACAATGAGATTACTGGTGTCTTATCATTCTGTCTACTTCATTTGCTTATCCTTCCTTTAGTTTCCAAATTCTTCTGACTTTTCTCCTAAAATGTTATCTTTCACCTGTCCTCTCTTCTCCATTCCCTCAGTAAATTCCCTTAGTTCTAGGTCCTTACCACTCTTGTCCAGATGGGCACAATAACGTTCTTCCTCTCCTCACTTCTTGTGGGTATTTTTTTTTTCTTTTTTTTTGAGACAGAGTCTTACTCTGTTGCCAGGCTGAAGTGAAGTGGCGCGATCTCGGCTCACTGCCACCTCCGCCTCCCGGGTTCAAGCAATTCTTCTGCCTCAGCCTCCTGGATAGCTTGGACTATAGGTGTGGGCCACGATGCCCAGCTAATTTTTTTATTTTTAGTAGAGACGGGGTTTCACAATGTTGGCCAGGATGGTCTAGATCTCTTGACCTCATGATCCGCCTGCCTCGGCCTGCCAGAGTGCTGGGATTCCAGGCGTGAGCCAGCACACCCGGCCCTTTTTTTTTTCTATTCTAATTCTACGAGGTTAATTTTTCTAAAATGTAGGTCTGCTCCAGGCCAAAAATTTTATTATATATATAATTATATATCTTGTTTTTTATATGTGTGTATATGTATCTTGTTTTATATCTATAAAATACATCTTGTTTTATATATTATACATCTTGTTTTATATAATACATCTTATTTTATATATATAAAAACATGTATATACATATACATATATAGAGATAATTTTTTTTTTTTTAGAGACAGAGTCTTTCTCTGTCACCCAGGTCAGAGTGCAGTGGCATGATCATAACTCACTTCTTCTTCAAACTCCTGGGCTCAAGTGCGCTTCCCACCTCAGCCTCCTGAGTAAGTGGAACTACAGACATGCCACCATGCCCAACTAACTTTTTCTGATTTTTTTTAGAGATGGCGTCTTGCTATGTTGCCCAGACTGGCCTCGAACTCTTGAACTCAAGTGGTACCCCAGTCTCAAAGTGCTGGGATTATAGGTGAGAGCCTTTGCACCCAGCCCCAGGCCAAACATTTTACTCACTCTCCCTCAGACATACTTTTCAGCTCCTGTCTTTTGGCTTTGCACAATTCCTTCCCGCTGGAATTACCTCCTCCATGATTTCTACCTCTCCAAATCCTGCTCAGATCTCAGTACTAATTTGAAGCGTTTCTTGATGAGCTCAAGCCTAAGTGCTCTCTCCCTGGGAACACATTTTGCCTACATCCCTCAGAAGGGAATTATCCATGCGTGAAAACACTAGCTGCTTATAGCATGGGATCCAGAGGTAAGAGACCTGGATGCTTCTTAATAGCGTAATCTTGAGTAAAGCTCTCAATAGGTATAATGACTACAAATTGTTGCTATTTAGGGTGCCTACCATAGGCTAAGCATTTTATATTTATGAATAATAGCCATCATTTATTATTTCTTAGGTTCCAGGTCCTTAATAAATTATATCAATCAATCCATACAAAAACTCTGTAAGGTGGGTGGTATCATTAGCCCTATATTTCAGATGAGAAAACTAAGGCAGAGAGAATATTTATAACTAAACAAAGAAAGTTGTAACTAATACGTTGTACAGGTAGCATTCAAACTCAGACAGTCCAGCTCCTGAATCTACATTCTTAACTATTACCCTCTATTATATTATGCTATTTAATCCTACAGTAACTCTATAAGATGTGTGTGTATGTGTGTGCATGTGTGTTTGTGTGTGTGTGTTTTCCTTTTGAAGATAAGAAAAAATGAAATTCAAAGAGGTTAAGAAATACCCTAAATCATGGATGTGGTGAGTGGTAGTGTTAAACTTTATACTCAGGTCTGTCAGGCTCCATTAGACATTATCTTTATTATGCTGTGTTTCTGAGATTAACATGACTACTTCAAAGGTTATTGTGGAAATTAAATAAAATCGTGCACATGGTTTATAAATGCTAATATGCTATACTAAATGTTGGGTTGAGCTTTGCATGAATGTATTTTTATCTTGCCACCACGCCTATTAGCTTTAGACAAATGGTCTCCAAACTTTGATCTCATAATTTCATTGGCCTTTTTATTGGTTTGGAAATGAGTAATTTATATGTAAATTAAATGTATGCATTACTGTAGTAATAATTCTTGATTCTGTCACTTATTAGCTAGTTGGTCTTACGTTTGTTTCTTAAACTCTATATGCTTCATTTTGCTGATCTGTTAAATAGGGAGACCAATATAATCATCATTATGTGTTATGAGAATTAAAATAATTACTATATGTAAAGCATTTAAAACAGTGCCTATGCATGGTCATGTGGTGTCTTAGTAATAAATAAAAAAAAGGAAATAAATGAAACAGTGTCTGGTATACAGTAAAATGTATAAAGTGTCACATATAATTATTGATTGTGTCATTATAAAACATACCAAAAATAAAATGTTTTAAACTTAATTTTTTCATTTTAGTTTATTATTAATAATAAAAAACTTCTTTGCTTTAACTAAAAATATTAATTTTAGCAAGAGAGACATGATTCAGTATGCTTTACTGTCTTTAAATGTCTGGAAACAACATTTTGTGATAAAATGATTTGAGAGCCTAGTTCTAAATGTATTTTTATTTTTGTAATTTTAATGACTGCCATAGTTAAAAACATACTTTACAAAGAAGCACAGGTATATGGAAAAAGCATATCCACATACAAGTTATCATATTAGCTTTAATTATTAAATATCATCCCTACTTTTTGGCCCTATCTACCAGTAATTCCAAGTTTTATGTTGATATTTGACCAATAAATTTCCATATTATGTAATGTAAATCATTTTGCAAATTAATGGAAGGTATTTATTAATTGTTTTATAAATTGTTTCGAAACCTACTTATTCATTTGACAGGTTTTTAAACTGAAAATTTAGTTTCAAAGACTTAGTGTTGAAATATTAGAATTCTATAAGTAATATATAGCAGTTGTAGTCTCAGGGAGAAAATCTCATAATGATAAATATATTTAAACATTTCAAAATTTTTAAAAGCATGAGTTTTCTTCAAAATACTATTTTTTATTTATTATCAAAAATATTACTTTTAACTAAAAGGGATCAAGTAAATGGATATATATTATTTTTAAAAATTCTGCTAAGTAATATATCACCAATAGCCATTGATTGTTTTCTCACAATGTGGCTGAAAAAGTGTTCAAACCAGGAAGAGAGACATCTTGTTCTTCCATTTCTTTGTTATTATCTGCAGCTTCAATTATTAGTATTATCTTAACCTGAAGTTTCTTTGCAGGAAATATTTTTTAATGACTTGTGTATTTTAAGAGGATTAGTTTAGTTAAAATCAGCAATATAGCGTGCAAATCCATTTTACTAAACAAATCCACTAAACTGTCTCATGTCAACAGTGCCACCACGTGGTCAGCAAAGAATAGCATGATGTGTGTTTTTGTCATACACAGTGGCTTTCCTCTTCTGTTTACCATGGTCTTTTACTGTTTACTTCAGTTAAACATAAACATATTAACATACACACACACATCCTTTTAAACTCCATTTATTTTGTTTCAGTCTTATATTACTGATAAATGTTCCTTTTCCCTACTCCTTTTTCTCATGAACTTAAAAATTAATCATTTTTATAAGCACAAGGATAGTATTAGTCATTTGTCTGAAAACCTCCATGTTTTCTTTGTTTCTTTATTCTTTGTTTTTTTGTTGTTGTTGTTTTGAGACAGGGTCTTTCTCTGCAGCCTCCAGCTCCTGGGCTGAAGCAATCTCCCCACCCTAGCATCCAGAGTATCTGGGACTACAGGCCTGTGATACCACTTCTAATTTTTTTTTTTTTTTTTTTTTTTTTTTACTAGAGTCAAAGTGTTGCTATGCTGCCCATGCTGGTCTTTAACTCCTTGAGCTCAAGCCTCAGCCTCCCAAAGTGCTGGGATTACAGGTGTGAGCCACTGTGCCCAGCTGGAAGTATACAGTTTTATCTAAAATCAGACACAATGAGTGCCCGTATTCTCAAAAGCTTTTGTAAATGTTTAGACATCGTCAGAATTACTATTTTTTACTTAAACTTCTATCTATATATTCATCCTCTCTTAATTATATTTATTGGATTCAAGCATTTGGCTGGGCTCAGTGGCTCATGCCTGTAATCGTAGCACTTTGGGAGGCTGACAGGAGCAGAACACTTGAGGCCAGGAGTTTGAGACCAGCCTGGTTAACATGGTGAAACCTCATCTCCACTAAAAATACAAAAGTTAGCCGGGTGTGGTGGGGGTGCCTATAATCCCAGCTACTTGGGAGATTGAGGCATGAGAATCACTTGAACACCGGAGATAGAGGTTGCAGTGAGCTGAGATCATGCCACTGTACTCCAGCCTGGGTGACAGAGCAAGACTTTGTTTAAAAAAAAAAAAAATTAGCATTCAAAAGCAAGTTTTGACTTTATTTTTTATTCAATTTTAATGTTGCTTTATTTCAGGAGGTTCCAGTTCTTGGTAAGATGGGATAAGCACAGTCTACCCTGTCTCTTGCACTGACAGCTTTCACTGCAGCTATGAAACCTGGACAGAACATGCTAGCTGCATGGAACAGCTACCTGAGGACTCTGAAAAATAAATAGCAAGAAGATTGGGAAGGCACCCTAAATTTTAAAGTACCACCAAACCTGTGATGAATTTTTATTTTTTTCTTTTCTGGTATTCTCTAGCCTGAAACCCATAAAGGAGCACCAGAACACCCAGAGAGCTCCAGGGGAAACCCTTTTTTTGCCTCAAGGTGTGAAAGGCAAACTCCTAACATTCATGTAAGAGAGTGAGTAATTCCCTCCCTTTCTTTCATTCTTTCTGTTTTCTCACACCATGATCCCCAAGCAATTCCACAGCAGTGATGGCAGAGGCCTCCAATAGGGGCCCTGCTGGAGGGGGAGGGTCCTGGGGGATCTTCCTTTCTGATCAGTGGAGCTATAATTCCAAAGAGGTGAAGTGACTCTCCCTTAATTTTTATTTTTTCTTTATCCTCCCAGCAGTTAGCTCTGGATATGTGTAGCAGAGTGGGAAAACTAAAGCCTCCACTCTAGCAGAAGAAACCAAAAAGAGACTCCCATGGAACAAGTACCAGCAGATTGCAAACAGAGGGGATATCAAGAAAGAAACCCCATAAACTTGCTTATGAACTCCGTGGCTTACCTCAAATTTACGTATGCATGGGTCTGGCCCTAATCAACATACCAACAAGTTTAAGAACCAGACATGTAGATAGACATTGCCCAAGTCACAAGCCCACTCCTAAGTGAGGCACATATGAGACAGATATGATTCTAACTGTGAAGCCTTTAGAAATGAAACTGACATCAGAACTATAGCCCACTGGCTGGGTACTGTGGCTCACACTTGTAACCCCAACACTTTGGGAGGCCAAAGCAGGCAGATCACCTGAGGTCAGGAGTTCAAGGCCAGCTTGGCCAACATGGCAAAACTCCATCTCTACAAAAAAAGAAAAAAAAAAATTGCCAGGTGTGACAGTGCGATCCCTGTAATCTCAGCTACTTGGAAGGCTGAGGCAGGAGAATCGCTTGAACCCGGGAGGTAGAGGTTGCAGTGAGCTGAAAGAGCTTCACTACACTCCAGCCTGGGCAACAGAGTGAGACAGTCTTCAAAAAAAAGAACTACAGCCCACAGAAGCCAGGTTAAAATTTGTAGCCTGAACCTAACCAGGTCAGCTACCTGCTAAGACAAAAATATCTGTGTTTTCAGTAGGAGTTGAATAAGACCAAGAGTCTTATAACAGTCAAAATGTGCAGGACACAATGTAAAATTACTCAGCACATGAAGAAACAGGAACATCTCAATTTACATAAGAAAAAACACTCAACAGATAGCAACATCAAGATGACACAGTGTTATGGGCTGAATTGTGCCCCCCCAAAATTTGTATGTTGAAGTGCTAGTCACACAAAATTCAACTGTATTTAGAGATATGACCTTTGAAAAAGTAATTGAGTTAAAATGAGTCATTAGGGTGATCTCTAATCCAATATGGATAGTGTCCTTATAAAAACAGGAGATTAGAGGACCCACAAAAAGGGACACCAAGGATGCACCCACAAAGAAAAGACCATGTGAAGACACAGAGAGATGACAGCCACCTGCAAACCAACGAGACAGGTCCCAGGAGAAACAAAACCTGCTAACATTTTAAATTTCTGTTGTTTAAGCCACCATGTCAGTGGCCTTATAATATCAGTGTGTATTACTGTGCTTGGATTTTCCAACAAATCTCAAAGTAGCTTTTATATGAATGCCATAACAAGTAATAGTAAATATTCTTGAAACAACTGGGAAAATAGAAAATCTCAACAAAGAACTAAACGACATATAGAAAAATACGATTAAAATTTTAGAAATAAAAAATACAAATAAACACAAAATAAATAAATAAACTTACTAATTGAGCACAATAGCAGATTGGAAAAGAGAGAAAATTATTACTGAACCAAAAGGCAGATCAATAGAAAACATCCCATCCAAAGAACAAAGAGGAAAAAAAATTGAACAAAAATTAACAGAACCTCATGGAACTGTGGGGCAATAAAAAGGATCGAAAATTAAGATCACTGGAATCCCATAAAAAGAGAAAGAAGAGTATGGTGTTGAAAACATATTTAAAGAAACAATGACTAAAATCTTCCCAAGTTTAGCAAAAGATTAAAACTATAGGTCCAAGAAGTTAAGTAAAACTCAAACAGAATAAACGCCAAAAAAATCCACACCAAGGTAATCAAACTGCTGAAAACTAATGACAAAAAAATAAAGAAATAAAGCAGAGAGGCTGGGTGCAGTGGCTCACACCTGCAATTCCAGTGCTTTGGGAGGCCAAGGCAGGCAGATCACCTGAGGTCAGGAGTTAGAGACCAGCCTGGCCAACATGGTGAAACCCTGTCTCTACTAAAAATACAAAAATTAGTTGGTCATGGTGGCAGGTGCCTGTAATTCCAGCTACTCAGGAGGCTGAGGCAGGAGAATTGCTTGAACCCAGGAAGCAGAGGTTGCAGTGAACCAAGATCATGCCACTGTACTCCAGCCTGGGCAACAGCAGGAGACTCCATCTCAAAACAGAAAAACAGAAAAAAAAAAAAAAGAAAGAAAGAAAAGAATGAAAGCAGAGAGAAATAATGCATTATCTATGGGGGAACAACTTGAATGACAGATTTCTTATCAGAAACCTTAGAAGATAGAAAGCCTGGAGTTCTTACAAATAACACAGAAGCACAAACCATTTTTAAAACTGATTGACTGGGCTTTGTGGCTCACACCTGTAATCCCAGCACTTTGGGAGGCTAAGGTGGGAGGGTTGCTTGAGCCTAGGAGTTCAAGACCAACCTGGACAACATGGCAAGACCTAACCTCTACAGAAAACTTTTTAAAAATTAGCCTGTGATATGGTCTCGCTGTGTCCCTACCAAATCTCATCTTGAATTCCCACGTGTTGTGGGAGGAACCCAGTGGGAGGTAATTGAATCATGGGGGCAGGTCTTTCCTGTGCTGTTCTCATGATAGTAAGTATCACAGATCTGATGGTTAGTGTAAGGGGGAGTTTCCCTGCACAAGCTCTCTCTTCTCTTGTCTGCCACCATGTGAGACTTGCCTTTCACCTTCTGCCATGATTGTGAGGCCTCCCCAGCCACGTGGAACTGTAAGTCCCTTAAAACTCTTTGTTTTGTAAATTGTCCAGTCTCCGGTATGTCTTTATCAGCAACGAGAAAACAGAATAATATAGCCAGGCATGGTGGTGTGCACCTGTAAACTCAGCTACTCAGGAGGTTGAGGCAGGATGATGTCTTGAGCCCAGGAGTTGGAGGCAGCAGTGAACTGTGATCATAACACTGCACTCCAACTTGGGTGACAGAACAAGACCCAATCTCAGAAAATAAATAAATAAAACAAAATAATCTGGACTTCATTAAAATTAAAGTCTTTTGCTCTGTGAAAGACGTTATTAAGTGAAAAGACAAGCTATAGACTAGGAGAAAATATCTTCTAATTACATATCTGACAAAGAACTCATTATGTATATATAATGACCTCTCTAAACTCAATAGCAAGAAAACAAAAACCCAATTTGAAAATGGGCAAACAGACACTTGCTTACAGAAGATACGGGGATGGAAAACATGCATGTGGAAAGATGTTCTACATAATTAACCATTAGAAAAATGCAATTTAAAAGCATAAGATTCCACTACATATGTATTAGAATCGCTAAAATAAAAAATACTAGTAGAACTAAGTGCTAGTGAGGGTTTGGAGCAATTGAAACTCTTGCATATTGCTGATCGGAATGGAAAATGATATAGCCAGTTTCTAAATCAGCTTGGCAGTTTCTTATAAAGTTAAACATACAAGTATCATATGATACCATTTCTACTGCTGGGCATTTCCCCTTTGAGAAAGGAAAACTTGTACTCACTCAAAAATCTGTACATGAACGTTTATTGCAGCTCTATTTCCAATTGCCAAAAACTGGAAATAACTCCAACGTCCTTCTGAAACCAGCTTAAATGTCCCATAGAACTGACATTTGCAGCTTTTTGAATAAACATAGAAATTGACACTTCCAGTCTTAAAACTTGAAAATTAAATTTGTCTTATCATCTAAGTTTCTTCCTCAGAAAACCAGACCTCAAACAAGAAACTGAGGCACTGAAACTCACCATATCACTGCATCCAGACAATGAGATGCCAGACCCCTTATGTATCATGTTGTCATTGTTGTTGTTTTATTTTGTAGAGGTGGGGTCTCGTTGTGTCACCAGAGCTGGTCTTGAATTCCTGGCCTCAAGTGATCCTCTCACCTTGGCCTCTCAAAGTGTTAGCATTACAGGTGTGAGCCACTGCACTTGTTTCACATGATTCTCTTAGCCTTCCCTATTTCCTGTTTATCAACTTTCTTCCTTATTCCCCCTAATTCCTGTTTACCATCTCCTCTTCCTTATCCTTCCCTAATTCCTGTTTTCTCATATTTAACAACATTCCTTCTCCTACATAGAAACCCCTGATTTTAGCTGATTGGGGAGATGGACTTGAGACTCAACTCCCATATCCTTGGCTGCAGCACCCGAATAAAGCCTTCTTCCCTGGTAACACTCTTTGTCCCAGTGATTAGCTTTCTGTGCACTGAGAAATGAGACCTAGACAAACCCCTGGTATTTTAGTAATACTTCATTGGTAAGTGGAAAAACAAACTGTGGTATGTCCATACAATGGAATACAACACAACATTAAAAAAGAACGAACTGTTGATACATGAAACAATTTGGATATATCTGAAAGGAATTAGGCTAAGTGGGGGGAAAAAGCCAATCTCAAAAGTTTCCATTTTATATAACATTCTTGAAACGTCAAAATGATAGTGATGGAAAACAGATTGCCGGGGTTTAGAATGGGTGCAGGGCATGTGGCTGTAAAGAAGTATCAGGGTAGTTTTGGGAGTGCTGTAGTTGTTCTGTATCCTAGTTGTGAAAAGCATACATGTGTTAAGATTCATAGAATCATATACCAAAAAGTTAATTTTTCTGTACAGTAATTTAAGAAAATTAATAAATAAAAATATATTGTTCTGTTTTATACAATTATTTATTTGATAACATTATTACTTTTCCAAAAATTTGAATTGCCAGATATCAGGTACCCTGTTGGAGAAATGACCCTTTGGCAGCTTGCCTAGAAATCTAAATTTCAGGGGAAAAAAAAATGTATCTTCAGTTCCCATCATTACTTGACAGTGAAGGATGACTTAGATTGAGAAGTCAAAGAAGAAAGATGGGGGCCTAGCCCGGGCTAACATGAAGTAGGGTGGAGAAAGCTGTGTGCAAAGCCAAGCTGTAGAAACAGGCCCAGCCAAAGTGAGTGAGTGTTCTCCTTCCAAGAAGAAAGGAATAACTTCCTAAGAGGGAAAACACCAGGCCCAAAGGGAGTTTGAGCTTTTAATCAACAGCTTATTTACCTTAGAGGATCTTTAAAAACTATTTTTTGTTTTTGTTTTTTGAGATGGAGTCTTGCTGTATTGCCCAGGCTGGAGTGCAATGGCACAGTCTCGGCTCACTACAAGCTCTGCCTCCTGGATTCAAGCAATTCTCATCCCTCAGCCTCCCGAGTAGCTGGGATTACAGGTGCCCACCACCATGCTCAGCTAATTTTTGTATTTTTAGTAGAGACAGGGTTTCACCATGTTGGCCAGGCTGGCCTCGGACTCCTGACCTCAAGTGATCTGCCGGCTCAGCCTCCCAAAGTGCTTGAATTACAGGCATGAGCCACTGCACCCAGCCAAAAAACTGTTTTTTAAAAAAGGAAGAGATTGATCTTTTTAGTTACCAAATTTTTGTTCTACCACTCCATGATACTCCTCAGCATCAGTGGTTAAGAGGGTACCAGAGCAAGATGAAATAAATTCTAAAAACAGCACTTTTTTTTTTTACTACCAATGCAGATATAGATAGATAGATTGTACATACGGATTATATATACACAAATATTTGTACACGTATACATATATATATTTATATCCCCAAAATATATACTACTATATTTATAATAAAAGTTGACATTTATTAAGTGTTTGTCATGGCTTTAAAATATGCCTGTAAATTCTTTGACACTCTTCCACTCAAATAGTGGAACTAAATCCCTTCATTTTGAATGTGGGCTGATCTTAGTGACTTAGTGACTCACTTTCAACAAAAAGAATGTGGCAGAGTTGATGTTATGAGAAATCAGAGATTAGGTCATAAAAAGGACTCAGCAGCTGGGTGCGGTGGCTCATGCCTGTAATCCCAGCACTTTGGGAAGCCGAGGCAGGCGGATCATGAGGTCAGGAGATCGAGACCATCCTGGCTAACACAGTGAAACCCCGTCTCTACTAAAAAATACAAAAAAAATTAGCCGGGCGCCGTGGTGGGCGCCTGTAGTCCCAGCTACTCGGCAGGCTGAGGCAGGAGAATGGCGGGAACCCGGGAGGTGGAGCTTGCAGTGAACCGAGATCGCACCACTGCACTCCAGCCTGGGCGACAGAGCCAGATTCAGCATCTCTCTCTCTCTCTCTCTCTCTCTATCATTGCTCTGTCTGGGGTACAACAGCTGTCAAACCATGAGGACATCCATTCAGCCCCATGGAGAGGCCCACATGAAGAGAAATGAAGTCTACCACCAAAAACCAGCACCATGTGAGTGGGCCATGTGAGAGGGCCACCTTCAACGTGGATGCTCCAGCTGCCATCAAGCCTTCAAATACTTGTAGGTCCAGCCAATATCTCACTGCAAACTCATGAGAAACTCCAAGCCTAAACAGCCCATCAAAGCTACTCTTGAATTCCTGAGTCATGGAAACTGTGAAGGATAATAGATTATTACTGCTCTAAGCTACTAAGTTATGCAGCATCAGATAAATAAGTAACACAAAGGCTATATGCGTCAGGCTTCAAATACATTGTGAAATTTAGCTCTCATAAAGTAGCGCATCTCATTTTACAGATAAGCAGCCTGCTTCCTGGAAATATTGAAAAATTTACCACATGGTCATGGAGTTAATTCACGGCCATGCAGAAATTCAACCTCCAGACATGCCATATAGATCATGTGACTGGATGTCAGGCACTGGGAACACAGTCATGGGAACTTTGGGAGTCATGGGAGTGTTTATCAGAGGGAGAGGTTGCTGAGCAGGAGATGGGAAAACAACATCAAGTTCAGCTAGAAGAAATGAAAACGATAAATTAGCAAATTCAGTAGAAACTCTACATACAAATAAGGTTTAACTGGAAGGTAAGGAGTGAGATTCTAGGCGAAGAGAAAAGCAAAACAAGGTGAGAAAAAGACAAAAGTATGGAATGGTTTGTGTTCTTTTAATCACAAGCAAGCGGGTAACCAAGAACCCAATAGGAATGAGCCAAAGTGGAGTAAGTCATTTGTCAAAGCCATACTGCTCCTTTTCTATTACTGGTTACCCTGGTAATAGAACCCTCACTTTATGGTAATGAAATTTAAATGAGAATATCACATGCAAATGAAGTAACATGATTTTTTTTTGGGGGGGGTACTGATGTTCACATTTATCTAGTTAGCTCCACTTTTTCAGGAATTCTAGGTACAATTTGGGAGGAGTTTTGTTGCAGAAAAAGAATGATACCATGAAAGAGAAGATGAAGAATACGGCTTATTCTATTAGCTTGGCCACCCAGAAAGATCTTCTAGGTACCATTGATGTGTTTATTTTCCCCATAACCCTGGTAGGAGTCAGTGTTAAATAATGAATCTTGCAATTTTTCTTGTCTTGGCCCATTCTGACTTCATTGCTTAAAGGAACCCTATAAGTCAGGGCTGCAGCCGGGCCCTCGGTAAGGGGTCAGAGCCCTATATATGCTCACTGCTTGGACAGCTCTGCCTACTGTGGCCATTTCTGCATAGACATAGGCTGTCCAGAGAGACTGTATCAGTTTCCTAGGGCTGCTATAACAAACCATCACAAACTGGTTACCTTAAACCAACAGAAATTTATTATCGCGCAGTTCTGAAGGCTGGAAGTCCAAAACCAAGGTGTTGGCAAGGCCATGCTCTCTCTCTGAAGGCTCATGTGGGGAGATCCCTCCTTGGTTCTTCCTAGCTTCTGGTTGCTTGCTGGAAATCCTTGACAATCCTTGGCTTGCAACTGTTACGCTTCAATCTCTGTGTCCTGTGTCATACACCCATCTTCTCTTTGTGTGTCTACGTGCCTTCTTATAAGGATACCAGCCATATTAGATTACAGCCCACCCTAATGAGCTTATCTTAACTTCATTACATCTGCAAGGATCCTTTTAAAGAATAAGATCACATTCTGAAGTACTGGGGGCGAGAATTTCAAAATAAGAATATTTTGGAGGGTGTAATGGTTAATTTTATGTGTCAACTTGACTGGGTTAAGGGATGGCTAGATAGCTGGTAAAACATTATTTCTGAGTGTGTCTGTGAGGATGTTTCCAGAAGAGACTAGCATTTGAATCAGTAGGCTGAGTAAAAATATCCACTCTCACTAATGTGGGCAGGCATTATCCAATCCATTGAGTGCCTGAATAGAACAAAAAGGTGAAAGAAGGGTGAATTAGCTCTCTCTCTCTGAGGTGGGACATGTACATTCTTCTGCTCTTGAACAGTGGAGCTCCTAGCTCTCTGGCATTTGAGCTTGGATTTAATACCATCAGCTTTCCTGGTTTTCCAGCTTGCAGACAGCATATAGTGGGACTTCTTGGCTTCCATAATTGCATGAGCCAAATCATATATATATAGTAGAAGAGCCCAGAGTTAACAGAGATAGCAGAAATGGGCAAAAGAAGACATGACCCCAAAGCAAACCACTTGCAGTCCTCACAATGCCACAGTTAATCTAAGAGATAAGATGCTGGGCTAAAAGTGTGAAGACTTGGCTTTCCATTACTCTGCTGCAGACTGTGTGTGAGCTTTCTGTGTTGTCCCCCTGAGCACCTAGCAGTGACCTTCAAATGAGTGTCCTTTCAACACACAGTAGCTCATGGGTCACTTGTGCTTTGGCGAGCCATTCTCTCTGCTCAGCACTTTCATCAACACAAGAGACAACTACACCCTAGATAAGCTCTGGCTCCAAGATATATCTTCTAGGACCCCATAATCACATCTGCAACTCAACCTTCAGGGTAAAGAATGGGCAAAAGAAACATGTGAATACATTCACAAATACGTGGGGACAAGATAAATGTGTGAACATGTCCACAAATACTTGGGGGCAATCTGGAAATGGCATGAAACACTCCATGGCCCATCATTCAGTTTCATAATCATACCCAGCAGCCAACTACTTGGAGACAATCTGGAAATAGCACACATCACTCCTGGTCACATTCCACAGTCCAGAATTCAGATGCATGGACACGCCCCAGCAGGCAAGGAGGGTGAGAAATGAGGTTTCTAGCTGTGTAGCCATGTGTCCAGCTAAAAATCTGGATTTCTATTCTTTAAAAAAATCTATTATTTTAAGAAATTAAATTCTATTATTAAAAGGGGAGAATGGATTTTGGTGGAAAACTTGTCTTTCCCATACTCTGTACATATTTTGTTAAAATGTTAACTTTTCTCTTTGTGGTCATCCTGAAAACACTACTTTATAACATTTGCATAGTTTTCAGCCATGTAGTTGTATAAAAGTTTATATCATCATTTTCCTATTGTTGGACATTTATAATATTCATTTTTCACACTATAAGTATGCCTTAAAGAAGAAACACACTCATCTTTGTGCACGTCTCTGTTAATCTCCTTATGGGAATCTCTTAAAAGGTGTTTTTGAGAGTCCATGACCAGGTCTGTGATACAGGGACCACATTAGCCTGAAGAACTGCTGTTCCAGGTCTCTCTTTGAGAGAAGTGAAACTTTCATGGTCTTGGTGCATTCTGACCATCTTTCCAAGCCATTCTGCTTTGGCCAGTTCCTCTAGGCCCTTGGCTTGATATCAGAGGCAGGGTACTTGGGAGATAATATTTTTTTATAGCCAGATGTGATATTAGTGAAAGCATGCTGTTACTGGATGTTTCCAGAGGTTTGACCAGAGGGTTTGCCTTGAAATTTTGTCCCAAGCATCTCCAGGTTATGTGTATGTACAGTTTTTACTCATTAACTCTATTTGCACACCTATTTACAACTTGCAAGATACTTAACCACACATGATGTCATTGGCTGTATCCAACAGTGACTTTTCTAAAACACAAATCTGATACTACCAGTTTCATGACTTAAACCCTTTGAAATAGCCACACACCTGCAGATGAAAGTCCAAATGCATTAACATAATTCGTAAGTCTCCATGACTGCCATACCAATTAGCTTACTACTGCAAACAAACAAACACCCCACCACCCCCACCCCACACACAAAAGCTTCATGGATTAAAATAATAGCCTTTTATTTAGCTCATAATACCATAAATCAGCAATTTGGGCTGGGTTCAGTTGGGCAGTTCTTACGTTAAGCTCAGCTGGGCTCACTCGTGCATCCATGGTCAATTGCAGGTCAGCTAGGCAACTCTGTTTCTGAAAACAGCTGATTGTAGGCTAGGATGACCAAGAAACTGAGGCAAGTGTCTCTCACCATCCAGCAGGCTACCTTGGACTTACAAAAATGTCAGTGTCAGGTTGAAACAGTAGCAAGAAGCTCCCATGGGAAAGCATTTTTCTTTTCTTTTTCTTTTTTTTTTTTTTTTTTTGAGACAGTCTCGCTCTGTCACCCAGGCTGGAGTGCAGTAGCACGATCTCAGCTCACTGCAACCTCCACCTCCTGGGTTCAAGTGATTCTCCTGCCTCAGTCTCCCGAGTAGCTGGGACTACAGGCATGCACCACATGCCCAGCTAATTTTTGCATTTTTAGTAGAGACGGGGTTTCACCATGTTGGCCAGGATGGTCTCGATCTCTTGACCTCATGATCCACCTGTCTCGGCCTCCCAAAGTGCTAGGATTACAGGCATGAGCCACCGTGCCCGGCCTTCATTTTTTTTGGTCTTTTTTTTTGAGACAGAGTCTCACTCTGTTGCGCAGGCTGGAGTGCAATGGTGCCATCTTGGCTCACTGCAACCTCCACCTCCCGGGTTCAAGTGATTCTCCTGCCTCAGCCTCCTGAGTAGCTGGGACTGCAGGAGTGCACCACCACGCCTGGCTAATTTTTGTATTTTCAGTAGAAATGGGGTTTCGCCATGTTGGCCAGGCTGGTCTTGAACCCCTGACCTCAGGTGATCTGCCTGCCTCAGCCTCCCAAACTGCTGGGATTACAGGCGTGAGTCACCGCACCCGGCCTGCAAGCATTTTCCAAGTGTCCTCTTGCATTATGTTTGCTAATTTCTCAATGGCCAGAGCAAGTCCTGTAGCCAACTCAGATTGAAGGGATGAAACAAGAAAGCAGACTTTCCCTGATGAGGAAAGGGAAAAAAAAATTGTGGCTATTTTTGCCATCTACAATGACTTCTTTCTCCAGTAGCATCTCCTTGTGTCTCCACCTTCACCTCCAACACTCTGCTCCAACTAAACAGAACTGCTTACAGCTCCCCTACCCTATCTTGTTCTTTCAGGCCTCCAGGCTTTTGCCCATTCTAAAGCCTTGCCTGCCAGGTTTCTATCACTATTCAGCTCCAAGTAAGGACCATTCTAGACATCCCTTCCTCCAGGAAGCCTTGCTTCTCTCACCTCTAGCAGGGCTGGTATTCCTCCTCTGTGTTCTTTTCCTTCCCCTTATAGCCCATACCATGCTCTATTACAAATATCTGTTTTCTTGTCAATTTTTCCAAAAAGACAGTAAGGTTCTTGAGAGCAATACTTGTTTCCTATTGCGTACTTGGTACCTAGTGCCATACAATAAGAGCAAATAGCTATTTGTTGGTCAACTGAAGAACTGCGCATGAGGGAGTGAAAGAAACAGAGGTAAGAAAACCTTTTGCAAATCAACAGGCACCACATACATCACAGTAATGGAAACTTAGAGTGAGAAGGAACTTTTTATCTTATCCATGCATAATTCCTTGGAAGAACATGGTTAAAAATTTCCTCTCAGTTCATTAGTCACAGCTGTAGATACGGAAAACAACTCATGCCCTCATAGAGCTCATTCTATTTCCAAACTCTTTTTAGGCTTAATACTCTCTTCACTGAACCCAAATCTTCCCAGTAACTTACACCTATCCCAAGACCTGCTGTCTGGAGCCTCGACGTTAAAGTGCAATCCTTTTTCTTCACACATCAGACCTTCTCACACCAAATCTAACACCTATCCCTCTTAGCGAGTGTCTTCACAGCCCTCACCACCCCGGTGGCCTTCTTATGGCCACACCCAATGTGTCTTGGTTTCTCTTGGAAATAAGATCGGGAGCTGGACAGGATACTTCCTCAGGGTTGAGAGATGAGCTTCTCAGTAAACTAGTAGTCAAGACTCTAATGGCACCAGCGAAGCTTACTGCTGAGAATTGCAGCTCCCACTGAAATGGAACCCAGCCATGAATCACACCATTAATATAACTTTTCTAAAAAGGTTAAACTCTACACAGGCATTAATATGAGGAAAATTCTACCTGAGTCTTTTTACCTGTTCTTATCATTTGTATCCAAGTCAAGGCCCCCCAAAAGCTCAACACTGCTAGATTTCAAATACGTCTAGCAAAAAATAGCAAGAGATACTGAGGTGTATTTCATCATGAATAGACCATACACTTTGGAATAAACCAAAACTGCATTGGAGAGCTAGTTCTGAAACGTACTAAGCATGTGCATTAGGAAAGGAGCTAACCTCTTTAGGGCAGGCAGTTCCTCATCAGCCTCCAGAGCTACTGTTAAGACTACATGGGTCTAACTCGAGCTGACACTTAAATTTCAAGCTTGTCATGTGTCAAGCTAAGTACTTATACAATGCTATCCATTTTAACATGCACCTACCTTTATGAAGAAAATTCCATTAATATGCATACGTTATATTATATAAGAGGACACGGAGGCTCTGAATTTTGAAGTTATTTGCTCAACATCACAGAGCTAGCAGGTAGCAACGCTCCGAATTTTGAAGTTATTTGCCCAACATCATAGAACTAGCAAGTAGCAACGCTGGGCCATGAACCCAAGTCTCTAGCTCCAGACCATGGGCACCCGGTGAACCCTCTAGAAAAGTTGGTGCTTACATTCCTACCTTGAAAATTAGAGACACGAGTTATTCCTAAATCACCCATGTTACTAAATGGTGACTAATGTGAGCTGCCACGGTTCCGTGGCCACAGGGCTTACACAGTCACTGTGATCTGTAGTAAAGGCCTCGCAAGAATACTGGGCCCAGTACAACACTGCCAAGCTCTCGGGGATTAGCAGTGCTGCCCAATTTTGCTGCTATATTAGCTCACTTTCCCAGAGATACATTAGAAAGCAGGAAATTAAAAAAAAAAAAAGAAAAGAAACAAAGAAAGAAAAGAAGAAGAAAACCTACCCCAATGTGTTATTTTGCTAACAGCCTTAACTTTGCAATAAATAAAGACTGCAAATGGGAAGAAAATGCATAAAATGAAAATAAGCTGAGTGAATCATGGCACGTGGTTTGTAGAGTATATAAATATTCATGTTAAATTACCTTTTCCTCCAACTCCATGGTTCTCCTGTGTGCACTTAGGGCTGACTGGTTTCGGTAGGCCTTAGTTACCTACACAAACGCGGTGACTTTTGTGAGAGCCTGAGGAGTAAATAATGACTATTAGCACAGGCCTGAATAATGTCTAATCCCACTGAAAGCCCCCGGACGCTCAAGCACCCCTCTCCATTTGGCAAGGGAACAGTAATCCATCTCTTGGTCTTTCCTAGTCAACGGAAACTGAGCTGAGGGAGAAAAGAGAGGAGAAAATCCTTAATCTTAGCAACCGTGAGCTCTGGTATTTTAGCTGTGGAGCTTAAAGGGGAAAAAAAAAAAGCCTTGTTGAAAAGTTCAACTCTAGGTAACCAGGTTCTGAAAGCCTCTTTTGTATGACTGGGGAGGTGGGTTGTGTGGACAAGGAGGAACGAGGGTCACTCCAGGGTTGCTTGCCTGCCTGGCAGCAAGATCGTTCCCTTCCTGTTGAGGAGGAACAGGGCAGGGTTGCTAAGGACGGTCACAGCTCACAGCTCCACTGCATGGGAAGGCCGAAAGATAGGAGCTTGCCCGAGGCTTAGCTGGCTCGAGGGGCCAACATTCCTTCCCTGATTCTGCTCTGGCCTCCCAGTGACCTTGGGTTAAACTGCAGTCAAGTCCGTTGCTGGTAACATTTATCTCACTCCTCTGTGCAACCCTCAGCCGCTTCCCACCCAACGCAACATTCTAAATGTGAGTTATTGGAATTTCCTTACATCAGCGCAGAGAGATGTGCTGGCATCTTACTCCCCAACAGATCCCAGTTTATCTCTACCTAGGAAAAGGAACATCAGCATGTGTGTAGTGTGGTGTGCATGTGATTGTATGTTCTATCTGTGGTGAAGTAATTTTCCACATGTAAAAAGGATCCTATATAAACTGTCTTATATATAACAGCAAGATGACTAAGTGTTAAGCCTGGCTTTCTCTTATACCTCTTCAAATTTGTTAAAATGCCATTTTCTTCAAATAAGAATATATAGTTCATAAAGCTAAAAGTTTCTAAGTATAGCTTTGCATGTTTATTTCAGCTAATCCAATAAGCACTTCTTGAAGACACACTATGAGGCAGGTATTGCACCAACATAACTAGTGTGGAGGGAAAAGAAACACAGACTCTTGAGGCAGACCAGGTTCAAAGCCTGGCTATGCTACCTGCACCTTTGAGACCTTAGGTAAAAAGCTAAAACTTTTTTCTTCTTCTTTTTGAAAAAAGGTCTCACTCTGTTGCCCAGCCTGGAGTGCAGTGGTGCAATCTCGGCTCACTGCAACCTCCGCCTCCCAGGCTCAAGTGATTCTCCAACCTCAGCCTCACAAGTAGCTGGGACTACAGGCGTGCACCACCATGCCCAGACAGTTTTTCTATTTTTATAAAGATGGGGTTTCACCATGTTGCCCAGGCTAAAAGCTAAAACTTTGGATGCCTCAGTTTCTGTATCCTTAAAGTGGAGGTAACAGTACAGATGTGAGGATTCAATGAGATGGCAGGTATAGAAAGCATAGTGACACAGTGTCTGGCACCCAGAAGCTCTATACATGTGTCTGCTCAGATGCTACCTGCAGAGAGGGCTCAGCCTAACTGGGAGCCTGTGGGCAGATATGAACACAGCTCTACAGAATGATAGACAAAGGAGAAATGAGAGGGAGGATTTGATGGCAACAGACAGACAGGTGGGAAGGCAGCTTTTCAGAGAGAGGATCAGCAGGAGCCATGCACGGAGCAGGGAACCTAAAGGACATTTTCAGAGATGTGCTTTGCCATGGCACTTGAGTGTAGAAGAATTGGGAACGATTTCTATTTTCTGTTGGTGTTGATTTAATAAATCAGAGAATCCTGTGAACTATCTCTGGCTCCCTATTATGGGTGCATTAATGGATGCTTTTAAAATAAAGTAAAATAAAATAAAAGGGATTTCAAGAGGAAGAGCCATTTATTGAGCATCCACTAGCCTTTTGCATAAGTAATTTTCTTTTTCTTATCTCATCATAACAAACAGGGAAACTGAAGATCAAAGAGATGACGCAGCTTATCCAAGTTCATACCAATAAGAGGCGGGACTGGGTGGTAACCCCATCTGGACTAATGGGACCAAAGGCTGTGCTTCTCTGCTTTGCCGTAGCTGCCTGCCACTGAAAGATTTCAACTCAATATGTTCCCTGCCCTCTCTTCTCCAGCCATTTTCTTCTGTGTCGCTCGCCTTGAGGCCCATGGGTTTATCTATCTGAAGCATCTCTCTTCCTCCCATTCTTTCTGCTCTCCTGACCCTCTTTTTTTTCCCCATGGCAGTCCAGACAGCCTCCCAGCCCAGAAAATAGATACAGGCAGTAGGAAGGCAAGCTACCTTCTTCATGCAAAAAGACCCACATGTCTTGTGTCATTTTTAATCAGTGGAATATTTTGTGAAGTAAGGCTGACAATTTACAGAAATCCAGGTAATAGGACTTGTTCATGGTCACACAGAAAGTAAAGGGCAGAAAGATAACCATGTGGAAAGTCTGTTAATACCAAGGTCAGGAGTGGACCTGTTTCTAAAATATCAGCCCCCATGGTGCTAACAACTCATGTCTACATCCCACACACACCTGCATCTTGGCACTTTGAGGCCCCATTTCCTGTCCCTCCTATAATCCAAAGAACGCTTACTCTTTTGAGAATGCTTACATTGGTGAATAGTAGCTTAAAGGACATTTTCTTCATAACAGCATGTTCACATGCTAACAGGAAAGACAAGAAAAGATGGTACAGGTGAAAGACGTGGAAAAGAGTGGAAGAAATAAATATTTGAGCATTTCTCAAGGGAGGAGAAATAAACTTAATTTTCTTTCTTTATTTTTTGAGACAGGGTCTCACTCTGTTGCCCAGGCTGGAGTGCAGTGGCCCAATCACAGCTCACTGCAGCCTCGACCTCCCAAGGCTCGGGTGTTCCTCCCACCTCAGCCCCCGAGTAGCTGGGACTTCACGTGCGCGCCACCACACCCAGCTAATTTTTCTAATTTTTGTGGTGTTTTTTTTTTTTGTTCGTAGAGACAGGGTTTTGCCTTGTTGCCCAGGTGGTCTCAAACTCCTGAGTTCAAACGATCCACCCACCTCAGCCTCCCAAAGTGGCAGAGATTACAGGCATGAGCCACCACACCCGGCCGCAAACCTAATTTTATTTTGATACCAAAAGAAGCACAGACTTGTCATTACCTGGGCTTGTGTGGGGGCCACATGTACGGCCCTCTGTTGTTCCAGTTAAGTCCTGCTTCATGTCCTTAACCCTAAAGCATTGACAACTCACTTAGATCCAGCAAACAGCAATGCTAAGTCATAGCTAACTTTCATTAAATACTTGGTGACAGGAAATGTGCTAAGCCCTTAATGTCATTACATTATTTAATCAGCTCAGCAAGGCTGTGAGTTGGTTTGTGCTGGATGTCTTCCACTTGCCCTCCACAGCCATTTCCACCCTTTTCTATTTGTCTCACTCTACCCTGGGAGGCTGCTCTGTACAGACTGTATCACCTGCTCCCATGCCCTCTGGCTTTGTGTTGGGTTTGACCAGCAGGGAGCTTCAGGAGAGCAGGATTTTGGAGAAAGAAAGTAAAATAAGGTCAGATTTCCCCTCTGTAAGGTCATTTCTGATAAAAGCCATGGCTTTTCTCAAAGAGGGCTTTTCTAAGTACCTCTTGTCCTCTCTGGGTTCCTGTAATTTCCATCTCCCCTCTTAGATATTGGCTTAGAGAAAGCCAACAGATCTGCTGCTCTAACCCTGGGTATCTCACTGTCTTTCGTGGTTTTCTCAACCACTTCTACACATTTATAATTTGTTCCTATTTCCTATTGGGATCCTGATATATAGGTACTATTATTATACCCATTTTATAGGCAATTCAGGGAAATAAAGCAACTTGTGTAAGGCCCCACAGCTAGTTAGCAGCAAAGCTGGATTTCAAAGCCAGATTTGTCAAAATCCAGAGCTCAAGTTCTTAGCTGCTACACTGAGCAGCAAAAAACAGTTCTGGACAAGGCAGACAAGCTGGGAGGCCTGGGAGCTGCATCCTTGAGGGACTCCTCGTGGAAAAGTGCAGTGGGCAGAACTAAACGGTGTGGGTGGTTTGCTGCCACTGTCAATGCCCACCTGTCAACCTCTTTATAAGGCAGATGGAAGGAGAGGAGGGAAGACGGGCATTTTCATTGAACCTGCTGCCCTGTCATCCTGGAGTCAGCCTGTATTGTTGGGACAGAACATCTGCTGGTACCAAGAGGCTGTGAGGAGCTGTCAGATCTCACCCACATTCAAATCCTGTTTGGAAATGCATTCCAAGGCCCCAGAGGCATTTCTCTAATTGCCCTGGCTGAGTCTAGAGGTGATGCCATTGAGACAGAGCCTTACTTAAAACAACCAAACATAGCAAGGGCAGACAGTGGTTGACTTTAGTTCAAAAGAAAAATCCGGGATACTTAAGTTCCCCAAATATCTATTTTTTTTCACAAGACACCAAGAGAATCCACAGCAAGAAATAAATAACAATGTGGCTTGCATCTGAGCTAGACTGACCTCTGCATATTGGCTTTTGACTTCCACTTTGGGAAGCTGAATGATCTTTATTTAATGCTGGGACACTGAAGCTTCTTCCACAGTGAGAAATTTATCATCTCAGGCTTCAGATTAATTGAAAGAGAATATTTTAGCTAAAATAGTTACATACATTTCCATAAATGATTTTCCTGTAAAATAGGAAGAGGTCTACTTCCTCTGCTTAAAGCAAAACAGATTTTAGGCAAGGCCTTTCCACAGTGCCTTCTTCCAAACAGTTCTATTACCTCTTGTCTCTTTCTTAGAGCTCACTGCACTGAATTACGTTTACAGGTTGTCCCCTGCACTAGAAAGTAAGGTACTTGTAGGTGGATCATGTGTCTCTTTCATCCCCACGTCCCTGGCCCAGCACACAGCAGTCAATATATATTGCGGGATGAACAGACACATGGATGTCCCCAGAGGACCCTGGGAGAGCTGCCATCAAGAGAGTGCATTATGCAATTATATGTTGACTCAAAGACAGACTACATATTTCATTTAATTTAAAAAAACCCCATATTTGAAACATCATAACTGCTCAAAATATGTGTTGGAGGAAATTGGAAACAGAGGATGTAGCAAAATAAATAAATAAATAAATAAATAGAGCTTCATTAACTATTGCCCTTTTGTCTTCCTGTATTGCTTGGAGATACTTTGGCAGCAATTTGGGTTGGTATTAGAGGATAATAACCACCGTATGCTTCAGTTATTCTAAGAAGAGCTGCATTCCACAATAGAGTTGCCCCATGCAGAAGACAATGGAGAAGGGGCTGTTAAGCAAGATGCTGGTTGAACCAATCACAGGTCCAGCAACTTCTTCCATCCCCGAAGTCAACTTTTGATCAACCTTAAGATTTCAGCTCAAGTGCTCTTTCCTCTAGGAACTTTCCTTGACCCTCCAAGAGAGGCCAAGTTTTCCTTCCTTCCGAGCACTTTACTCCAATTGTAATTACATATTCATTAGTGTGACTCTTTGGCGAATGCCTGACTCTCTCGAAAGTTCCATTTATCAGTTCCATTTATCTGCTGTGTTCATTATTCCATTCCTAGGGCCAAGTATGACGTCATAGAGTCAGGTGTTCTGTAAATCAGTGTTGAATGAATAAATTAGTGATGAATGAATGAACAAATTTTCAGTCTCTGCTAAATCACACTGAGTCACATCCTCATTCTTGGTCCATTGTTCTTCCCCTAATACCAGCCATTTTAAGTGGATGGGGTTTGTGTGTGTGTGTGTGTGTGTGTGTGTGTGTATTGTTGTTCTGTTTTTTTTCCCATGAAGCAATCATTCTCATTCCACCCCCACATTGTTTCCATGGGCACTAGACATAAAGGTTGACCTATCCCACATCCTGGCCACCTCATAAAAGAAAACCATAAACACTAAACTGACAATTTTTAAATGTACTTTTTGTAGAAAACCTCTTTTAATAATCTACATCCAAAAAATGATGGTATATCCATACACTAGGATATTAATGATTTTTTTAAATGAGCTAGCAAGCCAGAAAGACATGAAGGAGCCTTAAATTGCTAAGTGAAAGAAGCCAGTGTGAAAAGTCTACATGCTAAGTAATTGCAATTATATAATACTGCAGAAAAGGCAAAACTGATTGCTCCTAGAGGCCCAGCCTCTGTGGCTCCATTGTGGCTCCATTACCAGCAGGTATTGGGAGATCCACAGCTAAGATGCCAGGACCCCCTGGAAGCCTAGAAATGGAACCATCGACATTTATGGACATAGAATTTTCTCTGGAGGAGTGGCAATACCTGGACACTGCACAGCGGAATTTATACGGAAATGCGACGTTAATGGACTACAGAAACCTGGTCTTCCTGGGTATTGCTGTCTCTAAGCCAGACCTGATCACTTGACTGGAGCCAAAAAAAAAAGAGCCCTGGAATATGAAGGGACATGAGATGGTAGCCAAAGCCCCACCGGGTGGGAGCAAAAGTGAATACAACAGACAACACAGATGAGAAGTCCAAAGGTCAAGGAGAAAGCCAGTCCTTAAAATGTGATTTGGGAAGCTGTGTTCCAAAGAAAATAATGTCCGGGAAGCCTGAGTTTTTTTATTTTGCTTTCTCATAGGGCATCTTCTGTCTTATGCTTTTAAATTCTCTAAGAATTCTACTTTCCCTTTGGTGATCTTCTTTCAAGTTTACGGTGAGAGCCAAAAATCCTCCTCATGGTAGATAAGAGACTGCACAATCTGACTGCTTTTCCGTTGTTTTGGGAAACACACAAATATCTGCATACTTTTGAGAAACTCTAGGTTGAACTATTTTTTACATTCTCTTTTTGCATCATGTCTGAAATGTGTCAGTAGTGGTTTCTGTTCCATTGGTTTTTTTGTATATTTTTTGCACATTCCATCCTGTTTGCATTACCATAGTCTTTAAATATAGTTTGAAATTATAAAGTTAAAAAAATAAATAAATAAAAGGCAAAACTATGGAGACGGAAAGAAATCAGTGGTTGCCAGGAGCTGATAGAGAAGGAGGAAGGGGTAAATAGGCCAAGCATAGGACATTTTTAAGGCAGTAAAACTATTCTGTATGATACTGTGATGATGGATACATAGCTTTATGTGTTTGTCAAAACTCAGAGAATGTACATCAAGAGCAAATACTAATGTAAACTATAAACTCTTGTGTTTTTCTGGGTTTTTTTGTTTTGTTTGTTTGTTTTGTTTTGTTTTTGAGATGGAGTCTCACCCTGTCACCCAGACTGGAGGGTAGTGGCCAAAAATCTCAGCTCACTGCAACCTCTGCCTCCCAGGTTCAAGGATGCCGGGCTGGGCATGGTGGCTTACGCCTGTAATCCCAGCACTTTGGGAGGCCGAGGCGGGTGGATCACCTGAGGCCAGAAGTTCAACACTAGCAAGGCCAGCATGGCAAAACCTGTCTTTACTAAAAATACAAAAATTAGCTGGATGTGGTAGCGCATGCCTGTAGTCCCAGTTACTTGGGAGGCTGAGGCACAAGAATCACTTGAACCCATCCTTGCTCCCAGAGCTCCCAAGATGGTGGCGGCTGCTCCCAAGATGGCAGCAAGTCTCTTGTTCTCTGACCTGGGGTTCTTGGCCTCATGGATTCCAAGGAATGGAACCTTGGGCCATGTGGTGAGTGTTATAGCTTTATTAGAAGCCATGGGTCACGGAAGAGAACCGTGGAATCCAGTGACTAGTGTTCAGCTCAATTAGGACAAACCCGGGCACTTAGCCATGCAGGAACAATGGCTAGCCTTTAGCCCAAACGGGAGTGGCAATGGGCACCTCGCTGGATCAGAAACACAGTGGACACCCTGCCAGATCCGGAGGGGTGGAAGTCAGCAGCGGGTCTGTGACGGTGGCAAACAGCAGTGGTGGACAGAGAGCAAAAGCTCAGCTCAAGCCATAACAAACCGGGACCAGAAGAGTGTGCAGTTGCAAGATTTAATTGAGTGAAGACAGAGCTCCCATACAAAGGGAGGGGACCCAAAGAGGGTAGCCGCTGCTGGCTCGAATGCCTGGGTTTATATCCTGATCATTGTTCCGCCTGCTATGCTCTCAGGCAATAGATGATTGGCTATTTCTTTACCTCCCATTTTTGCCTAATTAGCATTTTAGTGAGGTCTCTTTACTACCTGATTGGTCAGGTGTGAGCTAAGTTGCAAGCCCCGTGTATAAAGATGGATGCAGTCACCTGCCCAGCTAGGCTTAGGGCCTAGGAAATCCAGCTAGTCCTGTCTCTCAGAGGGATGCCAGGCTGGGCGTGGTGGCTCATGCCTGTAATCCCAGCATATTGGGAAGCCGAGGCGGGGGGATCACCTGAGGCTGGAAGTTCAAGACTAGCAAAGGCCAACATGGCAAAACCCCATCTTTACTGAAAATACAAAAATTAGCTGGATGTGGTAGTGCATGCCTATAGTCCCAGCTACTTGGGGGGCTGAGGCACAAGAATCACTTGAACCTGGAGGCAGAGGTTGCAGTGAGCCAAGGTAGTGCCACTGCACTCCAGCCTGGGTGACAAAGCAAGACTCCGTCTCAGAAAAAAAAAAAAAAACACAGGGATGCCAGTTGAAGTAGGAGTGCTGTCCTAATCCACCCACTTTTGCACCCACAGACACATCTCAGATCCCACTTTCCTCTTCCCAGGTCCCCAAGATACCACTGAGGACCAGTGGGGATGCAAGCCCCAGTTGTGCAGGGAGGAGGAAGCCAGAATTCTGAATTGGGAATAGGTGAAGTCAGATTGCCTTAATCTTCCAAAGTCACAGAAGACCCCTCAGGCATCCTGCTGATAAACACACCCTAATTGTCACCAAAGAACCCAAGAAGAACTCACTAACCCCTTGAAGGCAAACCACAGCCTGTTCACTAACAGTGGCGGCCCCACAATTACTGGCAAGTGTTTGCTGGGCAGAAGGGTGCCAGTGAAATGCTGCAGGGCACCAAGTCAGAGAAGAGCCAGCTCCACCAATTAAGGGTATGCTTCTGAGCAGTCGCTGTGTCTAGGAGAGTTTCTGAAATAAGCCCAGGCATGCCAGCACAGGCCCCTGGGAAGAGACAGCAAGCAGCCTCTCTCTGGCAGCAGGGAGCCAAGAGGTACCTCATCGCCATGGCTACCTCTCAGAGCTTGCCTCAAAGCCTTTCAGGAATCTCTGCTATTTATGGAATTGGATCGCATACCCCAAGGCCAGCATTCCTTCACTCTCAGGCACTCTCTCTTTACTTTCCTTCATCCCAGTTAAATTAAGGCAAGGGTGGGCCCTGACACTGCCCGTGATTGATGGGGAACCTCAATGAGATGCAGCAGAAAGGCCTCTATCAGAGGCCCTGTGGCCGAGGCCATCCCAGACATTTCTGCTTGCCACAAATCCCACATATCCACAGAGCACAAGGTGGAACATCCTTCGCATGCTCTTAAACTTCTAACAGCTTTGGAGGAAGAAATAAACCCTCCCTGATGTGACTGATGTGCCAGTTCAGGCCTTGATGGATGTGCCAATTAATGCCAATTAATGCCTTTTTCCTTTCTGTCTTCCCAGCACAGTTTCAGGAAAGGGAGAATGAGACAAGAACACAATCACTATTGTATATTTGGCCACAAAGAACACCCAGCTAGGTTTCCCGTTGGGGCCAGCATCAGATGCTAGTCTGCATCTTTTTCCAAAATAAATAAATAAATAACTCAAATGTGTAGCTTTGTTTAATAAGGTAACGTTTTGGAAAATGATAGAAACTGAATTTAAACTAGCTTCAATTCTTTTTAAAACCAGATCCTTTCAACCAACTAACAAAACAAAAACCTCCAGAAATACAGTCTGTAACGTTTCCTGTTCAAATGGTCCCTAACTCCATCTGTCGGTCTTGTCTGGCCAGTATGTCTTTGTTATTCCAGGGCACCACCTCATTTTTAGGATGGTGGCTCCAAAACTGCTCCTTCTACAACCCCATCCAAACGTGTAGTTACAGTGGAAATTGGTGATAATAGTATCCCGATTACTTAGCCTCAGGACAGGCGTCAGAACGTGTCAGGCTAGTCAGTGTGCTTCCCAGCACCTGAGTCGGAAGCTGAGAAAGTGATTTCTAGAGCAAAGGGCAGCTGTGGTTCCTACCCTGGGGAAAGGGGTGTATCTAAAGGAATGAAGAGGACTTGCAGAGAAAAGCAATGACAAGGAGATCCCTGTAGACATTCAAGTCATTGGTTTGAGGCTTATGTGGTGGTTTGGTAGAATAATGGTCCCCAAGAAAGTAGGTCTCCTTGTAAATGCCCCCTTGCATAGTCCCCTCCCACGTCGATTCTGGGCTTGGCCATGTGGCTTGCTTGGGCCAGTGGGACATCAGCAAATATGATGCAAGTAGAGGCTTGAAAAGCACTTAGGCATTGAAACTTACCTTTTCTCTTGCTGCTGTTCGAACCTCTTCACCACATGAAGAAGCCCGGGCTAGCCTGCTGGAACAGGTGACCCAGCCAATACCCAGCACCAAGTGCCAGACGTCAATGGACCATGGCCAGTAAGAGCATCATAGACCATTCAGCCTCAGTTAAGCCACATGGAAGACACCAGGAGAGCCCAGAAGAAGAACCATCAAACTGAGCTTCACCGAAATGACCCACAGAGTTATGAGCAAATAAAATGGTGGCAGCTTATCCATCAAGTTTTGGAGTCATTCGTCACTCAATAATAGGAGACCTTTCTGCCATCATGTGAAGAAGGTGACTATAGGAGAAGAAACCATGTAGAAAGAAAGGCCCAGATATTCTAACCACTCCACCTATCCCCACCATCTGGCTGAAGTCACAGATATAACACAAAGCCCAGTTGACCCTGAAGGGAGCAGAAATAAGTCTCCCAGATGAGTCCAGTCCAAGCTGCCAATCCACACTTTCATAAACAAATTGATGTTTGTTTAAACTTGGAAGTGTAAAAAGTCACCACATTTGGAATGGCTTGTTATGCAGGAAAAGCTAACTCAAATCACTTTCTTAAAGCCATCCATTCTTGTCTTTTTTGTGAAGGCATTTGCCCATGCTGCTGAAGCAAGATCATAAGGGCATTCCTCATATCCAATCATTTCTCTCTTGACAACAAAAATCCTAATTTGGTATAGGGAGGCAATTTACACAAGCAAATACTTACCCTGTCCGTTTTCCTTGCTGCTAGATATGGTTATATGACACAGTTAAAGCTACAAAGAGGTTATGAACAATTGATAAAATGGAGCACACTCTTTTCACTTTCTGCCTTCTTTACTAGAACACAGATGTGATGACTGGAGCCACAGCAGCTGTTTTCAGAATGGGAGTAAAAGAGAAAGTTTTTAAAGAATTACAGAGATGCCAGACCTGATATTGTTGAGCTGCAAAAGCAATACAGCTCAACAAAATAATACAGTGACCATCTTACTCCAGAAATGTACAAGAACTACAGAAACTTGGTTCCAAGACACCTCTTTAATGTGGGTTTCTGGCTGGGCACATTGGCTTACGCCTGTAATACCAGCACTTTGGGAGACCAAGGCTGGAGAATTGCTTGAGCCCAGGAGTTCGAGACCAGCCTGGACAACATGGTGAAACCCTGTCTCTCCAAAAAAAATACAAAAAATTAGCTGGGCATGGTGACACATGCCTGTAGTCCCAGCTACTCTGGAAGCTGAGGGGAGGATCGCTTGAGCCCAGGAGGCAGAGGTTGCAGTGAGCTGAGATCGCACCACTGCACTCCAGACCCTGTCTTATAAAAAAAAGTGTGTGTGTGTGTATATGTGTGTTGGGCGGGGTCAGAGGGAGCCTGTTGCATACAGCCAAATACAATCTGAAAAGAAATGACTTGAGATAGATTTCTGTCCCTGTGACTAGAAGACTTGTGATTAATGATTTGGTCTTCCCATTGGAGAATTCTGTGATCACCGCTGCATGCCATACTGTAAAGTACACCAATCCCCCATTCTTTCCAGCCCATGCACAGACATAAACTTATTTCCCTCTTTCACTTTAAAATCAGTGAGATACATGGATACTTTTTAAAAGTTATTAAAACTCAAGCAAGGCCAGGCAAGGTGGCTCATACCTGTAATACCAGCACTTTGGGAGGCTGAGGCAGGCAAATCACAAGGTCAGGAGTTCAAGACCAGCCTGGCCTACGTGGTGAAACCCCGTGTCTACTAAAAATACAAAAACTAGCCAAGCGTGGTAGTGCTTGTCTGTAGTCCCAGGTATTTGGGAGGCTGAGGCAGGAGGACTGCTTGAACCTAGGAGGCAGAGGTTGCAGTGAGCCATAATTGCACCACTGCACTCCAGTCTGGGTGACTGAGCAAGTCTCCATCTCCAAAAAAATAAAAATGAAAATAAAATAAAACTCAAGCAAGAGCATGAGAGAAATAATGACAAACACCATAAACAGCATTAAACTGCTGTGTTCCTATCACATTTGGCCCTGAAATTACCAAACATGCTTTGTGAGCCCCCACTCTAATCTCTTTAGGATAGTGTGATACGGTTTGGCTCTGTGTCCCTACCCAAATCTCACCTCGAATTGTAATCCCTATGTGTCAAGGGAGGGACCTGGTGGTTGGTGACTGGATCATGGGGATGGTTTCCCCCAGGCTGTTCCCAGGATAGCGAGGAAGTTCTCACAAGATCTGATGATTTTGTAAGTGGCAGTTTTCTCTGCTCTCTGTATCTCTCATTCTGTCTTGTGAAGAAGGTGCCTGCTTCCCCTTTGCCTTCCACCATGATTATAAGCTTCCTGAGGCCTCCCTAGCCATGGGGAACTGTAAGTCAATTAAACCACTTTCCTTTATAAATCATCCAGTCTTGGGCAGTTCTTTAGAGCAGGGTGAAAATTGACTAACACATAGTGGTTCTCAAAGTGTAGTCCCCTGACTAGAAGCAAGGGCATCACCTGAGAACTTGTTAGAAATGCAAATTCTCAGGCCCCACTCCAAATCTGTTAAATCAGAAACTCTACAAGCGGCGTTAGCAATGTGTGTTTTATAAGCCCTGCAGGTGATTCTGATGCAGCCACTGTTTGAGAGCCACTATCTTAAGAAAATTATTTGCCAATTTTTGATGGACAGTTAAGCCCTAGTTCTTACTCTTCTAAGGCAGTGCTGGATCATGGGTAGGGCTGAGCATTTGGAGCCAAAGAGAACCTGATGTTATACGGTGACTCTGCCTTATTAGCTGTGCAATCTTGGGCCAGTTGATCAACCTCTAACACCTTGAGGTTTTAATTTCTTCATGGGTAAAAAGGGATATTGCTTGATAAGATTTTTTAAGGATTAAATGAGATGAGACTGGCAACATGCCATCCATGCCTGTCCCAGTGCGGGTAGTAAAGAAAGTCAGCTGGTTCTCTACATAAAGTCAGCTTAGTAGCTCTGTGGCCACAGGTCATCCCAGCAACAAACATCCTAAAGTATACAGCCATTTCATTTCCAAAAATAAAAAATCAGGCCGGGTGCAGTAGCTCAGGCCTGTAATATCAGCAATTTGGGAGGCCGAGGCCGGTGGATCACCTGAAGTCAGGAGTTTGAGACCAGCCTGGCCAACATGGTAAACCCCATGTCTACTAAAAATACCAACAATTAGCTGGGGGTGGTGGCGTGCACCTGTAATCCCAGCTACTTGGGAGGCTGAGGCAGGAGAATCGCTTGAACCCAGGAGGCAGATGTTGCAGTGAGTCCAGATCGTGCCATTGCACTCCAGCCTGGGTGACAAGAGCAACACTGTCTCAAAAATAAATAAATAATAATAATAAATAAAAAATCGGTTTCCTAAGTCCAATTCAAATCTCTCAATACTCTTAGATACTGCAACTTCAGCCAAGTGTCAACATGAAGAGCACAGCTCTTCATAGCTTCACAGCTGATTTGCTGAAATTATTGGCAGTCATCACTCCCCAGTAGTTGGTATGGCCCTTTTTTGGCTTGTATTAGAGGAACTGCCCACCTCTTGAGCACCTCTATCCTCTTTACCTCCAAAGGTCTTCTGTCAGTCCACTTCTTTCCATTAAGTGAGAAAACAGCCTTTAACCATATCATAAATACATTCAGAGTTAATCACATTCAGAAACAATTGTTCGTGGAAAGGACGCAATTCAGAAACATCCAACTATAAGACAGACACTTGACATGGTTTGCTATTTTTTTAGTTTATCATTTTGAATAAGGAATCCATACCTATGATTAAAAGATTCAAATACTATACAAGAGGATGTTATGCAAAGTTATTCTCTTTCCTACCTCTGAAACTTAAATCCCTACCCAGAGGCAACCATGCTTATCAGCTTTTTGGATAAACTTCTAGAAATAGACCATAGAGTATGCAGAAAAATCAAGAGGAAAAAAGCATAAATATATATACAAATATATATAGTATACAGGATATATTTCTCTCACTGTTTTCCACAAAATGTAATTAATATATTATTACCTATGCTATCTGCACCAAGAATATGGAAAGCAACGGGACAGAGGGAGGCTGACTAAAAAGAGACCTTAATAATCTGCAAAGTCCTACAGTGGGGAAACCTGAGCGTTCTAATGACATTATCTGCAAAATAAAAGGATCTTGTCCTGTGCCTCTGGCTATACACAAATGCTCCCTTGATTATGGTCTCTGCATCTCTGTGCATGCGTGCAAGTCATACACGCACATGTCTGCCTTACTGTGAACACAAATTGGCCACACCCATCTTTGGGGATCAATGTGTTCTCTATCCCGCTGGCCTGGCCATTCAAGAATCCTAGATGGGGTGGGGCATGGTGGCTCACGCCTGTAATCCCAGCACTTTGGGAGGCCGAGGTGGGGGATCACCTGAGGTCGGGAGTTCAAGACCAGACTGACTAACATGGAGAAACCCCTTCTCTACTAAAAATACAAAATTAGCCGGGCATAGTGGCACATGCCTGTAATCCCAGCTACTCAGGAGGCTGAGGCAGGAGAATTGCTTGAACTGCTTGAACCTGGGAGGTGGAGGTTGCGGTAAGCTGAGATGGCGCCATTGCATTCTAGCCTGGGCAACAAGAGTGAAACTCCGTCTCAAAAAAAAAAAAAAAAGAATCCTAGTCCCTAGGCCTCTGGAAGTCCCTTGCACTGCTGACCGGCTCCCCATTTGCTTCCCTTGTGCCTGTTAAATCTAGAAAACAGTTACAACAAACAACTGAGGCTTTGTCTTAGTCCATTCCAGTTGCTCTAACAAAACATAAACTGGATGGCTCATAAAAAACAAAAATTTGGTGGCTCATGCCTGTAATCCCAGCACTTTGGGAGGCCGAGGTGGGCAGATCACTCGAGGTTAAGAGGCACGAGAATTGCTTGAACCTGGGAGGCCAAGTTGCAGCAAGCTGAAATCCCGCCACTGCACTGTAGCCTGGGTACAAGACTTCCTCTCAAAAAAATAAAAAAAGAAAAACCCAGAAATTTATTTCTTACAGTTCTAGGGGCTGGGAAGTCCAAGATCAAGATGCCAGCAGATTCACTGTCTGGTGAGCACCCACTTCCTGATTCATAGATGGTGGCCTCTCACCCTGTCTTTATATGGTGGATGGTGCAAGGGAGCAATCTCACTGAAGTCTCTTTTGTAAGGGCACTAATCCCCCTCATAAAGACTCCACCCTCATGATCTGACTACCCCACCCACCCTAGGCCCTGCTTCCTAACACTGTCACATTGGAGATCAGGTTTCAACATACAAATTTTGGTGCAGCATACAAAATTTGGTGGCTCATGCCTGTAATCCCAGTACTTTGGGAAGCTGAAGTGGGCGGATCACAGTCAGCTCATAGCAAGCGTGAATGTCATTTTATTATTATTTTTTACTTCATTCCTTTAGTAATTTATGTCTATGGTATTTTACAAATATATCGGTTTACAAAATATTGGACATTATTAATAAATCAAACAAATAAAATGAACAGCCCCTACTCTTTCCCACAGATAATTTGGAAATCACTTCTCTAAAACCACTACACCATACTTGCTCCCTAACTGAAGGGAAGTCTAGGGCTATCAAGATGCACACACACACATGCATGTGTGTGTCCCACTCAATTCCCATTTCCTATAGGTTGCATTTCCTCATGATTTTAGCAGTGCCCCTGTATATCCAGCCCCATCGGATGAAGATTGCCATTGCCCAAACCCCTCAAGCTATGTGAATTTTGATTTGTCACTTTCTAGCTTCAGAATCTCTTGGCCAAGTCATTCAGCCTTTTGCAGGTTCCATTTTCTCCTCCGCAGAATGAAGGTAAAGCCCACCGACCCCGTGCCACTCACTGTGTGGCAACTCAAATGTAATGACTTAAGCCTGCAAAGCACTTAGCACAACACCCAGAACAAGCACTAGCAATCAATAAAGGGCAGACACAATTATCATGAGGAAGAAACACTGCAATAAAGAAATTCAGGCCAGGCACGGTGGCTCATGCCTGTAATCCCAGCACTTTGGGAGGCTGAGGTGGGCGGATCACCTGAGGTCAGGAGTTCAAGACCAGCCTGCCCAACACGGTGAAACTCCATCTCTACCAAAAATACAAGAATTAGCCAGGCATAGTGGCGCATGCCTGTAACCCCAGCTACGCAGGAGGCTGAGGCAAGAGAATCTCTTGAACCCAGGGGGCGGAGGTTGCAGTGAGCCAAGATCGTGCCACTGCATTCCAGCCTGGGTGACAGAGTGAGACTCTGTCTCAAAAAAAATATATAATATTAGTCATTCATCAACTCCATCAGCATTTTCGAAAAGGAGCTCCCGACTCTCTGCTAGGCACTAGGAAGGCAAAGGGTTGTGTTTCTCTCAACAAAATTAGACAAATTTCCTCTTCAACTCAGAATGGTTACAGCCTAACTTCTCACCAAAGTCTAAAACTCGAGTTAAATTTTAATCCTGATAGGCAGAGCAATGCCCCATGGCAATGCAAGATGCCCGATCACCAAGCAAAAATGTAATTATTTTCATTCTGCTCCAGAAACTTAGAAAGGTGAGTGAACTAACACAGTTTAGAAAGATTTTCAATATCCAGGGATACAAAAAGGCAGGTTTTATTTAACCTTCGGTTTAACAGAAATTCAGTTAACTAGAGACCTTACAGGTGGAGTATTCCTAGTGAATGGCTGTTAGGGTTTGCTGGTGAGTCATTTACATAATGACTCAGGGGGCTGGCAGCCCTGGGGCTTGGGGATAATGGAAGGAAAAGGGCAGAGGATGGCTTTGGGAAATGTTGATTTAGTCCCTGAGGATTTGGGCAGAAATTTCTTAATCACTAGGGGAAAGAAATTTGCCTGGTAGGAATGGGAATATTTTTTACCTTGCCAAACTCACAGACCTCTTCACGCCCAGGTTGGCGTTGTGTTTACGTGCCTGCAGGGGTGTAGGGATACGGAAGAGAACACTGAAATTTGATTTATTTATCTTTGTTGGTATGCCCCCAATGCTTTAATGGCTCAGATCCTCCCACGGAAATAAATCCATTTGTCAAATTAGTCAGGGTTCCCAGATTATTCTCTCTCCACCCTCGCACTGGACTATCCCTATAAAGAAAATTCTAGTTCCTTTCCCCAGTGGAGCCATCTTCTATCAATCTGTTCCTGAAATCTGTCTGGATATGCTGAAATCTAAACAATCCATCTGAAACCCTGGGGCTAGCTGCTCAGGGTGAAGCATACTCCAGTGAGATGAGGAGGAAGAGGAAAAATAAACACTTGATCAGTGGGTGCATTTGCCTCACCAAGAAGCTCCTTCCTGTTGTGGTTTGTGATATCCCTGGGACAACCGTGGCCAGACAGTGAAGGCGCCATATGCAGTGGGCTTGAGGTCAGACCTGCCTGGGTCCATGCCCTGTTGGTTGGCTGATATGTGGGCTCTGGATGGGGACAAGTCCCTCCTGGTGTTTCACTTTCCCCAGCTATAAAATGGGTACAAGCAGAATAACAAAACCTGCCCTGTGAGGTTTATGGAGGATGAACCAGGTAACACAGTATGTGCCCCAGAATGAATCTTACTACTGTCTCAGAAACAAGGCTTCATCTTTTTGCTGGCTTATGGCTATGCAGAGTGGTGACAGCTACTCTGATTTGCAAAAGCTGAGTAAATATAGCTTTTATACTTATACTTTTGGCTCAGGCCCTAAATATCCCTTGTCTGGCATTTCCAACTACTTTTTGTGCCCTTAAGACAGAAGCTTCATTCTATGCCCTCATTAATCCATTACTTCAAAAATGCTTGCTGAACACCTATTAAGTTCTAGTCAGAGTGACAGGCTGTGAGTCTCTACAGGGGAGCAACTGAGCAGAGGTACTCAGGGCAGGTGTTCACTAAGGATTCCTAGAGCTGGGTTGCCAGGGTCAGCTGAGCAGCAGTGTACAGTGAAACACACAGGGCTGCAACCACAGAGCCTAGGGCAGGGCTCTCACCTTAGAGCAAAGGTAAGTCCTCACCATATGAAGCAAGAACTTCCCCTTTCACTCATACAATCCAGCCAGATCTTTCATTCAGCAAACAGGCAGTTAATGCCCTGTGCAACCAGCCTTAGTAACATCCTTTCTTGAAGTTTGCTCTTTTTAACAGGTGCTTACAAATGTTTAACTTTGTAAAGTTTTTTGTTTGTTTTATGTGTGCGTGTTTCTCCTCCTTAACCCACACTTTACCCTGTCAGCGTCCTCCTGGCTCCGGTTAACTCATTCGCTTTGCAAACCTGAGCACATACTTGAAATTCAAAATCACTTCTTGGCCAGGCGCCTGTAATCCCAGCACTTTGAGAGCCCAAGGCAGGCGGATCACTTGAGGTCAGGAGTTCGAGACCAGCCTGGCCAACATGGTGAAACCCCATCTCTACCAAACAATACAAAAATTAGCCGCGCATGATGGTGGGCACCTGTAATCCCAGCTACTTGGGAGGCTGAGGTGGGAGAATCACTTGAGCCTGGGAGGTGGAGGTTGCAGTGAGCCCAGATCACGCCACTGCACTCCAGCCTGGGTGATGGAGTGAGAACTTGTCTCAAAAAAAAAAAAAAAAAAATCACTCTTTGAAGGAGTGGTGCTCTTAACTCCCCTCCTCCAGAATATGAATTTCAGACTCCTCCAAAGAGAGATCCAGTTACTCCAGAGGTAATTGTTAGGCATGTACCATAAGGAGGCCACTGCACTGGAGAACGGGGGAGTTATATTGGCACAATAAAGCCTAGGCTCGTAGCGAGACAGGCAATGACGACCAAATGAGCAAACGAAATCACCCTTGTGATCAGTGTTATGCAGCAGACAAAAACGGCTGAGTGGGGCAACCAGCTAGTTAGCAAAGGCCCCTTCATGAACTTAATTTGAAGCATAAAGAACACAAAATATTTAGCTTTGAGAAGAGAGAGATGAAGAGCATGCCAGGTCCAGGGGATGGTCATGTCACAGGCTGAGGTTATCATGAGCTTGGTATAGGCAGGAAGCCAAGGACTGGTGTGGCTCAGTGGGCAACTGGGAGGCTGGCAAGGGATGAGGCTGGAAGGATGGTGAAGAGTCAGGCTCATGAATGGATGTGGAGCTGCAAGGTGACGGCTTCATCATCCACTGATGGGTCAAAGAGGCATGTGGAATATGAAGACAAAGAAACTCAGCCATCGTGGTCAACGTCTAGGCCAGATAGGTGGCCGGGGTTACGCCCACTCCATGGCACTGCCTGAGTCTAACTCTTGGCTCTGCAAATCACTAGCTGCGTGGCCATGGGCAAGATGCTTAAGCTTCTTATGCCTCTGTTTTCTCATCTGTGAAATGAGGATAATGATCATAATGCCTACCTCGCAGGTGAGGGTTACATGAATGAATGCATATAAAGCTCTTAGAAAGGTACTGGATACACTAAGCATTCAACAAATGTTAGCTGCTTCTATTTATTAGAATTTGTGAATTCTCTATCATCTGAGGTGTAATCCTCAAGCTCCCAGGCTCAAAAACCCAGCTGTCAACTCATGGAAAGTAGACAGTCACATGTACCCAGCCCACAGAATCAGATACATAAAACCAGACTGCCAGTTTACTGATTAACACAAGTAAAGTGCTACTGATTACTAGCACTTTGGGAGGCCGAGGCAGGTGCATCACCTGAGCTCAGACCACCCTGGGCAACATGGTGAAACCCTGTCTCTACTAAAATACAAAAAATTAGCTAGGTATGGTGGCGTGTGCCTGTAGTCCCAGCTACTCAGGAGGCTGAGGCACAAGAATCTCTTGAGTCCCAGAGGCAGAGGTTGCAGTGAGCCAAGATAGCGCCACTGCACCCTAGCTTGGGCCACAGAGTGAGACTCCATCTCAAAAAAAAAAGAAAAAGGAAAGCACGGAAGACACATTACCCCTGGAGGCCACTTCCACCCTCTTTTTGCTTCTCTTGGAGACTGCTTTTTGGAAAGAGACATTCATTCTTTAGATATTGTTATGGACAGAACGTTTGTGTCCCCTTGAAATTCACATGTTGAAATTCTAACCTCCAATGTGTTGCTGTGGACAGCTGATCTGATACCTCAGTTCTTGTCTTCTTCTTCTTCTTCTTTTTTCTTTCTTTTCTTTTCTTTTTTTTTTTTTTTTTTTTTTTTTTTTTTTTTTTTTTTTTTGAGATGGAGTTTTGCTCTTTTGCCCAGGTTAGAGTGAAGGGGTGCGATCTTGGCTGAGCTCACTGAAATCTCCACAGCTGTCCCACACCCGCCCCACCCTGCCACTAGGGTTCAAACAATTCTCCTGCCTCAGCCTCCTGAGTATCTGGGATTACAGGCGCATGCCACCATGGCTGGCTAATTTTTGTATCTTTAGTAGAAACGGGGTTTCACCATGTTGGCTAGGCTGGTTGCAGACCTCAGGTGATCCACTCCCCCGGCCAGCCTCCCAAAGTGCTGGGATTACAGGCCTGAGCCACTGTACCTGGCTGGTTCTTTTCTTCTTAGTGTAAAATAATTTAAATAAGAGACACACAGCAAAGGAGGTGCAGCACAGAGTAATGTATTGCAAAAGAATATTTTGAAAGTTAAGTGCAGAGGCCGGGCACGGTGGCTCATGCCTGCAATCCCAGTACTTTGGGAGGCCGAGGAGGGCAGATCACCTGAGGTCAGGAGTTCATGACCAGCCTGGCCAACATGGTGAAACCCTGGCTCTACTGAAAATACAAAAATTAGCTGGGCATGGGGGCGGGCACCTGTAATCCCAGCTACTTGGGAGGCTGAGGCAGGAAAATTGCTTGAACCTGGGAAGCGGAGGTTGCAGTGAGCCGAGACCATGCCGTTGCACCACTGCACTTCAGCCTGGGCAATGAGAGTGAAACTCTGTCTCAAAAAAAAAAGAAAGGAAAGAAGGAAAGAAAGAAAGAAAGAAGGAAGGAAGGAAGGAAGGAAGGAAGGAAGGAAGGAAGGAAGGAAAGAGAGAGAGAGAGAAAGAGAAAGAAAGAAAGAAAGAAAGGGAACAAGAAAGAGAGAGAGGGAGGGAGGGAGGGAAGGAAAGAAGGAAGGAAGGAAGGAAGGAAGGAAGGAAGGAAGGAAGGAAGGAAGGAAGGAAGGAAGGAAGGAAGTTAAGTGCAGAATAGATAGTGCACCCTGAAAGATAGAGGATTCAGAGTGGGCTGATTGTAAGTATGAGACAGCAAAGACTGGCACTAGGGAGACTCCCTTTATGGGAGTCTTACACGATTATAAAGAGATGGAAAGAGGTGTTACTAGTAAGCATGTTGTGGATGGTCTTCTGGGTGCTCATGTGCAATAGTTGTTCATGCTTGCTTCTATACCGCATGTCTCGTTAACATCTTAAATCTCCACCCAAGGGGGTGTTTTTACTATTATAATGAGCAAAGGGTCAGTTTGAGGACAGGTAAAATCAAAATGCACAGGCTATCTAGAAGGGAAAGTTCCTACGGGAAGATAGCATTGCTAGAATGTGCCCAATTACAATGTGAATGCTGAGGCTTATTGTGTTGACTGTAGGGTCACCACAGTTGCTGCGTCTGGAGAACATTGACTACCTATCCTGCCTCATTGGTATTAGGAGGTGAGGCCTCTGGGAGGTTAGTAGGTCATGATGGTGGAGCTCCCAGGAGTGGGATAAGTGCCTTTATGAAAGGGACCCCAGAGAGCTCTCTTGCCCTCTCTCTGCCATGACAGGATGCAACCAGAAGATGGCAGTCTGCAACTCATTAGAATCTAACCATGCTGGCACCTTGATCTCAGATTTGCAGTTTCCAGAATTGTGAGAACTAAATTTCTCTTATTTATAAGCCACCCAGTCTATTGCACTATGTTATCACAGCACAAACTAAGATAGGCATGTTAATGCCTTTGAGAGTTACTGATGTATTCTATGTATCTTTGATCTTATTCTTACAGAAAAGACAAGGTCACGGCATCCTTGCCCTCAAGAGCCAAACAGATAATATTTTTGAAGATAGATATGCATGGTGGAATGGAAATTGCTAGAAGTGGGCTGCCCATTAAAAATATAACGCAAGCCCAAATGCAAACCACATACATAATCTAAATTTTTATAGTGGCCACATTTTTAAAAAGTGGAAAAAAAAAAAAACCAAGTGATTTAATTTTAATAACATATTCCACTTAACCAAATAAATTCAAAATTTGTCATTTCAACATGTAATCAATATTTTAAAATTAGTAAGGTATTTTACTTTTTTGTATTGTCTTGGAAGTTGGTATACATTTTGCATTTATGACATACTTCAGTTCAGACTAGTTACATTGCAGATGCTCAATAGCCACATGTGACCAGCGGCTGCCATGTTGAGCTACAGAGCTGTTATTTCTTGGTGAACTTGGCTGTGTTTCCTGGGCCCAATTTCTTAACCTCTCTGAAATTCAACTGCCTAGTCTACAGTGCCTGACACATCATAGGCATTTAGTAATTTAGAATTAATTTTCTCATCTGTAAATTAAGAATAATTCTATACCATTAAGACTGTTGTGAGCACAAATAGAGGTGGCTCATAAAAAGCCCTTTTATTTATTCATTTAACCATAGCTTATTGAGCCTAGCACGTGTCAACCACTGTGCTAGGAGCTAAGGATGCCTCCAGTGAACGAACAAAATCTCTGACTTCATACAGCTTATAGTCTAACTAGGAGAGACAATAAACAAAAATAATTTAGCAAATTATACAGAATACTAAAAGGTGATAAGGGAGTAGAATAAGTGATAGATAACAGAGCAGGAAAGGGGATAAGGAGCATATATGTGAGAACACTTAGAATTTTAAATAGGGGTTTCAGGGAAGACTCACCAAGGTGCTAATATCTGAGTCAAGGCTTAAAGGAATGGCTGGGTGCGGTGGCTCACACCTGTAATCCCAGCACTGTGGGAGGCCGAGGTGGGTGGATCACTTGAGATCAGGAGTTTGAGACCAGCCTGGCCAATGTGGCGAAACCCTGTCTCTACTAAAAATACACAAATTAGTGAGGTGGGCACCTATAATCGTAGCTACTCAGGAGGCTGAGGCAGGAGAATCACTTGAACCTGGGAGGTGGAGGTTGCAGTGAGCTGAGATTGTGCCACTGCACTCCAGCCTGGGTGACAGAGCAAGACCCTGTCTCAAAAAAAAAAAAAAAAAAAAAAGACTTAAAGGAGCACTCTGTGAAGATATTGGGGAGGAACTTGGTGAGGAGGGGAAGTACTCCAAGCAAAAGGAAAGAAGGAACAGCCATGGGGGAGAAACAATAAGGGGCTAGTATGTCTGGAGGTGTAAATGATGAGGTGTCAGAGAGGTTATGGGGGAGTGGGGTCTTAGGAGCTATTGTAGGAAGTTGGCCCTTCTGCAAGGAAGATGGGGAGCCATGGTAGGGTTTTGAGCAAAGTGACCTAGCTTGGCTGTCAGTCTGTCAGGATCCCTGGGGCTACTGTGTTGTGAATAGACTTTAGTGGAGTGAGTAATCCACGGAGATCCCTTCGCCCCAGGCCAGATAGGAATGACCAACTGCATTTGTTGAGCCCTGTGTCCTAAATGCTGGGTGGGTGGTCCCCCCAACCCATTTGTCCTGCAGAAAGCCACGCTGAAGAAATACTGTCTTCCTCTCTCATGTCTGAAGGTTTCTTCCCTGGAAGCATGAAGAATGCCCAAGGAAAGAAAAGGAGGTCAGGTTTGCTCTGCTGAAGCCGCTCTCATTATTGACAGCTTTGTGTCCTCTCCGAATATCTCATCCTCTTCTTGTTGCAGAAGAAGTGCAAAATAAGACTCTTAGAATTTAGATTATATTTTGAAATCCCCACATTTGGATTTGCAGATATGCCAATATTTGGATTTGTCGAGCTGTAATTTAAGCTGGTCTCTCCCCTGGAACTGCCTGGTGAAATGCATCTTTCATGAGGTTTCTGCAGGAGCCCAGCTACAAGCTCAGACTCCCAAGCACAAATCAAACTCTGGTTCAACATAAACAATATGATGTCAGGGCCTCCTAAAACAGCAGGCCTCCAGCAGGGACTGGCTTCAATGTCTCCCCACCCATGTACCTTCTTCCAGGAAAAGATTAAAAGCTTCCTCACAGACAATTTAGCTGCAGGATTAATACATGGAGAGCTGGTTTGGGGTGGGCTGCAGCCTCAGACCCCTTCTCAGAGTACCTGCTTTTCACCCCTACCCACAGGGTAAACTAGCTCTTGCCCAGACAGCTTCAGAATCTGCTCTGTTGATCTAAGCAAATAAAATGCAGAAGCCAAGGAAAAGGATGTCATTCCACAGCCTCCGGGCTTCCTTCCTTCATCTGAAGGTCAAGTAATAATTCAGCCAAAATGTGAAACTCTTTATGCAGGACTTACAGTCAAAGGCAGGCAGGCTGGGAGGGCTAAGGAAAGCAGTTACAGGCCAGCAGCTCTCAAAGGTGAGACAGGCCCAGGCCTCACCTATTGTGAAGAGTCTGATTTTAAAATAAAAATGAATGCCAAAAGCAGGCTATAATATGTACTGTCCCTTTTATTGGATGGCCCTGTCTATGCAGCTGCTGCTGTATGTATAACCTCGCCTGGCAATGGGGGCTCGTTGTAAGAGTGGGGACTGGACTAAAACATCAATTTCTCTTTGCTCTTCTCCCCCTTTCCTGCTCTATCCTAGCAATATCCCCAGCTTCACCCTCATGACAGCCCTTGGCTTAGGGAGAGCAATGACCAAGACAGGGAGGCACCCGAGCAGGGTGGCCAGCTGTCCTAGTTTGCCTAGAATGTGGTGGGCCTTTCAGTGCTAAAACCAGGAAAGTCTTCGGCCAACTAAGTATGTTGGTCACTCAGACCTGTCAGTTTCTGGCTGAGCAAACAAACATATATGCTGGTGTTCCCTGAGGCTGCTGGACAGTGTGAAAAACAGACCTGGAAGCAGCCAGGTTTGGATTCGAATCCAGCCTCTCCCCTTGCAGTGGGCAAGATTCATATTGACCTCCCTGGGCCTTTGTATTCTTATTTGGGAAATGTCAACCATAGGACTGATAGGGAGATTTTGTAAGAGGATGCCCACAATAAATGGTTGGTTACCTTTTTATTCCCCATTACAAAATCTTATCTAGGCTGGGTATGGTGGCTCAGGCCTGTAATCCCAGCACTTTGGGAGGCCCCGGCAGGCAGATCATGAGGTCAAGAGTTTGAGACCAGCCTGGCCAACATGGTGAAACCCCATCTCTACTAAAAATACAAAAATTAGCCAGGTGTGGTGGCGCACGCCTGTAGTCACAGCTACTCAGGAGGCTGAGGCAGGAGAATCACTTGACTTGGGAGGTGGAGGTTGCAGTGAACTGAGATAGCGCCACTGCACTCCAGCCTGGGTGACAACATGAGACTCTGTCGCAAAAAAAAAAAAAAAAAAAAAAAAAAACAAAAATCATTGTCTTCATTTTAAAATCATTATCCTGGAGTGTCAATAATGCCTGGCATCTACATAGCCTTTAGGATTTACAAGGTGCTTCCATATAGAGGGTTTCATCTGAGGATTCACAAGTGAGGCAAACAGTATCATCAGCCTCCCTTTAGAGTTTGGAAAAAGAAGCCCGGAGTGGAGAAGAGACATCTCGGAGATGATGCAGTTGGCAAATAGGATTAGCCCAGGTCATCTGGCTCCATTTGCTATTGCTTACCTCCAAAAGTCACAACAAAACCCCAGCAGTGAATAAGAGGTGCAGGTAAGTCTAAGGATTTCCCACTGTAAGGAAGGTGTGGAGGGAGCTGTTTCCCAGCAAACTCGCTCAGCCCTTTGCTGCTGCCATGAGCTTGGGGCCCAGCCTAGGGAACAGGCAGAGTTCCAGATTGCCTAATCAAGATAATTCTGCCCTTGTGCTCCTGTTTTGTATTTCTTGGAGCAAGCCATTTAAACTGAGATCTCTACCACACCTGCAGAGTCAGGGCCGACGCCTTGTCAGGCAGAAATGTCAGTTCTCAATTATTCCCCACTGGTCTAGACAGGAGTACTGTGAGAGTGACTAACTGGCATTCAACACAACTTGTTTTTATTGAGTGCCTCCTCCGAAGAGGTGTGTGGGATGTGACACTCGGGTCACTGTTGGGGGGATGAAGCTGCCGTATGGCTGAGAATTCAAACCCAACTAATATTTCTTTATCGAACTGCTGCTCTTGGGGAAGGCATTTTCCCAGCCTGCTCTTTGCTTTCCTCCAGCCTCCATCTGCCTGGGATGCCTTTCCTCCCACAGCCCAGGCCTCTGTGGGACCTGCTTCCTTTCTTGCTCCTGCAGTCCATTTCCTGTAGGGCAGCTGCCTGGATGCCCTTAAACTCAAAGGCTCGCCCACCTCTCTACCTGCACCTCCTGTCATAGCTACATTCACTCACTGTACTCTGGTCACAACTGTAGTCTTTCCTTTTTCCTAATCACTTCCAGTCTTTTCCCCCTCTAACCTTTGCTCTTGGTCTTCCCTCTGGAGGTAATATCAAGGCTGGCTCCTCATCCTTCAAGTCTCTGCTCATTTCTATTTCCTCAGGAGCCCTTCCCTGACCATCTTAACCCAAGTAGGCCACCCCCATTACCCTCTCCTTACTGACAGCTATTCAATCCCATTTCCCTATTTTACCTTCTTCATAGCCCTGCTCTCTCTCTCTCAGATATTTCCATTGATTCATTTACTTATTTATTATTTGCCTCCTCTCATCAACATGTAAAAGCCATAAGAGCGGGGACGTTGCTTGCTACATCCACAACTGTATCCTTGGAGTCTGGTAAACCCAGACACCCAAATATTTGTTAAATATTGTAGAATCTGTTGGATTCTATTTAAAACAAAGAAGTTAAAAGCATGGGCCTGGCCGGGCACAGTGGCTCATGCCTCTAATCCCAGCACTTTGGGAAGCTGAAGTGGGCAGATCACCTGAAGTCAGGAGTTCAAAACCATCCTGGCCAACATGGCAAAACCCCATCTCTACTAAACTTATAAAAAAATTAGCCCAGTGTGGTGGCAGGCACCTGTAGTCCCAGCTACTCGGGAGGCTGAGGCACGAGAATCGCTTGAACTCGGGAGGTGGAGGTCGCAGTGAGCCAAGATCACGCCGTTGCACTCCAGCCTGGGTGACAGAGTGAGACTCCATCTCAAACAAACACACAAACAAACAAAACAAAAAGCATGGGCCTGGAAGTAAAGTGGGCTTGTGTGATCTTTCCACCTACCAGCTGGGAGAAGCCATGGCCTCTCTAACCTTTCTTCTCCTTTATAAAAGAATCAAGAGCTCACTCCATGGGAGTTATTAATTTTAGAGTTGTGTTTCCCCGATGAGCCCAAGACCCTGTTGGCAGGCACTTGGTCATTAATCTCTGTATCCACCATGCCTTGAAACATCACCTTACCGCCCCAGCATCCTCTATGTCTTATTACAGGACATGTCACAGTGTCCCAAAGAGTCTATTTATTTCTCTGTCTCCTCCAATATGGTGACTACCTGGGGACACGAACATCTAAGAAACCTAGCACAGTGCCCATTGTAGAATTGGATGCACAGTGATTAAGACTAGCAGGCACCCAGTATGTCTTCATGAAATGTATTTTGAACCAAGTCCTCTTTAGAAAAGACATGAATAAATATATTAATTAGAATATGAACTTTAATACATGAATTAGAGAATAATACCAGATAGTATATGATCAAGTGCTGAGTTACACATATTCAGGTAATAAAATGTGTAGTACAGGTATTGGATGGCAAAGGTGGCCAACAGAGAGCTTCCTGGACCAGGCAAGGGACCTAGGTACGTGAGGTGTGGGGGACAGGGACTGGATCCAACTGGAGAATATAGTTCACCCGCAAGGCAACTACCACTTCTCTCCAGCAATTTGTTGCCATCCTGGAATATGGGTCTGATTGTCTCATATCTTTATTTTATTTACAGACAGAGTCTCACTCTGTCACCCAGACTGGAGTGCAATGGCGTGATCTCGGCTCACTGCAACCTCTGCCTCCCGGGTTCAAGCAATTCTCCTGCTTCAGCCTCCTGAATAGCTGGAATTATAGGCGCACCCCACCACTCCCGGCTACTAATTTTGTATTTTTAATAGAGATGGGGTTTCACCATGTTGGCCAGGCTGGTCTCGAACTCCTGATCTCAAGTGATCCTGCCTTGGCCTCCCAAAGTGCTGAAATTACAGGCATGAGCCACCACGCCCAGCCAAGTCTCATATCTTTAGATTTTTCAAATGAAACTGGGAATATGAATTTTTTAATATCTCCCAAGTTTTCAAATTGTTGACAACAAGCTTAAATTTATTAAACAACTATTTGAAATGAGCAAAGCATGTCTGAGAGCCATGTTGTAATCTCTGACCAAATGTTCCAGGTGACAAGACGGATGTTGAACCCTCAACAGGCATTCATGGAAGAATCTACACTAGACGCCAGCTATCAAAAGGCAACATTTCTTCACTCACTCACTCACAGCCCCATAAAACCAGGAAGCAATTCTTGACCTGTGGCCAAATTTTCCCCTAAGGCATCCATCAAGCATTTATTGAGTACCCACTCAGTGCCAGGCATTCAGATATAAAATGGATCAGGGCTTGTTCCCTCTGAGGCTTTATAGTTGGTCAGTTCAAGATATGTTGTTGAGCCACTATTGTGCACCTGAGAACAGCTCATCAAGACAAAAGGAGACACACCTAGTCAGCTAGGCATTGCTTCCTCACCCACCAGATCTCTGACCTAGAGTGCTGGTAGCAAATTGTCCTACAACTGTGTCCTCTCAGTTCAATTCTCCCATTCCCAGCCATCCCAGTAGCACCTAGGAGCAAAGTGGCCTCCCAAATCAGGCAGTAGCAGAGGTCTCCCAATCTGATGAACATAGGATGACCAGCCATAATCTCTATAAGCCTAACTCTTGTCTATAATATGGTGATCATATGATGGCAACAAATATCACTCAGGTAACAGCAGCCCCCCACACCATTTGCTATCAAAAGGACTGGGGTGTGTTGGATTCATTCAGTCACATGCGCCTGAGGCCAGCCAGTCTGAAATTATTGAAACAGAATCGCACAGCACACAGTAGTCTCATGTTGATCTAACTTATACTTCAGACTTGCTGAAGGACTAATTTCTATCACAGCCCTGCCAATATTGATTGTTTGGACTCAAAATTACATAAGTAGAATGATTTTTATTTTTTTCTCCTAAACTAGAAAGGATCACAGTAGTGCTAGTATATTCCTGTTTCCACTGGCTGGTTATACATGCTGGAAAAAATTAGTCAAAAGAAAGCAACTGAAGACAGAATATAGGTCTTGAATCGCATTCTTAAGTCCCCTACGAATAAGTCTGGGTGCTTGCAGTAGTGCCTAAACTTGTTTATTGTAAACAGAGCTGTTAATCCTCCACCCTCACCGGACCCATTATTTTAAAAAAATAAACAACAACAACAACAAAAAAAACACTTTGGTAGCCTACATTTAGGTAAAAGAAACGAAACCAGTGGAGAGGTGGAAGTGTCCTTTTGTGGTGGAGGTTAGTAGGCATTACTGGTCTCCTGTCACTTCCCTAAGTCAACAGGAAGGAAATATATCCACTAGGGCCTCTGCTAATTTGTTTCTAATTTAAGGACAATTAGAATTAGGATGTAGGAATTAGGCAATTCCTACATCCCCTAACCCCCCACCCCCCCAAAAAAAAGCAGTCAGAGCTGCACGCTTCTCTCACTATCCAACGAACTGGTACCTCTCTGGAAATAACGGAGGTTATGAACTTTGTACTAACTTCCAGGGGTATCTAATAAACAGAGCGGTGGTCTTGGGACCCAGTCAGTGAATAAGTCTTCGTTCTGTTTTATACTGTTTCTTTTCTGCGATTTTCTTTTCTACCCCAAAGTTTCCCACTACTAACTCTGAAAACACCTCTAGGATGACGCACTCTTCGAGCTGTCCTGGTGAAGAATCCTTTCTTGTGACCTTTAGGGCAAGAAATATGTTCCAGGAAAGAAAAGAAACGACTGTTCCTCCTTCTCCAGGTACTCTGGGAAAAAACAGGTCAAAGGGAAAAGGCGCAAACACCAAACTCTCCTTCCCTTTCTCATTTCCACACTGGCAAGTTGTGTTTGCCTTCTAACTTGTCTCGGAAGGCAAGCAGAGCTCACAGCACCAGCCCCAGGCGGCGGGTGGATTATTTACAGGGGGATTTAAACCCGCTCCGGCGCGGGGGCGTGGCCGGGCGGAGTCCCGAGGCCCGAGTGGGCGGGGCGGGGGCGGGGCTCCCGGCCGCTCGGCGCAATGTGAAAAAGACCCGAGCTCGGGGAGTGAGCGCCTGTCTCTTTAAATGCCACGGGCTGCGCTCCCGCCCGGGAGCCCGGAGCCGGATCTACAATCCCGTCCCTCCAGCTCCGGTGCTTGTTGCTCGCCCGGCCCAAGCGGGAGCTGTTGCCGCCAGGCTGCGAGGCTGCCGTCCTCTCCTCCTCGCGCCCCACCTCCCCCGAGAGCTGGCTGAGGAGGGGCAGCAGCCCCAGCTGGCGGGAGGAAGCGCGGTGTGAACAGGGATTGCCCCCCGCCTTCAAGTATCGGGGCGCTACGCAGCCGCGGGGGAAAGACATGCCCCTAGTCTGCCCGCTGCGCTGCCCTCTGCCCAGCCTCGCTGCCGCCCGCGCCGGGAGAGGAGGGACTGCCGAGCCTACACCTTCAAACTCGCCCTAGAAGTCTCGGGGCGCGGCAGGGAGCCCTTCCCCAGGCCCCACGGCCTTCACCTCTCCGCGGGTGAGTTTGTGCAGGTAACCCGAGCCTGAGGGCGGGCGCGGGGGAAGGGCGGGCGAGCCGGGAGGAGGTAGCGCTGCAGGTGAGCCAGGTAGGGTGACTCACCTGTCCAGGTCGCGCTCTGAGATCCTCGCTTGTTCCTCTGGGGATGGATGCGTTGGTGGGGAGGAGGCGTCCCCGGGGCTAGTTAGGGCCCGAGGGTGGGAGGGGAAGTTAGCAGAGGAGGGGGGGGATTGGCGTAAAGTTTCTCTTTCCTTCCCTCTTCCTGCCCAAGCTTGGCAGGTAGGGCGCAGGCGGAAGCAGTAGAAGCTGCTGATGCAATGGGCTTTTGCCAGGGCCAGGCGAAGGGCTGGGGACAGGGAGAACAGGAGTTGCCCAGTCTCCTGTGACCGTGACCTTACAGGTGGAGAAACGAGGGAAAGCTCGCTACACCCGAGACTTCCCCCTAAAATGGCTCCAGGTGCTGAGCCCCCACCGATTCTTTTTCGGAACAAAACGCCCTTTTCACGGAGGGGCTCCTGCATGGCTTTCTTGCCTTCCTCTCCCAACAGGTAGCCTCAGCCCCTGTCCGGGGACCTGTGCAAATGACCCTGGAGTTGGTTTCGCTTTCTCCCCTTGCGGCGGTGTGAACGTGTGTCCGCAGCGTGATGGGCAACCAGGTGGAGAAATTGACCCACCTAAGTTACAAGGAAGTTCCCACGGCCGACCCGACTGGCGTGGACCGGGACGACGGGCCCCGCATTGGGGTCTCCTACATTTTCTCCAATGACGATGAGGACGTGGAGCCGCAGCCGCCGCCTCAGGGGCCAGATGGCGGCGGCTTGCCCGACGGTGGGGACGGGCCGCCGCCGCCCCAGCCGCAGCCCTACGATCCGCGGCTGCACGAGGTGGAATGCTCCGTGTTCTACCGGGACGAATGCATCTACCAGAAGAGCTTCGCGCCGGGCTCGGCGGCGCTGAGTACCTACACGCCCGAGAACCTGCTCAACAAGTGCAAGCCGGGCGATCTGGTGGAGTTCGTGTCGCAGGCTCAGTACCCGCACTGGGCCGTATATGTGGGTAACTTCCAGGTGGTGCACCTGCACCGGCTGGAGGTGATTAACAGCTTCCTGACTGACGCCAGCCAGGGCCGTCGCGGCCGCGTGGTCAACGATCTGTACCGCTACAAGCCGCTAAGCTCCAGCGCCGTGGTGCGCAACGCGCTGGCGCACGTGGGTGCCAAGGAGCGCGAGCTGAGCTGGCGCAACTCGGAGAGTTTCGCCGCCTGGTGCCGCTACGGCAAGCGCGAGTTCAAGATCGGCGGCGAGCTGCGCATCGGCAAGCAGCCCTACCGGCTGCAGATTCAGCTGTCGGCGCAGCGCAGCCACACGCTCGAGTTCCAGAGTCTAGAGGACCTGATCATGGAGAAGCGACGCAACGACCAGATCGGGCGCGCGGCCGTGCTGCAGGAGCTCGCCACGCACCTGCACCCGGCGGAGCCGGAGGAGGGCGACAGCAACGTGGCGCGGACTACGCCGCCTCCCGGGCGCCCCCCTGCGCCCAGCTCCGAGGAGGAGGACGGAGAGGCAGTGGCACACTGATGGGCGAGCTGAGCGCAGAGCTGCGAAGGGGAACTGTTTGCAGTAGCAGCCGCTGCTCCCTTTCTCCCTCTCTTCCTCCCTCTTTTGCCACTGTCTGGGCCCCATCTGGGATTCCTGGGCCCTTTGGAAAAGAGTTGGTGAAATGCGCAGCCGGCTGTGGACGGGGGAGGAGGAAGGGGACAGAGGGAGCAGGTAGGAAACACTTTAGTTGGGGGTGGGGGGCGTCTCCCTCTGGCCCCCTGTCTGTCTTCCTCTCCGCGGTGGAGCAAACTGTGGACTTGCCTGGCACTTAAACCTTGGTAGATCTGGGTTTATAATCGGCCATTCTTAAGCACGTGGGGTTGGGGGAAAGTTCGGAGTACCCATTCCTGCCGTTGCTTCCTATCCTGGGCTTGGAAGAATCCTGGTAGAAAGGCCAGAGTGGGTTTGTGGAGTCGCCACTGCGGGACCAGCACGAAAGCTGCTTGTCTGCTTTGGCGGAGCTGAGCTGTGTATGGGATCCAGGAGGCTGGGGTGATTTATTTTATGGGATTCCTGGAGCGCAGGGCTGGTGAATCCATGACAAGGTCCGGGAGCAGCAGACCAAAACCACAGCAGCCTCCTATTAAGTGTAACAAATAGTTAAGCAAACTCGGGCTACAAACAAAGACTTTGCTACCTCCCTCCTCCACAACCCCCAAGTAATTAGCCTTCTGGAGCTGGCTCTTAGCTGAGGCTCCTGCTACCTCCTGCTCCACCCGCCCCTTCCTAGGTTACAAGTAAATCATTGTCAAGGGCCAGCCAGGGGAAGGTTTCAATTAAGGTTCTGTTCTGCTGCCTTTGTTTCTCCCCTGCTGTTGTAGGCACTTACAGCTGCGTTGTTATGAAAGGAGGGAATAGCCCTTTGTGTCTTTGATCTAATTAAACCTGCTTGGCTGTGTTTATCCGCAGGGCAGGTCACAGATAGGGTTGGCTGTGCCACTCCATAAAGTATCTATTGTGGAAGCAGCCAAAAAGGGCTGCTGTGGCAGGAATTGGTTAATTTCTCCTTCCACTTCCCTTCCTGAATAGTGAAGGGAGCCCTTTTAAAACAAGGCTTTGGTGGTAATCCTGTGATTTTTTTTTCTCCCCCATCCCCTCACTGGCCCATCCCTCTCACCCTCACTTTTGTTCTGCTGGTGGGTAAAATCTTAGGCTGAACACATATTTCAATGGTAAGATACTTATTTTGCTATCCACACTTGATGCAATTGAATTCAAGGTGCAAAGTCTTGTACTGAAGCAGTCTCCTTGTTGCTTGGAGAACACCTCCTTCAGAGCCCTTTGTTAAATAAGAGGGGCGACGTTGATCATAGATGCCACCTGGTTAGCACCGAATCTGACTTTGGTGACAGTCCTAAAGCACAGTTGGTGATTGTGAGATCTGTTAGCGGCAGGCTGAGCAGATACTACTTGGTTTTGCTTGGTATGAGATACTACTGTTTGCTTAGTATGAGATTTTTTCCAGCCTGTCTCTTAAACTCCTGTGACATCTTCAATGATATGTGCCCTCAGTTGCAGCATAGCTTCTCTGCTGCCTATTGCCATTGCTGTCTCAAAAGTTGAGTGAATTTTGAGGCGTCTTTTTTTTTTTTTCCTCTCTTGGGAGTCGTTGTAAACTACTGTGTACAAGTCATTTTGTGATATGATTCTGAACAGTTGGAATAGAATCATAGTTAAGTGGTACAGCCATGGCTATCGTCAGGCCTGTTGCCTGGAGATCTCTAAGTTAAGGCAACAAGACTTAAAGAATTTTCTAATACACTTGTTTCACACATGGACGTTGAGGCCATAGTCTTTAAAAGCTTGGACCTTTGTAGCACCTCAACATGAAAGGGCATTAGCTATGTTTCCTGTTTTTACAGTGATCACCAAACAGATCTTGCCACTTTGATTGTTAAAAATGAACCACATTCTAGCCCTGGTCTGGGACTTTGGAGGGAGATGAATTTCTTGTTGGAAATGTAAATCTAGTGTCCATATTTAATACTCTCACAGCTTTGTGTTTATTCTCTTTGCTCATGGAATAGCAGAACAAGATAAACATGGGTTAAGACATTTAGGAGAACCTGCTGTATCTAACCCAGTTGGATTTTCTTTCATGCTTAACACAGTAGTGAAAATAGAAGGTAGGCCGGGCACAGTGGCTCATGCCTGTAATCCCAGCACTTTGGGAGGCTGAGGCAGGTAGATCACCTGAAGTTAGGAGTTCGAGACCAGCCTGGCCAACATGGCGAAACCCTGTCTCTACCACAAATACAGAAAATTAGCTGGGCGTGGTGGCAGGCGCCTGTAATGCCTGCTACTTGGGAGCCTGAGGCAGAAGAATTGCTTGAAGCTGGGAAGCAGAGGTTGCAGTGAGCCGAGATCGCACCACTGCACTCCAGCCTGGGCAGCAGAGCAAGTAGTAATAACCACCGTGTAGACAAGTGGGAGGGAAGAATAGAATGGCACTGTCCAGCTCTGGGCTAGCCAGATCAACTCCCCCACCCGTCTTCTTCCTCTGTCCCAGAATGGAAAATGATGTATGGTCAGTCACGCTGAAGTATAGCAGCGACTGTGTTAAGAGAGAGCAGTGACTCTCTCTTCTAGAGAAGAGGTTTTCAATAACAGGGCTTGGAAATGAACTAGAATAGGAAATAGATCTTTTCAGATGCTGCTTTCCCATGTAATACAAGCGTTTCTACAGGGTACCAGAGGTGTGAAATATGTGACACTTAAGAACAGTGATTTTTATTGGGAATTTTCTTAGGGTTATTACACTTAAAGCAACAACCAACTAGTAACAGCTCCAGGAAAGGGGAATGAATCAACTCTTGGTTCTTTCCTGAAGACGGCAGTGTTGTGGATAAGTGAGTTTTTAATGCCCTGGCAGTGGCTACATTTGACACTTTAGAAAAAATAAACATATTTAATAATTTTTGTTTCTCCTTAGGAATAAGACTGTAGAACTGTTTTGTACTGTGAATTACGGATGCTCTTTGAAGGAAAGAAATATCGATTCTAATGTTCTTCAGAAGTTCTGGCAGGGATAAGCAGGACATCGACTGGAACGTATGCTAAATGAAAGCAGACAAATTTCTATTTTCTTACCTGAGCAAATATTTTATTGAAACTGCTTATGTATGTCAAAGGAGCCCACAACTTCAGCTACACAACTTTTTGTATTGAAAGAACTCATACTTTTTGTAGCTTTTATTTCACATTTAATTTAAAGTGACTTTTAGCACTAAAATGCCTAGAAGATTTTACTCCAGACCTATAAGGAAATGTTTAGTTTTTATGAAAAATGACAAGTCGATGGTTAAACTTCTCATGTCTTTGGTGCTTTGGCCCTAATAGCACTGGACAACACCACGACCACATGGAAACATATTTTTGGAAGCAAAACTTTAATTTTATATAACGTATGCTATGGAGAGCTAAGACAATTTAAGGACTACTTGTTTTCTATTTTTTTTCTTAATAAAATGGAATCCACTGTGTTGAAGACTCTTGATATCATGTGCTTGTCTAACCATTTTTTGTTTTATAAATTAGAATAAAATATAGTTGTGATAATGGTCATCGAATGGATTTGTTTGGAAAGCTACATCTTATTTGTGAAATGTTTTTTAAATCAGAGTAACTATCAACTGATTCAGCTTTTTGTTGTTTTGTTCTTGGCTATAATACTTGTGACTCATGAAGAATTATGTTGACAAACAGGATAAATTCCACATGCATTTTATTTCCCAGTGAGTTGTATAAACTTTATTTTTGTTGAAGGTTGTATGTTAAATCAATGTTACATTCTTATATCACTTCTTGAGAAGGAAGTTCCGATTTGAAATTGTATCATTTCCTTCAAAATGAAGGGCAGTGCTTAGTTAAATAAAAGATTGATGATATCTTTTAAGCCATTTCCTCTTCACTATGTCTTATTAAAATAAAACCTGTCAAGTTCTTTTCAAAAGATGCTATGAGCGTTTCCAATAAACCATCTATTAGAGTTCACTGGATTTTTTTCCACTTGAATACCTTTTTTCTGACATTTTTGGTCCAAATTCAAGCTACTCAGTTTCCTATAATTTCTCTGAGAATATTAGCGTGCATCACCTTTGTATTGCACAGTAAACATTTTGTTGAATTCATTTAGTGACTGAAAACCCTGCATCTACTTTGTGAAAATCAGTTATTGCTGAACTATCAGTGTTCATGAAAAATGACTTATGAACATAAATTTTCAATACATAGTGATTTTTCAGAATCCATGCAAAAATTGTTGGAAACCACACTCATTATGGAGTCTACACTGGGCAGTCTGTTTAGTAGCCCACCGGGAATCTGTGTTGCATCTTAAGTGGCTTCAGAGTTCCAGATGAAGGGAACGTATTTGCCACATAATTACAGAAAATGGGTGAACATAGTGGCACGGCACTGTTGGCATAAGGGATGCAGGTGCCAGTGGTTGGTAAGAGAACAGATGTGGCATCAGACTGGTGTGTGGGATGCCACTGGGTGCACTTCCTAGGCCAGCGCCTGAAGCCACCACCACAATCCTGTGGGGTTCAAATGCCTGGGCTTTTAAACAGGCTCCATGGCCGGGCGCGGTGGCTCACGCCTGTAATCCCAGCACTTTGGGAGGCTGAGACGGGCAGATCACGAGGTCAGGAGATCGAGACCATCCTGGCTAACATGGTGAAAACCCGTCTCTACTAAAAATACAAAAAATTAGCCGGGCCTGGTGGCGGGTACCTGTAGTCCCAGCTCCTCAGGAGGCTGAGTCAGGAGAATGGCGTGAACCCAGGAGGCGGAGCTTGCAGTGAGCCGAGATCGCGCCACTGCACTCCAGCCTGGGCGACAGAGCGAGACTCCGTCTCAAAAAAAACAACAAAAAAAACAGTCTCCTGTGATAATTTTTAATAGGAAGAAAGTTGAATGAAGGTTATAGGGAGCCCAAGCAGCAATGAGGCCATTTATCCCTAAAGCAGAAGTCTAATGTATCATGGCTCTCAGCTCTCATTGATGAGAAAGCAGGGGAAGGGGTACTTAGTACACAATGTGCATTTATTCTTGGGTGATTTTGACGGAGGCTGTGGTTCCTATTTCTCCTATGTGGACTGAGCTCGCTTAATGTAGGAAAATGACATGTTTGCGACTTCCGAAATGAACAGGCCCAGGATATGTGCAGAAAAGCGTTATTTCCTTTTACTGAGTTTTCTGGGGAAACTACTCATTAAACAAATAGCAATTTTATCTGCAGAGTAGATGCAAGAATGGCTAGTGTCTGCATTTGCAATTGCAGTAAGGTACTGTCTATGAAGGGCTAGAAGATGCTGAGCCCTAGCCTGGGAACTAGAAATAAAGAGGTCGAAAAACAAGAACCTTGAGAAATAGTCCTGCCCTTGAGCCTATTTCTAAGGGGAAATCAATTTCACTCGTACATACAGGACAGATTATAATAAAAGGTGGACCTGTAAAGTATGGATGGTTGGTAGATACTCAAAACAGATATGAGAAAGTTTAGAGTTTGAAAACGTATTGGGCATGTGGAGAAATCGGGTAGACCAAATGCATGAAGATACAAATGATGGAGAAAAGGAAGTAACGAATATAACTAATATTCACTAAACAATTAACCTGGAGGCTCTTCAATTCCTTGTGCCTAACATCCAAAGATAAAGCCAATCCTCGCCAGATGTAGTGACTCACACTTGTAATCCCAGTACTTTGGGAGGCCTTGGCAAAGAGATTGCTTGAGCCCAGGAGTTTCAGACCAGCCTGGGCAACATGGTGAGACCCCTGTCTCTACAAAAAATAAACAAAATTAGCCAGGTGTGGTGGCACATGCCTGTGATCCCAGCACTCAGGAGGCTGAGGTGGGAGCATCGCTTGAGCCCAGGAGGTTGAGGCTGCAATGAGCCAAGATCATGCCAATGGCACTCCAGCCTGGGCAGGTGATAGAGTGAGATCCTGACTCAAAAAATAAAAATAGAAAAATAAAGATAAACCAAGTCCATAGTTACTATCATCATGTAACTTTCATTCTAATTAAGTGAGACAGATAACTACTTATCAAAATTGTGATAGGTGAAATGAAGGAAATGTACAGGGTGTATAGGAGAATCTCTCCCCATCAATGAGTCAAAAAAATCTTCCCTGAAGAAGTATTTTTGCTGCACCCCAGAAGTGGAGGAGGGAGCCAGGGGCTTCAGAATGGGTACTGATTACATTAAGGGAGGAAGGCTGGAGAGTGAATGAATGGACCTCAAGTGCCCTCAAAATGCCTTTGCTTCATGCTCCTGGTACACACCCATTTCTCCTTGGGGCTCTCTTCTACAACAAGTTGTCCAACTCGTTCATGTATCTCCAACACTTACACAGTACCAGGCAAAGAAACCCCCACTGAAAATAGTTTGAGTAAATGAATTTTGAGTTTGGACTTTGCCAGACTAAAAAGCCCCTAGATTATCTCAAGATGATGTTGCGACTGGTTTGAAAAGAATGAACGTGATAGTGTTTTTTAGGGTGCATTGAACAGGGAGAGCAAGTAAGTGACTCCATCTTCCCTTCCTCTTAGAAGACAACCTCTAGAACAGAAGGCAACTAGAGGTTGTTCTGGGTGGAAGGGTGCTAAGGATGACTTATATTGCCAGCCAGGTTATGGAATGGATTGTGAAGTCGGGCCTTTGCCTGGGTGCAAATCAACGGACAAGTGGCATTGGCCAGGCTGGATGGAAGAGCAGTAGTAAAATGGAGCAGGAGGGTTTATAACCTGGCTGCCACAGCCTTGGAATTGTGATTGGGGAACAGGTTATTTTGTTCAGTTGGCAAGCCATTGGCATAATATAGTACCTAGTGTCTTGTCCAGTGTGACCATAAATGACTCAAAAGATGCACACTCTGATACTTTCTTTGGAAAACTTATATAATGTAGTTAACTCCAAGAATCTAGTTGTCTTGATAGTCAGTGCATTCTTTTTAAACTCATTACTTTGGAGAATTCTCAGTGACAAAGCTAACCTGCAGGTAGAGGGTCTGACCTGGGCACACCATATTGAATAGTGGTTAAGGCTTTACAGTCAAACGACCTGGTTTTCTCTCCTCCAGCCTTCGCTTATTATTAGGCCAGTAACCTTGGCAGAAGTTACTTTCTTGGAACCCACTTCCTCTTATAACGAGTTAATGGCATCCACCAATTCACTCTCTGAACTTCGGTTGCATTAGTAAAGTAATACAACTAGTATATAATATGTAATAATATAACTGAACTAAATCTACCTTAAAATGGTGCTTGTGAGGACAAAATGGAATACTGCATGTAAATCTCAGATCAATAACTAGTATGGGCCGGGCGTGGTGGCTCACACCTGTAATCCCAGCACTTTGGGAGGCCAAGGCAGGCAGATCACCTGAGGTCAGGAATTTGAGACCAGCCTGGCCAACATGGTGAAACCTCATCTCCACTAAAAATACAAAAATTAGCCAGGCATAGTGGTGTGTGCCTGTAATCCCAGCTACTTTGAGGCTGAGACAGGAGAATCACTTGAACCTGGGAGGCAGAGGTTGCAGTGAGCCGAGATCACGCCACTGTACTCCAGCTTGGGCGACAGAGTGAGACTCCCTCTTAAAAAAAGAAAAGAAAAAAAAACTAGTATGATTGACTAGGGAAATCTGGGGTATTGTTTGTGTTCAAAAGCCTTAGTCAAAATGAAGTTATCGTGTGGGAGAGCGAGGTCTTCCCTTTGGTCTTGGAGAATTTCTTAGCTATGCATGAGAACTTGGTAAGATAAGAAAGAGATAACTAGTAAATACTTCAATTATTTAGCAGATGCCGTAATGTTTGAAATATTTCTTGGCCAGGTGAGGTGGCTCGTGCCTGTAATCCCAGCACTTTAGGAGGCCAAATTGGGAGGCTCTCTTGAGTCTAGTAGTTTGAAACCAGCCTGGGCAATACAGTGAGACTCCATCTCATTAAAACAATAATAATAAGGCCAGGCACAGTGGCTCACGCCTGTAATCTCAACACTTTGGGAGGCTAAGGCAGGCAGGTAATCTGAGGTCAGGAGTTTGAGACCAGTCTGGCCAACATGATGAAATATAAAAATTAGCCAGGTGTGGTGGCACACGCCTGTAGTCCCAGCTACTCAGGAGGCTGAGGCTGAAGAATCGCTTGAACTTGGGAGGTGGAGTTTGCGGTGAATTGAGATGGCGCAACTGCACTCCAGCCTGGGCGACAGAGTGAGACTCCATCTCAAAAACAAACAAACAAAACACCAAAACAATAAAAAAATTTTTTTAAGAAATCATTTTTTGACCATCGCTCTTTAGTAGATTAACCATTTACTCTGTTTACACATATTATTAAATATGTATACTAATTAATTCAACACATATTTACTGAGCACTTTGTTTGTTTAGGACTAGTTATCTTGCCCAGCTGGATTTGAACTTCTGGTCTCAAGCAGTCCTTCCGCCTCAGCCTCCCAAGTAGCTGGGACTACCCAGCATGCACCCGTTACTGAGCATTTTTAAGACACTGGGCTCTGGGTAGTCAGGGAGGGACAAAAAGGGATTTTACAGTAATAACATAAACAATGACGATGTCACCTTGTCCACTCTGTCCTACTTTAATCACCACAGAGTTTCTGAACAGATACTAATATTATGTTCATTTTACAGTTGAGGAAAGAAGCTTAGGGAAATTAAGTGATTTGTCCCAAATTACATAACTAATAAATGACAACTTCTGGCCGGGAACAGGAAAGCTGGTCTCCAAAGCCCCAGGCTACTCTTCCTACACTGAAAGATCACCTGATCACCCCTTCCCTGCCCTTCCTGTCACCCCATGGAGAGTACTCGGAACCCTCTTCTGCTCCAACAAGTGGCATGACGCATTATCTGAATAGCATTTATGCTTCCACTTTTATTGAAGCAACCCTGGAGGCAAGAAGAAGCAGGAACAAGAGAGGCAACTCATCCAGAAGGACTTTGCATTCTTATGGGTAACAGTAACAGGCCCCAGGGTAATCACCCCACCCTCCCTGTTGCCAAGCACTGTGACAGTCTCTCCTTCTATTGTTCCTCCTCTGTCTTTGCGTGACTTCTTTAGCGCCCCCCAGTACATATAGACATCAGGCCACATAGCCTGCTTCTCATCATGGCTCCAACCCCTGACCTCCAATGTAACCTTGGGCAAGTTAGTAACTTCTTTCAGCCACCTTGACTAATCTAAAAACCAAGGCTATTAGGAGTGCCTACTCCCTTAAGCTATTCATTGACTTACATGAACAGCTTAGTGCATCACAGGGCACTTAGGTGTGGCATGGTGACCCTATGCGTTGGCTCCACTGCAAATGGCTTGATTTGAGATGTGTGGCCTTGAGCAAGTCCCTTTACCATGCTAGGAACTTGGTTCCGGGTCTGTGTGTGTGGAGCACACAGCACAATCTGTGGCAAGGTTTCAGGTGTAATGTTATCCTTTGAGATGGCTGTAAGATGTTGCTCTTTGTTTTAATGAATACTTGTTCCTTGTCCTTCACCCTAAACCTCATTCATGTGCAAAAACAGGACCCGACATGGTGAGTCACGCCTATAATTCCAGCACTTAACCACCTAAGGTCAGGAGTTTGAGACCAGCCTGGCCAACGTGGTGAAACTGCATCTCTACTAAATAGTGGCAGGAGCCTGTAATCCCAGCTATTCAGGAGGCTGAGGCAGGATAATCTCTTGAACCTGGGAGGCGGAGGTTGCAGTGACCCACTGCACTCCAGCCTGGGTGACAGAACAAGACTCTGTCTCAAAACAAAAACAAAAACAAAAAAAAATGGTTAATAATGATAATAATTGACTGAATTTCAGGAAGTGCTTTTGTTGTGAAAAGTTGGCACTATCCCCAAAATTTTTTTTTGAACTGGCAAATTTTGACATTATGTTTAATATTATAAACCAAACCTAAGCAGTGGCTAGGGAAAAAGCAAATTAATCCATGTCTCGTTTATTTTAGAAAGCATGTTCAGGGGTTTTCATTTGTTTGAAATTTTGCTTCATTCATGATTTGTTGTGTTTTGTTTTCCATCTCAGAGTATATTTCTCTTTACCATCTGACTCTACTCTTAGGCAACACATCACACCCCGTGGAGAGAATGCTTGTGTATCTCAGTGGATATGCACACTTTATTCTGATGTATTCTGAGAGGATCTGTTTCTTCTCATAGTTCAGAAATAGCAGAGTTGTCCATAAAGCCATAAAACATCAAAATGGTGATAGCTTTTTGTGCTGACATTTATTTTGGTACTTTTTAAAAAATTAAAACTTTTTTTTTTTTTTTTTTTTTTTTGAGAGTCTCTGTCACCTAGGCTGGAGTGCGGTGGCACGATCTCAGCTCACTGCAACCTCCGCCTTTCGGGTTCAAGCGATACTCCTGCCTCAGCCTCCTGAGTAGCTGGAACTACAGGTATCCACCACCATGCCCTGCTAATTTTTGTATCTTTAGTAGACACGGGGTTTCACCATGATGGACAGGCTGGTCTAAAACTCCTGCCCTCAAGTGATCCCCCTGCCTCAGCCTCTCAAAGTGCTGGGATTACGGGCGTCAGCCACCATGCTCAGCCAAGACACTATTTTTTAGAGCAGTTTTAGGTTCCCAGAGAGGTCCCACATGACCCTCCTCCCCCTCTCCCCACAACTACTACCCCATTAACATTAGGCATCCGTGTGGTACAATTATTACAATCAATACGCTGACATTGTCCGGTCTTTATCCACCAAAGTTCATAGTTTACATTAGGGTTCACTGTTTGTGTTGTACATTCTGTGGTTTTTGACAAATCCACTATTACAGTATCCAGGAAAATAACTTTTCGTGCAACTATTTCTCCTTCCTCCTCCGCCAGGGCTGAGAGTTGGACTATTTTCAGCTGCTCTTATCTGGCCTTAGAGACACTTGTCGGCAGGCCCCTCTGCTGCTTTCGCCAAGCCAAATGACGTTCCTGGCTACAGCCATGTCTGTTCATTCCTTAAGTGTTTATGAAAGCCCACCAAGCATTGTTCTACCACTGGGTCTGAAAACAGGAATACCACGTGGTTCAGGTGTCTGCCCACATTCCCTGGCAGGAAGACAGACAGGCTGATAGTAGATGCAATGCCTGTGATAGAGTGTGATGATAAGGTTCGGGAAAGCCCCAGGCCTAGGGCGCCACTGAGTGGGGTCAGCTAACCTTTCCCCCACCCCAACCACCCACCTCTTGGAAGAGGGAGGGGTAAGCAATAGACTTCTTGGGGAAGGTTAAGCAGGCAGGGCATGTCTTATCAGAGAAAGATTCCAACATAATCCTGCTCCCATCTTATCAGCCCTTTATTTTAATGGTGAAACACACATATCTGTCCTTGCACGTGTGTGACAACTGGAGTGGGATAGGGAGTGGAACGTGGGAGACAATACTAGAAATTGATTAGTAACTCCCTTTTTTCATATTGCTGATATAGATTCAGCCAATTAGATTACATTATTACTATTATTTTTTGAGATAGAGTCTCACCCTGTTGCCCAGGCTGGAGCACAGCAGTGCGATCTTGGCTCACTGCAACCTACGCCTCCTGGGTTCAACCAAGTCTGGCTAATTTTTGTATTTTCAGTAGAGACAGGGTTTTACCATGTTGGCCAGGCAGGCCTTGAACTCCTGGCCTCAAGTGATCCGCCCACCTCAGCATCCCAAAATGTTGGGATTACAGGCATGAGCCACCACACCTGGGTAGTTTTTAATTTTTTTTTTTTTTTTTTGTAGAGTTAGAGTCTCACTATGTTGCCTAGTTTGGTGTCAAATTCCTGGCCTCAAGAGATCCCTCTGCCTTAGCCTCCCAAAGCGTTGGGATTACAGGCATGAGCCACTGCACCCAGGTTTTTTTTCTTTTTTCTCAAATTACATCTTGCTACCCATATTTCTCTGCCATGTTTTTTAAAAAACCTCGTCAATAAATCAGGACTTTTATTTTAGTACATAAAGTGTCTGGAACATTTTTAACAGCTGGCTATTATAGGAAAGCAGCTTCTGTTTCTTATTTAACCATTGTCTCATTAATGCCCATGTAAGCCATCTCCAACTTTTCCTAATTACAAATGATACTACAAACATCTTGCTATACCTGTTCTTGGCATATATGTATTTCTGAAGGATATAATCACTGAAGTGAAATTTCTAAATAAAGGTCATGCACAATTAAATTTTGTTTTGTTTTGTTTTGTTTGTTTGTTTGTTTTTGAGATGGAGTCTCACTCTGTCACCCAGGCTGGAGTGCAATGGCGCAATCTCAGCTCACTGCAACCCCCGCCTCCTGGGTTTAAACAATTCTCCTGCCTCAACCTCCCGAGTAGCTGAGATTATAGGTGCCCACCACCAAGCCTAATTTTTGTATTTTTAATAGAGACGGGGTTTTGCCATGTTGACCAGGCTTGTTTCAAACTCCTGACCCCAGGTGACCCGTTTCCTCAGCCTCCCAAAGTGCTGGGATTACAGGCGTGAGCCACACTGCACCCAGCGTCAAATTTTGATAGGAACAACCGTATGGCCCTCTATAAAAGATGGTGCCAATTTTCAATAATGCTAATAACATACTCAATTGTTTGAAAATATTTGCCTACTCATAAGCAAAAAATAATATATTAAGTTTCTATTAGTATTTTATTTTTTACAACCTGAACGAGACTCATTTATTCTGCCAAAAATTCAAAAATTCAAATCAGTGAGTCACCAGTTTTCTTCTATGGCAGACATTTGAATTCAGTCCCAAGCACTTAGTTGCTGGATTCACTCTGAATTTTTTTTCTTTTTTGTTTGAGACAGAGTGTCACTCTGTCGCCCAGGCTGGAGTGCAGTGGTGTGATCTTGGCTCACTGTAGGCTCTGCCTCCTGGGTTCAAGAAATTCTCCTGCCTCAGCCTCCCAAGTAGCTGGGATTACAGGTGCCTGCCACCATGCCCGGCTAAGTTTTGTATTTTTAGTAGAGACACGGTTTCACCACATTGACCAGGCTGGTCTTGAGCTCCTGACCTCAAGTGATCAGCCCACCTTGGCCTTCCAAAGTGCTGGGATTACAGGCATGAGCCACCGCACCCAGCCCCATAGTTTTTTATCCCCCTATTGTATGCCTCTTCCCACTAGAATAAGGGCAAGGACCTCAGTTGCTTTGATCACCACGGTATACCCAGTGCTTAACACAGTACTTGGACAATAGTAAGTGCTCAATAAATACTTCTGAATGAATAAAGAGATGCTTGTTTTTTACGCTCTGAGATGTTGTTACATAGCTCAGCACATTCATATACCCTGCTAATTTTGATCATAGAACATTTTCTCACATTGGTTTTTCATCAGGAGCTTCCTAGTTTTGCCTTTTAAAATAAGATATCAAAAAGTGACAGTGCATGTTCTATTTCCAGACACAGTTACGTATGATGCTAAGAGTAGGGACTGCAGGGAAGACTGCTTGGCTAGCCTTACCCACCTCTTCATCCCCAAATGACCTGGAATGAAATGAAAAATAAAGGAAACGTGTAGGTTGATTGTTTTGAGAAAATATCATAACCAACATCTGAATAGAACTTAGCATTTCACCCAGCAATTTCACTTAAGTCTAAACCTTATAGTACTCCTGTTGGAAAAACTAGAGGTCTTAAGATCATAATAATAATGCTGACTGTTCACACTGAGGGCTCTCTTGGGCCCAGCTCCTGCGACTCGTTATCATCATTCTCACTATGGCCCAGCAAGGCCGCATTTATGGCCATTTTAAGGGTGCTGCTGAGGAGGTTAGGTAAGCAGGGTGGCACAGCTGCTAAATGATAAGACTGAGATTCCAAGGCCAGCTTTTCCAATCCTGTGGTGAGATGATTTGGTAGGCAGAATACTGTCCCCTCTGCCAAAAGATATCCACATTTGAATCCCCAGAACCTGTGAATATGTCACCTTTCATGGCAAAAGCGACTTTGCTTGTATGATTGAGTTAAGGATCTTGAGATGGAAAGATTAGCCTAAATTATGCGGGAGCACCAAATGTAATCTCAAGCCTCTTTACCAGAGGGAGGCAGGAGGATGAGAGAACTGACTGCTTTTACCTAACATAATGTTTTCAAGGTTTATCTAAAACATAGCATGTGTAAGTATTTCCTTCCCTTTTTTTTTTTTTTTTTTTTTTGAGACAGATTCTCACTCTGTCACCCAGGCTGGAGTGCAGTAGTGGTGCCATCTTGGCTCACTGCAGCCTCTGCCTCCCAGGTTCAAGCAATTCTCCTGCCTCAGCCTCCCGAGTAGCTGGGATTACAGACACCCACCACTACGCCCAGTTAATTTTTTTGTATTTTATTAGAGGCAGGGTTTCACCATGTTGCCCAGGCTGGTCTTGAACTCCTGACCTCAAGTGATCTGCCAGCCTCGGCCTCCTAAAGTGTTGGGATTACAGGCGTAAGCCACCATGCCCTGCCAGTATTTCATTCCTTTCTATGGGTGAATAATATTCAATTGTTTGTATATACCATATTTTGCTTAAACATTCATTTGTTCATGGACATTTGGGTTGTTTACACCTTCTGGCTATTGGGAATAATGCTATGAACATTGGCATGCAAGTATTTAAGTTCCTGTTTTCAACTATTTTGGGAATATATTTGAAAGTGAAATTGCTGGATCACATGTTAATTCTATGGTAGCTTTTTGGAGAACTGCCAAACTGTTCTTCACAGCAGCTACACCATTATCTTTTACCATTTTTCATTAAGTATTTTTTAATATGTAATGCTGCCTGTTTTCTTAAACTTCTTTGCATCATTTTAGCATGTTTTTGACAACTCTGGATGGTCATTATTAAGATCAATGAAAAGCAGAGTTTTTTCAGCTTTTTAATTTGAAGGCAGGAGGGAATAATAATGATATTGATGATAACAAGTTTACACTTATATAGCACAGGAAAGTGCTAGGCCCTATTGTAAGCAGTTTCTATATGTAAACTCATTTAATCCTGCAGCGAACCCTAAGAAGTAGGTTGAGGTATTTATTATTAATCTCTCCATCTTACAGTTAAGGTCATGGAAGCACAGAGAGGTCATGAAATTTGCTAAGCACATATGAAATTGATTCCTTGACTGTTTCCTAAGACAATTGTTCTCAAAGTGTGGCTCCCGTGCCAGCAATAGCAACATCATCTGAGAATTTGTTAGGAAAGCAAATCTCAGGCCCCCTTCAGCCCTACTGAATCACAAATTCTAGGGGCAGGGCCCAGCCACCTGATTTAAGAAGCCCTCCAGGTGATCCCAATGCAGCTGGAGTGTGAGAAGCACTGCCCCAAGAGATTTCCTTATGAGTTAAATTAGAGTTGCCAGATAAAATACAGGACATCCAGTAAAATTTGAATTTCACATAAGCAATGAATACATTTTTTTAGTACAAGTATGTCCCAAATATTGCATCTTGTATTTTCAATAGCTAAATCTGCTAACTCTAATGTTGAGAGTTTCATCGTAAGGATTTGGCAACTGTTTTGGATGTTCCATCATTTCCAATTTACTTGCAAATGACTGAAATAGTCAACTAAGAGACAATGATTGCATCAGGGTTCTCAGAGTACTTAAGAAATTACAAAATCTGGGCCAGGCATGGTAGCCCATGCCTGTAGTCCCAGACACTTTGGGAAGACAAGGTGGGTGAATTGCTTAAACTCAGTTCAAAGACCAGCCTGGGCAACGTGATGAAACACCGTCTCTACAAAAAAAAAGTATAAAAATTAGCTGGGTATAGTGGCGTACACCTGTAGTCCCAGCTACTCAGGAGGCTGAGGTGGGAGAATCACCTTAGTCTGGGAGGTTGAGGCTGCAGTGAGCTGTGATCGTGCCACTTCACTCCAGCCTGTGCAACAGAGTGAGACCCTGTCTCAACATAAATAAATAAGTAAATAAAAATTTAAAAACTCATGGCAGGTGTATTAGTCTTTTCTAACACTGCTATGAAAAAATACCTGAGACTGGGTATTTTGTAATGAAAATGGGTTTAATTGACTCACAGTTCCACATGACTGGGGAGGTCTCAGGAAACTTACAATCATGGCAGAAGGCACCTCTTCACAGGGCTGCAGGAGAAAGAATGAGAGCCAGCAGGGGAAATGCCCGACACTTATAAAACCATCAGATCTCGTGAGAACTCGCTCACTATCACGACAATAGCACGGGGGAAACTGCCTCCATGATTCAATTACCTCCCACCTGGTCCCTCCCCTTAACACCTGGGGGTTATAATTCAAGATGAGGTTTGGGTAGGGACACAAAGCTAAAGCATATCAGCATGGGTAGGGGATGGCATACAGAGGTAGGAGAAAAGGCTAAGGATATTATGGGCCTTAAAAGTAAACGTTTTTCCAAAGCGATGCTGTCAGTTGGTGAAAATCTGTTGTCAACTGTTCTTTTCTGAAGGAGTCTAAACCCACCAGAGGGCTCTGGAGCTATCCAGGGTGAGGAGCAGCCCCGAGAAGCTCAAGCTGGGAGAAGAGATGAAGTTCTCTGTGGCTGGGGACAGAGAGAACCCAAGAATATAGAGGTCGTATGACCTACACTAGGGCTTCTTGGCAGGCCACTGGGGACGTAGCAATGACATAGATGAGTGGCTTCATGGGGACCCAGGAGATCAGAGCCTAGGTATATGGCACCCTACCTTGCCAAAGATCCCTAAGTCCCCTAAGCAGTAGATGAGAAATTGCAGGGCTGCAAGACCTGAAAGTGACTGATATACAGACCTCCCCAAAACCGTAGTTCAGAGTATAGGATAGAAAGTCAAGAAATATTAAGACTGAACTTTCTTCCATCTTGGAAGCCTGGGGGTTTGGACTGTGACTGTAGTTACTTCAGGAAAATAATATCAGTGATAATTCTTCCCCTTATGAGTTTATGAACTGAGGTTCATACCTGCTCTGCCTCTATTCAACCTGCTACTGTCCTATGTCCTGGGACTACAAAGACAAATAAGATACTATTGACCTCAGGTATTGCTCAGTCTGATTTTGCAAATTTCAATGAACTCATGAAAATCTACATTTTTTTTTTTCCCCAGACAGGGTCTTGCTCTGTCACCCAGGCTGCAATGCAGTGGAGCAATCACATCTCGCTGCAACCTCTACCTCCTGGGCTCAAGCAATCTTCCCACCTCAGCCTCCCCAGTAGCTGGGATCACAGGCACATGCCACCACACAAGGCTAATTTTTTGATTTTTTTGTAGAGATGGGGTTTCTCTGTATTGCCCAGGCTGGTATCAAACTCTTGGGCTCAAGCAATCCTCCTGCCTCTGTCTCCCAAGTGCTGGGATTACAGGTGTGAGCCATTGTGCCCGGCCTGCATCTATTTTTAAATTAATAGGCCAGGCACAGTGGCTCATGCCAGTAATTCCAGCACTTTGGGAGGCCGAGGCGGGTGGATCACCTGTCAGAAGTTCGAGACTAGCCTGGACAACATGGTGAAACCCTGTCTCTACTAAAAATACAAAAATTAGCCAGGTATGGTGGTGGGTGCCTGTAATCCCAGCTACTTAGGAGGCTGTGGCAGGAGAATCGCTTGACCCTGGGAGGCAGAGGTTGCAGTGAACTGAGATCACGCCACTGTACTCCAGCCTGGGTGACAGAGTGAGACTGTCTCAAAAATAAATAAATAATAAATATTAATAAATAAATTAGTGGTAAAGAAAAATATTGTGGGGAAAATAGACATATGTAAAGATCCTATTGTATGCCTGGATTTGTGCTGGTGCTTTTACGTAAATTAGCTCCTGAGCGAAGCACTGTCCTCATGTTGCAAGTGAAAAACAGAGAGAGATGCTTCATGATTCACCCAAGCCTAGTGCATTAGTGTGCTAGGGCTGTCATAATAAAGTACCACAGACTACAGGGCTTAAATAACAGAAATTTATTTTCTCACAGTTCTGGAGGCTGGGAAATCCAAGATCAAGGTATTGGCAGAGTTGGGTTCTTCTGAGGTCTCTCTCCTTGGCTTGTAAATGTTCACCTTCTCTCTATGCCTTCACGTGGCCTTCCCTCTGTATATCTTTGCCCAAATTCTGTCTTCTCCTAAGGACACCAGTTATATTGGATTAATGCCCACCCTAATGACCTTATTTAACCTTAATTACTTATCTAAAGGCCTTATCTCCAAATACAGTCACATTCTGAAATACTAGGGGTTAAGATTTCCATGTATAAATTTTGGGGAATGCAACTGAGCCCACCACAGTTAGGGAACTAATAAATGAGGAGCTAGTCCTGAAGTTCAGAAATTTTAACTCCAAATCCCCTGTTTTCTTTAGGGAAAAATATTTCAACATGATTACATCTGCCTGCTAGTTGACTCTAGTGAGGGTGTAGTCTCTGGACCACTCATTTATTTCAACACGTATTCTTTTTTTTGAGACAGAGTCTCACTCTGTCACCCAGGCTGGAGTGCAGTGGGGTGATCACAGCTCACTACAGTCTCAACCTCCTGGGCTCAAATGCCTCTCCCACTTCAGCCTCTTAAGTAGATGGGACTACAGTCATATGTCATTATGCCTGGTTAATTTTTAAAAATATTTTTTGTGCAAGGTGCAGTGGCTCATGCCTGTCATCCCAGCACTTTGGGAGGCTGAGGCAGGTGGATCACCTGAGGCCAGGAGTTCGATACCAGCCTGGCCAACATAGTGAAATCCCATCTCTACTAAAAATACAAAAAATTAGCTGGGCGTGCTGGCGGCCACCTGTAATCCCAGCTACTAGGGAGGCTGAGGCAGAAGAATCGCTGGAACCCAGGAGGCAGAGGTTGCGGTGAGCCGAGATCGCACCATTGCACTCCAGCCTGGGCAACAAGAGTGAAACTATGTCTCAAAAAAAAAAATTATATTTTTATATAGACAGAGTCTTGCTATGTCTCCCAGGCTGGTCTCGTAGTCCTGGGCTCAAGTGATCCTCCTGTCTCAGCCTTCTAAAGTGCTGGGATTACAAGCCTGATCCACTGTGCCTGGACATCTTTATTATTGTTGTTATTATTTTCAGGCAAGGAAAAGGAAATACATCAGCAAGTATTTCTTGAACAACTACTTTTTGTCAGGCACTATTTTAAGTGCTGGTGTCAGTGTTGTGAAAAGGACAAGCAAAGACCCCATTTTCATAAGAGCTATCTACCTATTCTAGTGAGGCAGCAGAAAACGAATCAACAAGAAAATACTAGAAACTTGTTAAACAGGTAATTAAAGATAATTAAAGCAGGGATTTAAAATGTCACTAGTTACTCGGGGTGGTAGCCTTCTTCATGGAAATGACATCTGAGCTAAGACTTACATGACGAGAAGGGGTAGGAAGGTGAAGTTCTGGGAGAAAGAGCACCAAGAAGATGAAGGTGGTGTGTTCGAGGACCAGAAATGAAGTGGGTACTAGAAGAATGGCAAGTCCAGGCGCGGTGACTCGCGCCTGTAATCCCAGCACTTTAGGAGACTGAGACTGAGGTGGGCAGATCACCTGAGGTCAGGAGCTCGAGACCAGCCTGGCCAACATGGCAAGACCCTGTCTCTAATAAAAATACAAAAATTAATCAGACATCGTCGTGGGTGCCTGTAATCCCAGCTACTCAGGAAGCTGAGGCAGGAGAATCACTTGAACCTGGGAGGCGGAAGTTCCAGTGAGCCAAGATCATGCCACTGCACTCCAGCCTGGGTGACAGAGCAAGACCCTGTCTCCAAAACAAAACGAAACAAAACAAAGAATGGCACAAGAAAAGATGGGCATGTGGTGAGATTCTTCCGCATGCCAAGTGTCAATGTGCATTCCAATGAATTAACTCACCTAATTGTGAAGGCTTCTCACTATTTGATAGCTGGCAAAACTTAGATGACTGTCTTGTGGTCACAAAATCTACAGCAGGAGGCCTGGGGTAGAACAGTGTTTTTCACAGTGGAGGTTACTTTTTGGAGTCAAGAAATCAACTTAGATTGTTGTAAGCAGATAGTGTGTGTGTGTGTGTGTGTGTGTGTGTGTGTGTATATGAAATTGGATAAGAAAATATTAGAGTGAAGTACACATATCTTTAGCAAGGATTCTACTGGGTTAAACTTTTGTTATGTTTTTACTTTATTATATGTATTAACAGTAAGGGTAAGTTTCTTTTTAATGATTTTTGTTATTGTTTCCTTTACAAATACTTCTAGTAGGTATAGGGACGGGATGTAAAATGTATTTCTGTGGGTTGAGGTTAAAAAGGTAGAAGAAGGCCAGGCACGGTGGCTTATGCCTGTAATCCCAGCACTTTGGGAGACTGAGACTGAGGCGGGTGTATCACTTGAGGTCAGGAGTTTGAGACCAGCCTGGCCAACATGGTGAAACCCCGTCTCTACTAAAAATACAAAAATTAGCCAGGCAGGCATGGTGGTGCATGCCTGTAATCCCAGCTACTCAGGAGGCTGAGGCAGGAGGATCACTTGAACCAAGGAGGTGGAAGTTGCAGTGAGCCAAGATCAAGCCACTGTACTCCAGCCTGGGTGACGGAGAGAGATTCTGTCAAAAAAAGAAAAAAAAAGAAAAGAAAAAAAAAAGAAAAAGTAAGAAAACACTGCACAGAAATGTTACCTCCATGAAAACAGGGATTTCCACCTGTTTTCAAAATTTGTTTCTAAGTCTCCAACACTTGTCACATACTCAATACACATTTGTTGGTGAGTGAACGTAATTGGGGGATGTATCATATAGGTCATTGGGTTCCACGGTAAAGTTTGAATTTTATTTGGAATGAAATGAGAAATCATTGAAAGGTTTTAAGCAGGGGCGCAATTTGATCTGATTGTGATTTTTGGAGGTCACCTTAGCTTTTGTGTGTAGAATGGATTTGCAGGGAAATAAGAGGTGTAAGAGTGGAAATGAAGGACTTTTCAAGTAGCTCTAGGATAGAACATGATATCTAGGACTAGGATAATAGGTAAATAAAGTAGACAGATTTGAGATATGTTCTCTAGGTAGACTTCCAGATGGATTATGATTCAGGGTAAGGGGCCCAGAGTGAAGGAAATTAAAGAGTCAAGAATGATTTTTGACTTCAGAAAGTAAATGATAGTGAAGAAGTTAACTTGGTGGAGGATAAGTTGATGTTGCAGAGAAGGGAAAGTTGAGGAAGTTCAAGAATGAATACAAGGGGTGATCTCAACCACAAATGTTCACCAAACATTTGATGGATCCACAGCTCTGGGTTAGACATATTGGGAAATATCAACTCTGTTCAGAAGTATAAGTACCGCTTCACTAGTTGTGTGCTTGTTGCAAAGATTGGGTTAAAGAGCCAAAAGTTACTTGAGAGTAATAAAGGCAGTATGACACATTCAATTGTGGGATGTGGTTAGGGGTGAGAGTAGGTTTGGGCCTTCTTTGTCATGTCCAGCAGTAAAGGCAACACTCATTCGTAAAATGATGCATTTCCTAATCACATTTCACAGGTTATGGCATTTGACCTTTGTGCCCTCTCTTTAAGGTATTATTACTCTCCTCCTTGAATAAGTGTGGAAATTGAGCCTCAGGAAAGGGGAAATAAAATGTTTATTGAGCATATCCTGAATGCCAGGTCCCGTGCTTAGAACCTTACAAATGCTATTTCATTTAATCATCAGCATAACCTTGGAGGTTGCCACTGTGATTCCCATTTTACAGAGGAAGTATAGCTTGTGTATGATCACTGGGCAGTGAAATGGACCCACTGTTATAGGACGAACAGGCTTATATGCCCACTGGGCAGTAACAGAGCCATTACACTGAGACAGCAGGGTTTGTAGCAGAGAAAGTTTAATAATCACGGGTGGTGAGCAAGTTGATGAGAAGAGAACCTCAAGTATCTATCGCCCCAAGGAGCTCTGGGTTAAGGTTTTTAAGGGGATTGTGGAGGTTGAAGGGCTGGAAAATTGGAGTTGTTCATTAATCAAGGCAAGGGGATGAAGTCATCGGGATGTGGAAACTGCATTTTTTGGTGAGTCAGCTCCTCATGGAGTCCTTCAGATCAGCTGGCATCAGTGGGGTTCTTCAGACTAGCTGAGTCAGTAAATTCATCTGTCTGCAGGACCTGAAGGAGTATCTCAAAGGGAAGACTTAACATTTCATAATCAAGTTGCTATGTATAGAGCAGATAAGGGAACTATAATCTCCTAACAGGGTCTAATGATTTTAAGAAAGTAGGCACCGAACAACTATGAGGAAGCAGGTCAGAGAATGAGCTGACCTCAGGATTAATGCTGACCATGCTGCAAACTTGGTTTATGTTTATTTCTCCCCCTCTCTTTTTCCCTGAATAATTGTTTGAAGTTCATAGGGGCAGGTTCACCATTAGGATGGAATCCCCAGTTATCTGACTCCTGGACCAAATCTCCTCCTGTGGCATTATGGTTATTTCTAGCAGTTACATGCATTTCATTTGCAAGCATTTCCCAAATCACATAACCCCAAAGGCTTCTCTTCAGCTTGCCACAGTGCTGCTGAGAGTTGGAGTGGAAGACTATGAGACTTCCAGACTTAGATCTTCTTCAGTGGCCTCTGTTACTCTGAAAAATGAGTTGATGAGGACAAGACATTGAAAAAACCCAACTGAGGGATGACAGAGAGCTTGGGCCCCTGTTTGTAAAGGGCTTTGGGTTTTTTTGAACTTTTTATTTGGGCATGATTTCAAACTTGGATGAATAAGCATTGTGCAAAGAACTTCTGCCTACCCTTTACACCGGTTGATCTTTTGTAAGCATTTTGTAAAGTGCAAATGGAAGAAGTGTTTTTAATATTATCCTTGTCCAAGGACTCTATGCCTAGCAGCCTTTCAATTCCTCATGTAATTGTCCTACAGCCCAGAACCCATGTTTATCCTTTCCCCGCGAAGTTCTCAACTTTGATGTTTCATCGTTGCTCAGGATTTCCTTCTCTCTCCCATGGCAGGTAAGAGTTTGGCCTTCCCACTACTCAGCTTGGATTTGGGTTACTGTTTCCCCACTTACTAGCCATTCTAACTTTTGAAGATGCAGTTTCCTCATCTGAAAAGTGGGCCTGAAGTAACATCTTCTTAATTAAATGTTTGTGATGATTACATGGAATCATGTGAGAGAGTTTAGCCACTGAGATGGACTGAATGCTTTGTTTCTCCAAAACTTCCATGTTGAAATCATAACCTCTGAGATATGATCATCTTTGGAGGTGGTACCTTTAAGAGGTAATTAGGTCATGAGAGTGGAGCGCTCATGAATAGGATTATGTGTCTTTAGAAAGGAACCCAGAGAACTTTCTTGCCCTCTTTCCACCCCATGGAGATACAACTAGAAAGTGGCAGTCTGGAATCCAGAAAAGGGTCCTCACCAGAACCTGATCTCAGACTTCTAGCCTCCAGAACTGTGAGAAGTAAATTTCTGTTTGTAAGCCACCCAGTCTGCAGCAATTTTTTATAGTGGTTCAAACTGTCTAAGACAGGTACAGTACCCAGCCCAGAGTAAATTCCCCTAGAAATGCAATCTCGCTTGCAAAGGACCCATATCTAGCCTACAATCACTTGCACAGCTGTACTAGTTGTTAGACTATTGGAACACTTCCACACCAGTTGGTGAAGAGTGGCTTCCCTGAAACTCACCTCTCATTACCATAGCACCCCCATATTTCTGTCCACTTGGCCTCTCCCGTGGGAAGCCTGTGGATATCTCCACAATACAACCAAATGCTACATGCCTGCAGAGCTGAGGCCTCAGTACCCTGCTGCAGTTCCATGTACAGCTTTTTGATTGGTTGATGAGTGCTGGAAAATGTTAATATCCCTGCTGGATATTAGCTTAATGCCTATAAACACCGTCACCCCCATTTACAAATGACAAAGGAAATGAAGGAGGGAATTAGGTAACCTTGCCCAAGGTCATACAGCTAATAATGACTTAAACCTGAGGCTGTACAGTTTCCAAAACCACTTCTAGTCTCCCTGGAGTCAGAGTCCTTGTTTCCAGGACTGGTTCAGGCCTTGTACCCTTGGGCAGGGGGGACTTGCTCTGTGGTAGGAGGAACAGAGCAAGTTTAGAATAAGTCTTCTTGGCTTCTTTGCCTATACAGGCATTGAACAATGCCTATATAGAGAAATTTTCCTTGCCTTTTTGTTAAGGGCAAATAATCTAGTTCAATGGTCAATTTTTGCCCAGAGATCAAACTCAACTTGTTAATTATTCACACAGTTGATAACTCTGCTCTTCTCTTGAAACTGTTAAACCAGTTGAGACAAGTTAGAAATACAAACCTGGTAAAAAAAACAAAAAACAAAAAACAACCTTTTCGAGAATAATTTTTTGAAGCAGAGCATATAAACATTTTTAGAGAGGGAATGTGAGTTAATGAAAGCAAAGATACACAGAGAAGGAAACATAGCCTTAAGGGCCAGACAGAATTCTTGCATGAGCTCTGTGTTATTGGGCATAAGAAGTAATAAGTAACCTCTGCTTCACCATTTGGAAAATAAGAATGAGTGCCTTGAAGAATGGTTTACAGTGAGATACAATGGGTGTACAGCTCTGAGGTCAGTGCCTGGCACCAGGATTGAAAGTCAAAATATTTACTGACCTGGACTACAGAAACAGGGAACAAACCAAACAGGGTCACTACGAGTCAGCATCTCAGAGGCTTCTAGCATGCAAGGAGTTAACCCTTACCTTGCAGAATCATGGAGGACAAGGATTCGCTTATTTACCAACCTTTATGGAAATCTTTTAGCAGCTGTACCCACATATCTGAGAAGCAACCCTGCCCGGCAGTAGAAGAAAGTGCTCAGCTACTCTTCATTATGTGAGAAAGAGCACCAACAAGAGACAGCTAATAACTTGGGGGTTGGTTTGTTTCCAATGGCACAGGATGGGTAAAGTGAAAGGAAAAGCCCTTATCCCTCCTGCCTCTCATCTCCACTCCCCAGAGAAACAATTAGTGAGCGGATTCTTATATCTCTTTCCAGAAATTAGCTAATTAGCTTTCTTTCCTTTCATACAAATGGAATCATAATGTAATAATTGCTAGCGTTTATCATGTGTCTGCTATGTGCCTAGGAATATTTTAAGCATCTTGTGTGGACTATATATTGTTTAATCCTTATGACGACCCTTTGAAATAGGTATTGCCTTTATTTACATTTTTCATATGAGGAAATTGAGGCCCAAAATGATTAAATCATTTGCCTAAAGTCACACAGTAGGCAAAGAACCCAGGAAGGTAATACACTTCTATCTTAGTATTATGCCTGCATAGCATTTCTTAATATGAATGAATCCTAGTTTAAATTATTGTTGGATATTGAAGTTGTCCAAATCTGTTTTAACAATTATGGCTGCATTGAATATATGTGTATATTGATCTCTGAAGTTTTAACTTTTATTTCATGTCTCCTTTGTTCCAGACATTTTAGGATCCTCTTTACATATATTTTGTCATTTTAAAAGTGACAACTACTCCAATCAGTTAGGAATCATCCATTTTACAGATAAGGAGATTGAAACTCCTAAGTAACTTGTCCAATGTCCCAGAGTTGATTAATGGCAGAGGCTAAAATTGAACTTAGGTGACCTGATTCCAGAGCCCACAATACCACTGTCTTTATGGAGTATACATGGTACTGCATGAAAACTCCCCAAAGAAATTCTCACATCTATAGAAATCATGTTTTTCTAATACCATCACCCCTTTATTATTTTTCTTGAGTATTGATCTCACTGAGACTCAGTCTTCTTCCCAATAAAATAGGGATAATAATGCTTACCACAAGGAACAGTCATAAGTATTATTATTTGTGGTAGTTACCAAAATTTGTATGTTGAAGCTTGAACTTCCAGTGTGATGGTATTTGGAGGCAGGGCTTTGGGAGATAATTAGGGTTAGGTGAGGTCATGAGGGTGGGGCGCTTAGGATAAGATTCGTGCCCTTGTGAGAAGAGACACGAGACATCTTGCTCTTGCTCTCTCTCCTGGCCATGTGGAGACACAACAAGAAGGTGGCCATCTGCAAATCAAGAAGAAAACCCTCACCAGTAGCTGATCATTCTTTTTTTTTTTTTTTTTTTTTTTTTGGTTGGGGGGGACAGAGTCACACTCTGTTGCCCAGGCTGGAGTGCAGTGGCGCAATCTTGGCTCACTGCAAGCTCCGCCTCCTGGGTTCACGCCATTCTCCTGCCTCAGCCTCGCAAGTAGCTGGGACTACAGGCGCCCGCCAGTAGCTGATCATTCTGACACACTGAACTTGGACTTCCAGCCTCCAAAACTGTGAAAAAAATAAATATATATTATTTAAGCTGCCCAGTCCATGGTATTTTGTCAGTGACAGCTAAAGTAGACTAATACACCTACCTAATAAAATTATTATAAAGAGTAACAGAAACAAGGTAAAAATATCTAGAAAAATTTCTTGTTTCTTTTTTCTTTTGAGACAGGGTCTTACTCTGTCACTCAGGTTGGAGTTTAGTGGCACAATCTCAGCTCATTGCAGCCTCTACTGCCTGGGCTCAAGTGATCTTCCCACCTCAGCCTCCTGAATAGCCAGGACCACAGGCACATGCCACAATGCCTAGCTAATTTTTTTTGTATTTTTTGTAGAGACAGGGTCTCACCTTATTGCCTAGGTTGTTCTCAAGCTCCTGAGCTCAAGTGATCCACCTGCCTCAGCTTCCCAAAGTGCTGGGACTACAGGTGTGAGCCACTGCACATGGCCAAAATATCTAGAATAATTTCTTCTTCTTCTTTTTTTTTCTTTTTTTTTTTGTGACAGAGTCTCGCTCTGCTGCCCGGCTGGAGTGCAGTGGCATGATCTTGACTCACTGCAACCTCTGCCTCCCAGGTTCAAGCAATCCTCCTGCCACAGCCTCCCTAGTAGCTGGGATTATAGGCAAGTGCCACCATGCCAGGCTAATTTTTGTATTTTTAGTAGAGACGGGATTTCGTCATGTTGGCCAGGCTGGTCTGGAACTCCTGACCTCAGGTGATCCACCCACCTTGGCCTCCCAAAGTGCTGAGATTACAGGTGTGAGCCACCACGCCCGGCCTAGAATAATTTCTAACGTGAGTTGTTTTGTAACATGAGTTGTGGAGTTATTGCAGGTATTATTCTTAGAGCTTCAAATGTGTATTAATTTCCTAGGGCTGTCATGACAAAACACCACAAAATGGGTGCCTCAACAACACAAATGTATTCTCTCACAATTTTGGAGGCTGTAAATCCAAAAACAAAGTGTTATCAGGGCTATACTGTCTTCAGAGCCTCTAGGGCAGAATTATTCTCTGTCTTTTCCCAGCTTCTGGTAGCCCCAAGTGTTCCTTGGCTTGTGGCAGCATAACTCCAATCACTGCCTCCATCATCACATAGCATTCCCCCTGCAGGCCTGTCTTCATATGGCTGGCTTCTGTAAGGACGCCAGTCACATTGGGATAAGAGCTTACAATACTCTGGTATGATCTCATCTTCACTAATAACATCTCCAATGGTCCTATTTCCAAATTAAGGTCACATCCTGAGATAGTGGGGATTAGGACTTCAATACATCTTTTCTGGAGGAAGCAATTTAACACATAACAATGTATATTACTTCATCCAATCTTCACAGCAACCCAGTGAAGCAGATAATATTGTAATTCTTCCCATTCTGGTGACGAGAACACTGATATGGTTTGGCTCTGTGTCCCCACCCAAATCTCATGTTGACTTGTAATTCCCAATGTTAGGGGAGGGAGCTGGTGGGAGGTGATTGAATCATGGGGGCAAACTTCCCTCTTGCTGTTCTTGTGTGCTAGTGAGTTCTCATGAGATCTGGTTGTCTAAAAGCGTGTAGTACTTTCCCCTGCACTCTCTCTCTCCTGCTCTGCCATAGTTAAGATGTGCTTGCTTCCCCTTTGCATTCTGCTATGATTGTAAGTTTCCCGAGGCCTCCCAGCCATGCTTTCTGTACAGCCTTTGGAACTGTGAGTCAGTGAAATCTCTTTTCTTCATAAATTACTCAGTCTCAGATAGTTCTTTATAGCAGTGTGAGAATGAACTAATACAGATTCTGAGGCTCAGAGAATATACATAACTCGTTTAAGGTCACATAGTGACTAAGTATGTGTTTTACTGCTTCTTGGCTTATAAGAGTTTAGGGGCATAGTAGACTGCTATGGTCTAAATGTTGGCATCTCCCTCAAATTCGTATGTTGAAACCTAACCCCAAATGCAATAGTATTAAGAAGTGGGGCCTTTAGAAGGTTGTGAGAATGGAGCCTTCATGAATGGGATTTGTTCCCTTATAAAAAAAGCCTGTGGGAGCTTGTCTCCTTTTTCACCAAGTGAGATCACGTGGAGGACCATCTATGAAGAATATCTATATGCCCTCACCAGACACCAAATCCCTTGATCTTAGACTTCCCAACATCTAGAACTGTCAGCAACAAATTTCTGTTGTTTATAAATTATCCAGTTAATGGTGTTTTGTTATAGCAGCCTGAACTAAGACATAGGCACTCAGAAAAAAAATGGGTTTGTTATTTTTTGTTTTACTTAATTTTAAAATACCTCACAAATTACTGTATATCCTAGCACAAGGATTAGCAAACTTTTTCTGAAAAGGTAAAGACAATTGATATTTTAGGGTTTGTAGTTGTATGATCATTTTCTTTTGCAACAATTGAACTCTGCCATTAAAGCATAAAAACAGCCAAAGATAATACATACAAAAATGATCATGACTGTTTACCAATAAAGCATTATTTGCAAAAATAAACAGTGGCTTGATGTGAACAGTGGAGCCTAGTTTGCCTGTCTTTGCCCCAGTCATAAGTAGCTTCATGTTGTCCTAAGTGACCATGGTAGATTTGATTCTTGTTCTCTATTCTCTTCCCTCTGCCATCCTGTGATCTTGCAGTGCACTATAGTGGGCTGAGTATATTTCCTTACCCCATTATCACTGGCTTATTTAAAGTACATGCTTTGGCCAATAGAATGTTAATAAATGTGATGTGAGACCTAAATGTACTCTCACTCTTTGGCTGGCATCTTTCTCTTTCACAACCTACATGAGAAGTGCATACACTGGGCACCTGCTGGTCCAAGGAGGATATAGAGGCCAATAGCACAGACTTAAGCCCAATCTACACACCAGAGTCTGAAGTCTACTCTAGCCCAGCGAATTGGAGCTGACCCTCAGATCCACAGGTGAGAAATAAATGTTTATTGTTTCAAGTCACTGGATTGTGGAGTGATTTGTTGCCCAGCATTAGCTGATCAAGGTCAAAGAAAATAGACCCATCCTCAGATTCATCCCCTTTCCTGGGAGATGCTCACAAGTTGACTGGGCCACCCAACTTTCATTTCAGAAATTGAACCAAAATATCAGGGAACATCTCACTAGAGGGCTATGCTTATTATCATGCATCTCTCTCTAGTAGCAACAGAAACCCCAAAATAATGACAAGAAGCAGAGGCAGCAGTGGGGAAAAGCATCTATCTTAGTTATAAGATTGAGGTTCAAGTCTAGACATTGCCTCTATGACCTTGGGCAGGAGATTGATCTGTTTCTCCATCTGTAAAGCAGGTCCAGGAATACTACTTTCTTTAGATTTGGGAAGAAATTGAATGGCAAGGCACATATCTGGCACAAAGTAGACAAGTTATACATCACGTAAAGTTAAGGAAAATCAGTAAAGCCGGAAGTGGCATTTTGTGTCCTAAGTAAGCCATGTAGGTCTTAGGTGGGGTGTTCAAGAACTCTCCTGAAGTCAAATGATTAGCAATATGACCACCACATAGTAGACTTTCTTTTTTTCTTTGAGACAGAGTCTTACTCTGTTGGCCAGGCTGGAGTACAGTGGCATGATCTTGGCTCATGGCAACCTCCGTCTCCCAGGCTCAAGCAATTCTCCTGCCTCAGCCTCCCGAGTAGCTGGGATTACAGGCATGTGCCACCATGCCCGGCTAATTTTTGTATATTTAGTAGAGACGGGGTTTCACCATGTTGGCCAGGCTGGTCTCGAACTCCTGACCTCAGGTGATCTGCCCACCTCAGCCTCCCAAAGTGCTGAGATTAAGGCGGGAGCCACCGCACCTGGCCACTGGCAAGAACTTTCAGCACAATATTGAATATTAGTTGCAAGAGTGCATTGGTCAGGCTTGGTGGCTCACACCTATAATCCCAACGCTTTTGGAAACCAAGGCCAGAGGATCACTCGAGCCCAGGAGTTCGAGACCACCCTAAGCAACATAGGGAGACTTCATCTCTACAAAACAAAACAAAACAAAACAACAACAACAACAAAAAAAACAAAAAACAAGGCTGGGCACAGTGGCTCATGCCTATAATCCCAACAGTTTGGGAGTCCAAGACAGGCGGATCACTTGAGGCCAGGAGTTCAAGACAAGCCTGGCCAACATGGTGAAAACCCGTCTCTACTAAAAATACAAAAATTAGCCAGGCGTGGTGGCACATGCTTGTAATCCCTGCTACTCGGGTGGCCGAGGCGCAAGAATTGCTTGAACCTGGGAGGTGGAGGTTGCAGTAAGCCATAATTGCGCCACTGTACTCCAGCCTTGGCAACAGAACAAAACTGTCTCAAACAACAAAAGAAAACAAAACAAAAAACAATTAACCAGGTATGGTGGCAGGGGCCTATGGTTTCAGCTACTAGGGAGGTTGATGCAGGAGGACCACTTGAGGTTGATGTTGCACAGTGAGTCATGATTGTGCCACTACACTCCAGTCTGGGTGACTGAGCAAGACACTGTCTCAAAAAAAAAAAAAAAAAATGTGGACATCTTGTCTTGTTTCCGATCTTAGGGAAAGAAATTTCAGCCTTTAATTGTTAAGATAAGAACTGTGGGTTTTTCATAGATGTCTTTTATCAGTTGAGGAAATTCCTTTATATTCTTAATTTTTTGAGTGTTTTTATTATCAAAGGATGGTGGATTTTATAAAATATTTTTTGCTTTTGACATGATTATGTGGTTTTCAAACTTTACAGTTTATTAATATGCTCCTTTACATCAATTGATTTTTGTATGTTAAAACCAACCTTGCATTCCTGGCATATACACTTGCTCATAGTGTATGATCCTTTTGATATGTTAGTGTATTCATTTTATTAGTACCCTTCTGAAAAGTTTTCATCTATATTCACATGGGATAGTGATCTGGTTTTTTATTTTGTTATGACATCTTTGTCTTTTGATATCAGGGTAATGAAGGCCTCATAGAATGATGTCTCTGAGCTCTGTTTATTTTCACTTATTCTTTATTCTTCTTGTTTTTTGTAATACAATGAGTAATCTCAATTGACTTGTCTTCAAGTTCACTGGTTCTTTCTTCTATCTGCTCAGCTCTGCAGTTGAGCCTTTCCAGTTAATTTTTCATTCCAGTTATTGTACTTTCCAACTCCCAGAATTTTTAGTTGGTTCTTTTAAAAATATTTTCTGTTTTTTTATTGATAATCTCTATTTGGTGACACGTTGTTTTCATACTTTAATTCTTTACATATAGTTTCTTTTAGTTCTTTGAACATTTATGGTAATTGATTTAATCCATTGAAAAGCTGATTTTGACAGTGTTCTCATTGTTTTCCTGGAGAGTGAATTTTGGAGGTCCTCTACATGCTTCTTCAGAACAACCAATTGTATAGTAGTTTTCTAAAGCTACATAACAAATTATCACAACCTGAACCATTAAAACATCACTCACTTATTATCTCATTTTGTGTAGGTCAAAAGTCTGGATGCAGAGTAACTGGATTTTCTGCTCATGGTCTTACAAGGTTTAAACCAATATTTATGTTGAATTGCGTTCTCTTCTAGAACCCAGGAGTCTCCTTTCATATTCAATCAGGTTGTTGGCAGAATTCACTTCCTTGCAGTTGTAAGACTGTGGCCCTTGTTTTTCTGCTGCTAATGGCTGGCAGTTAATCTAAGCTCCTAGAGGCCTCCCTTAGTATCTAATATGACCTGGCAGCTTATTTCTTCAAAGAGAGCAGGAAGAATCTCTCTCTAGTCTGATATAATCAATTCTGTTTTTTTTTTTTTTTTTTTTCTGAGATGGAGTTTTGCTCTTGTTGCCCAGGCTGGAGTGCAGTGGTACTGTCTCAGCTCACTGCATCCTCCGCCTCCTGGGTTCAAGAGATTCTCCTGCCCCAGCCTCCTGAGTAGCTGAGATTATAGGCGTGAGCCACCATGCCCAGCTAATTTTTGTATTTTTAGTAGAGACGGGGTTTCACCAGCTTGGCCAGGCTGGTCTCGAACTCCTGATCCTCAGGTGATCCACCCGCCTTGGCCTCCCAAAGTCCTGGAATTACAGGCATGAGCCACCCCACCAGGCCGATTTTTTTTTTTAATTTTTTATTTCCATAGGTTATTGGGAAACAGGTGGTGTTTGGTTACATGAGTAAGTTCTTTAGTGGTGATTTGTGAGAGTTTGGTGCACCCATCACCTGAGCATTATATACTGCAACCTATTTGTAGTCTTTTATCCGTCACCCCCTTCCCACCCTTTCCCCCTGAGTCCTGAAAGTCCATTGTGTCATTCTTATGCCTTTGCATCCTCATAGCTTAGCTCCCACTTATGAGTGAGAACATAGGATGTTTGGTTTTCCATTCCTGAGTTACTTAACTTAGAATAATAGTCTCCAATCTCATCCAGGTCACTATGAATGCCATTAATTCATTCCTAAATCAAATCTTACATAATATAAACTAATCATGGGAATGACCATCTTACCATATTCACAGGATCTACTCACACTCTGGGGAGTTGGGGGGAAATGGCTTGCTCATGGGCACATAGCTAGTAAGAGGCAAGGTAATTCTTCTGAATCTAAGTAGGGTGGCCTCTGTTCTGCCCCCACACCTGCCTGCCAGGTTAAAGGTCTGTGTTTTGTTTGTTGCAAGGCAGACATTGAGGACATTAGTACCCGAGGCCTCTTTAAGGGACTTTGCTCTGAAATAGTCTCCTCCTGGGCTCCTGCATTCCCTGCCTGTGTGATTGGGGAGAATACCTGAGCATGAAAAACAGTATTAACCAGGAGTTTTGATAAAATGGAGTTTTCAGGGGTGAGTTGCAATTTACATAACTGTAAAATTCCATTTACTTTCAGCAATGTATTTTGAATGCTCCCCCTGGGCCAGCTCAAAGGGAGCACACAGTCATCTCCTGCAGAAAGAAAATGGAATTTTTATTTTTGTCTTGAAAGTGCCTTGAAATCAGCAATCTCAAGGCTAGCAGTGGGGCCTCAATGAAGACATCATCAGCAAGAACAGCAGAAGGTTCTGAAGGTAGTCAGCCGTCAACCAAACTCACTCACTTTAATGGTTTTGCATGTGCTAGAAGAAATTAACCATTTAAGGCCAGCCTTCTACCTCCCTATGCTCAATCTCCTGGTTCGATGTGTCTAATTATCTAAATGATAATGAGTTTTCTATGGTGCCAATTCAAACCTTTTAATTATTCGTCTGTGTCTTTCTATAGTAATGCAAATAGCTGCTGATAGCCCTCATCAGTCAATCGTCCAAACATTTGAGGACAGTGGAGCTGGGGTGTAGGTTCCCTCTCCAGATTTTCTTTAGTTGGCTCCTGCACAAACTCCCCAGCTGCTGTGGGAAGGTGGTCTCACCATCTACAGAGGCTAGCCCCCATGTTTCAAAGTGGAAACAAACGTGGTAGGTGTATTTCATGCTCCAGAGCTCCCTGTGCAATCAGGTTAGGGCTAGACTGCAGCTGAGATCACATCCAGCTTAGCCACCTTTCCATTCTACCTCCTGCGTATCCTCCCTCCTGAGAGCCCTCCCCCAGGGAATCACATGCAATCAAAATCAGTGTCAAGTGCTGCTTTGAAGTCACTGACCTAAGAGTGGTATTAATAGTAAAGAAGGTCTGCTATACCCTTCCTATATCTAAATTAAAAAATAAAATAAAAATTACATCTAGGAATTAAAGACCTTGCTGTAAAAAACATCCATTTAAGTAAAGTAGTCCCGCTTTCCCCCACTAATTTGGAAGTCATGTACCTCTCAACCTCAGCTATCTGGAACATAGAAAAGGCCTACAGGGAACTAACCTAGATATTGCAAAACAAAAGACAGTCTGTAACTTTATTTATTTATTTATTTTTTAAGTGCAGGGTTTAGAATGTCTCCTCTTTCACATGCTGGGCAACTGCACCTGGGTGAGTGTAACCTCTCCAGCCCTTCAGTTCCTGTCTGCAAATGCAAGCTCACCCCAGAGTCTCACAGTGTTCCTGGGAAGACAAATACATAATAATACAATATATGGGTTAGTACATATCAGGGCTTCAAAGAACAGAGCTTTTATTATTAAGGCCTTCATGTGACAGGGTACACACAATTTTAGTCTAGTTACAGGCCAATTTCTATTTCAATTCTGAGGCTCAAAGCAGAATTTTTCTTACACACAAACAAAAACAAAACCTCAACAGCTCTGAGTGAAGCAAAAACGAACTTTGATGTTGTCTTTCACCATACTGGGTTCCCTTTGGAGAAGAAGGGAATGGATTGCTGAACTGGGGGAGAATGTGGGTAACGATGTTCCAGGCATAGAGAGGTGGACATAGACAGCAAAGACAAATGGACATCATCCTGGGCCCCTGGAAGTCTGGTGGGCCTCAAGTCTCTGGATCTGCCTCAACCAGAGAAAGTGAAGCAAATGTGTGAGGTTGCGTTTGTTAGCATTTATTTAATCTGGGGAGTGGGTGCTCTGTGGATGTTTGTCTTACTGTCTGTAATTTTATGCAAGTTTGAAGTATTTAAAAATTTTAAAAAAAAGAACAAATGTAGGCCGGGCACGGTGGCTCACGCCTGTAATCCCAGCACTTTGGGAGGCCGAGGCGGGTGGATCACAAGGTCAGGAGATTAAGACCATCCTGGCTAACACGGTGAAACCCCGTCTCTACTAAAAAGTACAAAAAATTAGCCAGGTGTGGTGGTGGGCACCTGTAGTCCCAGCTACTTGGGAGGCTGAGGCAGGAGAATGGCGTGAACTCAGGAGGCAGAGCTTGCAGTGAGTCGAGATCGCGCCATTGTACTCCAGCCTGGGTGACAGAGCGAGACTCTCTCTCAAAAAAAAAAAAAAAAAAAAAAGTAGAATTTTTTGCTTCCCTTCTTCTCACCATTAGAGGGCCATAACTTCACTCTTGTCTCCGTATCTCCTGCCACTTATTTCTCCAAAATTGATATGTTTAGCGATAAGATCAGTTAAGATAACATTTAATAGAAAGAACAATTGTCTGACTCCCTCTCGCTCTGAGAACTAGCTCTTACTGGACATGGTGGCTCATGCCTGTAATCCCAGCACTTTGGGAGGCGAGGTGAGAGGATTGCTTGAGGCCAGGAGTTTGAGACCAGCTCGGGCAGTGTAGGAGACTCCATCTCTACCAAAAATAAATAAATAAATAAAAACAAAAAATAACTTGCTGTCTACTCGATACCTACCTATGATTTGATTGGGACACTGCAGGCAGGGGATCTCCTTAACCTGTGTCTACTGTGCTCCCAAGATATGCTGATCACTCTCCTATGTGACCTGGATGATGGGGGAGGAGAAAGGATACTGGAATGAGGAGTCATAGAATACAAGGTATATAGCAACTTTCCTTTAAGAGGTTAGCCAAATATACATATATATATTTTAATGTTTAGGTTGGGTGCAGTGGCTCACTCCTGTAATCCCAGCACTTTGGGAGGCCGAGATAGATGGATCACTCAAGGTCAGGAGTTCGAGATCAGCGGGACCAACATGGTGAAACCCCGTCTCTACTGAAAATACAAAAAATAAGCCTGGCATGGTGGCAGGCGCCTGTAATCCCAGCTACTCAGGGAGGCTCAGGCACAAGAACCCAGGAGATGGAGGTTGCAGTGAGCCAAGATCACGCCACTGCACTCCAGCCTGGGCAACAGAGTGAGACTCTGTCTCAAAAAAAAAAAAAAAAGAATCGTACCTATAAAATACATCAGATGACAAAGGTATCTGGTCTATAGTGTACACTATAATGATGCTTATCAATGTGAATCACAGTCATGAATCCAAGATGGGATCAAAGCAAACTTACCTGAAATGCTCAGCATTAGTAAACATCACTTTATACTGCAGGAAAACGCACAGCAAATATAGTGAAAATTTTACGTCCAGCACCTTTTTTCTCTTTTCTCTTCTCTTCTTTCCTTTTTTCTTTTCTTTTCTCCTTTCCTTTCCTTTCTTTTCTTTTATTTTTTTTTTGAGACTGAGTCTCACTCTGTCGCCCAGGCTGGAGTGCAGTGGCACGATTTCTGCTCACTGCAACCTCTGTCTCCCAGGTTCAAGTGATTCTTGTGCCTCAGCTTCCTGAGCAGCTGGGATTACAGGTGTGCACCACGATGCCCAGCTAATTTTTGTATTTTTAGTAGAGATGGTGTTTCGGCATGTTGGCCAGGCTGGTCTGGAACGACTGACCTCAGGTGATCTACCCGTCTCGGCCTTCCAACATGCTGGGATTACAGGCGTGAGCCACTGCACCTGGCCTGCTTTAAGGATTTGAAAAATATTGTGTGACCCTGATAGTCCAGCAACCAACAGATGATGTGGGTTTCAATCAGACTTTGGTTCAACAATCATCATGAATGATTCTACGGGCTTTTTGTGTTTTGCTCTTGGCCTTTTGTTCACACTGGGGCCTGAGGTCCCCTAAAAACAGATTACTGGCCTTGAAGCCCACTAGGGCAACCACCCTTCTACACTGACTCTGTAGGAACGTGAACACTTCATGTGTTCCTAACTTGCACGTTCAATGTATAGAGTGAAATCTTTAGTAATGATGATGAGGAGGACATATTACTATCCTAAGATGTACTATTCTAGGTATTGCATTATGTTATTTTAGTTATTCTTCACAAATACTCTGCAAAGTAAATTTCTTGAAAATAGGTTGCACCTGGGTGATACCATCAGGCAATAGCTTTGCTTTTCTGCCTATTGCCTTCAAAATGTATATAGTTGCATTTGCCTTCGCCTTTCCTGATGACACATTGAGAATATTCTGTAGCTTCCCAGTCACTTGCAAGTTTGTTTTTTTTTTCTTTTTTCTTTTTCTTTTTTTTTTTTTTTGAGATAGAGTCTCGCTCTGTCAGCTAGGCTGGAGTGCAGTGGCACAATCTCGGCTCACTGCAGCCTGCATCTCCTGGACTCAAGTGATTCTCCTGCCTTAGCCTCCTGAGTAGCTGGGATTACAGGTGTGCACCACCACTCCCGGCTAATTTTTGTATTTTTAGTAGAGACAGGATTTCACCATATTGGCCAGACTTCTCTCGAACTCTTGACCTCAGGTAATCCACCCGCCTTGGCCTCATAAAGTGCTGGGATTACAGGCATGAGCCACTGCACCCAGCCCACTTGCAAGTATTTTAAAAGTCCAGTTCAATCTAAATCAAATTTAATCTCACATTCAGGTTAAGCCTTCTCCCCTCTGCTCAGCTGGGGCTTGTCTGGAGGATCAGGTGCCAGGAAACGCGTAAAGACGCTGGATCTGCTCTTTCGCTCTTCGCTGTACTTCCTACCCTACTCACCTAACTGCTGATGGATTTTCCAATATAATAGCTGTGGAGGGATGAGAGATGGAGGCAGATGCTGGCTGTGATGCTCTCTTGACTGTTGAAAGCCTTCCAAATGGTAAGATCCAAATGTTGGCTCTTCCAGTTGGCACTTTTCGTGGGGGTTCTTCAGAGACCCTGACTTGGCCATGGGCTAGGTGAAACCTGTGACGTCTCTCAACTCCTGCCCCTGGTGGTACCACAAGTCCCCTTGAGCAGAGATAAATTAAGCTGGCTTCCTTTTGTGGCATTTGCCTGCTCTGGCAAAATGCACACATACTTGCTCGGCCATTGTGGGTAGCTTTGCCAAGCTCCAACCTCAGTCTTCTCCAGGTGAACACTAGGAAGAAAAACTATGCTTTCAATGTCAAGAGAATATATTTTAAGATCTCCTAAGAACTCCATGATGTTCCACCCTCTGGAGTAGCTTGGGACTGGCTTCTGCATCTCTGTGTTTCAGCAAGCATCCAGCCTGGGAGTGTGATGCCAGTCTACCATCTTGCCATAAATCCTCTCTCCAGGATTATCTCATACTGCGTCACACTACCTCACTTTGCTTGGGAGTGAATGAAAGCAAACCATCTGCAATACTACAAGCCTCTTAGAAAGAATTTTTTTCCCTCTAAGGAAGCTGCTAATCTTCCCATAAACAAGCTGTTGAAAGTATTAGATTTGGTCATGGGCTGGCAGTTCTCATCCAGAGTGGTCTACCTCCTCTCTTTAGAATGCACAGCTACTTAGCTATGTTCCAATCTTTAGGGTCTAAGCCAAAACTCTAAATCCTATTAAACATTTGTTATAATCCCTTTACCCACAAGGAATTGAATTGCAAAGAGATTTGTTGCAAAATGCTCAAGGTAACTGAGTTTATAAGAACAAAAATCAGATTTAAACCCTGACCTGGTCCTTCTCCCAGGTAGTCTTTTTCATATTCCAGAGGACCCTTCTTAACTGAAGTTGCCTAGGACCATGAGAGAGGAATTACACTTAATTCCATTTGACAGACAGTAAACATAGGCTGAAAAAGTTTAAGAGACTTGCCCAAGATTAACCTGTGGATTATAGGAATTGAATGGCTCACACAGAGGAGGCTACTTCACAATCAATTTAACAAAGGATTATTAAAAATGTGTGGGCAGCCTTAGGAAGCTACAGGGGATGGTGCCATAGTCCAGAACTAGTTAGAAACGAAGAACTAAAGAGAGAAGGGAAGGAGAGAATTGTGTTCAGAAGGCCACCTTGAGAGGAGTCAGGTTGTAGGATGAAGCCAGTCCTAAATCAGAACTCAGGGAGGAGGCTGTACTTCCCACTTCTCCTCTCTACCTCCACTGTCTTCTGGGAGCCAAACCTAGTGTGGAGCTAGAGGGTACTAGAGCCTGAAGTTCTTTCTACAGGTCAGTCTCCCAGAGAAGAGAGCAAGAAAATGAAGGGTAGAGAGTGGATTTGACTTACTCAGCCAGGAGTGGAAGATCTGGGTTTTCAATCTGTGCCTGCCTGCCCCAAACTCTATGCTGCATTTTGTTGGCTCTGCCCTTATTTTGTTATGCGGCTGGGACACTTTCTCTGCATTGTAAACACTCTTCATAAGGGACTTTTCTTACTGTCGTTATAAATGATTCCATCCCAAGCACACATGTGGGACAGTCACATGTGCTTTTAAGTAAAAGCACATTGGCTGAATGAATTAATGGATGGGGAAGATAGGTTTGACGTGCATGGGGACAGTATGAGCAAAGGGAGAGAAACGGTGTGCACTGCAATAGCTCCCTGCATAGGTATTTAAATGAGACAATTCATACAACACTTTTTTTACACATTTTTGTATACAAGGTCCCATTTAAACATCAAATCAACTCTTCAATTATCACTCCCTGATGAGTCCCCCAAGTTTATTTGTTTAGTGACAGTAGCTGAAGAAAATATAAATCCAGATTATCTGGCTCTGAATCCAGTTCTCTTTCAAGAACCCCTCAGTTGAATACAACATGGTGAGATAATAGGATAACCACAATTTATTCTGTCTTTCTCTGTCTCTCTCACAGTCTCTCTCTTTCTCTCTATTTCTCCCTTCCTCTCCATCTCTCACTACCTCTCTTTTGGTTTTCTCCCTGCTATTGATTTATTGTTGAAATCAAATCATTTGTCCTTTAGTATGTCTCACATTCTGGATATATCTCTTTGCTTTCTTGTAGTTTAATTAACTTGTTTATCACATGCTGTATTTCTTGTAAGTGAGCTCTCGTGGCTGGATTTGATAAAGATTCAGCTTGTTTCAAAATGTTCTGGCAAGAAGACACTTCACAAGTGGTGCTGTGTGTTTCACACTAAAGCATATTGGGATACACACAAAATTAGCATGACTATCGCACCTTTCATGAGGCTAAGAATGATTGGTGGGTTTGGGTGTCTTAAGAAAATTTTAATCATCATTATTAATAACTGCTATTATGGGCTGGGCACGGTGGCTCACGCCTGTAACCCCAGCACTTTGGGAGGCTAAGGCGGGTGGATCATGAGGTCAGGAGATCAAGACCACCCTGGCTAACACGGTGAAACCCTGTCTCTACTAAAAATCCAAAAAAAAAAAAAAAAATTAGCCGGGTGTGGTGGTGGGCACCTGTAGTCCCAGCTACTCTGGAGGCTGAGGCAGGAGAATGGCGTGAACCCAGGAGGCAGAGCTTGCAGTGAGCTGAGATGGCGCCACTGCACTCCAGCCTAGGCGACAGAGTGAGACTCCGTCTCAAAAAAAAAAAAATGCTATTATGAAGTTAAGGATCAGCAATATAGTGGGGGCTCTGCTTGGCATCAAACATGTTATCTTGTTGAATCTACACAAAAACTATATGAAAAAGGGATTTCTATCCTCATTTATCAAATGAGAGCACTGAGGTTCAGAGTGGTAGGTGCCTGGAGTCATACAACTCGTGAGTGACAGAGGCAGGATATGAATGCAGATCTAATGGACTCCAGAGTCTGCGTTCTGAACAACTACATAATTGATATTATGTGTGGCTTCATTTCTTTTCAGCATGTTTTCACAGACTAACTTCTACACCTTTTGATTCTTGCACTTTTAATAATCAGTCGGATGGAGTAATTTATACAGTTAACTTACAGCCAGTGTTGGAAAAAGGGTCAAAGAAAGAGGCCCCTTTGGTGCCAACCATGCCACAGAAGAAGCAAGTAAAAGATAACAGGTTGTGGAGCGGGGCACCTAGAATAGGTGGTAGGTGGCAGCAAGCAGCAAAATCGAGAAAAGTGATCTATTGAGATCCTTTTAATTGTACTTTATAAAAACACAACCCAAAATAGCTTAAGGCAAAAGGCCAACTGATTTGCTCAACTCATCAATCTATGGAAAGGCCAGAGGTAGACTGACCTCAGGAATCACTGGACCTAAGAACTAGGCAGAATTCCATTGAATGCTGTCTCCATCTCTCAGCTCTCCTTCTTCATGCTTGCTGGTGTCCTGCTCTCAGTCTGGCTCTCTCCAAATGGCAGGAAGCACTACTACAAGCCCCTCACCTTTACAACTGCATGACCAGAAAGGAAAGAGAATTTTTCTCTTTTTTTTGAGACAGAGCCTTGCTCTGTCTCCTAGGCTGGAGTGCAGTGGGGCGATCTCGGCTCACTGCAACCTCCGTCTCCTGGGTTCAAGCAATTCTCCTGCCTCAGCCTCCTGAGTAGCTGGAATTACAGGCGCCCACCACCATGCCCAGCTAATTTTTGCATATTTAGTAGAGACAGGGTTACACCATGTTGCCCAGGCTGGCCTTGAACTCCTGACATCAGGTGATCTGCCTGCCTCGGCCCCCCAAAGTGCTGGAATTACAGGCGTGAGCCACTGCACCCGGCCGAGAACTTTCTTTTGTCAACTCCAGTGAGGAAAAAAGTTACAGGGAAGGATTCTAATTGGCTGGATTTGGATGAATCCATATAACTGAAGAAGTGAGGCCCTATGATTGGTCCACTTAGGTCATATGTTCCTCCTATAACCAGGGAGACACAGTTTGTTACTGATATGGTTTGGATATTTGTCCCCTCCAAATCTCATGCTGAAAAGTGATGCCCAGTATTGGAGGTGGGGCCTCGTGGGAGGGATTTGTATCATGGAGGGTAGGCCCCTCATGAATGGCAGGCCCCTCATGAATGGCTTAGTGCCATCCCCTTGGTGAAGAGTGAATTCTCACTCTGTTAGTTCACATGAGATCTGGTTGTTTAAAGGAGGCTGGCTCCTCCTCCCTTGGTCCCTCTATGTGACACCCCTACTCCCCCTTTGCCTTTTGCCATGACTGAAAGCTTCCTGAGGCCTCCCTAGAAGCCCAGCAGATGCTGGAGCCATGCTTTCCGTAAAGCCTGCAGAACCGTGAACCAATTAAACCTCTTTTCTTTATAAACTACCAAGTCTCTGGTATTTCTTTATAGCAACACAAAATGGACGAATACAGTTACTGTAAGAAAGGAATGAATTGCATAGACTAGGATACTGAGGATATTATGAGCTGGGCAGTAACTCCAGTCTGCGTTTTTCATACGTTCTTGTTATGAAAAAATGGCAACAGATGATCTTCAGAGGCAGACTCTGGGGTGACTAAAAAGAACAAATTTAGGGGAAGGAAACTGATACTCATTAAACATTCACATGTGCTATATAATATCCTAAGTGCTACATGCATAGCTGATTTAATCTTCACAACAGTACCATAAACTCAACATTTTATTATTCTCATGTTAAAAAATAAACCAAGTCTCATAGAAGTTAAATGATTTGTCCTAGATCAAAGTTATATATATGAAGTCAAGATTTGAATCTAGATTTTTATGGCTCTAATGCTACTCTCCATTATTGAGAGACTAAGGATAGAGAGACAATAGTCAATTATAGACATTTATATATAAAGCAGGTGCTTATTCACAGAAATGAGGCAGGATCCTATTTATGCTATGAATCATCTGGTCAGATTAGAACCAAAATCTAGTCTGATCTATTGCTAAATAAAAGCCGTTTTTCACCAGACAAACCCAAATTGAGGGACATTCAACAAAACACTGAATTCATATTCTTCAAAACTGTAAAGGTCATCAGAAACAAGTAAAGACTGAGATTATAAAGTCCATCTCAATATAGACCAGAGGAGACTCAAGAGATGTGACAAGTAGGTACAATGTGTTATCCTGGATTGGTTCTTGGAACAGAAAAAGGACATTTGTGGAAAAAAATGGTAAAATCCAAAGAAAATCTAAAGTTCCATTAAAAATAATGTACCACTGTTGGCTTCTTAGATTTGACAAATGCGCCATGGTAACGGAAGATATCAACAATAAAGGATATTGGGTGAGGAGTATAAGAGTGCTCCATTATCTTTACAATTGTTTTGTTAAGTTAATCTTTAAAATTGTTTTGTAAATTTAATATTTAATTTAAAATTATCTCAAGATATAAAGTTTATTAAAACTGCTTTCCCCCTTGAATAAGAGCATTATCTGTCATTGCGTCTGGGATGATTCTGCACAGGTAGGGGCTTGCTTCTGATTGGAGTAAAGAAGACTCTGGAGCTCCTGACACAGGGTGTCATGGGTTGAATATTTGTGCTAACCCCTATCCCAACTCATATGTTGAATTTTAGGCCTCCAGTGTGATGGTGTTTGGAGGTGGGACCTATGGGAAATAACTAGATTTGGATGAGGTCATGAGAGTGGGGCCCCATGATGGGATTAGGGGCCTTAAAGAGTTACCAGAGCTCTATCTCTGTCACCATTATGTGAGCACACAGCAAGAAGGCCACCATCAGCAAGCCAGCAAGAACGCTCTCACTAGAACCTAACCATACTGGTACCCTGATCCTGGTATTTCTAGTATCCAGAACTGTGAGAAAAAAATGTGTTGATTAAGCCACCCAAAACACCCTATTTGTGGTACTTTGTTATTGCTGATTAAGACCCCGGAATGGGCCGGGTGCGGTGGCTCGCATTTGTAATCCCAGCACTTTGGGAGGCCGAAGTGGGTGGATCATGAGGTCAGGAGTTTGAGACCAGCCTTGCCAACATAGTGAAACACTGTCTCTACTAAAAAAATACAAAAATTAGCCGGGTGTGGTGGTAGGTTCCTGTAATCCCAGCTACTCAGGAGGCTGACACAGGAAAATCGCTTGAACATGCGAGACGGAGATTGCGCCACTGCACTCCAGCCTGGGTGACAGAGCTAGATTCCATCTCAAAAAAAAAAAGATCCCAGGATGACATACTTTGTTATGGGTGGCAAGCTAAAGAAACAAAACCCTAACATGAAATTAAAGGAAAGTGAGGCAGCTGGTTAATGGTAATGGTGAATTTTTGTTCATATTTCAGATCCCACCCAGGCAAACTTCTCCTCTACAGATGGCCTGCTAACATGCTCTTATTTCAGACTATGACATCTCTAAAGCTAACTTACTCCTGTGCCACATTTGAATCAACAATCTAGGATTATGCCTCAAACAGTGTTTAAAGATATGTAGTCTTTGGAAAAGTTGTCCTGGATCTCACTAGGTGCTTCTTATCTCAGCTTCTGGTCATGGCTTCTCTTAGTTCTCTTGGTTCAGAAACAGCACAGGCCACAGGGGGACTTGCTGATTCCTAGTGGTACCCAGTCTCAAATGCACTGCTTAGATGACTTACTAAAAATGAAGACTGATCCCTCATTAAAGTCTTCATGGACAATAAAACTGCATAACCCATGAAGTATATTATAGACCCTCATTTCTGCCAAGGGTGTCAAATTTTTCACATGTTTCTTAGGCAGCTATAGGAGTAGGTTAAAAGGGGAAAAACAGGGTAGATAACTTAAGTCTGACTAATTGAGAGAAGAGGTGAAATTCTGAGGGTGTGCACAATTGATCCTTCTCTTTCCAGGGTAGAACAGAGGGTCTTGCAAAAAGTGTATAAACTCACAGATTTCAGAGTGGGAAATAGGTTGACCAACAGTCCCAGTGGGCTCAGGACTGAAGAGTTTCCCAGGACGAAAGGCTCTAAGAGCCAAACTGGAACAGGTCCAGTCAAACCGGGATAGTTGGTCACTCATATGAAAGGGACTTTAAAGTGATCTTCTGAGACATAAAGACTCCAAAATATATTCTCTTCTTGGGGCGGGGGGTGGGGGTTGCATATAGCAAATATGTTTTCAGGAAGCAGTGGGGTATAATTGACAGAGCTTGAGCAGGACAGTGGGAAGAGAGGAGGCTAGTCCAACGGACTCACAGTCAGAACACCTGTGTACAAATACTAGCCCCACTGTCAGAAGCTAAGAACACCTGGATAAACAATGTCCGTTCTATTTTAGTTTTCTCATCTGGAAAATGGGGATACTACTAGTACTTCTCATAGGTTTGTCTTGAGGATTAACATTCAATAATGCGGGTAAAGTTCTTGGTATTCTGTTTGGCACATAGGAAATGCTAAATAAATAAATGTTAAATTTTATTATGTTGTTGATACAATTAGCAGTCTGAATTCTTATTCCTAGTACTGCCACTTACCAGCGACGTGGCCTTGGTAATTGCAGCCTCTTCATCTGTAGAGATAATGACGCCTTACTGAGAGGTTAGGAGGTTTTAGTGAAAGCAAGCAAGTGCATAATAGACATGAGAGAAATGAAAGCTTCTCAATTCCTGAGTGGCTCAGGGTTCACATTTTCTTCTCTCACATTTAACTCCACTAGTAGAGTAGAGAGACAATGGGATTTACAGACTGGGCCTTAATCTTGGCCATGCCATTACTAGGGACTAAATTTAGTAACTTTTCCTTTTTTAAAAAGTCGGAGATTTTCTTGGAAGGCTGGGAATTGCTTCTAGAGGGAGTTACCCAAAAGGAGTTGTCAGTCATGTTTCGACAAACGAAATCATACTGGAAGAAGCATGCAATTGTGTTGATAGCTCATTCTATCACCCACATGTTAGCTTTGTCCTTATTCTTCAGTGCTAGTCCCTTCCCAACTATATCTACTCACAATCATTACTAAGCAATGTAGTACACTGAAGGTTGTTTTCAGCACACTGGAGTAGAGGCTGTATAACACTACTCACCACAGACTCCTTCAGATTCCTCCGTGCTGTTTTGCCTCCTCTCTTCTGCCTTCCTCCCTTAGCCTTTCTTCCCCTATTTCCCTCCTATCTTACCTTTGCTTTTCTTCATTTTTGACATTCCCCACCTCTCAACCTTTGCAGTAGAAATTATTATGTGATCCGCAAAGGTGGTTTTCTCTTGCTCTTGGGCACGTAGCTAGACTACATTTCCCAGATGCCTTTGCAGTTAGATGTAACCGTAGGGCTGAGTTTACTCAATGGAACATGAGTAGAAGTGACATGGCCTGGCCCATGAAAACTTCCATGGACAATCCCCTCTCTCTCTTTCTCCCCCTGCTGGTTGGATATTGAAGCTCAGGGACTCTTGGTACTGAAGCCTCTATTAACCTGGCTCCCAGTATGACTGTGGGAGCCAATCAAATCCAAACAGCAATCCTCACCTCTACCCCTTGCTGTCAGAATCATCTTTTGGGGGCTTACGCGGGTGAAAAAAAAAAAAAGGAGAATTGAACTTCATATAAGTGAGAAATAAACTTTCATTTCATTAAGCCAATGAAATGTCAAAGTTGATCTATGTTGTCATTTTATTTTATTTTATTTTGAGACAGAGTTTCGCTCTTGTTGCCCAGGCTAGAATGCAATAGCGCGATCTCGGCTCACTGCAACCTCCGCCTCCTGGGTTCAAGCTATTCTCCTGCCTCAGCATCCTGAGTAGCTGGGATTACAGGCGTGCGCCACCATACCCGGCTAATTTTTGTATTTTTAGTTGAGACGGGGTTTCTCCATGTTGGTCAGGCTGGTCTCAAACTCCCGACCTCAGGTGATCGCCCGCCTCGGCCTCCCAAAGTGCTGGGATTACAGGCGTGAGCCACCGTGCCCGGCCAAAGTTGATCTATGATAGCGGCCAGGCTTACAAAAAATAATATGGCCATGCCCTTAAGGACTCCTCTTCCACCATTTCTGATTTTTCGGTCCTCCAAATCTCTCTCCTCTTAATTACAATGAACAGTGTAGACTGGAGGCAGCCGTTTCCATGTTTGCACACTCAAAACCAATGTAGTACTCAGCAAAGAACACTTAGTGATAAAGAACCATCACCATTAAAAGGAGAAATAGGTTAATTATTTTCTGTGATATACCATCCTTTTATTCAATAAGTAATCACACAAAGTACCTAAATGTGCTCTGCTCTTCTGTAGGCACTCGAGGTAGAGCAATGAAAGTAAACTGCTACCCTCAATAGCTTTTTTGGGGGGTGGGGTCTTGCTCTGTTGCTCAGACTGGAGTGCAGTGACACCATCATGGATCACTGCAGCCTCGATCTCCTGGGGTCAAGCAATCCTCCTGCCTCAGCCTCTCAAGTAGTTGGGACTACAGGTGCACGTCACCACGCCCAATTAATCTTTTGTTTTTTTGTACAGACAAGATCTCATTCTGTTGCCTAGGCTGGATGGGCTTGAGGTGTCCTCAAACAGTCCTCCCACCTTGGCCTCTCAAAGGGCTAGGATTACAGCTGTGAGTCACTGTGCCCAGCCCTGCTGTCAATAGCTCCTGACATAGTGCTAAACTAGACAACTATTCATAAAACACAGTTAGGAAGTTATAAGATTTTATGGGAGCCAAAGGAGGGTTATCATAATTCAACTTGGATCTGAATCAGGGAAATCTTCCTAAGAAGGCCCTGACTTAAATTTCAAAAACCAGGTAAGATTCAGATGAGGGGAGGAGGAAGGGTGTTCTGGTATAAGAATTGTAAGTAAGAAGGCAGTGAGATAGCCTGAGTCCTGGAATCTGCATTTTGAGTAAGGCCAGTGTGAAGAGTGGAAGTATGGGGGATGAGTGTGGCAGGAGATGAAACTGGAGGTTGGACATCATGAAGGACATCAGGCTAAAGATTAATGTGCATCTGACACCGTCTTTCTTGTCACCTCATTAGTATACATTGTCACGATTTCCCAATCGCTACATCAGAAATAATTCCCAGTCCCCATATGTGGCTCTCCTGTGTGCTAAGCACAGTCCGGGAGAGGAAGACACTGCAATGTGATAACTGAGCTTCTCTACAATGCCTCTGAAATGTCACTGTCCTGGGTGTTCTTAGGGCCAACCTCCCTATACATGAATTTGTTGAGGAGCTCTCATGAAGGAAAAACCACAGGGCTGAGGACAGATGGGTTTAGAACACTAAAAATCTAAGTAGGCTAAAGGCTTCTTATCTTCAACCACAATAGTGCCATTACTGTTGCTTCATTTTGTCCTTTTTACTTATACAGCCCTTTACTGTTCCTCGTGGCTTTTATTTACATGACTTCATTTGATCTTCCCTACTGTCCTCTGTGACTCGCAGGATGGATTCTACGATCTCATCAAACAGGTAAAGGGCCTAAGTTCTGGTGTGTTGAGATAATTTGCCTCTCCTCATTTGTAAGTGGTTGATCCAGGGCCAGAATTGCAATGAATAAATATTTTCTCGGCCTTGATCTCCTTGAGACCAAACGTCACATCTTCTAATTGTTGTCACCTTCCCAGTGCTTCATTATAGGCACTTAACCTATACTTGCTGACTTAACTTGAAATAGTAATTAAGAATATGGGTTTTGAGGCCGGGTGTGGTGGCTCATGCCTGTAATCCCAGCACTTTGGGAGGCCGAGGTGGGCAGATCACCTGACGTCAGGAGTTTGAGACCAGCCTGGCCAACATGGTGAAACCTCGTCTCTACTAAAAATACAAAAATTAGCCAGGCATGGTGGTGCATGCCTGTAATCCCAGCTACTTGGCAGGCTGAGGCAGGAGAATCACTTGAACCCAGGAGGCGGAGGTTGCAGTGAGCCGAGATTGTGCCACTGTACTCCACCCTGGGCAACAAAGTGAGACTCCATCTCAAAAACAAAACAAACAAACAAACAAAAAAGAATATGGGCTTTGAAATCAAAGGAGACTTGGATTCAGCATCTGTTTTTTGTTTGTTTGTTTTGAGTTTGTAGGCAGATTGTTTTTTTTTTTAACTTTTATTTTAGGTTCAGGGGTACATGTGCAGGTTTATTATATAGATAAATTTCATGTCAGAAGGGTTTGAGGTACAGATTATTTCATCTCCCAAGTACTAAGTAGAGTACCCAATAGGTAGTTTTTTGATCCTCACCCTCCATGCACCCCCCACCCTCCAGTAGGCCCTGGTATCTGCAGATCCCTTCTTTGTGTCCATATATACTTGACATTTAGCTCTCACTCATAAGTGAGAACACAGCATCTGGTTCTTGAAATACTTGGGCAAGTCATTTAACCTACCAGAGAAGCAGGTTTTTTATTTATAAATACACTATTAATACTTTCTGATATGGCTGTTGTGAGAATCAAATGAGATGATGTAAATGAGGCACTTAGCATAGAGTCTGGCATGTAGAATTGCTGAAATATGGTAAGGATTATTACTAACTTGATCACTGTTTCTTGTCGGTTATTTTTTTATTATGCAAAAAATTAAATGTATTTAAAAGTAGGCCGAATAATACAGAGACCTACTGCATAACTAAATACAAAGCTTCAAAAATTATCAGCTCATGGCCAATTTTGTTTCATCTCTATCCCCATCTTTTTTTATTCTTTCAATTATTATTATTATTATTAATTATTATTATTATTTTGGAGACAGGATCTTGCTCTGTCACCCAAGCTGGAGTACAGCTGCACAATCATAGCCCACTGCAGCTTTGAACTCCCGGACTCAAGCAATCCTCCTGCCTCAGCCTCCTGGGTAGCTGGGACTGCAGGTGTGTGCCACCATGCCCTACTAAGCTTCCTTATATATTTTTTGAGACAGAGTCTTGCTCTGTTGCCCAGGCTGGAGTGCAGTCATGCGATCTCGGCTCACTGCAACCTCTGCCTCCTGGGTACAAGCAATTCTCTTGCGTCAGCCTCCCGAGTAGCTGGGATTACAGGTGTGTACCACTAGGCCTAATTTTTATATTTTTAGTGGAGATGAGGTTTCACCATGTTGGCCAGGCTGGTCTCAAACTCCTGACCTCAAGCAATCTGCCTGCCTTGGCCTCCCAAAGTGCTGAGATTGCAGGGGTGAGCTACCATGCCTGGCATGTGCAAGAAGTCTTACAAAATTTTGGGAAGAATGGTGTGGTGGACACACCTAAAGGTGACCCGCAGTGACTTACCTCTTCTGTTCATTGTGGGCAGAAACTGTGAATCACTTCTAATCAGCAGAGTATGGTGACGGTGACGGAGTGTCACGCCCTTGGTTTGGCTATGTTATATGAAAAAGACTGTCTCTCTTCTCTAAGGCTTAAGAAGCATTTTCCAGGGAACTTCTAAGTTAGCTGAAAAGCCAACGTTTGCTCTGAGGAGTATTGCTGTGCCATAATACTCTTCTGGCATTACCTGACTCTTCAGTGGAGAAAGTCTAGTATTTTTGCAGTCTGCTGGATTTGACTGGCGGACCTGCACAAGAAGTGCCAGGAGAGAGATAAGTTAACTCTATCTAATTTCATGTAAAGGTCTAGTAAAAAAAAAAAAATTCCTCCTGCATAGAGTGAGGATATGAGTCACAGCAGAGAGACTTTCAACCTGAGAGACTAGAGAGCACGCCCATGTACTAAGTCAGGTGACATCGACTTGCACTCTCACCAATAGTAGAAATTAAGAGCTGGACTTCAGAGTACAGAAAAGGAAGGAGTCCTGAAATACCTGCTTTTTCAAGGTGTAATTACCCCAAAGAAAAACTAAAAATTTTCTTGGGATACCAGGGAAACCGAGGCACATGAGTGTGTGACATAGGCATACACACATACACACACATACTGTCAGACACATACAGTCACAGAATCCAGGACTTTGCAGTATAATAATCCAGGACTTTGCAGTCAGAAAATCTTTAATTTTTAGAATACATGTAATGAGGCTGGGCACAGTGGCTCAAGCCTGTAATCCCAGCACTTTGGGAGGCTGAGGCAGGCAGATCACTTGAAGTCAGGAGTTCGACACCGGCCTGGCCAACATGGTGAAACCCTGTCTCTACTAAAAATACAAAAATTAGCTGCGTGTGGTGGCGCACACCTGTAATCTCAGCTACTCAGGAGACTGAGGCACGAGAACTGCTGGAACCTGGGAGGCAGAGGTTGCAGTGAGACAAGATCCCACCACTACACTCCAGCCTGGGCAACAGAGCAAGAGTCAGTCTCAAAAAAAAAAAAAGTATACATATAATGTTTACCTTTTATCCTTTGCAAGAGATATAGGAACAACCACTAGGAATTTTTCTTTACTTTTCTCCCTAAAAGTCTGGAGGGACCCTATCAACACTGGGAGATGCTCTTGTTCATGGCTCTCTCCAAGACCCCTCCAACATCTGATGACGGCAAAAGTGCAGATACATATCAGTTCTGCTCAGGCATCTGTTGTCCATCTCTTCTTGGCTCCCTCCAGTCTCCAGAGATACACAGACTTGGGAATACTTTGAGGTGCAGGAGCCTTCTAGAACACCCAGGTTATTTCCATCATTTGAGAGAGGAGGGAACCAAACCCTGGAGGAGTGGAGCAATGTGATCAAGGCCACAGAGCCACTCAGATGCGGAGCTAAGACCAGCAGCCACAGCCTTGTCCTCTTCCCACCCCTTCCCTGTTGCCATTCCACATATGCTGGAGGAAAAAGGTGGGTGGACATTCAAGAAATGCAAACTCATGCTAATGTTTGAATATTAAATTTTAATATTGTAATTTTAGCCTGAAACAAAACAGTATTAAAAAGGTACATCTGCTGCAAAAAATTAAATAATGCATTTCTGGCCTCAATACACATGACTGAGTAATTTGGCCCTGTGAATTTCTTCCTGGTAGCAGGGTTGGCCTGGAGAGGGTGGGCAGAGAGGCAGCAGGGCTTCCTGGGACCTCCTGTCTTTTAAAAAAAATTTTTTTTAACTTTTAAAAATAGGGAACGCTTCACAAATTTGTGTGTCATCCTTGCACAGGGGCCATGCTAATTTTCTCTGTATCGTTCCAATTTTAGTATATGTACTGCCAGAGCGAGCACCTGGGGCCTCTCTTCTACTGGGCATTTCTTCCTTTCCTGCAGTTTCACTCCTTGCAGGCTTCTGCTTCCACATGGTGGACCCCAGTTGTTTTGTGTTCTTAAGGGCACCTTTTTGTCATCACAGCTGACGTTTCATGTGATCACCAGGTAACTCATTTTATTGGTTTGTTAGGGCTGCCAAAACAGTGGACTATTAACTGAGTGGCTTAAACAACAGAAATGTATTTTCTCACAGTTCTGGAGGCTGGAGGTCCAAAATCAAGGCGTCTGCAGCATTGGCTCCTTTGAGGGCTGTGAAGTGTGAGACAAAGCAGCAAATGCAAAAAGCCGTATTTGCTCACTTCTGCTTGCTAGCATAATTTCACAAAGCCCCTGATGCTGTGACAAAGTGCAGCTCTCTGGGAGGATTCTTTGAAGACAAAAGAGGGTAGAGCACATGACCCCGTCTCTTGCCTGAGTCACTAAATTCCTTAAAAGATAAATGGCCCTAGCCCTTGCCTTTTCCTACACTTTATAAAACAACGTCTGATGGAATTAGTGATTATGCCTCTGTAGTCTTTAACCAGAGGTACTCTGATGTACCTCTGGTTAATCTTGATGTAATTCTGCTTTAATGTAGCTTCTTGGCAAGTTTGATGTGATTTTGCCCATATTAAACCTCCACCACCTGTATACGGGCATTGGCTTAAATACTGTGTTGGGGCAGTCTGATAGGACCTCTCTAAAGGGCTGCTCCTGGGCTATTGGCCTCAGTCTGTGGTCCTCAGTAATGCTTCTGAATGAACCTACCTTTAATTCTTTAAAAGCTTCATTTTTTCTTTAGTCCACAGAAGGAGAAATCTTTCCTAGGCTTCTCTCACTGATCTGCAATGGCTATCCCCTCCTTGTGTCTTCACATCATCTTCCCTCTGGATGCGTCTGTGTCCAAATTTCCTCTACTTACAAGGACACCAGTCCCTGTAAGTATATATATTTACTAAGTATCTATATTTACCAGTCATTTTAAGTATACATATTAGATTAGGGCCCACCCATTAACCATTTTTGCTTGATTACCTCTGTAAAGACCCTATCTCCACATAAGGTTATATTAAGGTTACATTCTGAGATACTAGGTGGGGCACAGTTAGGGCTTCAATATATGAATTTGGTTGCAGGTGTTGGGGGGATACACTTCAACCAACAACCCCCAGCCAAACTGGTAGCCTGCTTGCAGTGGGTAGGAGGAGATGGGACTGGTTCTCACTGCTCTCAGCCCACCATTGTCCACCTGCATGAGCTGGGGCAGGTCCCTGCATCTTTGCAAGCCTCTGTGCCTATGCTTTAAAATGATCAGAAGTCACACCTGCTTCTCAGAGCAGTGATGACAAATAAACAGGATAACATTTGGAGACAGCCCTAGGACGACATCTGATACATTAGAGACTCTCAATAATTGTTCACATTCCTACTGTTGTCCATAATGAGAGAATATTCACAGATAAGAACCCATTCTACTCACTAAAAAAGAAACCAGAACAAAGCACACATACACACCTGCCCTTAGAAACTTCTGTTCAAATGAAACTTCATAAATAAAAACAAACAAAACCAAGAGGTAAAATAAAGAAAGTAGAGTGGTGACTCAAGTATGGGGCAACCCAGGCCCCCTCTGAATATTTACAGTCAGAGAGAACACTTGGCCATAATTTCTTTCATTGCTTCTCTAATTAAGCAGAGTGACTGCTTGGATATTTTGTTAAAAATAATAAAAACAACAACATTGTGTTGTTTTTCTTACAAAATGAATATGTTTACTATATTATGAAATGTAATAAAAAGTCATATTTATATCACATATTTGGGACTATCATGTCATATTTTCAATAAAAACCTGTTGCCTTTTTTTGTAAAAAGTTAAATCATTTAATAATTGCTATTTGATAACATCTTCATATTAACACATGTTGACAATGTACCCTGAACATCTTCTTATGTTAATACATATTCTTCTCTATATTTTTTAATAGCTACATAGATTTTTGTTGTATGAATAATGAATCATTATTTACTTAGCTGTTCATTACTGATGGACATTTATATTCTGCTTTTGAATTATTGTATTTTTATTAGAAACAAATGCATTGATGAGCATCCTTCATCTTTTGACATCTCCCTGTTCTTTCCACTGGAGGGTTATTAAACTTTAGATGTGTAGACCCAAACAGGGTAGCTGGGATGGTGGGAGATGAAAGGGAAAGGGACAACTTACTCGCAGAGCTCCATTCATAATAGTAAAGGGAGTTATGCAAGGGTTTATAGATACATCGGGAGAGATTCATTATGTCTATGCTTCAAATGAATCAGTTACCAAACTGTTCCTGAAAAAAACAACTGCTAGCAGGACATTCCCAAATAATGGGGAGAAAAAAACTTAGTCATTAGAATTCAGAATAAGCTGCAAATGAGTGATAGAGGACTCTGGAGAGAGTGCCTGATTGGAGGGAAATGCCCGAGGAAGGAAGCCTGAAGAGGGAAGAGCAGCCTTCCTCTGTGGTTTCACACCAAAGGGTATATTAGTCTGTTTTCACACTGCCATAAAGACCCACCCGAGACTAGGTAATTTATAAAGGAAAGGGGTTTAATTGACTCACAGTTTCCCATGGCTGGGGAGGCCTCAGGAAACTTACAATCATGGCAAAGGGGAAGAGGTACGACTTACATGGCAGCAGGTGAGAGAGAGAGGTGAGTGAAGGGGTAAGAGCCCCTTATAAACCCATCAGATCTCATGAGAACTCACTCACTGTCATGAGAATAGCATAGGGGAAACCACCCCCATGATCCAGTCCAGGTCTCTCCCTTGACACGTGGGGATTACAATTCAAGATGAGATTTGGGTGGGGACACAAAGCCAAACAATATCAAGGGGGCTCTTACCCAGAAAGTGCTGCATGAGACCCAAGATTGCCTTCAGTAAGGAACCACTTCACAATTGTTTGTGCTTTTGTCTTTATTGAGCTTTGAGGGCGGGGAGGCACGTGGCCAGGTTTTTGATCCTGGTGCTTCAGCTGATTTTGTTGTGGAAACTTAAGCAAGTCAATTATTGTTTCTGGGCTGAGCCTTCTAAATCTTTAAAATAAGGATACTGGGTAAGAAAATAAATAAGGTCCTTTTTAGATTCTTTATTTTTAAAAAGTCCAAGCCTTCTAAGAATTCACAGAGAAAAAAGTAACAATTTCATAAATCAGGAGTTACACAGAGGGTAGGAGAGGAAAAGTGCAGGATCCAGGGCTTCACCAAAGTTTATTAAGCATCCTCTCCCGCATTTATTATAATCCCATCACTCATGCTCTCTCTTCTGGGTCCTGTCAAATTACTATTCACATCAGCTGACTAATTTTGTCTGAAAAGGGAATGGAAAATCTCCATGTCATCTGATACACTTTTGCTTTGATGGATAAGGCAGAAGTTCCAAAGAGAGTGTTAGGCAGGAAAATCCGGCTCCTTCAAACTAATTACTGCATATCTGATTTATTTCCCTCCTTAATGCTGTTTATTTTGTTTTTATTCAAAATATAAAATTGCTCCCTGAGTTGGGAGATTAATGGCTTTCTTCTCCTTCAGCAACAGATCATTTGTGGGCCCCGGTTATAAACAGGAGGTTAGAATCCATGACTCATTGTTTTTTCCCTTTTCATACAGGATATCCCCTGAGATTAACTGTGGTTACTTTTTTTTTTTTTTTTAAGTTAGAGACATTAACGTCTAATTATTTGCTGGTTGTTATAGTAGAGGTTTTTGTTTTTAGGAAAATGTAAAGGTTTTCTTCTGTGCCTTCTTCCTGGAAGATTTTTGTGGTTCAATAAACTAGAATTTTAAACATCACTGGGCAATGACTTGATTGATTGCATTTTTGATGGATTCTTCTCTTCATTAGTTTAATAAATATGCATTTATCGCATGCTTACTCTGTATAAGTGATGTGAACATTCAGTCTCTTGGATGCATCAGGGCTCTGAGTCTGAGGGCGGGAGGAACACAGAGGCAGGAAATTGCTACCCAGGTTGATTTGTTGTGTGCTTGGAGTTTATTCATTTGTTTATTATTTATTTATTCACTGATTCATCCAATGTCCACTGCAGTCACATTTCCTGCTGGGGTTTTACACAAGTATGGTACATCTGGCATTCATTCCTTCATTCATTAACAAAAACAACAACAAAGCACAATCTCCAGCTAGGTGTCACTTTCCAGCTAGACCATAGAATATGGATGGAGAGAGGAAGGTAATTATGAAGGGCTTTGCATGACATGCTTAAGAAACCTTGACTTAATTCAATACCTTGTTTTTTTTCTTTTTCTTTATCTGTGCTTTATGTTACTTCCTAGCTGTTTGCCTTGGGACAAGTTACTTAACCTCTCTGTACCTCGGTCTCCTTGTGCATTAAATGGTGTACCCATCAGTGCTCAGTTAAGAAAGTAGATTGCACTGGAGGTATTTCCAGCAGAGAGGGATTTAATACAGGGAGTTGGTTACAATCTTTTGGAAGAGGTAGAAGAGTAAAAGGGAGAAGGGAGAAACTCAGAGGCCAGGGAGCTCTTCCCAGCCTTTGACAGAAGCCCAGCCTGCATGTGCTTCTGATCTTCTGGAGGTGCAGTTGCTGTTACTGCTATCAGATGGTCCCTGAAGCTGTGCAGGGGGCCAGAAGTTGCACTTCCGCTGATGTGTCACCACTCGGGGAGGCATTTGTGAAAGCAGGGGTAAAACAAAACCAAAACAATGCAAAATCAAACTTCTCCTTCCCTCCAGCATTTGAGTCCTGTCCCAAGGCTTTTCACTGGCAGAGCCCAACCAGAAGGCAGCTGATCACAGCCTATGAAGTGTAGTTTGCAGGCTTCCACACCCCCTGCATTATAAAGATGAACATAGGAAGTCAGGAATGAAGCTGACAGCTAACAGACAAATAACCAGCATACGTGAGGACAATGATGGCACCTTCCTTCTGTGCTTGCTGTGAGCTAATAAGTTGAAGTATGTAAAGGCATTTAGATAAATGTCTGGTGCATAATTAACAATGGCTATTAGCTATTATTACTTATCTAATGACTCCAGGGAGTCAGGGAAAGATGTGTAAACAGAGTAGTAACAGAATCAGATTTATGTTTTAGAAAGCTGAACAGGGGGCCACAGAACAGTATGAACTTTAATAGGTCATGTGAGAGGCAGGGACCACTTAGGAGGTGGTTAGGATTTCAGTGCAATAAGGACAGAGAAGAGGAAATTGATTACAGCATTATTTAGGCTATAGAATGATCTAGACTTAGCAATCGATAGAATTGCTAAGAAGGAGGGCAGTCCCAAGATGCTTCCAAATTTTGGATATGGGTGATTGTATGAATAGTGGCTGGTCTCATTTTTCATCATTATGTCACCAGGGTGGGAATGGAATGTGTCTAATTGACCATTGACTCCCCACAACTAGGATAGTGCTTGGCACACTGCATGTGCTTGATAAATAGTTACTGAATGACCCAATGAAGAAATAATCTAATTTTCTCACTTTATTAAAAAAAGGAGATTGAAGCATGGAGCCAAGCAGTCATTTTTCCAGAGTTCTAGAACTGATTACTAGCGGAGTCACACACCTGAGACTTCTTATGTTCGTTGCACTTTGCAGTGATCGCACAGACCCACGAAGGAAACATAATTCCACCAACACACAAAATCATTAGTCCCTATGCTAATTGTAATCCAGGAACAGCTAGAGACTGGATTCCCATTTTTGAAGAGAGAATTAGGGCAGGGAGTCTCCTAGGCGGAGAGTAGCCATACAAATTAACATAATGCTTGCGAACATTTGCACGGGATACTTTTCAGAAAATAAAAGGAAGTCAGCTTCATTAATTGAACAAGCATTTGCAATCTACCTGGCCAGTCTATGCTAGGAGATAGGATGTGCCTTCAAGTAAGATGTGTCCCTTCCCTTGAAGGACTTCCTATAAGGAACACAATCTTTGAAAATATGTTTCAGGAGCTCTTCTGGATTTGAAAAGGTAGAACTTTAGAAGAAGACAAAAAAAATCTCCCTTGAAGTGCTATGCCCCTCTCACAGTGGATGCTGTAGCTTCTGGGATTTTTTTTTTTTTTTTTTTTTTTTTTGCAAATAGAACAGATGAAAGTCAGGGTGCATTTGAGTCCAGCCGGGGCACCAGGACCTTTCCACCACTCTTCACAAAAAGGTGTGTGGGTGTCCTGCATCTCTGTCATCTGGGATGGCTGCTAGGGTGTTGATTCTTGGGCCCCCAACCAGACCTACTGAAATACAATCTCATGGGATAGGAGCCTTTGGCAAGGAGGATGTCAGTGATTGGCTAACAGGATGAAGCCAGATTAAGTATTTCTCAGCCTTCTGCCTAATTAGAAGCAAAGTTACACACCTGAGATTTCTTATATCTATTGCACTCTGCAGTGACCACACAGACCCCACAAAGGAAACAAGAACAGTAGCAATAATTTCTCAGCCTTCTGCCTGAGAAATGCCTAATCTGGCCCCATCAAGCCAGTACCCTTACCTGTTAGCCAGCCCCTGACTTCTTTCTTCCCCTCAAGGCAAAAGTAGTCTCTCCTATCCTTTAATCTTTCTTTCTTCCTCTGGGCCCTCATTGCGTGCTGTACATATTTGTACACTTGTTTGTCTTGTCACGAGCCTTTCTTTCCTTTGTGATGACAGGAGTCATTGTCAAACTGAAATTCCCCAACTCTCCAAGGAACTATGTTCAAGTTCCTGAATGTGCTTTGCCCTTTCTTGACTTTAAGCCTCTTGACTTTAAGTCCTCTGTCCATTTCTTTGTTTTGTTGTTTTTAATCATCTTTCCAAACAGCTCAAAATATTCTTTTCCAGGAATCCTTTCCATACTGCCTCACATCCTTTGTACTCCCTCATCTGAGTATTTCTCTTTACAATGAAACTTTCTGCCTTTTTGGTCTCTCACACTTGACTCTGCACTCCCATGAAGGGAGGAGTTGGAGTTGGATTCTTGGTGTTCCCAGATTCTGGTCTGTAAAGTAAGTATCCATGGAGTTAAATGGCACAGAGTTGACCAGTCAGCTACATGTCATGTCCTGGCACATGAGCTTTGTCCCGTGCTCTAGGGAGAGAGAGAAGGATAAACTTTTCCATCTGGACCATGAAGCCAGCTTACCAACACCTGCCACTTCTGGGCAATGTGTCCTAGGGATGGGTGAGCCTTCTTGTATCTGCAACTTTGGGTGACTGTTCCTGTTTAAAGATCTTGCAGATAGGGAGGTAAGTACCCACCATCCCCAGGACTCAATGCCCTTTCCTTGCCCTGGGTAACTTGGCTCTAAGAAGTGGTGATGAGGCTTTTCTCTTCCCCCAGTCACTGCAGAGGACACGCTTCTCTACCCTTCTGTCTCAGAAACGAGATCTGTCTCCAACTCACTCAGTCGTTTGTTTTCTGGGATTTGGAGCAGAATTAATTAGCTTGGAAAAACACTAGGACAATGCTAAGTATTATTAATGACACAACAGTTCCTTCCTGCAGGGGATGGGTGGTTCCTGGTTCACTTGGCAGCTCTTAAAGATGGACCCAGTTTTTTCCATCTTTAATCTAACAAGCTCTGCTCCAGGCCGTGGGACACTCTGTCCCCAGCCACTTCCAGTCAGGGTTGTTGCCAGGAACTCAATTGTATCATAATGGGGTTGGGTTCCAGGCTCCTGCCCAGTCTGTGGCAGATGAAGTCGAAGGACTTAGGCATGTCTCCTTAACGTGAGAGAGAGCACCTAAAGGATGCAATATGGAAGTAAAAGTAATGGGAATTAAGCAAGTTGTGTTCCAGGAAATATGCTTGGCACTTTTACACGTAATCTCACTTAATTTAATCCTCATCATAGCCCCATAAGGTAGATATTGCCTTCCCTAGTATACAGATAAAGAAATGAGCTGGGCATGGTGGCTCACGCCTGTAATCCCCAGCACTTTGGGAGCCTGAGGCGGGCAGATCATGAGGTCAGGAGTTTGAGACCAGCCTGGCCAATGTAGTGAAACCCCATCTCTATTAAAAATACAAAAATTAGTCTGGCATGGTGGCTCGTGCCTGTAATCCCAGCTACTTGGGAGGCTGAGGCAGGAGAATCACTTGAACCTGGGAGATGGAGGCTGCAGTGAGCCGAGATCATGCCACTGCCCTCCAGCCTGGTCAACAGGGCGAAACTCTGTCTCAGAAAAAAAAAAAAAAGGACACTCATAAAGGATAAGTGCATTCTCCAAGGGCACATTACTAATAACTACCAGAGACAAGATTTATACCTAGCTTAGTTTGACTTTGAAATCATTACTGCTTCATTCCCTATAATGAGTTGGGGTACCAAAAAAAAAAAAAAAAAAGGCCGGGCGTGGTGGCTCACGCCTGTAATCCCATCAGTTTGGGAGGCCAAGGTGGGCAGATCACTTGAGGTCAGGAGTTCAAAACCAGCCTGGCCAACATGGCAAAACCCTGTCTCTGCTAAAAATAGAAAAATTAGTTGGGTGTGGTGGCGGGTGCCTGCAATCCCAGCTACTAGGGAGGCTGAGGCAGGAGAATTGCTTGAATGCAGGAGGCAGAGGTTGCAGTGAGCCGAGATCTCCGAGACCGTGCCACTGCACTCCAGCCTGGGTGACAGAGCAAGACTCCATCTCAAAAAAAAGAATAACAATAAACAAAATAAAAAATAAAAAGAAATCACAACTGCTCATCCAGCAGGTGACCTGTCATGTAGCACTGATATGCATACTCTGCATGGACTTGATGGCACAGACCTGCTTTACCACAGGTCCCAAATCACAATAGGGTTTGTCCCTATCCCTACCCCGAACTCTGTTCCCTCCGTAAGTCTTCTCTGGGCTTAGTACTTGGCCCCATCATGGATCTGACAGCCCATGCCAAACTCATTCAGTTTCTTCCTCTTTTTTGTCCAATCTCCACTGGGATCTCCTCCTCATTTGGATTTCTACAGCAAATGAAAGACCATTTGAGTTAATGATTAGAGTTAGCACGTGTTGGGATCAAATACCACTCTGTCATTTGATAACTTTGTGCATTGGGAAATATATTTAGCAATTCTGTGCCTCTGTTTCTTTATCTCTAAATTGGAAATAATGATATTTAACTCACATGGTTGCTGTTCCCTAGAACCTTTCCTCTTTACTCACCTCTCCAGCCACGGCAGGCATCAGCTCCTTCAAGGAGCCTTACATGACTTATTGCATTAAGTCAGGGGCTCTCCCTCTGTGCTCTGATAATGCCCTATGTATTTATTATTATTATTATTTTAATAAAGATGAGGTCTCAGTACTCGCTATGTTGTCCAGGCTGGTCTCAAATTCCTGGGCCTTAGTGATCCTCCCACCTCAGCCTCCCAGAATGCTGGGATTACTGGAGTCAACCACTGGCCTCTTGAATTAATTACTGACCTCTTGAATTGTACTCACCACATTATGATATAAGAACCTATTACACTTGACTAGACTGTAAGCTTTTAAAACAGAGACTATGTATGGTTGACCTGTGGTTTCCCCAATAACCAACATGGGTCTTGGCATATGGTGACCCTTCAATTAAAACTTGTTGGAAATTGAATGAATAAATGAAGTGATCCTTGAGCTGAGTTTTAAAAAATGAGTAGGTGCTCATCAAGCAGATAGAAGACCAAGGGGTGGAAGGACAGCCATCCAAATAGAAGGGGCTACACGAGCGAAGATTTGCAACCTGGAGCATTCAGGGATTGTTGGGGGAGCTGAGAGCCTCTGGCAATGGCTAAGACACAGGGTGCAAGTCAGGGAAGCAGAGCAGCTTGAGCAGACGGCCCTTCAGCTTCTAGGATCAGCATTTCAGAAGCCTTTAGTCTCAGGCTCCATTGAGGCTTGAAGGAAACAAAATATTGGTTCAGCTCTGAGAGTGTTTTGTTGTTTTGGTTTGTTCCAGTTGAATCACTTTAGATAATGCATTGATTTGGTCACACTTTGAAGCCATCCAGTATGGCATATTTGAAAAAAAGAAAAACAAAAATGAAAACAAAATACTTTTGATTCAAGTCACAGTTCAGGAAAAAGACTTTGGTTCCTTAATTCAAAAAAGCATTTAAAACCATTTTGGTATTTCTGAAATTGTCATCCATCATTAAAACTATTTTATCTGTGTCTCAGGGGCAGGGTCACACTATCTTTTTCTTCACATATTTCTGGGTCCCCTCGAATGTGAATCTCTTCCCCCTTGGAAGTATTAGGAAGGTGATGTCTAATTTTTCTCCCTCTCACTGCTTCTTAAGGAACCTTTATGAGTTCAGGGTTTTTTTTCAAATCTTGACCAATTGAAAACTTTGACCAGGGGTCATGAAATCAATAAAGGTTGAGATCTACATAAAATAAAATACAGACACTATTGTAACTATTGTTGCTAAAACAATTTTAATTTGATCATGTGTGTATACGTGTGTGTATGTGTCTTTGTGTTTGTGTGTCTGTGCATTGGGCCATGGATATAAAACACGTCTCCTGCCTTTCTGGCTGCTCTAGAGAATAAAATGACCAACCAAAAAACATATCTCTTCTTGTGGGTTGATATTGTTTGGCTCTGTGTCCCCACCCAAATCTCATCTCAGATTGTAATACTGGCCAGGCACAGTGGCTCATGCCTGTAATCTCGGCACTTTGGGAGGCTGAGGCAGGTGGAGCACCTGAGGTCAGGAGTTTGAGACCAGCCTGGGCAACATGGCGAAACCCCATCTCTACTAAAAATACAAAAATTAGCTGTGCATAGTGGCATATGCCTGTAATCCCAGCTACTCGGAAGGCTGAGGCACAAGAATCACTTGAACCCGGGAGATGAAGGTTGCAGTGAGCCAAGATCATGGCACTGTACTCCAGCCTGGGTGACAGACCGAGATGCCATCTCAAAAAAAAAAAAAAAAATTGTAATCTCCATAATCCCCACGTGTTGAGGACCTGCCTGGTGGGAGGTGATTAGATCATGACAGTGGTTTCCCCTGTGCTGTTCTCATGATAGTGAGTTAGTTCTCACGAGATTTGATGGTTTTATAAGTGTTTGAAATTTCCCCCAACACACACTCACTCTCTCCTGCCACCATGTAAAATGTGCCTGCTTCCCCTTCTGCCATGTTTGTAAGTTTCCAGAGGCCTCCCCAGCCATGCAGAACTGTGAGTCAATTAAACCTCTTCCCTTTATAAATTACCCAATCTCGGGTAGTATCTTTATAGCAGTGTGAAAATAGACTAATACAGGGGTCTTGGTCAAAACATTAAGAACTTCTGCACTAGTTGGTGTATATTAACTGGGTTGGACCTTCACTGGCCACTGCTCCTGCACTGTCTGCCTGTCTTCATTTCTTCAGGCCACTTGGCTGCTTAGTTAGTGTGATGTTTCTTCCATTTGCTTCATCTTAAACAAAGTAGGCACACCTGGATCCAGGACCTCTTCTAGGGGAAGATCCAGAGGCCTATGGTTTCTCAGCTCCTCTGTTAGGGTTGGACCACACTGAAGTTCTCTATGCTGCAGACTGAGGAGTGAGTTCCTGGCAGGACAGCTGCAAAGAATTGAGCAGTTTGTGTGCTGACAAAAGCACCCAGTCACTCATAAGGACGAGCAGGGGGTGAAAAGCAGCCCTTACTTGGTGTGCCAAGCCATGAGCCTATGTGGCTGCCTTCACCCAGAAATGACATCTTGTCTACTGCATCCAAAGGTTCCAGATAGGTTGGTCGTAAGCCTGTTGCTCTGCGGATTCCACTTAAGGTAGTAGGGAGATCTAGATCTGGAGGAAGTGTGTAAAGCTTTCTTTTTGGCAGCAGATCCCAGCCGTAGCTCTATAGCCCAACCTCATCCATGAGGTTGATTTTTTATTTCCTAGCTGACACTAGTAATTTTTCTCAATGGGCTTACTAACTAAGAAGAAGAAAGCAGGAAGGCTGTAATTATAACCTCTGAGAAACTACAACATCTGTGTGCACACTTAATGAAGGGTTAGTTCCCCACTCTCCCATCTCTTTCTGGAAGTCTTTTATTAAAGCAATGTGTGTCTTAACAGTGGTGATGTCTTGCAGTCAGACATGTAAGACATGGTATTTGGGCTTTGTTTAGTTCCACATATTGCTGTGGGTTTTTCCAGTTTGGACTTGCTTTTTCCTATTGTTCTCAACTGGTGCCTCAACTCAGAGCTGGAGCCTCTGTGTTTGTGAGAAACTTTTTTTCCATCTCTTCCTTTCTTTCCTTTAAACCTATTTTCTTCTTTTTCCTCCTCTTTCTCTTCTCTCCTCCCTTAGTCCCTTTCTTCCCTTCTCAAGTATTTATTGAGTATAAACTTTGTGTAATCCATATTCTTATTCCAGGAAGATTATAGTATACCCTGTAATAAACATATAGAAACAACAAAAAGTGAATGCAAAGAAAGGCATTTTTATAAATCTGGTCTCTTGAATCCAGCCCATGCCTTTTTCCATTTTACAGAGGGAGTTTGTTGTAATTATAATAGAAAGGAGACAAGCTGGGAATTGAATACACATGCATTGGGATGTATTTTCTACCATTATACATTGATTTACCTTTTGAGCCTCAGTTCTTTAATCAGTAAATGGAAATAAATTGGAAAGACTCACTGGGGATTGATTTATTTTTCCTCTTCCAAGTGAAAAGGACAAATGAAGCCATCGGAAGAAGTTATCTAGTACTTTCAGAAAAGGTGGAGGTGAAAGGTCACCCTTTGGCTGATCTGCAGGGTCTTTGGTAGGCATGCAGATGTATGTCAGATGGCTATACCCAAAGGAAAAGGTGAAAATGAAATTATATTTTCATTTAAATCACTCCACATGGACTGTGGCCAACTGCTCCTTGGGACAGGCAGAGTTCTGGGGAAGAGGTAGACCAATTTGTTCAAGGGGCCCAGGTGGTATGCTGAGGAAGAAGGACTAATGCCTTCCCCAATCCCTTCTACAAAAATTCCAAGTTAGAAAGAGTTTGTTGGTGAGCAAAGAGGCCACAGCCTTCTGTGAGGTAGGTGAAGGCAATGGGGCAACTAACAGTAAGTTTTGCTATTGGTTTTCTAGGGCTGTTGTAACAAATGACCACAAACTTGGTGGCTTAAAACAGCAGACATTTATTTCTCATAGTTCTAGAGGCTAGGAGCATGAAGTCAAGGTGTTAACAGGGCCACACTTTCTCTCAAGGATCTAGGAGAGCATCCCTCCCTGCCTCTTCCTAGCTTTTGGTGCATGCTGGCAGGCTTTGGCATTACTTGGATGCTGGAATCACACCCCACAGACTCAGAGCCCTCCTGGATCTGCCTTGTATCTGGGAATGTCTTCTGTTTGGTTGCTGAAAGCACTGGTAACCAAGCAATAATGCCCGAGGTTTGGGCCTGTTGGATATGGGTTTCTCATGTAATCCTGGGAAGTGGCCCATTGTCCTTGGGGCAAGAACTGTGGATGCTCTGGAAGCCAAGAGCTCCAACCCAACACTGCATTTTGAATTTGACCCATTCCAAACCTTCTATTTAGCTACCAACACTCTTTCCTCCTTTGCCCCCTATTTCCCATCACAGATATTGTGCCCAGATAGACATGGAAATAGTGACTGTAGGTCCTACTCCAACTTTCTCTGCTAGATAATATAAAAAACAATAGTGACCGGGGATGGTGGCTCATGCCTGTAATCCCAGCACTTTGGGAAGCTGAGACAGGTGGATCACAAGGTCAGGAGATCGAGACCATCCTGGCCAACATGCTGAAACCCTGTCTCTACTAAAAATACAAAAATTAGCCAGGTGTGGTGGTGTGCGCCTGTAGTCCCAGCTACTTGGGAGGCTGAGACAGGAGAATCGCTTGAACCCCGGAGGTGGAGGTCGCAGTGAACCAAGATTGCGCCACTGCACTCCAGCCTGGGGGCGACAGAGCTACACCAGTCTCAAAAAAAAAAGAAAAGAAAAGAAGAAAAGAAAAGAAACAGCTACGATATCAATAGCAAACACATTAGCAAACCTTACTGTGGGCCAAATATTGTTCAGAGTGTTTATGTGTACTAACTCATTTAATTCTCCTACAGCCACTTTGAGATAGGTGCTATTGAAATCCTCACTTTTCAGTTAAAAGAACTGTGATTAAAGGGTGTGGAGCTGGGCTCTGTGGAGCACAGATAGGGAAGGCAATGCAAACAACTAAGCTTCAGTCCCCACCATTCCCTGCCAGGGGCTGCTGCTCTTCAGTGCAAAATCCCCTCCAGGCAGGGCGGCCTGTGGTGTGGCAGGAGAAGCACTGTGGAGACATAAACATTTAGATTATTATGTACTCTGACTGTATCCAAGTCAGCAAAGGATATAGTCATCTGCAACACCGATGATCCTCCTCTTTCAGGGACCTCTGTACCTAACCCGATCCTTCTCCACCTGAAATTCTCCCAGACCTTCTCCCAGTGGGATCTTACTAGGTCACACGCTCATGGGATTTTTCTGGTTATAACATCATGATTCTGAGGAAGGGGTGATCAAGGTAACCAGAACTGGTGCATACTCAGTCTTCACGGAGACTGCTTCTCCAATGAATTAGATTCTGTGTTCTTGCCTTGCACCCTTCTTGTGATTGCATGAGTGGAATGTTTTCTTATGTTCTGTAGTTTTCTTCTCCCTGTTTTGTGTATTTCTCGCAGACTTTTTCTGGAACTCACTAAAAACTTAGTTTTTCTGTTATCTAAGCTTGAAAGCTTCCTAATTGCAATAAAATAGGCCCTTTTGAGTCACGCTTCCCCTCAATGTTAAGTACCTGGGACTCCTGCAAGCATGAAAAGGGGAAGAGTTAGTGCCTTGGAAGGAATAGACCAGATATTCCTCCTATTCCACTGCAGACTCAGAAGAGACTTGGGGATGTTATTTATAGTTCAAACAGCAAAGAGAGACACTCCAGTTAAAAAAGATAATCATCACCTCTTATTTTCCTAATGATTAAACAGACAGTGCTTTTAATGTTCCTGAGTTCTGTCATATCACCCTGTGCTTTAATATCTAAATAAACTATCTCAAGTCCCTATTCTACATAGTTGAGAGAAGTCCAGTGTTCCTCCCAAGATTTCTAATGAGGGAAGCACTTATAAAGTCTCCTGTCAACATTCTGACTTTATTATTTATTTATTTATTTATTTATTTATTTTATGGCTTTTTTTTTTTTTTTTTTTTTTTGGGGACACAGTTTTACTCTTGTCGCCCAGGCTGGAGTGCAGTGGTGTGATCCCGGCTCACTGCAACCTCTGCCTCCCGGGTTCAAGCGATTCTCCTGCCTCAGCCTCCTGAGTAGTCGGGATTACAGGTGCCTGCACCAGACCTGGCTAATTTTTTGTATTTTTAGTAGAGATGGGGTTTCATCATGTTGGCCAGGCTGGTCTCGAACTCCTGACCTCAGGTGATCCATGTGCCTCGGCCTCCCAAAGTGCTGGGACTACAGGCATGAGCCACTGTGCCTGATCGACATTCTGACTTTAAATCCTAGCTTTCCATCATCTTTTAATTTTTGCCTTTTCCATTCTTCAAATACCCCCACCATAAGGCTGTTCTTGTCTTTAATTGACTTATTTTTTTAAAAAAAATAAGATCCGGCAATTACAACAAAAAAGACATATCCATTAAAGTTTGTATCAGATACCATTCTTCATAAATTTCCTTGGCCATTCCCAAGGATGAGCTGTTTTACAGCCTCGTTCTCCTTAGGTCCCAGTCTGGTAGCAGTTCCTAGGAAGTGGTTCCTCCCTGCAGTGATTCTCTCCTGTTTCTTCTTCAATTCCAAAATCTCAACCAAAGACACTCAGACCCTGGGCTGTGGCTGAGGAGTTGGTGTGGGATAAAAAGTCCCTTTATATGAAGATGGTGGATAGGAGGCAGGACTAGCTCCCAGCTCCCGCATGGACAGACAACCAGCATGTGGAGACTTACATTATAAACTTTTGCTCTAAGAACTACCACAGCAACATACCAGGAAAGCTGAGAGAATCCACAGACCCTTTGAAGGAACTGAATCACTGCTGTAGGGTCCATGAGATGCCAAAACCTTTGAGTCCACTTGCTTTCTCAGTGGGGAGCCTGGTGGTCTGGAGCAAGTTCTCAGCCCTGGTCACCACCTGCCTGGAAATAGGCTTGGTGCTGCTGGGAGGGCATGGTGGGAGTGAGACCAGTTTTTAGGACTGTGAGCTACATGGAAGCTGGGTGAGGCCTGTGACTGCTGGCTTTCCCCCCACTTCCCTGGCATGCTGTGTGACTCAGCAGAGGTAGCCATAATCCCCCTGAGAACATAACTCCATTGACCTAAGAACAACACCCTCATCCCCACAGCAGCCACAGCAAGCCCCGCCCAAGGAGAGGCTGAGCTCAGCCATGCCCCCAGCTGGTAGTCTTTCTCGACTCATCCTGGTAGCTAAAGACACAGGACGTAATCTCTTGGAAGCTCTATAGCCCCACCCCCTGCATGATCCTCCCTATGCAACCACAGCTGATGTGCTCTTGAAAGCACCACCTCTGGCTGGAGGCCAATCAACACAAAACCAGCATGCTAAACAAAAATACAACCATCCCTAGGGGAAAGGGGAGAACACCATATCAAGGGAGCATCCCATGGGACAAAAGAATCTGAACAGCAGCCCTTGAGTCCTGAATCTTCCATCTGACATAGTCTACCCAAATGAGAAGGAACCAGAAAAACAATCCTGGTAATACAATTGTATTAGTCCATTTTCATGCTGCTGATAAAGACATAATTGAGGTCAGCGTGGTGGCTCACACCTGTAATCCCAGCACTTTGGGAGGCCGAGGTGGGAGGATCACCTGAGGTCAGGAGTTTGAGACCAGTCTGACCAACATGGAGAAACCCCATCTCTACTAAAAATACAAAATTAGCCAGATGTGGTGGTGCATGCCTATAATCCCAGCTACTCGGGAGGCTGAGGCAGGAGAATCGCTCGAACCTGGAAGGCAGAGGTTGCAGTGAGCCGAGATCGTGCCATTGCACTCCAGCCTGGGCAACAAGTGCAAAACTCAGTCTCAAAAAAAGAAAAAAAAGGCATAACTGAGACCGGGGAATTTACAAAAGAAAGGTTTAATTGGACTTACAGTTCCAGTTGTTCCAATTGGCTGTTCCACGTGGCTGGGGAAGCCTCACAATCATGGTGGAAGGCAAGGAGGAGAAAGTCCCATCTAACGTGGATGGCAGCAGGCAAAGAGAGGATGAGGAAGACGCAAAAGCAGAAACCTCTAATAAAACCATTAGATCTTGTGAGACTTATTCACTGCCACAAGAAAAGTATGGGGGAACCACCCCCATGATTCAATTATCTCCCACTGGGTCCCTCCCATAACACGTGGGAATTATGGGAGTACAATTCAAGAAGAGATTTGGTGGGGGACACAGCTGAACCATATCAATGACAAAACAAGGTCTTTTAACACCCCAAAAGATCACACTAGCTCACCAGCAATGGATTCAAACCAAGACGAAATCTCTGAATTGCCAGAAAAAGAATTTCAGTCGATTGTTAAGCTAATCAAGAAGGAACCAGAGAAAAGTAATGTTCAACTTAAAGAAATCAAAAACGTGATACAGGATATGAAAAGAAAATTCTTCAGTGAAATAGGTAGCATACATAAAAAACAATCACAACTTCTGGAAATCAAGGACACACTTAGAGAAACACAAAATGCACTGGAAAGTCTCAGCAATAGAATTAAACAAGCAGAAGAAAGAACATTAGAGCTCAAAGACAAGGCTTTCGATTTAACCCAATCCACCAAAGACAAAAGAATTTTAAAAAATGAACAAAACCTCCAAGAAGTTTGGGGCTATGCTGAATGTCCAAACCTATGAATAATCTGTGTTCCTGAGGAAGAAGAGAAATTTAAAAATTTGGAAAACATATTTGAGGGAATAATTGAGGAAAACTTCCCCAGCCTTGCTAGAGATCTAGACATCCAAATATAAGAAGCTCAAAGAACACCTGGGAAACTCATCACAGAAAGATCATCACCTAGGCACATAGTCATCAGACTATCTAAAGTCAAGACAAAGGAAAGAATCTTAAGAGCTGTGAGGCAAAAGCACCAGGTAACCTATAAAGGAAAACCTATCAGTTTCACAGCAGATTTCTCAGCAGAAACCCTACAAGCTAGAAGGGATTGAGTTTTTTTTTTTTTTTTTTTTTTTTAGCCTCCTTAAACAAAACAATTATCAGCAGAGAATTTTGTATCTGGTGAAACTAAACTTCATAAATGAAGCAAAGGTACAGTCTTTTCCAGACAAACAAATGCTGAGAGAATTCACCACTACCAAGCCAGCACTACAAGAACTGCTAAAGGAGCTCTAAATCTTGAAACAAATCCTTGAAATACACCAAAACAGAACCTCCTTAAAGTGTCAGTCCCACAGCACCTATATAATAATAACACAATGAAAAAAAGAAGGTATTCAGCCAACAAATAGCACGATGAATGGCCTAAATGCTCCACTTAAAAGATACAGAATGGCAGAATGGATAAGAATTCACCAACCAAGTTTCTGCTGTCTTCAGGAGACTCATCTAATACATGAAGACTCACATAAACTTAAGGTAAAGGGTTGGAAAAAGATATTCCATGTAAATGGATACCAAAAGCGAGCAGGAATAGCTATTCTTGTATCAGACAAAACAGACTTTAAAGCAAAAGCAGTTAAAAAAGACAAAGCAGGATATTTTATAATGATAAAAGGATTAGTCCAGCAGGAAAATATCACAATCCTAAATATATATGCACCTAACACTGGAGCTCCCAAATTTATAAAATAATTACTACTAGACCTCAGAAAGGAGATAGATGGCAACACTGTAATAGTGGGGGATTTTAATACTCTACTGACAGCACTAGACAGGTCGTCATGACAGAAAGTCAACAAAACAACAATGGACTTAAACTATACCCTACAGCAAATGGACTTAACAGATATTTAGAGAACATTCTACCCAACAACTGCAGAATATACATTCTATTCATCAGCACATGGAGCATTCTCCAAGACAGGTTATATGATAGGCCACAAAACCTCAGCACATTTAAGAAGATGGAGATTTTATCAAGTACTCTCTCAGATCATAGTGGAATAAAATTGGAAATCAACTCTAAAAGGAATCCTCAAAACCATGAAATTACATGGAAATTAAATAACCTGCTCCTGAATGATCACTGGGTCAACACTGAAATCAAGATAGAAATTTAAAAATACAGCCAAGCGCAGTGGCTTATGCCTGTAATCCCAGCACTTTGGGAGGCCAAGGCAGGTGGATCACAAGGTCAGCCATTCGAGACCAGCCTGGCCAACATAGTGAAACCCTGTCTCTACTAAAAATACAAAAAATTAGCTGGGCGTGGTGGCACATGCCTGTAATCCCAGCTACTAGGGAGGCTGAGGCAGGAGAATTGCTTGAACCTGGGAGGCGGAGGTTGCAGTGAGCTGAGATCATGCCACTGTACTCCAGCTCGGGCAAGAGTGCGAGACTCTGTCTCAAAAAAAAAAAAAACCAAAAAACTTTTAACTGAACAACAATAGTGACACCACCTATCAAAACCTCTGGGATATAGAAAATGCAGAGCTAGGAGGAAAGTTCATAGCCTCAAATGCCTACATCAAAAAGTCTGAAAGGGCACAGACAGACAATCTAAGGTCACACCTCACAGAACTGGAGAAACAAGAAGAATCCAAGCCCAAACTCCGCAGAAGAAAAGAAATACTGAAGATCAGAGCAGAACTAAATGAAATTGAAAGAAATACACAAAAATACAAAAGATAAATGAAACAAAAAGCTTGTGCTTTGAAACATAAATGAAATTGATAGGTCATTAGTGAGATTAACTAAGAAGAGAAGAGAGAAGACCCAAATAAGCTCAATTAGAAACAAAGCGGGAAATATTACTACTGATACCACACAAATACCAAAGATTATTCAAGGCTATTATGAACACCTTTATGGACACAAACTAGAAAAACTAGAGGAGTTGGATAAATTTCTGGAAATATACAATCCTCCTAGATTAAACCAGGAAGATGCAGAAACTCTGAACAGACCAATAACAGGCAGTGAGATTGAAATAGCAATAAAAAAATTGCCAACAAAAAAAGTACAGGACCAGACCAACTCACAGCTGAATTATATCAGACATTCAAAGAAGAATTGGTACCAATCTTATTGACACTATTCCACAGGATAGAGAAAAAGGGAATCCTCCCTAAATAATTCTATGAAGCCAGTATCACCCCAATACCAAAACCAGGGAAGGACATAACAAAAAAAGAGAACTACAGACCAATATCCCTGATGAACACGGTTTCATCCCTGGTATAAAACCAACTTGATCATGGTGGATTATCTTTTGGATATGCTGTTGGATTTGGTTAACTGGTATTTTGTTGAGGATTTTTGCATCACAGAACTGGGAAAAAAAAACAACCCTAAAATTCACATGGAACCAAAAAAAGAGAGCCTGCTTAGCCAAAGCAAGACTAAACAAAAAGAACAAATCTGGAGGCATCACATCACCTGATTTCAAACTATACTATAAGCCCATAGTCACCAAAACAGTATGGTACTGGTATAAAATTGGCACATAGACCAGTGGAACAGAATAGAAAACCCAGAAATAACCCAAATACTTAACAGCCAGCTAATCTTCAACAAAGCAAATAAAAACATAAAGTGGAGAAAGGCCACCCTATTCAACAAATGGTGCTGGGATAATTGGCTAGCCACATGTAGAAGAAGGGAACTGTAGCCTCATCTCTATCCTTATACAAAAATCGACTCAAGATGGATCAAAGACTTAATTCTAAGACCTGAAACCATAAAAATTCTAGACAACCCACAGAGTGGGAGAAAATCTTCACAGTATATACATCTGACAAGGGACTAATATCCAGAATCCACAAAGAACCCAAGCAAATCAGCAAGAACAACAACAATAAAAAAAAACAAAAAACAAAAAACAATCCCATTGAAAAGTGGGCTAAGGATATGAATAGATAATTCTGAAAAGAAGATATAAAATGGTGAACAAACATATGGAAAAATGCTCAACATCACTAATTATTGGGGAAATGCAAATTAAAATCACAATGCATACCTCCTCACTCCTGCAAGAATGCCCATAATCAAAACATCAAAAAATAATCGATGTTGGCATGGATGTAATGAAAAGGGAACACTTTTCCACTGTTGATATGAATGTAAACTAGTATAATCACTGTGGAAAACAGTGTGAAAATTCATTAAAAAACTAAAAGTAGATCTACCATTTGATCCAGCAATCCCACTACTAAGTACCCAGAGGAAAAGAAGTCATTATACAAAAATGATACTTGCACATGCTTATTCCTAGAAGCACAATTTACAATTTCAAAAATATGAAACGAGCCCACATGCCCATCAATTGAGTGGATAAAGAAAATGTGTGAGAGAGATATATATACACGTGGATGTACACATGTACATGTGTACATACACACGTGGATGTATATATGTACATGTGTACATACACACGTGGATGTATATATGTACATGTGTACATACACACGTGGATGTATATATGTACATGTGTATATATACACACACACACCACGGAATACTACTCAGCCATAAAAAGGAATTAAGTAATGGCATTCACAACAACCTGAATGGAATCGAAGACTATTATTTTATTTGAAGTAACTCAGGAATAGAAAACCAAGCATCATATTTTCTCATTCATAATTAGGAGCTAAGCTATGAGGACTCAAAGCCATAACAATGATACAATGGACTTTGGGAACTCAGGGGAAATGGTGGGATGCGGGTGAGAGATAAAAGACTATACATTGAGTACAGTGTACACTGCTTGGGTGACGAGTGCACCAAAAATCTCAGATATTACCACTAAAGAACTTACTCATGTAACCAAACACCACCTGTTCCCCAAAAACCTATGGAAAGAGAACATAAATAAAAAACCAACATTGTGATGGGTGCACCAAAATCTCACAAATCAACACTAAAGAACTTACTCATGTAACCAAACATCACCTGTTCCCCAAAAACCTATAGAAATAAAAAAAAAGAAATTTAAGTCAACATTTAAAAAAAGCCCCTTTATTTTTCAGGGCACTTTCTCTCCCCTCTGTTTCAACTTCCTCCCCCCACCCCGACCCCACTGCAGATCACCACTGAAGTTTGTCTTTTTTTTTTTTTTTTTTTTACTTTTATTATCATTATACTTTAAGTTTTAGGGTACATGTGCACAACGCGCAGGTTTGTTACATACGTATACATGTGCCATGTTGGTGTGCTGCACCCATTAACTTGTCATTTAGCATTAGGTATATCTCCTAATGCTATCCCTCCCCGCTCCCCCCAGTTTTGTCTTTTTTAACAAAAAGGGCATAGGAATGTTTTCCTAAATTTATGAACTATTCATCCTACATACTCACTTTTAGAAACGCAGAAACCTTGAAAAAATTTTTTTAATTCTCCTAGTCTTAAAAAAGATTCAAAATGGAATTCTCTCTATTTGCAGCATCTGCTAATAAAAGGGGTAGGAAGTTGATGAAAAGAATTTATTCTCTGCCGTCCAGAGAAAACTCTAGAGACCAAGGCCTTTTAGTGTTTCTATTTTTTTCTATTTCAGATAAAGAGCATGGTGCTGGATTGCTGGAGGTCAATAAATGCCGGCCTCCCTGTGTCCTACTTACCCCCTCCAGCTCCCTGCAAACATAAGGAGTGCGGAGTTAGGGGGCCCTGGTGTTAAGGCTCTGTTCAATCACGATACTCACCAAAGCTGATTCACTCCTAAGGATGGAGCCCACTGCCCTGCCAGAAAACTTCAGGAGAAACTTGGACATTTTTGCAACTGTCTGTGGTATCTGTCATCAGGCTGACACTTATTGCAAAAATCTCACCCATGGCCGTTAGCGTCAGCAATTCTGTGAAGCTTATGGTGGGGGTAATTTGTGCTTCTTTCTGGCTACCCTGCCTTCTAAATCCCCAGCACATCCTCTCCATTTTTTGAGACCATCATTTCACTGGAAGGACCTGCGTCATCGATCACCGTCCTCCAGATTCAGCAGGTTTTAAGGAGCCCAGCAGTCAAGTGCTCTGCCCGGGAGAGGAGACGTGGGAAGCCAACCCTAATTCACCTTAATGGGATGGTCACAGAAAGCAAAGTCTGGTTGGCTCCACTCTTTCTAAAATTTACTTCTTTTTCTTCTTATTATTTAGAGACAAGGGTATTGCCCTGTTACCCAGGCTGGAGTGCAGTGGCACAATCATAGTACACTGCAGCCTCAAACTCCCAGGCTCAAGCGATCCTCCTGCCTCAGCCTCCTAAGTAGCTGAGCCTTACAGGCATGTACCACCACACCCGGCCATTTTAATTTTTACATACTTTTGTAGAGATGGCATCTGGCTATGTTGCCCAGGCTGGTCTAGAACTCCTGGCCTCAAATGATCCTCCTGCCTCGGCCTCTCAAAGTGTTGGGATTACAGGCGAGAGCCATTAAGCCTGGTAGTTTTTATTTTTATTAAAGTGATCTGTGAACATGTTTTAAGGAGTCAAGTCGTTCTACAAGGCTTATTAAAACAAACTCAAAAAGCTGTCTTCCATTGTCTCATTCCCTAAGCCCCCGGAGACCATTTAAAGCTTTGCAGACATATACATATATATTCTTTCATGTTCCTAAATACTACTTTTTCATTTTTTAGTTACAGGTTTTATTTATTTGCTATCCACCATAGAAAATAAGGATTTATTTTCTCTCTCCTACAACAACACTACACACATACAGTTTTTCCATTCCTGTCGCCCTAACAGGTTTTATCTAATTATGGTGAGACAAATATTCAGTGTTTACATTATTCAAAATATGTGTTTATTCATATACATATATTTAAATATTTACAGGTAAATCATTTTAAATATGTGTATTTACAGGTAAATCATGTAGTTCATTAGTATTGCGCTTCCTTTCTTGCACAGATTTTCATTTTTGCTGAAGTTAATAATTGCCTTTCCTTGTTTATTTCCTTTGCTGTACATCTCACTAAGTAATCTCCAAAGTCTCTCTGCTTGTCCATATGTCTTCTCATCTTATTCTGACACATGAAGGGGCCTCTTAATTTCATCTTCTTTAAGAAGACCATCTCAGAGCCTTCTTTATCCCAGGACACAGTCATCCTTCTTCCTACTTTTCACCTTCTTCCTAGATCCTCACATTCTCTGATATTAGATCCCTTAGTCTATTGCAACTCTTAAATCTCTTTCTTGTTTTTTGCCTTTGTTGTTACAGAACTCATCCTCAATTAAATTTTAAAGAAAAGCATGCATGAGAGTTAACATTTTTGAAATACTGTGTGTCTGAAAACATCTTACTGCACATTGTTTTGGTCTAAGTGTTTGTGTTCCCCCCAAATTTGTATGTTAAAATAGAATCCCTAATGTGATGGGGTTAGCAGATGGGACCTTTGGGGGGTGATTAGGTCATGAGGATGCAGCCCTTATAAATGGGATTAGTGCCCTTAGAAAAGAGATCCCAGGCCTGGGCACCATGACTCAAGCCTGTAATCCCAGCAGTTTGAGAGCCTGAGGCAGACAGATCACTTGACCTCAGGAGTTCGAGACCAGTCTGGGCAACATGGTGAGACTCTGTCTCTACTAAAAATACAAAAAAATAGCTGGGAGTGGTGGTGCTTGCCCATAGTCCCAGCTACTCAGGAGGCTGAAGTGGGAGGATCGCTTGAGCCCAGGGGCAGAGGCTGTAGTGAGCCAAGATCACGCCACTACACTTCAGCCTGGGTCATGGAGTGAGATGGGGTCTCAAAAAAAAGAGACCCCCAGAAAGCTGCCTTGGGAGGACACAGCTAGAAGGTGCCATTTCTGGACCAGAAAATGGGTCTTCACCAGACACTGAATTTGCTAGTACCTTGATCTTGGACTTCCCAGCATCAGAACTGTGAGAAATAAATTTCTGTTGTTAATAAGATACCCAGTTTATGATATTTTGTTATAACCTAAGTAGACTAAGGCATACATCCATTCTAAATTAGACTTACACAGTGTAGAAAACACTAGGAATCATTTCATTTTCTCAGAATTTTGAGGGCATTTCCTTCTAGTCTGTCTTGTTAAATGGTCCAAAGCCATTTTGGTTCTTGATCTTTTATGGAGAAACTGCTCTTCACCCTCTCAGGAAATTTGTAGCATCTTTTTTCTTTGCTTTGCTTTTTCTTTATTTGGGTGGTTTGTGCATTTAAAAAAAAACCATTTACAAAATATTAATGAGTGATTAATTAAGTCCTGATTAGGCAGCCCTTTTACTCTGGAAACATATGCCTTCAATTCTGGGAAGATTTCTTGAATTATTTAATTGATATTGTTACCCTCATTTTCTGAATTCTCTCTTTATGCAGGTGCTATCATTAGCATGCTGGATCTTCAGGACTCAAATCAAAATGTTTTGGTTTGTTTGTTTTACTTTTTCTCATTTTATCTCTTTTTTTCCTTTTTTGCTCCACATACTAGGAAATTGACCCAACTTTATCTTCAAACTCTTTGGTTGAGATTCTTGATAATAACTATTACTGGTCTCATCATTTTGATTTCCAACAGCTTTTTATGTTTCTCTGACATTTTTCCTCTTTTGATACATGAATAAAATATCTTGATAAATATAATGTTTTGTGCAGCTTCTTTGTTTTACCTTCTATTTTTCACGTTAAAGACTTCCTTCTGATGCTAGGTGATACTTGGGTGTCTCATAATTAAGTGTGTGGTTCTCCAAAGATGATTGGAACCCTGAGTGCATGCATTGGGCCCCTTGACTGTGGGCTTCACTGTTGGAAGTGCTGCTTTGTCCATTTCGTTGGGAAACTGCTATACTGGCAGACCTATACTTACACCTATATTTAGGTCTTTTTTGCTTGGTGTCTCTGTGGATTGGTTTCCTTGAAAGCAGACACTGAAACAAAATTGGAGTGCAAGATGATTTTTAGGAATCAACACTGTACATTAAGGCCCAGGGGTAGGAAGAATTGGGCAAAGCAAGAAGTCAAACTGTAGACGGGGGCGGTGGCTCACGCCTGCAATCTGAGAACTTTGGGAGGAGGCAGAGGCAGGTGGATTACTTGAAGTCAGGAGTTCAAGACCAGCCTGGCCAACATGATGAAACCACATCTCTACTAAAATTATAAAAATCAGCTGGGCGTGTTGGTGGGCGCCTGTAATCCCAGCTACTTGGGAGGCTGAGGCAGGAGAATCGCTTGAACCCGGCAGGCAGAGGTTCCATGAGCTCAGATCGTGCCATTACACTCCAGCCTGGGCGACAGAGTGAGACTCCATCTCTAAATAAATAAATAAATAAATGTCCAACTGCAATGCAGGCCACCCCGGCAGGGACCTCTGGAGGGAGGTTTGTCCATCAGAGTGTTCCATCTTGAGCTGAACTGGCCTTGTCTATGCCCACCTCTATCAGTCGTTGGATGTGGGCCATCCCAGGGAGGGCATGACCTTGGGCAAGGGCGCTGTCTGCAGCTGAACCAGACATGTGAAGGAACTGATGGGGATCCCCTAAAATGTGCAATCAGTTGGTCCTAGAAGAGGGATCTGGGCAGTGCCTCTCTGTGTTTACCATAGAGCTAGTCAGATTCCCCAAGAAGGCTCTTCCAGACTCTTGCATTTCTGCAGGATATTAACTTGTTCTAAGGGTCAAACAGGGAGTGTTAGGAGGGAGGAGCAGTGGGGAGGGAGTTATCTCAAATTAGTTTATAAAGTTTCTCATTATATCATCTTTTTCAGTATGAATGTCCCATCTTTATCTGTGCCTGGTATTCCACAGGGCAAAGACCCTTTATTTTATCCCGTTCTAGGAACAAACCTCCAGGCTGTGATTTACAGAGAAAAAAATGTGGGGTTTAACTCCTTAATCCTACTTAAAAACAAACAAACAAACACAAATCCTCCTGTTGTTAGCTGCTCCCCGGCATCCTCCCCTACCACAATCTTCCTGTCCCCAGAGGTACATAGTTCTACCAATTTCTGACTCTTTTGGAATGTGTGTGGCCCAAGTCAGCTTGCCCAACTGGGTCTCCCACTGCAGGCTTGGGATCAGTGTGCGTGCAGTTACTATGTCATATCAATCATCTGCCTGCTTTGCAGCTTCAACGATTTTGCTGCTATTATGTCCTCTCCTGTTCTCATTGTCCTTGAGGGCTTATACTTAAAATAATCCCTTTACTCTCTTTTTCCTTAGTTTGGATCGTTGAAGAGATAAATGCATGTATATTGCCATCTTTAACTTGATTTTGTTTTTAAAGAGACACAGTATGTAATTTTTCTTCCCAACTAATTGTAGAACTTCCTCAGCACAAATTAGAAAAGCAGCATGGAAGTGTAAAATCAGCAAGGCTTCATAGCTTGCGGCTTTTTCACCTGACTAACAAGATCTTTATCCATCTGAGCTACACTTAATTGTCAAACGGGGATCTGAGTAGCTTTCAGAAAGTTATATGAGATCAAGTGTATAAATTACCGGGCTTGGAGTAAACAGATATTAAATTTAGTTCTTAGTTCTCTTTAAAGTCAGAGATGAATGTAGTTTCTAATTAAAACATGATGAGGTCGAATAAAACACTTGAAATTCGGCTGCGGGTGGGCTTGCTTACGATCTCCATGTGTGGTTCCACAGCCTCTTATTCCCTGGATAGAGCGGAGTGGCGGAACAGGCTGCCAGAATCATCGCAAAGCAAGAGACAGCAGAGCTCCCGTTTGCCAGCTCCCCACCTTTGGTTTACCAAGAGGGCTCTGATTTCTTGGCATTTTCTTTTTTTTTTTTTCCGTCTCACAGCTCATTTATTTTTATTCCCATTCTTGGCCTGCGTATCAGGCTAATAAGAGACATAGCATGCACAAAAATCCACAATTGTTATAAACCGCAGTAGCTTTACTTCCAAGGTTCAACGGTGGCTGTAAGAAGTGAAGACTAAATTACAGTTGGGTGGCTCCATGGTATGCATTACTTGTTTATGTCTTCACCTTTAAGTCTGAGAATGTGACATTCTTTGGGTTGTGCTGAACGAACTTTCTTGGGAAGATTTCTTGGGAAAATCAGGCCTGGCTGACTTTCCAGTCTCATTTTCACGCATTGTTGCTCCCCAGTGCCTCATTTTGCCCCTAATTTCCCCACAGTGGAAAAACACACACCCAAAGAAACAGAAACACATACCCTACACCAGGGTCTCTCAATGTTTGCTCCCTACTCTACCAGCATCAGAAATATCAGGCTTGCATATTAAAAATTCTGGCCGGGCAAGGTGGCTCACATCTGTAATCCCAGCACTTTGGGAGGCCAAGGCGGGTGGATCACCTAAGGTCAGGAGATCGAGACCAGCCTGACCAACATGGTGAAACTCTGTCTCTATCGAAAATACAAAAAAATTAGCTGGGCATGATGGTGGAAGCCTGTAATCCTGGCTACTTACTTGGGAGGCTGAGGCAGGAGAATCACTTGAACTTGGGAGGCGGAGGTTGCAGTGAGCCGAGCCGAGACCGCACCACTGCACTCCAGCCTGAGCAACAAGAACGAAACTCTGTCTCAAAATAAATAATTAGATTAATTAATTAATTAAATAAACTAAAATAATGCAGATTCCTGACATTTATTCAAGAAGAAGTAATTAAACTTTTTTAAATATTAAAAACATTTTATTAGGGAGTTAATTGTACTATATGTATTTCAGGAGTTATATCCAGGAAGTACATTTAATTAAAAAAATAGATTTAGGGGGTACAAGTGCAGTTTCATTACATGAATATATTGTGGAGTGGTGAAGTCTGGGCTATTAGTATAACCATCACCCAAATAGTGTACGTTGTATCCATTAGGTAAGAAGTAATCAAACACCTTGTGCCACAGACCCCATTGGCCTTTGAATCTCTTCTCACACCGTGTTTTTAGATGCATGAAATTAAATACATAGGATCACAAACAAAACTAATTATACAGTTTTCTATCTATAAAACTATATATTAATTTTCTGATGCAGCAATATATGTGCTTATTTACTAACACATAAGATTTAGTATCAAGTTGAATAGCTTCTATTATTTAGCATAAATGTTATTTTGAGAAATCTACAAGAGTAATGTGACATCAAAATACTTGTGCTTTCTATTAGTGACATCCCAGATACTACTGATGCTACCTAGTTTGTTACCTGTTTTCAAAATGCTAAATTTCAGTTACAGTTTAGTTAATGAAAATAAATATGTAAATTGTGTTCCATCCAGGTTCAGGCACCTGCTGAGTTCTAATTAAGTAAACTATTAAAGTCCACTGGAGGCCATGGTTTTGGATTAGTCTCCTGTACCAGGCCACAGCAGACCAGACCAAACCAAAATGGACTCCCTCATGCTAAGTGCCACATAATCCAACTGAAACTGAAAGGAAACAGGTAAATCCTCAAACAGGATATTCACAGCAATCAATCAGAAAGACCCTATTGTACCTGAGTCAGTGTAAAAAGAAAGTTCCCTCTGCTTTAATCCTTACAAAAAAAGTAGTTTGTAGTAACCTGATCTTAAACAATCTACTTTTTTATTAATCTCTTTCCTTGTTCCCACTTTACAGAAACCAACCATTCTGCATTGCCCAGTGAAATATTCATTCTATTTTATAGAATGAAGTGTTGCCTGATTCTAATATTGCAAATAAAAGCCAATTAAATCTTTAAACTAAATTGGTTGCAATTTTGTCTTTTGGTGACACCAAGTTAAAAAATGAAACAAAACAAAAAGTGTTCTAAATCTATTGAATTTGTCTCGGGGACAAGGCTAATAATCTGCATTTCGACAAGCTTCCAGAACAGAACCACCGATCAATGCTATGTTTCCAAAACAGGACACAGTGCCAACCCTCTGTGTACCTGTAAGCCCTGCCCTAGGCACCAACTGGCCTTCTCACAAACACTAGTGGATGCTATTCAGCTAGCTAAAGTCTTACAGTGTCTTCCCTGACAATTTTCTTTATCACTCCACCCTATCCTCTGGCAGATTTAGTTGCTTTTTTATCTGGGCTCCGTGGACTTCTGGAATGTACTCATTGCTATGTTTAAGTGTCACTCAGTTCTGTAAGAGAAGGGTGGAACAGTGTGTGATAAAATGTTAGTATCAGCAGGAAAAACTCAAAAAGCATGTGAAGTCCTGGATAATACATTTCACATTCCTGTTGTTATAACCCAACCAATAGAGAATCCTAAAAATGATCAGCATTTTGGAAGGGCTTTTTAAGATCATTTATCTTGTCTCTGAGCTCCATTTTATGAGCTTGAGTTTTTTGTCCTGGGATTCCCAAGCACACTCCCCACTCAGCTTCATCATCTGCAGAGTGGGCTCCTCGGCCCGTTCCCACTTACCTTTTGTTCTCTCAAATCCATACCCCGAGCCCGTGAAAGTTCTTACTCAAGTTGTCTTCAAGCAAAGGCCTCTCTTCATTGTTAATTATTCTCTTATCTGCAGCTGGTAGCAGCCTAGTTGGGGCTTTAGAGTTTGAGGATAGAGGGAAAGGAGAAGCAGCTGACTTCACAGTGCTCTGGTCTCCAACTGGATTATATTTTAAAAAATAAATAAATCAGATCTTTATTCCACAGACTTCTTCCTGCAAACAGTTCTGTACCTCATGCTAAAGAGGGTCTATTGCCCTCTCTAGTTTTGGTTACATTATCAAAGTCATCAGGCACCAGGAGAGGCAGGGAGTGGGCGGAATGGATGAGAGAGAAAACTTCATCAAATCACATATAATTACTTTTTCAGGTGCTTATCTATCCCTTGAGACCTGATTTTTCAACAGCAGAGCCCTCTGTTTAAAAGCAAGTGATTTTTTTCTGTTGGACAAGTTAACCCCTTTAAGTTAAAGTTCTGTCATTCAATTATAATACTAAGTATGTTGTAGGAGTATATTACATAGAGCAGTTCACTCAGTATTACGTGCATAGTAAATGCTCAATAAAGGAGAACTTTATTATTATTTCTGTCTTATGTCCAACACACAGCAGAGTGCTGGCATATAATAGGTGCTCAGTAAACTCTTAAGGGCTTTTAGTGCAAGAAAGAAAGAAAAAACGTTGTCACAGGTGATCAATGACTATCTGGGCTGGTGGTGTGGGGGTAAAATAATTTACCAAGACAGCTGTAGATAAAGAAAGGCAGATTTGGCCGGGCGCGGTGGCTCATGCCTGTAATCCCAGCACTTTGGGAGGCCAAGGCAGGTGGATCACTTGAGGTCAGGAGTTCGAGACCATCCTGGCCAGCGTGGCGAAACCCCATCTCTACTAAAAATACAAAAATTAGCTGGGCGTGGTGTTGCATGCCTGTAATCCCGGCTACTTAGGAGGCTGAGACAGGAGAATTGCTTGAACCTGGGAGGCGGAGGTTGCAGTGAGCCGAGATCACACCACCGCACTCCAGCCTGGGTGACAGAGCAAGACTTCATCTCAAAAACAATAAATAATAATAATAAGAAGAAGAAGAAAGGCAGATTTATTAGAGAAAGTAGGAAAACACGCTGTGAGGAGGCAACTGGAAGGCCAGCAGGCGCTGACTGCAAGGAAACAAAGGTTCGCTGCACATTTTTTAGAATAGTGCTCATGCTGTCTATTGAGGAGGGCTTTGTGCAGTATGGATAATGCCAAGGTTGCTGTGAGCTAGCTTGCAGGTGTTTGCTGATAGTTACGCCCAGGAAGATTGAGGGTTATTTACGCAGGAGGCGTATGTGTCCTGGACCATGAAGAAAGGCAGACTTGCATCTTATCAGCTCTCTCTTTTTGCTTCTCCCTGCTCCCACCAACCTGACTTCCTTTCCCTAATTAGGACTCCACAAACCTGAGAGTCAGAAAACCGTGGTCCAAGTCCTGCCTCTGCCACTAACTTGCTTTGTGACCTTGTGCGACATTCTCTATTTTCCAGAGTGAATGGTCTCCTATATCCACTAAACGGACTGGATTATCTAATTTCAAAAGCAGTGGTTCCAAAGTTTCAGAGTCAACCGGGGATGATAATAATAATGATGATGATGATGATGTGAAGCAATAGAATTTTAGATCTCCATTCTAAAATTTCACAAGGAAATTTATATTTTAATTTTTGACTGTGATTTTCACCATTAAATTAGGCTGAGAACTACTATCCTAGAGTTCTTGTATCTCTATCTCTCATAGATTATATTTTAGAAGAGTACAATGAGTTATGCAAATCGCTCTAATAGGAAAATAAAATATAAAATCTTCCCAATACACTGAATTTTTCTATCATGAAAGCAGCTTTCATTCCTGCAGGCTCTACACCCTCATTTCTTCAGTAAGTACTTGTTTTGTGCCCACTATGCCAGGACCTATGGAAGAACCAGGGATCCCAAAGGAAACAGAACAAGAAGCCTTTCCTTAGAGGGGCTTGGAAGCTGGGGAAGGAGGGAAGACAAGAAAACCAGTGATCTTAGTACAAACATCCCTGTCATGATGAGGGGAAATCCAGGATGCAGTGGTACCCAGGAGGAGCTAAGAACTCAGTCTTGGGTAAAAGACTTGAAAGCAGTAATATCTAGCTGTGCCTTCTCTGTTTTTTTGTTTTTTTGTTTTTTGTTTTTCCAGTACAAAGGGAAGCCCTCCTTGAAATATCAAGGCTTCTTAATAGCAAATACACTAAGCTGAGCCACAACCTGCAGATTGATTAAACATACAAAACTCCCCTCTGTGCAATAGTAAAATATAATTAAAGCCTCCATGCTATTAAATGAGAGAAAGAAACACCACTTTTCCTCCCGCTAAATAGCAGCTGAATCGAATTCTTAAGCATCTACCAAGTGTTCATTGTATACTCAAGCTAAACTTTCTTTTGGCTTCCAGAGGGGTGGGAGTTTGCGCTGCAGTTACCAGTTTCATCACTGGGCAGTTTGGAGGGAGTAGGGGTCTTTTGCTTGATGATATCATTAAGATTTCCCTAGTGTGGACAGAAAAGTTATTAACTTGCCAACGACAGATACTTAAATGCCATCAAAAAGTTTTGAATTTCTCATAATTTTCCTTAATGGTACAAAAATCGTCTCGGGACTCCAGTTCTGAGATTTCATTTTCAAAGAACCCTGTGCTGGAAGTTTCAAATTACCTAATTACCATATTTATTGCCAGAATCTGTTTTCTAATCCCTGATGACTTTGTCAGGTATATTTATGTGCTGTTTCTTTTCTTCTTTGGCGACGGGTACTGAGCTGGGTTTGTTGCAACATGAATTGGAGAGCCCCTTGGTTAGGGACAATAGAAGGAAGCCTGGGGCAGGAATGGCCCCTGAAGATCAGACAGAGAGGAAACCATGGCTGGCTTCCAAGTAATCATTACTGGCATCAGAGACACCATATTGCAATTGTAGTGGATATAAATTAAGCTACACGTTAACCTGACTCCTCTCCTGCTTAGACCACCCAAGCCAGGAGCCCACTTGAGTTCTGGTTGGATCCAGAAACGATTCCTCTTCATTCTTTCCTTAATTGATGCTCAGCCACAAAAAGTTCGTTGTCATGAGGAAGGAGAAGACAAATAAAATGTTAATCATATTTAAGGGTCATGTGGTTCTATCCAATGGAAAAAACAGCTTTGACCCTAAAGTCTTTGAAAGAACTGGGGCTTGCTTTACGGCTGCCAAAGGTCAGTTTTATACAGTTCAGTGGGCAGAGCAGTTTGGGTTTTTTTGTTTTTTTTTGGGGGGGGGGAGTTGGGCATTATTAAAAACAACAAAACCTCGTTTTAACTTATCTCAAACATCCTCTGTGACACCTGATTCTCTGAAAAAAATTCTCTGGTGGGAGAAAATGAACATGACTTAGTGGTTTCCTAGCCTATTTTCTTTTGCTTCTTCTCATTAAGATAAAAGAAATACCATATACACACAGAACTAAATAAAATAAAATAGAAAATTAATTCTTGAAAATGCTTTCTCTTTTAATGATCAAATGTAGTATCTGGAAGGGCTTTAGGTTTACAGACTAGTATGGCTGGATAGTTTTGCTATCTGTTTTTGAGTTAAGATGTTCTTAGCAATTTTTTTCTCTCAATTATTGCAATATTTTCATATATCCTTTTTTTGCTTCCTTCTAGGTTAAAAACTATCTTCCTGGCTGGGTGCGGTGGCTCACGCCTGTAATCCCAGCACTTTGGCAGGCCAAGGCGGGCAGATCACGAGGTCAGGAGATCGAGACCATCCTGACTAGCACAGTGAAACCCCGTCTCTACTAAAAATACAAAAAAAAAAAAGTTGCTGGGCATGGTGGTGCATGCCTGTAGTCCCAGCTACTCAGGAGGCTGAGGCAGGATAATTGCTTGAACCTGGGAGGCGGATGTTGCAGTGAGCTGAGATTGCACCACTGCACTCCAGAATGGGCGACAGAGCAAGATTCCTTCTCAAAAAAACAAACAAACAAAAAAAAACAACTATCTTCCATTAATGGCTGGGTGGTTCCTTTTGAATTAAGATACTATTGGCCACTTTCTCTCTAGATTCTTGCACTATGTTGCCAAACACACACACACACACACACACACACATTTCCCTTTCGAGGTTAAAGACTGTCTTCTTTCATATGTCTTCTTTTTTTTTGTTTTGTTTTTGAGACGGAGTTTCATTCTTGTCGCTCAGGTTGGAGTGCTACTGCGCAATCTTGGCTCACTGTAACCTCCGCCTCCCAGGTTCAAGTGCCTCAGCCTCCCAGGTAGCTGGGATTACAGGCACTTGCCACCACACCTGGCTAATTTTTTGTATTTTTAGTAGAGATGAGGTTTCACTATGTTGACCAGGCTGGTCTTGAACTCCTGACCTCAGGTGATCTGCCCTCCTTGACCTCCCAAAGTGCTGGGATTTCATATGTATTCTTTATTATTTCAAGAGACCCAGTTGTCATATTCCCAAATAGGAACTGCACTTAGTACTTAACTGTCCTCAACAAAGGGGCTCTTTCCTTGCAATATGTAAACAGAGATTTGCTTCAGGAAATATACTGCAATGCCAAGATAAAACAGCGTGCCTAGTAGGTACAAGTGCTGACAAAAATGGATCTGATGGCTTCTTAGATGTGCCCAAATACAACAGTAAACCAACATATAAATGATAATGATGTCATATGCCACAGAAACTAAATTGGACGTTTGTGATTAGAACATGAAGGAAGGAAATTTAACATTTACTGATCATACACAGAAGCAAGGAACTGAGCCCAGTGCTTTCCCAAAGTTTTTTAACATTTATTCCTCATAAGGGTCAGGTGCAGTGGTTCATGCCTGTAATTCCGAAACTTTGCGAGGCTGAGGCAGGAGGATCACCTGAGGTCAGGAGTTCAAGACCAGCCTGGCCAACATGGTGAAACCCCGTCTCTATTAAAAATACAAAAATTAGCTGGGCTTGGTTTCGCACACCTGTATTCCCAGCTGCTCGAGAGGCTGAGGCAGGAGAATCGCTTGAACTTGGGAGGCAGGGGTTAAAGTGAGCCAAAATCGTGCCACTGCACTCCAGCCTGGGTGATACACTGTCTCTAAAATAAAATAAAATAAAATAAAATTTATTCCTCACAAGAATCCTGCAAGATAGGCCTTTTTCTCCCAGTTAGATATTTAGTCACTTATCGATTCATTCCTTCTTCACACTCTGTGTTAGAATACAAAATATATTTGGTCTTTGTCCCTGGTTCTCTGTACAGAACTCCTGAAACCCTTGTAATTTCTTGAGTGATCAGGATAACAGGAGCACCTTTTGTTAAATTTGGTTTTTCTATAAAGATCCTAAAACCCTTGGAATTCTAAGTGATAAGAATGTCTTTTGTTATTTATAACAAGCCCTTTGGATCACACTTGAATTTATGCTAGTGAGGTGACTGGTGTGGGGCCCTTACATAGCCTCTGGATGGGGCCACCAGAAAGATCAAGTAAGTAATTAGAAGGTAGGAATTTTCAGCCCCACCCACCAACCTTCAGGGACAGAAGGAGGGCCCTCAAGATTAAAAAGTTCTATAAACACAACACAATTTGCTAAGCTTTTGCTTTGGTGAACGTAGCCAGGTAGTAGGAAGGTGGCACCCTCTGAGAGGGCATGGATGCTCCTGGAACCACCCATCCACCCCCACCATACCTTGCCCTGCTCAACAACATCTCTTTCATTTGGCTGTGAGCCCTTATAGCTAATTATCAAGCTTCAGAAGGGGGTTGAGGGATGTCAGCGAATTTGCGGCCAGTTGGTCAATAGTCCTGGTGGTCCAGAGACTTTCACTAACAACTAATGTGGAGTCAGTCTTGTGGGACTGAGCTGCTAATTTTTGGGATCTGATGCCGACTCCAAGGTAGTTAGTGTCAGAATTGAATTAAATTTTAGTGCAGCCAGCTGGTGTCTGGAGGATTGGAGAATTGATTGTTGGTGTTGGAAAACACCCCAGATAATCAAAGACACACATAAACTGACTCATGTATTTACTCCATACCCGCTATGGGCCAGGCAATCTGCTAGGCTCTATCGTGAGTCAACCCTATCTTTGAGGGGCTTATAGTTTAGTGAGTGGGCAGGGGTAATTGTAGAAGGTAGCAAAAGATAAATACTGAAATGTCAAGGGCATTACAGGAATATGAATAAAATGCTGATAAGACTAAGAGCTTCATCGACCTGGAGACATTGAGAGATCAAGGAATTTTCTCTCCCCTCCTTTCCTAGATAGAAACTAAAGAGAATGAGGGCTTTCGGCTACAAATTTAATTGAATTTTTGCTAGAGCAGCAATCTCACTGATTTTCTTCCAGTAATAAAGGAAGCTGCTCTTGCCATGGGCTCTGTTCTTTTTCCCTGCAAGCTCCAAAAGACCCAATTTGGAAGCAGGGGTGGTTGAACAAAAGGAGCAAGCTCTACGCTGCAGGATAATGTGATTTGCAGACACTATGGATAGTGAGCGACTTTTCAAATTGTGAAGCCCTTCCAAAATTAGTTTCTCCCTACTTATGGTTTGGGCTATTCTTTCCCCAAATTTGTCGTGGGACGTTGTGTGTTCAGAGTGTTTTGCTTCATAAGTATGGCTGCATTCTCACTAGTGGAGTTACTGGAAAGGGGTCCTGATCCACACCCCAAGAGAGGATTCTTGGGTCTCACGCAACAAAGAGTTCAGGACGAGTCCGTAGAATAGAATGAAAGCAAGTTTATTAAGAAAGTAAAGGAATAAAAGAATGGCTACTCCATAAGCAGAGCAGCCACATGAGCTGCTCAGTTGCTTATACTTATTGTTACTTCTTGATTACATGCTTAACAGAAGGTGGATTATTCATAATCTTCCAGGATAGGGGTGGGCAATATCCGGAACTGAGGTACCTTTTCAGATCACATAGGGTAACTTCCTGACATTGCCATGGCATCTGTAAACTGTCATGGCACAGGTGGGAGTGCTAACGCATTATAATCAGAGTATAATGAGCAATGAGGACAACCAGAGGTCACTCTCATCACCATCTCGGTTTTGGTGGCGTTTGGCCAGCTTCTTTACAGCAAACTATTTAATCAGTAATGTCTTTATGACCTGTATCTGGTGCCTGCTTCCTATCTCATCCTGTGACCTAGAATGCCTAACCTCCTGGGAATGCCCAGTAGGACTCAGCCTCATTTTATCTAGTTCCTCTTCAAGAGGAACTTGGAGTTGCTCGGGTTCAAATGCCTCTGACAGAGGGAAGTAAAGCAGAGTGGGATTTGGGGACCCTGAGAATGCTTGGACCACATGGGGCAATCTCCCCTATTCTGTGAACTATAAATGGCAGTCCACGATGGTGGTTGTGTGGCATTACCACTTCCGACACTAAATGTATGTTGTTTTTCCACTCTGCTTCTTCAATTCTCTGACAGTAAGTGCAACAATTCAATTGCCCCCATTGAAGATGCCACCTGCAAATGGGATTCCGAGGCTGCCCCAATTCTGCCTGGCCAATTATGAATTTGGGGGGTCCCCAAAACCCCACTCAGGTTTGATGATTTGCTAAAATCACTTAGAGAAATAGATCACTATACTTACATTTATCCAGGTATTATAACAGATACAACTCAAATGGCCAAATGGAAAAGATACACAGGGCAAAGGGGGAGTGCCACAGAGCTCCCGTACCCTCTGGGTGCACCACCTTACTGGCACACCAGTGGATTCACAAGCCCAGAAGCTGTTTGAGTCTCCTTGTCTCAGAGATTTTATAACCCAATATCCTGCTCTGCCTTTACCCCCCACCCTCACTCCTGCCACTGGCACCCCACAGGGGAATCAGGGGATGAGGCTGAGAGCTTTCACCTTCTAATCATGTGTTTTGTCTTTCCAGCCCTCATCCTGAAGTTGTTAGGGGCCTCCTCCACCAATCACCTCATTAGCGTAAACTCAGTGTGATTTACAGGAGCTCATTATGAATAACAAAAGACACTCCTATCACTCAGGAAATTTCAAGGATTTTACTATCTCTGTGCTAGAAACCCAGCGCAAAGACCAAACACAAGTTTTATTCTGTTGTGGTTGTATAACCATCAGTAGTGGAGAAGTATTTTAACCAAGGAGTTGGACTCCTGAGTTTTGCTTATGACTCCATATTATTCCCCCTGTTTATCAGCCTCTTGGCGTTAATACAACTATCATATCTTACAGAACTTTTTTTCAAAAAATTTTTTATAGAGACAGAGTCTTGCTATGCTGCTAAGGCCGGTCTTAAACTCCTGACCTTCAGTGATCCTCCCACCTAGGACTCACAGAGTGCTGGGATTACAGGTGTAACAACTATCATATCTGTATTTATTTATTTATTTATTTTGAAACAGAGTCTTGCTGTTGTCACCCAGGCTGGAGTGCAATGATGGGATCTCGGCTCACTGCAACCTCTGCCTCCTGGGTTCAAGCAATTCTCCTGCCTCAGCCTCCCAAGTAGCTGGGATTACAGGTGTGCGCCACCATGCCTGGCTAATTTTTTTCTTTGTATTTTTAACAGAGATGGGGTTTCACCATGTTGGCCAGGCTGGTCTCAGACCAGCCTGGTCCTGACCTCAGGTGATCCACCTGCCTCAGCCTCCCAAAGTGTTGGGATTAGAGGCGTGAGCCACAGCGCCTGGCCCAACTATCATATCTTTAGAGTAGTCCCAAACTCAGACGGCAGTGGAGATAGACAGGTGGAATGATGGTCCCAAGGGTCCACAGCTGGCATTTTGTGATTCATGGGCCAGGACTCCAGGATGGAAGTGGAGAACATGTATACATATGGCCAGGGCTACCATGTATAGTGTTTTAGGTTGTCACTGCACAAGGCCACCCAACTGTCAATCTGAAAGAATCCAGCTTTTAAGAGTTTATTCAAAGGCTGGACACAGTGGCTCACTCCTGTAATCCCAGCACTTTGGAAGGCAGAGGTGGGTGGATTGCTTGAGGCCAAGAGTTGAAGACCAACCTGGGCAACATGGTGAAATCCCATCTCTATTAAAAATACAAAAATTAGCCTGGCATGGTGGTGTGTGCCTGTAGTCTCAGCTACTTGGGAGGCTGAGGCATGAGAATTGCTTGAGCCTGGTAGGCGGAGGGTGCAGTGGGCTGAGATCCCAACCACTGCACTCCAGCCTGGGCGACAGAGTGAGACCCTGTCTCAAAACAAAACAAAAAAAAACAGTTTATTCAAGCAAAAAGCTGGGAATAGCCATTTGGGAAACACAGACTCCAGAAAAATGAGGTCAGTGCTCCAACGTTAAAAGTTATGCTACAGGCTGGGCGTGGTGGCTCATGCCTGTAATTCTAGCACTTTGGGAGGCCGAGGCGGCCAGATCACCTGAGGTCAGGAGTTTGAGACCAGCCTGGCCACCTCTACTACAAATACAAAAATTAGCCAGGTGTGGTGGCAGGAGCCTGTAATCCCAGCTACTCGGGAGACTGAGGCAGGAGAATTGCTTGAACCCGGGAGGCAGAGGTTGCAGTGAGCCGAGATCGCACCATTGCACTCCAGCCTCGGGGACAAGAGTGAGACTTCGTCTCAAAAAAAAAAAAATAAAAGTTATGCTATATAGGCAGAAAACAAAGAAGTGTAGTAGGATTATAACATTTTCTATACAAGCCTGGTTTATGAGTTACAACAGTTAGTTACAGTTAGTTAGTTTGTTTTTCCATACAGCTTGTTTTCATTTCCTCTCCAATTTAAAGGAGTGTGTTTAACATCCCACCTTAGGTGGTGATGTCATTGTGTGAGAGAGAAAGAGGGAAGTTCATCTATAATGAAGATCAACAGTTAAGGGGAAGGGGCCTTTCCTGGCACTCTTTAGTCATTTACAGCATTTTACAAAACCATGTAGGTAAGGAAAAAGGCTAACTTATAATCAGAGAAATAAAGGGTTTTTTTTTTGTTTTGTTTTGTTTTGTTTTTGAGACAGAGTCTTGCTCTGTCACCCAGGCTGGAGTGCAGTGGTGTGATCACAGCTTACTGCAACCTGAACTCCCCAGCTCAAGCGATCCTCTTGCCTCAGCCTTCTGAGTAGCTGGGACTGCAGGTGCACATCACTACGCCCAGCCAATTTTTTTAATTTTAATTTTTTTTAGAGATAGGTTCTTGCTATGTTGCACGGGGTAGTTTCTAACTCCTGGCCCCAAGCGATTCTCCCACCTCAGCCTCCCAAAGTGTTGGGACTATAGGTATGAGCAGCCCAGCCAAAAATAAAAATTTTAAAACAAAATGAAGTAATGCTGTTTTTATGTAGATAGCTTTCTCAAAGACAACTTAAAGTATGTGTGTTTGTAATTTAAATGTGCATTGGCCAGAGGAGACAGAGGCAGGTTTGCTGAAGAATCCCAAATAGGAATTTGAGAAGTATCTGAGCTAGAAATGGCAAGAATTAAGGGAAGACTGCTTTGTATGCAAAAATGTGAGAGATATATATTCATTTTCTGTGATCACTGACCAATTTCTCATTTCCATTATATACTTATTTCAACATCTGAAGACTTCTCCATGAGGGCTAAGCCTTATGGACACCACAATGTGCATAACTTCATTAGATCCTACATGCAGCTTCCCTGTTACCAGAGCTTCTTTGAGGATGCTAGGGGAGAGGAGGGGAATTTTGTGCACTTTCCTATTATTAGCCTTCTCCTAGTAACCAGTTTCTGCAGCGGGCTTGCTTAAGAAAGATTTGGGAGTTTCAGAACTGAGCTTCAAAATAATTGCTCTATTGGGCCAGGTGTGGTGGCTCATGCTTGCTTTTTTTTTTTAATTTAAGTTCTGGGGTACATGTGCAGAATGTGCAGTTTTGTTACTTAGGTATACACGTGCCATGGTGGTTTGCTGCACCCATCAACCCATCACCTACATTAAGTATTTCTCCTAATGTTATCCCTCCCCTAGTTCCCCACCCCACAACAGGCCCCGGTGTGTGATGGTCCCCTCCCTATGTCCATGTGTTCTCACTGTTCAATTCCCAGTTATGAATGAGAACATGCAGTGTGTGGTTTTCTGTTTTTGTGATAGTTTGCTGAGAATGATGGTTTCCAGCTTCATCCATGTCCCTGCAAAGGACGTGAACTCATCCTTTTTTCTGGCTGGATAGTATTCCATAGTGTACATGAGCCAGGTTTTCTTTATCCATTCTATTATTAATGGACATTTGGATTGGTTACAAGTCTTTGCTATTGTGAATAGTGCCACAATAAACATACGTGTGCATGTGTCTTTACAGTAGAATGATTTATAATCCTTTATATATAGTAGAATGATTTATAATCCTTTGGTTATATACCCAGTAATGGGATTGCTGGATCAAGTGGTATTTCTAGTTCTAGATCTTTGAGGAATCGCCACACTGTCTTCCACAAGGGTTGAAATAATTTACATTCCCACGAACGGTGTAAAAGCGTTCCTATTTCTCCACAGCCTCACCAGCATCTGTTGTTTCCTGACTTTTTAATGATCGCCATTCTAACTGGCATAAGATGGTATCTCATTGTTGTTTTGATTTGCATTTCTCCAATGACCAGTGACGATGAGCATTTTTTCATGTTTGTTGGCTGCACAAATGTCTTCTTTTGAGAAGTGTCTCTTCATATCCTTTGCCCTCTTTTCAATGAGGTTGTTTTTTTCTTGTAAATTTGTTTAAGTTCTTTGTAGATTCTGGATATTAGCCCTATGTCAGGTGGATAGATTGCAAAAATTTTCTCCCATTCTGTAGGTTGCCTGTTCACTCTGATGATAGTTTCTTTTGCTGTACATAAGCTCTTTGATTTAGTTAGATCCCATTTGTCAATTTTGGCTTTTGTTGCCATTGCTTTTGGTGTTTTAGACAAGAAGTCTTTGCCCATTCCTACTTCCTGAATGGTGTTGCCCAGGTTTTCTTCTAGGATTTTTATGGTTCTAGGTCTTACGTTTAAGTCTTTGATCCATCTTGAGTTGATTTTTGTATAACGTGTGAGGAAGGGGTCCAGTTTCAGTTTTCTGCATATGGCTAGCCAGTTTTCCCAACAGCATTTATTAAATAGGGAATCATTTCCCCATTGCTTGTTTGTGTCAGGTTTGTCAAAGATCAGATAGATGGTTGTAGATGTGTGGTGTTATTTCTGAGGGCTCTGTTCTGTTCCATTGGTCTATATATCTGTTTTGGTACCCCGTACCATGTTGTTTTGGTTACTGTAGCCTTGTAGTACAGTTTGAAGTCAGGTAGCATGATGCCTCCAGCTTTATTCTTCTTGCCCAGGATTGTCTTGGCTATGCGGGCTTTTTCTTGGTTCCATATGAAGTTTAAAATAGTTTTTTCCAATTCTGTGAAGAAAGCCAGTGGTAGCTTGATGGGGATGGCATTGAACCTATAAATTACTTCAGGCAGTGCGGCCATTTTCATGATATTGATTCTTCCTATCCATAAGCATGGAATGTTTTTCCATTTGTTTATGTCCTCTCTTACTTCCTTGAGCAATGGTTTGTATTTCTCCTTGGAGAGGTTTTTCACATACCTTGTAAGTTGTATTCCTAGGTATTTTATTCTCTTTGTAGCAATTGTGAATGGGAGTTCACTCAAGATTTGGCTCTCTGTTATTGGTGTATAGGAATGCTTGTGATTTTTGCACATTGATTTTATATCCTGAGACTTTGCTGAAGTTGCTTATCAGCTTAAGGAGATTCTGGGCTGAGATGATGGGGTTTTCTAGATATATAATCATGTCATCTGCAAACAGAGACAATTTGACTTCCTCTCTTCCTATTTGAATACCTTTATTTCTTTCTCTTGCCTGATTGTCCTGGCCAGAACTTCCAATACTATATTGAATAGGAATGGTGAGAGAGGGCATCCTAGTCTTGTGCCGGTTTTCAAAGGGAATGCTTCCAGTTTTTGCCGATGCAGTATGATATTGGCTGTGGGTTTGTCATAAATAGCTCTTATTATTTTGAGATACATTCCATTGATACCCAGTTTTTTAAGAGATTTTAGCATAAAGGGGTGTTGAATTTTGTTTTAAGGCCTTTTCTGCATCTATTGAGATAATCATGTGGTTTTTGTGATTGGTTCTGTTTATGTGATGGATTATGTTCATTGATTTGTGTATGTTGAAACAGCCTTGCATCCTAGGGATGAAGCCAGCTTGATCATGGTGGATAAGATTTTGATGTGCTGCTGGATTCGGTTTGCCAGTATTTTGTTGAGGAGTTTCGCATCAAAGTTCATCAGAGATATTGGCCTGAAATTTTGTTGTTGTTGTTGTTGTGTCTCTGCCAGATTTTGGTATCAGGATGATGCTGGCCTCATAAAATGAGTTAGGGAGGATTCTCTCTCTTCTATTATGTGGAATAGTTTCAAAAGAAATGGTACCAGCTCCTCTTTGTAACTCTGGTAGAATTTGGCTGTGAATCTGTCTGGTCCTGGACTTTTTTTGGTTGGTAGGCTATTAATTACTGCCTCAATTTTAGAACTTGTTATTGGTTTATTCAGAGATTTGACTTCTTCCTGGTTTAGACTTGGGAGGGTGTATGTGTCCAGGAATTTATCCATTTCTTCTAGATTTTCTAGTTTATTTGTGTAGAGGTGTTTATAGTATTCTCTGATGGTAATTTGTGTTTGTTGGATTAATGGTGATATCCCCTATATCATTTTTTATTGTATCCATTTGATTCTTCTCTTTTCTTCTTTATTAGTCTGGCTAGCAGTCTATTTTGTTGATCTTTTCAAAAAACCAGCTCCTGGATTCATTGATTTTTTGAAGGGTTTTTCGTGTCTTTATCTCCTTCAGTTCTGCTCTGATCTTAGTTATTTCTTGTCTTCTGCTAGATTTTGAATTTGTTTGCTGATGCTTCTCTAGTTCTTTTAATTTTGATGTTAGGTTATCAATTTTAGATCTTTCCTGCTTTCTCTTGTGGGCATTTAGTACTATAAATTTTCCTCTACACACTGCTTTAAATATGTCCCAGAGATTCTGGTACATTGTGTCCTCGTTCTCATTGGTTTCAAAGAACATCTTTATTTCTGCCTTCATTTCATTATTTACCCAGTAGTCATTTAGGAGTAGGTTGTTCTGTTTCCATGTTGTTGTGCAGTTTTGAGTGAATTTCTTAATCCTGAGTTCTAATTTGATTGCACTGTGGTCTGAGAGACTGTTTGTTATGATTTCCATTCTTTTGCATTTGCTGAGGAGTGTTTTACTTCCAATTATGTGGTCAATTTTAGAATAAGTGCGATGTGGTGCTGAGAAGAATGTATATTCTGTTGATTTGGGGTGGAGAGTTCTGTAGATGTCTATTAGGTCTGCTTGGTCCAGAGCTGAGTTCAAGTGCTGAATATCTTTGTTAATTTTCTGCCTCATTGATCTGTCTAATATTGACAGTGAGGTGTTAAAGTCTCCCAGTATTATTGTGTGGGAGTCTAATTCTCTTTGTAGGTCTCTAAGATCTTTCTTTATGAAGCTGGGTGCTCCTGTATTGGGTGCATATATATTTAGGATGGTTAGCTCTTCTTGTTGCATTGATTTCTTTACCATATGTAAATGAATCTTTGTCTCTTTTGCCCTTCATTGTCTCTTTTGATCTTTGTCGGTTTAAAGTCTGTTTTATCAGAGATTAGGATTGCAACTCCTGCTTTTTTTTGCTTTCCATTTGCTTGGTAAATAGTCCTCCTTCCCTTTATTTTGAGCCTATGTGTGTCATTGCACATGAGATGGGTCTCCTGAATACAGCACATTGGTGGGTCTTGATTCTTTATCCAATTTGCCAGTCTGTGTCTTTTAACTGGGGAATTTAGCCCATTTACATTTAAGGTTAATATTGTTATGTGTGAATTTAATCCTGTCATTATTATGCTAGCTGGTTGTTTTGCCTGTTAGTTGATGCAGTTTCTTCATAGTGTCGATGTTCTTTACAATTTGGTAAGTTTTTGCAGTGGCTGGTACCAGTTGTTCCTTTCCATATTTAGTGCTTCCTTCAGGAGCTCTTGTAAGGCGGGCCTGGTGGTGACAAAATCTCTCAGCATTTGCTTATCTGTAAAGGATTTTTGTTTCTCCTTCACTTATGAAGCTTAGTTTGGCTGGATATGAGATTCTGGGTTGAAAATTCTTTTCTTTAAGAATGTTGAATATTGGCCCCCACTTTCTTCTGGCTTATAGGGTTTCTGCAGAGAGGTTTGCTGTTAGTCTGATGGGCTTCCCTTTGTGGGTAACCTGACCTTTCTCTCTGGCTGCCCTTAACATTTTTTTCCTTCATTTCAACCTTGGTGAATCTGACTATTATGTGTCTTCGGGTTGCTCTTCTCGAGAAGTATCTTTGTGGTGTTCTTTGTATTTCCCGAATTTGAATATTGGCCTGTCTTGCTAGGTTGGGGAAGTTCTCCTGGATAATATCCTGAAGAGTGTTTTCCAACTTGGTTCCATTCTCCCTGTCACTTTCAGGTACACAAATCCAACGTAGATTTGGTCTTTTCACATAGTTCCATATTTCTTGGAGGCTTTGTTTATTCCTTTTTATTTTTTTTTTTTCTAATCTTGTCTTGTCTCTTTATTTCATTAAGTTGATCTTCAATCACTGATATACTTTTTTCCACTTGATCGATTTGGCTGTTGAAACTTGTGTAAGCTTCATGAAGTTCTCGTGCTGTGTTTTTCAGCTCCATCAGGTCATTTATGTTCTTCTCTACACTGGTTATTCTAGTTAGCAATTCATCTAACTTTTTTCAAGGTTCTTAGCTTCCTTGCTTTGGGTTAGAACATGCTGCTTTAGCTCAGAGGAGTTTGTTATTACCCACCTTCTGAAGACTACTTCTGTCAATTTGTCAAACTCATTCTCCGTTCAGTTTTGTTCCCTTGCTGGCGAGGTGTTGTGATCCTTTGGAGGAGAAGAGGCATTCTGGTTTTTGGAATTTTCAGCCTTTTTGCGCTGGTTTCTCCCCATCTTTGTGGATTTATCTACCTTTGGTCTTTGATGTTGGTGACCTTCAGATGGGGTCTTTTAGGGGATGTGCTATTCCTTTCTGTTTGTTAGTTTTCCTTCTGACAGTCAGGCCCCTCTGCTGCTGGTCTGCTGGAGTTTGCTGGAGGTCCACTCCCAACCCTGTTTGCCTGGGTATCACCAGCAGAGGCTCAGTTGGAAATGCAGAAATCACCAGCCTTCTGCATCTATCTTGCTGGGAGCTGCAGACTGAGGCTGTTTCTATTTGACCATCTTGCCAGTAATCCCTCCAACCCCCCCCCCTTTTTTTTTTTTTTTGATGGAGTTTCACTCTTGTCACCCAGGCTGGAGTGCAATGGGCATGATCTTGGCTCACTGCAACTTCCACCTCCCGGGTTCAAGTGATTCTCCTGTTTCACCCTCCTGAGTAGCTGGGATTACACGTTCTCGACACCAGGCATAGCTAATTTTTGTATTTTTAGTAGAGATGGAGTTTCACCATGTTCGTCAGGCTGGTCTTGAACTCCTGACCTCAGGTGATCCACCCACATTGGCATCTCAAAGGGTTGGGATTACAGGCGTGAGCCACTGTGCCTGGCTGGCTCATGCTTTTAAACCCAGCACTTTGGGAGGCTGAGACTGAGAGGATTGCTTGAGCCCAGGAGTTTAAGACCAGCCAAGGCAACATAGGGAGACCCTGTCTTTACAAAAAATTAAAACATTAACCAGGCATGGTTGTATATGCCTGTAGTCCCAGCTACTGGGGAAGCTAAAGCGGGAGGATCAAGGCTGCAGTGAGCCATCATTGTGCCACTGCACTCCAGCCTGGGCAACAGAGTGAGACCCTGTCTCAAAAAAAAAAAAAAAAGCTCTATTAATAATGACAGAGATCACAGGAGTGCTAATGCAGGCACGGATAATAGCTCACACTTACTGTTTACTATGTGTCAGGGACATGTAAGGCCTGACATGAGTTATACCATTTAATCCTCATAATGTTCTCACAAAGCAGGTGCACTATTTCCCCACTTAGATAAGCAAACTTGTGAGGGGTATGAAACTTGTTCAAAGACACCCATTTACTAAGTACTACCACTGGGCTTCCCACCCAAGACTGCTCAATTCTAAGATCTGAGCTTTGAACCACGACATTAAAATCTGTCTCTGTAACAGGGGAGGTAACCTTTTCATGTAAAAAGCCAGACAGTAAATATTTTAGGCTTTGTGGACCAAAATACAAAATTGAGGATACAATATAGGTTCTTACATAAAAAAAGAGAAAACCAATTTCTACCAATTTTTGAACAAAATCCAAACTTTTATTTATAAACACTGAAATTTGAATTTCATATATATTATAGTTTTCACATGTCACAAAAATACCATCATTCTTTTTATTTATCTTCAACCATTTAAAGATGCAAAAACCATTCTTAGCTTGGAGTTTAACCACACACACACAAAAGAAAGCAGAGTGTGGGAGTGTAGTAGTTTTATGACTACTGTTGGACATGGAGTGTTAACAGTGAGATTGATTGCCTGGGACTATGAATGAGAAAACAAAACGAAACAAAAAATACAGAATTCCAAGAAGGAAAACTCCAGCTACGTTGCCATTTAGCTGAACCTTTTCTGGCATAGCCAGAAGTACTATCTACTTTTTCCTTCAGTGGTGAGGTTCCCATTTTGAATTTAGCATTGTAAAAATTTCTTAAGGGAGAATGAACAGAATCCCTGAAATTAGAACTGGTCTAGAAAATCCGGCATATGTTTCTTTAGCTATGGGTGAAGTTTAGATGTTATAATTGGTCTGGAACTCTGCCCACATCTTTCTTTCTTACTGTAACCCACTTGCTCAAGTAGAAGGAAGAGGAGGAAAAGTAAGAAGCAAAATGAGGACAAAGAAGAGATGAGAGAAGAGCTATATTTATGGTCCATATTTCCTTCATTCTTTTTTTAGGAACTCCAAGATTTCATTATATCCCTTGACAAATTCATATACTTACATAGTATTCTGGAATTCAGCCAACTCTAGTAGAGGCTGAGAGACAGTTGGAGGATGCTGAGAGGAGATTCAGGACATGGCACTCATCCCCATTGGGATGGGTGACCATCAGTGGTGATTAACCTTCCTGAAGTTCTGTGTCATCCTCTATAAAACAAGGGAAGAGCCCAAAATTTGATAATTCTTATGAACTAGGACCCTCGGTTACATCCAATTTAGAACTAACAATTGCTTCTCTAAAATTAGGAGCAGAGAGTGCAAAGAATGTAGATGATCACGTTTTGTCTCCCAACATCAAGAACACTCTAAAGCAAACTTTCCTTTAAAGAGGCAAGCCTTTGGAGTCCCTTGAGACCCTGTATCATAGTTTATACTTTTGAATCCTTTTTATTTTTTATTTACTTTTTTTTTTTTTCTGACACAGACTCTTGCTCTGATGCCCAGGTTGGAGTGCAGTGGTGCAATCTCAGCTCACTGCAAACTCTGCCTCCCAGGTTCAAGTGATTCTTGTGCCTCAGCCTCCTGAGTAGCTGGGATTACAGGTGTGCACCACCACGCCCAGTTAATTTTTGTATTTTTAGTAGAGATGGGGTTTCACCATGTTGGCCACGTTGGTCTTGAACTCCTGGCCTCAAGTGATCCACCCACCTCGGCCGCCCAAAGTGCTAGGATGACAGGTGTGAGCCACTGTACCTGATGAATTTTGACTCATAATTAAGTTTCAATACCAAGTACATTATTAAATCAGAACACAGGGTGTTGACACACAAATGGGAGCAAATGACCCAAGGGAAAGAAGTAACACAGCATGATACCTAAGAAGGTGTAATTACTAAGGGATTTTCACACATCAGTAGTTAGCAGATGGACTCTTGTGGTTTCAGATTCCTAGAATATCAGCACCTAAATTGACATGAGGGACATAGTCAGGAAACCCAGGACTGAGTCCTGGCTCTCTTGTTGTTTCTAGCTGTGTGGCTTTAGAAAAGTTATCAAATACCTTCAAACCTCAGTCTCTCCATTTTTAAAATGAAGATAAGATCTTTTTGAGTGTCATGAGGCACAAATTCATTCAATCATCTATTCAATGAGCATTTATTAATTTTCTTCTGTGTTCTAGATCCTAGGGATAAAAATATATAATATATAGTCATCTTCTTAAAGAAGTTAGCCAGGTGTGGTGGCTCACACCTGTAATCCTAGCACTTTGGGAGGCCGAGGCAGCAGGATCACTTGAGGTCAGGAGTTGCAAACCAATGTGGCCAACATGGAGAAACCCCATCTCTACTAAAAATACGAAAATTAGCTGGGCCTATTGGTGCACGCCTGTAATCCCAGTTACTCGGGAGGCTAAGGCAAGAGAATCGCTTGAACACAGGAGATGGAGGTTGCAGTGAGTGGAGATCACGCAACTGCACTCCAGCCTGGGTGACAGAGTGAGACTCTGTCTCACAAAAACAAAAACAAAACAAAAAATAAACAAAAAAAAGAAACTCACAAACCAGAAAGGTGTGGTAGACAATAAACACATATGAAACAGCATGCAAATGGTATGAACTGGATGCCGTTGAGCCAAGATTAAGAATACTCTACCCTGCCTAAATAAGTAACAAGGGTCTCAGGAGAAGTAGTCAGAACTGAATACTGGCTGGGCATGGTAGCTTACGCCTGTAATCCCAGCACTTTGGGAGGCTAAGGTGGGAGGAGTGCTTAAGCCCAGGAGTTCAAAACCAGCTCTGGGCAACATAGCAAGATGCCATCTTTATTAAAGAAAGAAAAACAATTTTGATGGATTGACGGATGAGTGGAGATGAGGCAAGTCACGGCAGCATGAAAAAAAATAAAGGGAAGAAAAATGTGTTATATTTTGCAATCTGCATGTCCTTTGTACTCCTGAAAAGTATAGTGTGATGAGTATTGGCAAATGAAGTGACATGGTTAAAAAATGTGTCAATTCTGACTTAGTCCAGTTCTCTTAAGTTCAGTTTCAGGTCACTGACTCATATATAATCATACTCAATTCTTTGGAAGTGAGTCACTAAGCACAGTTCATACTCAGGGATTGTGTGTTTGTGTATGTGTATATATATATACATGCATGCATGTATATATTTGTGTGTACACACACACGTGTGTACGCACAAATGTGTATATATATACACAAATATATACATGCATGCATGTATGTATATACACATACACACATATATATACAAATATATACATGCATGCAGGTGTGTGTGTGTATATATATATATGTATGTATATACACATGTATACACACATATGCATACCCCATCGCTTGAGTGCAGGCTTTATTTAGTTACTTAGTGACTCACTTCCAAAGAATTGAGCATAGGAAGGGAAAAAGAACTACCTTACCACTGGAGAAACCTGGCAAACACTGTCTCAACCAGGTGATCAAAGTTAACATCATGAGTGACAAGGCATGTTGTACCCATTTTTTTTTTTTTTTTTTGAGATGCAGTCTTACTCTGTCGCTTAGGCTGGAATGCAGTGATGCACTCTCAACTCACTTCAGCCTTCACCTCCTGAGTTCAAGTGATTCTCCTGCCTCAGCCTCCTGAGTAGCTGGGATTACAGGCACACGCCACCACACCCAGCTGATTTTTTTATTTTTAGTAGAGATGGGGTTTTGCCATGTTGGCCGGCCTGGTCTCGAACTCCTGACCTCAGGTGATCCGCCCATCTCCGCCTCCCAAAGCGCTAGGATTACAGGCATGAGCCACCATGCCTGGCCATGTTGTACCCTTCATATGATGTGATGATAATGGCACTTCAACTCTGTGGTCTTCTCCCAAAACAATGAATAACTCCAGTCTAGCTGTGAGAAAGATATGAGACAAACCCTAATTGAAAGACAGTATATGAACTCTGACCAGTAGCCCTCAAAATTATCAAGGTCATCAAAAACAAAGCTTTAGGAAATTGTCACAGCCTAGAGGAGGCTAAGGAGACCTGATGGCTAAATGCAATGTAGTTGTCTGCATGTGATCCTAGAAGAACAACAACATAAAAGGACACTGGAGGAAAATTAGTGAAATCCAAATAAAGTATGGAGTTTAATAAATAATAATTAGCAATCTTGGTTGTTTAGCTGTGACAAGTATACCATGGTAATGTAAGATGTAAACAACAGGGGAAACTGGGCGAAGGGTATAAGGGAACTCTCTGTATTATCTTTGAAACAAAAAGCTAAAATTATTATACAATATTAAATGAATAAAAACATACAATACTCTATCTCTTTAATACTGGTTAAGAATTGTAAAAGGCTAAGAGCTTTTTAAGCCATATTACCCTCCCTGAGCACATTTTAAGGCTTTGTCATGATCTGGGAGGGAACTCCCATCTCCCAATATAAACTGTGCTGAGAAAAACGGATATTTCTGAAATCAGTTCCCAATAAGATTTATTTGAAGTGCAGGAATTCAAAGAGAAACAGAGCAAGATAGAAAAGGGTCTTTGGAGGCCGGGTGCGGTGGCTCACGCCTGTAATCCAAGCACTTTGGGAGGCTGAGGCGGGTGGATCACGAGGTCAGAAGATCGAGACCATCCTGGCTAACACGGTGCAAACCCCGTCTCTACTAAAGATACAAAAAAAATTAGCCGGGCGTGGTGGCGGGCGCCTGTTGTCCCAGCTAGTCGGGGGTGCTGAGGCAGGAGAATGGCGTGAATCCAGGAGGCGGAGCTTGCAGTGAGCCGAGATCGCGCCACTGCACTCCGGCCTGGGTGACAGAGCGAGACTCGAGTCTCAAACAAACAAAAAAAAGAAATGGGTCTTTGGAGTTAAGATTCCTGCGAGCTCTTTTCATCTGACGCTTAATTTGATGTGATTGTGTTAGAATTTCCTCCCACATCTTGGAGTCTGGGAGAAGGCCAATAGAATCCAACACTTTTCAACTGTCTTCATAAATCCCAATCCTATAATTGGAAAAAATGTTCTCTCACAAAATTGAAGATGAGAAATCCTATTCAATGAGCAAACTAAAGGCAGTAATATGGGTTGCAAAGACCTTGACATGAGAGGAAACAGGCCTGGGCACATCCTGGGCAAGCAACTGCTCTGCCTCTCTATCTATATCATAAGATGAGAATTTTGGAGCAGTTTATTTCTCCTTCTAATGCTAATATGCTAGGACTCATTTCCTAGACAGTTGAAAACATGTTTATGGGCATAATATCTCTCCACAAGACTATTTGAGGAACCAAGAGAATTTCTAAATACTGATTTAATACAAGTATATTTTGAAAGGCAACTTACTTTTCAAACTAATGAGTTTGGATGGATCAGCCTACAGGGGCATATATTTTTCATAGAATTAACCAATCTGCTCATCTCTTCTTTTGGTTTTACTTATACCAACTGCGTTAGTTTTAGGGAAAGTGTGTTTCTTTTTTTTCTTTCCAGAGTTTCCCTCTAGTGTTTGTTGCTCAAAGTCTTCCTGTTGCTCGAACATGTCCACAGACAGCTAGGCCTCTCTCTGTGTCTTTCTTCCAAAAACGGAAGGAAATTACTTCCTTCATTTATTAATTTGGACAATTACTTTCTTAATCATTGATTTATTTCTTTCTTCACACACTTAGATTATGTAGAGGGAACTACATTTGGTTAGTTACTAGATGCTACCAAAAAGCTCATACTTAAGTAGAAAAAGAAACAAAGAAAAAAATACAATGTAGTGTAATAAAGGTATACAGAGGGTGCTCAGGAACCTGTAGGAAGAATAACAAATGAAACTTGGGAATGTCAACCCTGTTCCTGCTTCTAGGCCTTTGTACCTGCATTCCCTAAGTCTGAAACACTTCCTCAAACATAGTCATGGCTTGCTCTGAAGCTTAATTTAGGTTTTTTTTTTGCTTTTGGTTTTGCTTTTTCTCGAGATGGAGCCTTGCTCTGTCACCCAGGCTGGAGTGCAGTGGTGTGATCTGGGCTCACTGCAGCCTCTGCCTCCCAGGTTCCAGTGGTTCTCCTGCCTTAGCCCTGTGAGTACTGGGATTACAGGCACCTGCCACCACACCTGCTTAATATTTGTATTTTTAGTAGAGACAGGGTTTCATGATGTTGGCCAGGCTGATCTCGAACTCCTGACCTCAAGTGATCTGCCCGCATCAGCCTCCCAAAGTACTGGGATTACTTTAACATGAGAGGAACTAGGTGTGAGCCACCATGCCCAACCTTAATTCAGTTTTCTGCTCAAAATTCCCCCTTGAGTGAAGCCTTTCTTTGCTATCTGATCTTTCCCTTACTGTGCTTTATTTTTTTTTCAGTGATATTATATTATATATTTGGTTGTTTATTTATCTGTCTGCCCATTAGATGAGCAGGAGGGCAGAATCTTCTATCCTGTTGACCATGATATCTCAAGTACCAAGGTCTCTGTTTTGTGAATATTTGTTAAATGCTGAATGAATGAACAAGTAAATGAATGGATGAACACTGAGTGACACATGAAAGCTTCCTGGAGAATGTGGCAATTTAACTGAATAATTGGAGGTATGAATGGGAGTCACCCAGGCAAAGACACAATGAGAACAGGAATTCTAGGTAGAGAAAGCACATCAGCAGAAGCCTGTAAAGATGAGAGAGCTTGGAATGTTCTTCAAATTGCAAACAGTTTGGTGTTACTGAATCCTGGGATGAGATGGGATAGGAGCGGGGAGCCATGAGGCTGGAGAAGACAGCAGGGAAGAAGGCTTCAATGAGCAGGCTGGAGAAGTCACATGGCAGTGAGTGCCAAGCAAGGAAGAGGGCGGCCTTAGGGTGTGGCTGAAGAGCCATTGAAAGAACCCAGTTGGTAGCTGGAGGCCACAGAATGCCCTCATCTTCCCAAACCTTATTCTGGCTTTTTCTTCAAATCCCCAACAACTCCAAATCTCTTCCACAGGCTTTCTTTTAAATAGGGGTCTTTCAAAGTTTTTCGACTATCATCACAGTGAGAAACACATTGAACATGGTGTCCAGTTCATAAATAGGGTGATAGGTGATTGATAGATACTTAATCCTTACTACATCGAATGTACTGTATATTCTATTCTCTATTCTATTCTATTTTCTTTTTCTTTTTTTTTTTTTTTTTTTTTGAGACCGTGTCTTGCTCTGTCATCCAGGTTGGAGTGCAGTGGCGCAATCTCAGCTCACTGTGACCTCTGCCTCCCAGGATCAAGCGATTCTTGTGCCTCAGCCTCCCGAGTAGCTGATATTATAGGCATGGGCCACCATGCCCAGCTGATTTTTTTGTAGTTTTAGCAAAGACCGGGTTTCAGGCCATTCTCAAACTCCTGACCTCAAATGATCCACCCACCTCGGCCTCCCAAAGTGCTGGGATTACAGGCATGAGCCACCGTACCCTATCCCCATTCCAGTCGATTCTTAAGACTGCTGGTTGTTCCCACTAAACTGATTTCTCTACCCACTGTTTTCAAATACACCTGTAACTGGATCATGATGTAAATAGCTTTTTATTTTCTTTTACTGAGGATTACCTTTTAAAAAGTCTGAGCAACACTTGTCTACAGCCCAAGGCCCAGGCCCAGACAATTCTGCATCAGAGAGCACACCCCAGGCAAATGGCCCTCAACCCTAAGATGACTCAGATCCCATGCTGGGAGAATTCTGTGATGAAAAACAGGCCAGTTAGTGGCCCTTGCCTTCAGCAGCCAATGCTTAAGGAGTGGTCGGCTTTCTGACAGTGTGCTTCTGTGCATGCCAATAGTAGTTACCTTTCAAAGCATAGTTGTATTTAAATGAGTTCTTAAAGTGACCTGGATTCCAGGCAGGGAGCCCCAGGGGATGTGTTTGCATTTCTTGTGAAGATCATCATTGCTTATATCAGTCATCTTAGCAAAGGCATTTAGCAGACTTGCATGTGTCTGGCATAGTTGAAGTCTGCCTGGTTTATGGGTCGTTGATGTTAACTTGCAGGAGGGAAGATGATTTTTGAAATAAATCTTTGCCCAGAGCAATCAGAAGTTCTCCAGATCATGTTGAGTGAGGGAGAAGGCAGTGTGCTGATGAGAAAGAGCTCGGAATTGTGAGTTAGAGGAGACAGAATTGAGTCTAAGACTCTCTTCGTGTGACCACGGTCAAGTTATTTAACTTCTTTAAACTCAGTTTCCTTATGAATGAAACAGATGTAATAATTCTCTCCCTTGACTTCACAGAGACATTTTAGGACTAAAAATAATGTACGTGAAAGTGCTTTGGCATGCCCAAAACTTACACAAATGATAACAGTTTGTTCTGAACATGAATGATGATAATTAATAAATGCGTTCTAAACAATTATAAAACTACCATCTTACAGGTAAGAAAACAGACTCCAGAGAGATTAAAAACTGACAAACAAAGAGGAGTAATACATGATAAAGCTAGAATGCAAACCCAGGCCATTGTGGTTGTAAAGTCCTGCTGTGAACCACTATGCTGCATAGGAGACATCCTAGGGAATGCAGGAGCGCCATGCTGAGTGCTCCTTGATGGGACAGATTCTTGCCTGTCTCGTAGCATTCCCAACGGCTGGTACACAGAACATACTCAATCTGTGTGCATTGCACATAAATATTCTCACTTGTCCTTCTCTTCCTCTTTCTGTCTTGGATTCTTAAATTATTGTTGATATATATATATATATATATATATATATATATATATATATATATATGCTTTCTTAAAATTACTCTGTTGTGCAGGCTAGCTTCCTATAGCACTTGGAGTAGCAATAAATAAGCAAAGAAGCAAAGCCTGCTTTGGATTCAGGAATAGAATTTGTTCAGGCTGAAAAACATATCTAATGAAATACCTGTTTTTGTTCATTTTCAAATATGGGCACCTACAAGGCACAAATGCCACCCAGAAGGCACACAGAAAGGCTCACACTACAACTGCACTTGCGCTGTTGAAATAGATTTGAAGCCTGAGATTGGTGTCCTGCTTGGCTGAGTTGTATCTGGCTCATTTTGGGACAAGCACATTTGGAGTTTCTTGCCTTGGCCTGGCCCCAGCAAACCAGAAATTATAGATTCCTAATCCAGAGTTCTGCTTGTATTTCTTACTTTCTGTAAAAAAAGTAAGTAAAAAAAGGTAAAAAATTATACATTTCTTTCTGTAAAGAAATGTCTAATTTCTTTACAGAAATTATAGATTCCTAATCCAGAGTTCTGCTTGTATTTCCCTGGAGTGACACTCCAGGAAAAGTCACTGTATTAGTCTGCTAGGGCTTCCATAATGAAATGCCACAGACTAGGTGCCTTAAACAACAGAAAGTTGTTTCCTTATGATTCTGGACCAAGGTCAAGGTGTCTGCAGAGCTGGTTTTTTTCGGAGGGTCTCTCCCTTGGCCATCTTCTCTTGACATGTCTTCCCTCTGTGTATGTCTGTGTCCTAATCTCCTCTTCTAATTAGGATCCTAGTCATATTGGACTAGGGACTACCCTAGTGACTGCATTTAACCTTAATTACTTTGATATAGTTTGGATGTTTGTCCTTTCCAAATCTCATGTTGAAATGTGACCCCCAGTGTTGGAGGTGGGGCCTGATGGAGAGTGTTTGGGTCATGGGGATGGATCCCTTATGAATGGCTTGGTGCTCACCCTGCAGTGATTAGTGAGTTCTAGCTTTATTCGTTCATGTGAGAGATGGTTATTTAGGAGTTAGATGTCTCCCTCTCCTTTCTCTTGCTTTCTCTCTTGCCATATGATTTGCCTACTCCCCGCTTTGCCTTCTGCCAGTGAGTAAATGTTTCCCAAGGCCTTACCAGAAGCTCACAGACCCTGCTGCTATGCTTGTATTGCTGCAGAACTGTGAGCCAAATAAACCTCTTTTTTTAATAAATCACCTAGCCTCAGGTATTCCTTTATAGCAATGCACACTACACTAATACACCCTTTAAAAACTCTATCTCCAAATTGAGTCACATTCTGAGGCACTGGGTGTTGGGACTTCAATATATGAATTTGGGGGAGGACACACAATTCAATCCATAACAATTGCACAGTGGAATCAGATTAAAATGATGACAATGGGATCTACAAGAGACATAGTTTTCATAAAATTTTGGGACCTGGAGGTGAAAGAGAAGCAGAAGCAACATTCTTTAAGTTTGTGTATTATTTTATTTTCAGAAAAGAAATTTATTTCAATTCCTTTTCATGCTTCTGTTGTTATACTAAAATGTCTCTTTCCATGTGGGAAATAGTACATTATTTCCAAAGGAAAAAGGCTATTTGAGGACATTAAGGTGCTCCATTTATTCTGTGAAAAAAGACTCATTTTACATATACATGCATTTCTTGCAGTCACCCTGGAGGAGGAAGATAAATATTTCTCCATAACAACAACAACTACCAGAAATCAGATTTATTTTGTGTTCTTCTAGAACCAATACGGTGGTAGAATTGAAGGCAGGCCCACGAGGCACACAGAGGCCCATGAGGTGGCCTTTGATGAACTCATGCTTCTGTGTAGGGCCTGTACCCAAACTAATGTGAGACTCACCACTCTGTCTAGACTTTATTGTCTGAAAATGCTCTTTAGATGTTATCGGACTATGCTCTATACTAATTTTTGCTATTTTGGACTCTGCCTGGATTTTTTGTTCCCAAAGAGTTACTTTTTTCCTTTTTTAAAATTCAACTTTATTGAGGTATAATTTATATATCATAAAATTCACCCTTGTTTTAGGTATAAAGTTTGAAGACTTTCAAAAAAAAATATATACATTCATGTAACTAACACCACAATCAAGTTACGGATTATTTCCACCCACCCCACAAAGATCTCTCCTGATCCTTTATAATCAACATTGTCCCTATTCTCAGTCCCTGACAATCATTGACCTTATTTCTGTACCTATAGCTTTCCTTTACCAGAGTGTCATATAAATGGAATAATACATGGAATCATATAAACGAATCTCCCGATGCTTTTGGGAGTCATTCCTTTTTATTTCAGGTATCAGTCATTTGTTTCTTTTCATTGCTGAGTAGTATTCCATAATATGGATCCCCAATTTGTTTATACAGTTACCAACTCATGGACATTCAGGTTGTTTCCAGTGTTTTGATATTATGTTTAAAGCTTCCATTAACTTTTGCATGCAGGGCTTTGTGTAGACAAGTTTACATTTTGAGGGTAAGTGCTTATGAAATAGTTTTTGAGTTTTCTGAGAAGTAGAAGCGAAGACTGGGTTAGACATTCAAGAGATTTAGGGAAATGCTCATGAAATAAAAAGTGGAGGGAACAGTGAGAAGGCAGGGAGAGGTTTCCGTTCATGATGCAAATCTGATCCCTGTGAAGGATAAGAAGAGGGAAGACAAACTGAACAGGAAAAAAAAATGTAGATCGGTGCCGTTCTACTCTAGCTTCGGCTAGGGCTATGGGGAGTCTTTGAGCTAAACTTAGATTTGGGGGAGTGCTTTGTCTTACAGGAATGGGCTTGATTAATATGTTCACTGGGTTCTGAGCAGGAGCTGGGAGCAGACCACAGGAAATGTGCCATTGGTGTGACTGTATTTATTTATTGGGTTTAGAGAAGCAGCCACTGGACTATAAGTCATTTATGTTCCTGCAACAGAGATCTGAGTGGCTTACCTTCAGGAGTGCTGCAACCTAAAAGTGCCATCCCTGGGTCCTGTGGCAAGCATATGTTTAACTACAAGAAACTGCCTAACTTATCTTAAATGACTGCATGATTTTGCATTCTTACTGGCAATATATGAGAGTTCCAGTTGCTCTGCATCTTCACCAGCACTGTGTGTTTTCTGTTTTGTTTTAATTTCAGCAATTCTGGTAAATGTGTACTAATAACTCATGGCATATTAATTTGCATTCCCCAATGAATAAACATATTGAGTGTCTTTTCATGTATTTATTTACCTTCTGTATTTCAGCTTTGGTGAAGTGACTATGCAAATCTTTCACTCATTTTAAAAATAGGATTGTTATGTTGTTAAGTTATAATGGTTCTTTATATATTCTGGATGCACGTTATTTAGTAGAAATGTATTTTCTAAATATGTCACCTAATTTGTGGCTTTTCTTTTTATGCTTTTAAGAGTATCTTTCAGAGAGCAGAAATTTAAAAATTTTGATTAAGTTCAATCTATCAATTTTATTTTATGGTTCACGTGTCTTAATTAAGAAGTCTTTGCTTAGACAGATCTTACAAATTTTTCTCCTAGTTTTTTTCTTTCTTTTTTTTTGAGACAGAGTCTCAAGGCATTTCACCACGTTGGCCAGGCTGATCTCAAACTCCTGACCTCAGGTAATCTGCCTGCCTTCACCTCCCAAAGTGTTAGGATTACATGCATGAACCACCACACCTGGCCTCTCCTAGGTTTTTATCTAGAAGTTTTATAGTTTAAGTTTTGCATTTGTCCATCTATCATTGACATTTGTATATGGTATGAAATAGCAGTAGAGATTCAATTTTAGCACATGGATGTATGTCCAATTGTTCCAGCACCATTTATTGAAAAGAATGCCCTTCCTCCATTAATTTCCTTAGCATTTTTTGTCAAAAATTAATTGACAATATATTGTATTTACCATCTGTTTCTGGACTTTCTATTCTGTTCCATTGATTTATATTTCTATCATTATGCCAATGTCACATTGTTTTGATGACTAGGGCCGTAGAGTGTATTTGTTTAAATGATATTATTTTCTTCTGATTTTGATTTTTAAAATTTAACTTAAGTTTAGTTTAATAATAAAACCACTTTTAGGCCGGGTGCAGTGGCTCATGCCTGTAATCCCTGCACTTTGGGAAGCTGAGGTGGGCAGATCACCTGAGGTCGGGAGTTCAAGGCCAGCCTGACCAACATGGAGAAACCCTGTCTCCACTAAAAACACAAAATTAGCTGGGGATGCTGGCACATGCCTGTAATCCCAGCTACTCCAGAAGGAGGCTGAGGCAGGAGAATCACCTGAACCTGGGAGGTGGAGGTTGCAGTAAGACGAGATTGCGCCACTGCACTCCTGCCTGGGCAACAAGAGCAAAACTCCATCTAAAAAAAAACAAAAAACAAAAAACAAAAAAAAATTTTATTGTCCAATTGTTCATTGTGAGTACATAAGAAAGTCATTGGCTTTTGTGTATTTGTATCCTATGACCTTTCTAAACTCATTTTTTTCTTAGTTCTAGTAAGTTTTTGAGGCTTCTTTAGAATTTTTTTACACAGGCAATTGTAGGATTATCTTTAAATAAAGAGATTTTTACTTCTTTCTTTCTACTATGTGTGCTTTTTATTTCTTTTTCTTGCTATATTTTATTGGCTAGGAATTCTAGTATAATGATATATTCAAATATAATAGCTGACATCCTACCCTTCTTCTTGATCTGAGGGGAAAATCACTCAGTCATTCACCATTTCATATATTGACTGTAGGTTTTTCTCAGATGTCCTTTATGAAATCAAGGAATTTATCTTCTATTCCTAGTTTGCTGAAAGCTTTTTTTTTTTTTTTTTTAAATCATAAAAACTATTTCGTGAGGGCCAGGAGCAGTGGCTCACACGTGTAATCCCAGCACTTTGGGAGGCCAAGGCAGGCAGATGGCTTGAGTCTAGCCTGGGCAACATGGAGAAACCCCGTCTCGCCAAAAAAATAAATAAAATAAAATAAAATAAAATAAAATAAAATAAAATAAAATTAGCCAGATATAGTGGCAGATGCTTGTAGTCCCAGCTACTTGAGAGGATGAGGCAGGAGGATTGTTTGAGCCTGGGATGTGGAGGTTGCATTGAACCAAGATTGCACCAACACACTTCATCCTGGGTGACAGAGCAAGATCTTGTCTCAAAAGAAAAAAAAAAAAAGAATTTTAGCAATATTTTTTCTTCATCTATTGAGATGATCACATGGTTATGCTTTTTTATATTTGTTAATATACTGAACTACATTGATTTTTTAAAACACCTCTATGGATATGTAATTCACATACAATACAATTTACCCATTTAGTGTGTGCAATTCAACGATTTTTTAGTATATTTACTTCTATAGCATTTATCGCTACAGTCAACTTTAGGATATTTTCATCACCTCAAAAAGAAACTTCATAAATTCTCTAGCTTTCGCCATCCCCAGACTCTCATATTCCCCCAGCCCTAAGCAACCACTAACCTAGTTTCTGTCTCTACAGTTTTGCTTATTCTGAACATCTATATAAATGGAATGATGTAGTACGTGGAATTTTGTGACTGGCATCTTTCAATTAGCATCATGTTTTCAAGATTTATTTATATTGTAGTATGTATCAGTACTGTATTCTTTTTTATAGCCAAATAATATTTTATTGCATGGATATACTACAATTTTTATTCATTCTTCAGATTATTCATCCACTGGTTCAAAGACTTTTAAATTGTTTTCTATCTCTTGGCTCTTGTGAATAATGTGGCTGGAAATATTTGTGTCTTTTTTTTGTGTGGACATATATCTTCATTTCTCTTGATTATATACCTAGAGTGAAATTGCTGAATCATGTGGTAACGCTGGTTTTTTTTTTTTTTTTTTCCAACAGGGTCTCACTCTCTCACCCAGGCTAGAGTACAGTGGCATGATCTCGGCTCGCTGCAACCTCTGCCTCCCGGGTTCAAGCGATTCTAGTGCCTCAGCCTCCCAAGTAGCTGGGATTACAGGTGCCTGCCACCATGCCTGGCTAATTTTTAAATTTTTAGTAGAGATGGGGTTTCACCACGTTGGCCAGGCTGGTCTCCAACTCTTGACCTCAAGCGATCCACCCACCTCAACCTCTCAAAGTGCTGGGATTACAGGTGTGAGCCACCACGCCTGGCCTAATATGATAACTCTATGTTTAACCATTTGAGAAACTTCCAGACTGTTGTGCAAAGTGTCCGTACTATTTTACATTCCCATCACTAGTATATGATGATTCTGATTTCTCTGCCTTCTTTGCCAGCGCGTTTTATTATTTGACTTTTTGGTCCCAGCCATCCTGGCAGTGTGAAGTGCTGTCTTGCTGTGTTTGTTTGTTTGTTTGTTTGTTTTGTTTTGAGACGGAGTCTTGCTTTGTCCCCCAAGGCTGGAGTGCAGTGGCCTGATCTCTGCCCACTGCAACCTCTGCCTCCCGGATTCAAGTGATTCTCATGCCTCAGCCTCCTGACGAGCTGGGCCTACAGATGCACGCCACCATGACTGGCTAATTTTTTTGTATTTTTAGTAGAGACAGGGTTTTGCCATGTTGCCCAGGCTGGTCTCGAACTCCTGAACTCAGGCAATCCACCTGCCTCGGCCTCCCAAAGTGCTAGGATTACACGTGTGAGCCATCATGCTCGGCCTTACTGTGGTTTTGATTTGCTTTTTCCTGATAACTAATAACATTGAGCATCTTTTAATGCACTCACTGGCCATTTGTATATCTTCATTGAATAAATATCTGTTCAGATCCTTTGTCCATTTTAAAAATTAGGTGATTCGCCTTTTTATTATTTAGTTGTTAAGAGGTTTGTTTTGTATATTTGCATACAAGTCCTTTATTAGATTCATGATTTGCAAATATTTTCTCCCATTCTGTGGGTTGTCGTTTTACTTTCTTGATGGTATCCTTTGAAACACAAATGTTGTTTGTATTTTTATGAAATCTAATTCATATATTTTTGTTTTATTGCTTATGATTTTGGTTTTATATCTAAGAATATTTTGCCAAATCTGAGGTCATGTAGATTTAACCCTATGCTTTCTTCTTTTGTAGTTTTAATTCTTACCTTTAGGTCTTAGATGTATTTCAAGTTAATTTTTGTATATGGTGTGAGGTAAGGTCCAGCTTCACTCTTGCATGCAGCTATCTGCTTGTCCCAGTACCATTCATTGAAGATCATTCCCCTTTAAATGGTCTTGACAGCCTTGTCAAAAATCAGTTGGACATAAACACATGGTTTTATTTCTCTCTCTTTTTTTTTTTTTTTCAGGCTGGAGTGCAGTGGTGCGATTTTGGCTCACTGCAAGCTCCGCCTCCTGGGTTCACACCATTCTCTCACCTCAGCCTCCTGAGTAGCTGGGACTATAGGCACCCACCACCACGCCCAGCTAATTTTTTGTATTTTTTAGTAGAGACAGGGTTTCACTGTGCTAGCCAGGATGGTCTCGATCTCCTGACCTTGTGATCCACTTGCCTCGGCCTCCCAAAGTGCTGGGATTACAGGTGTGAGTCACTGTGCCCGGCCTTTCTGGACTCTTAATTCTATTCCATTGATCTATATGGCTATCCTTAATGTAGTATCACACACTGTCTTGATTATTGTTGCCTTATAATAAGTTTTGAAATTGGGAAGTGTGAGCTCTTGTACTTTGTTCTTCTTTTTCAAAATTATTTTGACTATTCTAAATCCCTTGCAAATTCATGTAAATTTTAGAATGAGCATCAATTTCTATTAAAAAGTCAGCTGGGATTCTGATAGAGGTTGTGATGAATCTGTAAACTAATTTAGATAGTATTGTCATCTTAACAATATTAAGTCTTCTGGTGCATGAGCGTGGGATATTTTGTTCTGCTTTGGTCTCCTAAACTGCTGGGATTACCGGCATGAGACACTGTGCCTGGTCATGTGACAACTTTTAACACTTTGCCTTATAATCCCAGGATTATTTTTAAATAAACTACTGCTGAAGTGTGATGGAAGAAGAGTAATATTTGGTTTCAAATATTAACCACCAGGCATGACAATGATGATGATGATCATAATAATAATAAAAGTAACACTTAGGGCTGGGCGCCGTGGCTAATGCCTGTAATCCCAGCACTTTGGGAGCCTGAGGCTGGCCAATCACTTGAGGCCAGGAGTTCAACACCAGCCTGACCAACATGGTAAAACCCTGTCTCTACTAAAAAAAAAATACCAAAATGAAAAAAATTTTAGTCAAGCATGGTGGTGCACCTGTAGTCCCAGCTACTCAGGAGGCAGAGGCAGGAGAATCACTTGGACCTGGGAGGCGGAGGTTGTAGTGAGCAAAGATCGTGCCACTGCATTCCTGCCTGGGCGACAGAGTTAAGACTCTGTCTCAAAAAAAAGTAACACAGTATTTAGTACATTCATTCTTCATGCTTATTAGTTTATACGGATTATATCACAACTAATTTTATTTGATATTGTAAATATGAAGTGAGATAAGTACCCCAAATTTATATTCAGCATTATAACTACCTCCATATATTATTACATGCTACATATATTTTCTATTCACTGTCAGTCTTTTGACATGAGGGATACAGGTAGGGAGCATTTTTTGAGTGGGTGCTGAATAGTGGTTTGGCAACATTATTAAGTAACTTCTTACTCAAGGGTAAGGGTCGAAAACCAGAAAGGGATTTAAAAACCAGTTACCAATCCATAATTCATCTTCTAAAACTGTGTGGTCAGATGTGTTTGGAAACTCGGAATTGTCGTATTTTATAAAGTTAATAAGATGCATGTGTTTTCTCCTAGTTAACACCTTCAGTGAGGTCTGGGGCAGCGTTTCATGACATCTCATTGTTTTAGGGAAAACAACGACCGTAAATAACCTCACAGTATTTGCTATCAAAGGAGTTGCTTCAAATGCTGTTCTCAAATAACTTTTGGATGTTGAGATTATATATAATAAAGGACTATAAACATATATGATCAAAATTGCCCACAAAAAAATATTCTAAATCGCCCATAAAATATGATATATTAGTTTTGTGTAGTAGCCCAAATTCACGCTAAGTCTAATATGGACAATTGTTCCTCCAGGGTAGAACAGATTGCTGTTGCCTTAGTTGAGCACCAGATGAAGTAATTGGCTTGCATTAGGGGCTCATGTTCAATGAAAATTATGATTTTCTCTCTTTATTTTTTGGCCAAGCATGGATAGTTGAATATGGGCAGATTAAATCAATGTATGTTTGATACTACTCTACCATAGAATACTTGCTTGAACAGTTTCACATGAGCCAACAGGCATAGACAGGGATAAAAATAAATACCGGTGCCAAACTACAGCCTCCTGATCAGCAACACATTTAAAATGTGTGCACAGAGATGGCAGAAGATGGTGTATTCTGAGGTCTGCACAAAAATAAGTTAATGTGGCAACACAAGTTAATGAATTGGTGGCATCCAATGTGTTAACATTTCTAATTATGAGTTTTGTATGGCAGTTTTTAAAATAATTCAAATATATTTTTAAAAAGTGAAATTTGCATCAAATCCTAAGACTCCACAAAACAGTTGTCTCTATGGTTTATTCTAGACGTAGATAGCAACACAGCAACAATAACAAAAACGACACTTTCCTCTTAATGGACATAATTAACATTTCTTGAGTACTTACTATGTGCCAAGCACTGTTCTATATGCTTTAGACATAGTAATACATTTACTTTTCATTTATTTATTCAACACATACTTACCAAGCATTTGCTTTGTGTTAGGCTTTGTTTTAGACCAGTGATACTGAACAGGGACAGAGTTTGCTTCCTGGCGGACATGTGGCAATATTTGGAGTTATTTAGCATACTTTAACTGGGAGGGTGCTATTGGCATCTGGTGGGTAGAAGACAGGGTGGCTGCTAAACATCCTACAACACACGGAAGAGTCTCCGGCAACAAAGACTCCTCTTGCCCACAATGTGAATAGCACCAAAGTTGAGAGAAATGCAACAGTGAACAAAATAGACAAAATTTATGTCTTCATGGAACGTATATTTTAGTAGACAGAAACAAATGATTTAAAAAGTAAGCATCGGCCTGGTGCTGTGACTAACACCTGTAATCCTAGCACTTCGGGAGGCCGAGGACGGTGGATCACGAGGTTAGGAGTTAGAGACCAGCCTGGCCAAGATGGCGAAACACGGTGTCTACTAAAAATACAAAAATTATCTGGGCCCAGTGGCGGGCATCTATAATCCCAGCTACTAGGGAGGCTGAGGCAGGAGAATCGCTTGAACTCGGGAGGTGGCAGTTGCAGAGAGCCGAGATTGCGCCACTGCACTCTAGCCTGGGCAACAGAGCAAGACTCCATCTCAAATAAATAAATAAATAAATAAATAAATAAATAAATAACAGTAAGTATCAATCGTATTACAACTTGATGAGGTTTAAATTTTACTTTTATTTTTATTTTTTTGAGACAGGGTTTTCTCTCTGTTGCCCAGGCTAGAGTGCAGTGATGGAATCTCGGCTCACTGCAACCTCTGCCTTCCCGGGTTCAAGTGATTCTGCTGCCTCAGCCTCCCTGTAGCTGGGACTACACAGCACCACGCCTGGCTAATTTTTGTATTTTTTGTAGAGACCGGGTTTCACCATGTTGACCAGGCTGGTCTTGAACTCCCAACCTCAAGTGATTCACATGCCTTGGCCTCCAAAAGTGCTGGGATTACAGACGTGAACCATGGTGCCTGGCCCGATGAAGGTTTTATACTACCAAAAAAAAAAAAAAAAATGGGGAAGAAGAATAGGAAGTCTGTGGATGTGGTTGGTGGAGGTTTGGGATTAGAAATTTAAATCAAGCATTTAGGGAAGGCCTTGCCTAAGAGACGATTTTGGAGGAAAACCTTGAAGGAGGTGAAGAGGCAGGTATGTGGATATCTGGGGGAAAAGTAACTTTCAGGTAGAGGCAACAGCACAAGGACAGGCCCTAGCCAACAACATGCATGACTTTTTTCAAGAGACAGCAAGGAGACCATTGTGACCTGAGGAGCTTATAGGAGGGGAGATTAGAAGGATGGCTGAGAGGAGAAATTGTGTAGAATTTGTAGACCAATGTAATGGTTTGCGCTTACTCTGAGTGAGTGGAGTGCCATTGGAGGGTTTTGCACAAAGAAGTGTCATGAGCTCATTTGCTTTCAAAGCATCCTGCTGGCCACTGCTTTGAAAAGTGACCATAGAAGGCCAAAGGTGGAAGCAAAGAGACCATTAGAAAGTCACTGTGAAAGACTGCGGTGACTCAAACAAGGTTTCCAATGGTTAAAGGTGAGAAGTGGCTGGATTCTGGGAATATTTTTCAAGATTGGGGTGTTCGAATTTTGCGAATGCATATGGGATGTGAAGGAAGAATAAAGAAACTTTCCTTTTATATATGCGTGTATTTGAGCTGAGCCACTTGAAGAATGGAATTCCCAATTATTGAAATGGAGAAAGTTAAGGTAGGAATAGTTTGGGGAAGGAAATCAGAATCACCATGTTTAATTTGAACTGTTTGGATCTGTTTAATTTGAAGTATCTATCTGAACATTCAAATGGAGACTTTGAAACATTCTCAACCACTCTATGAAGCAGGTACTATTATTATCCCCATTTTGCTGGTGAGAACCATTCATAAAGAGGTTAAGCAACTTGTCCATGATCATCCAGCCATTAAGTAGTGTAACTTAGACTCCAATGATACAAACAGATGTCTTGCTAAAAAGTCTCATCAGCCCTCTCTCCTGGGATAGCATCTCTTGATCTCCTTTTCTATGGATTGCCTTGACACTAGCTCTGGGAGGGAAAAATTTTCTGCATTGAAATGAGATCTTCAGATAGAGCCTCTTTATGCAGTTGATATCTGAAAGTTAAACTGTTACCTCTGTCAAATTTTTATTTGATTTGGTCATGCTAAAAGTCAACCACAAAATAAAAGTTAAGGAAGAGAGAATTCCTCAGTTGCAGGTAGCTTAGAAAATAATCATTTATTGGGCATCTACACAAGATACGCACAGTATGATCACCCATTGAGCATCCTTATTAGAAAGATTATAGACTTTGGAGTCCCACAGACAGACCTGCATTAAAATACAGTCTCCATCACCCATTGGCTGTGGTATTCTGGAAATAAAACTTAACTTTGCAAGTCTGCGATGAGCAATTGAGATAATGCATGTAAAAGCATTCTCTCTGTGATATGTTCAAGCAAACCAATGACTTTTTCATGCAAGGATTAATCTATTTCTTTTCACGGGTAGCTATAAATTAACGGATACCAGTTTCAGTCTGAGCTGATGATAAGCTTGGGAGATTAATTGTGGTGATGGTTTCACAACATGAATGTACTTAGTGCCACTGAACTATACACTTCAAAATGGTTAAAATAGTACATTTTATGTTATGTGTATTTTATGCATTTTTTTAAAAGGCAGAACAACAAACAACAAAAAAAGAAGACTTCATGTGACTTTCCTTGAGGTGAGTCAGAGTTGTGAGTGAGGACGGAGATGAGGCAGACAGTTAGAAATGAACGGGCACAGTGGCTCACACGTGTAATCCCAGCACTTTGGGAGGCCAAGGCTGACAGTTCACTTGAGCTCAGGAGTTCAAGATCAGCCTGGGCAACATGGCGAGACCCTGTTTCTACAAAAAATAAAAAACTTAGTCCGGCGTGGGTAGTGTGTGCCTGTAGTCTCAACTGCTTGGGAGGCTAAGGTGGGAGGATTACTTTAGCCCAGGAGGCAGAGGTTGCAGTGCGCCGAGATCACGCTATGGTACTTCAGCCTGGGTGACACAGTGAGACCCTCTAAAAAAACAAAAACAAAAACAAAAACAAAAAAAAAGCAAAACAAAACCTGGGCGCAGTGGCTCATGCCTGTAATCCCAGCACTCTAGGAGGCTGAGGCAGGTGGATCACCTGAGGTCAGGAGTTCAAGACTAGCCTGGCCAATATTGTAAAACACCATCTCTACTAAAAATACAAAAATTAGCCAGGCATGGTGGCACATGCCTGTAGTTCCAGCTACTCAACAGGCTAAGGCAGGAGAATCACTAGAACCCAGGAGACGGAGGTTGCCGTGAGCCAAGATCATGCCACTGCACTCCAGCCTGAGCATCAGAGTGAGACTCTGATTTTTTTTAAAAAAAAAAAGAGAGAGAGAGAGAATAGAGGGCTACTGCTGATTAGCCCAGTGAAGAGGTCTGTTCTCCACTGCTTCAACTGCCCTATAGTCTGGCTGCCTACTAGTACTTCTCCAAATATAGGTTGAGGGGGAAGAAGATAAAGACTGTGAGTCCACTTCACACAGACATCCTCCATCACAGAACAACTGGTTAAGGCACTTTGATCTTTGTACTTAACACATACGACATACCACACAAATACACACACAGAACCACTTTCCCTAATATGTGTCTGAAAGGTTGGCATGTTAATTTCTTACTGCTGCCATAACAAATTATCACAAACTTAGTGATTTAAAGTAACACAAATTGATGATCTAATTGTCCTACATATCGGAGGTCTGGGTTGGCACAGCTGGTTTCTCTGTCCCATTACCCAAGGCCAAAATCAAGGTCTCAGAAAGTCTGCATTTCTTTCTGAAGGGCCTGGAGATTAATCTTTTTCCAAGCTCATTTAGCAGTTCTTTGAAGTTGCAGGGCTGAGGTCACAGTTTCCTTCCTGGCTGCCAGCCAGGGCTGGACTTTTGTTCCTGGAGCCTTTCTCACACTTTCCTTGTGAACTTTCCTTCCTTCTCATACTTTCCTGGTGGACTTTCTCCAGCAACAGGGGGTGGAGTTTCTCTTATGTTTTGAATCTCTCTAACTGGCTCCTCCTCCTTCCTCTTCCTCTTTTAACTGCTCATTTGATTAGATTGGGCCCACTCAGAATAATCCAGGATAATCTCTCTATTTTAAGGACAACTGATTAGTGACCTTCATTACACTTGTAAAGTCCCTTCACAACAGTATACAGTTTAGTGTTTGATTGGATAACCAGAAGACAAGCGTCAGGGGACATCTTCAGAATAATTTTGGTTCTCTGAGTCAGATTGACTGCTAGAAAGCATTGCATACTTAGCAAGACTTAATTGTTGTCAACAGGACTGCATGGGTCCCATTGCTTCCAGAGAGAACACTCAGGCTTTGGTGATGAGCTCTGAATGCCAGCTTCCCCTTTCTTTATGCTGGATTTTCTTAGCAGACATACATCTTTTTTCTTCATTGCTGGCTGTTTTCTATTAGGGCCACTACAATACACTGGACATTCATAAAATAATTTGGAGACTCAAAGGGTGTTCTTCCTGCCTGCTGCCCAGAAAAGAAAAATGCACTGAAAACAGCAGGTTTTTCAGCAAAGAAGAGTTTAATAATCGCAGGGCCAGCTAAGCAGAACGATGGGAGACATTTCTCAAATCCACCTCCCTGAGAGCTCAGAGGGTAGACTTTTTTGTTTGTTTTTTTTGTTTTGTTTTCTTTTGATACAGAGTCTCACTCTGTCACCTAGGCTGGAGTGCACTGGCGCAATCCCAGCTCACTGCAACTTCTGCCTCTGAGAGGGTAGAGTTTTTAAAAATGATGTGGCAGGCAGGTGGCTAGGGAATGGGTGCTGCTGACTGGTTGATGATGAAATCATAGGAGTGTCGAAAAACATTCTTCATGTGCTGAGTCAGTTCCTGGGTGAGAGTTACAGGACCAGTTGAGTTAGTTCCTTGACATGAGTCATGGGGGTTCCAAGTGGAGTTGGTCATCAGAATGCAAAAATCTGAAAAATATCTCAAAGACCAATCTTAGCTTTAGATAATAGTGACATTATCTATAAAAGCAATTGGGGAAATTACACTTCTTGTTACCGCCAGCTACATGACTCTTGAGCAGTAAGTGATTATAGAAAGGCAAGCTAGGGAACAATAGCTGGGTATCGTTTAACTACATCGACATATCAGCAGAATTCAGGTTCCTCCCGGAATCCTAACCTTGTGGTCTTACAAAGGCAGTTTTAGTCCCTGAATAAGGAGGAGGTTGGTTTCAGGAAGGAACTGTTATCATCTGTGTTTTAAAGTTAACGAAGGCAGTTAGCTTGTGATGTTAGAGGCAAGATAGAGTCAGCTATGTCAGATTTCTCTCACGGTCATAATTTTTGCAAAGACAATTTCAAGGGTAGGGTTGGAGGGCTGGATTGCTGCTCTACTAGAAGATCCTTTATTCCCTCTATAAATTTGGTCATCAGTGCCCATCAACATTACAGCTCAAGGTTGCAAGGGACACGAGGAAGGAGCTGCATCACTCTGCCTTCCCACAAAAGGGAACCCTAATCATTCGATACCCCAAAGGAAACAGCAAACACACACACAACACTACATAACTAAACCCACAAAGCTACAAAAGAAAAACCTCCACAACAGCCAAATGAAAAAAAACTCTACTATTAACTTTCTTCTCCCAAAAAAAAATGTCTGTGTGAGTGTGGGGAATGCCCACTTACTTTTAACATGTGCCTAACTAAAAAGGGTCTTTTCAGTGGTCTTTCCGTCAGAAACAAGGTCTCTTCCAGAGAAATTTTCTATCTCCACTACTAGAAAGAAGAGTAACTACTTTTTTTTTTTTTTTTTTTTTTGAGACGGAGTCAAGCTCTGTCGCCCAGGCGGGAGTGCAGTGGCGCGATCTCGGCTCACTGCAAGCTCCGCCTCCCAGGTTTACACCATTCTCCTGCCTCAGCCTCCCGAGTAGCTGGGACCACAGGCGCCCACCACCATGACCGGCTAATTTTTTGTATTTTTTAGTAGAGACGAGGTTTCACCGTGTTAGCCAGGATGGTCTCAATCTTCTGACCTCGTGATCCGCCCACCTGGGCCTCCCAAAGTGCTGGGATTACAGGCGTGAGCCACCGCACCCAGCCTACTATTGTTTTTAAGTAAAAATTTAAAAAATAATTATTTTGCCTTACTGGGCAGGTAACTACATATTTGTTGAGTACCCATGTTGTATCAGGCACTAAGCTAAGTGATTTTTATGTTTTACTTTACCTAAATTGCAAATTAAATACAGGAGACCCTTTGAAACGTGGTGTTGCCCAAATGTCACATCCTCACTGAGGACTTTCCTGGCCCCTCTCCCCGATTTGAATTTTGTTTGTTCGTTTGTTTTTGAGACAGAGTCTCACTCTGTGGCCCATGCTGGAGTGCAGTGGTGAGATCTCGACTCACTGCAACCTCTGCCTTCAGAGTTCAAACAATTCTCCTCCCTCAGACTCCCGAGTAGCTGGGACTACAGGCGTGTGCCACCGTATCCGGTGAATTTTTGTATTTTTAGTAGAGACAGAGTTTCACATGTTGGCCAGGCTGATCTTGAACTCCTGACCTCAGGTGATCCACCCACGTTGGCCTCCCAAAGTGCTAGGGTTACAGGCATTAGCCACTGCACCCCGGCCCCTATTTGAAATTCCAACAGCCCTCCAACCCAGCACACCCATTCTTTTTTATACTTTATATTTCTTTAAATAGTTTATATTAGCTTCCAATGTAGTATAATAGTTTTGCTACAATTGTGTTTATTGCCTCTTCCCCACTCTATCTTGTTTATTATATGCTCCCTGAAGGAAGAAGTCTTGTCAATTCTGTTAGTTGTTCAGGACAGTGCTTGGCACACAGTAGGTGCGCAGTGAATAGCTTTTGAATGAAGCAGTGAATAATCCTCATTGCGATTATCCCTTTGGGCTTGGCTCTATTTTTATCTCTGTTGTACAAATGTGGAAATTGAGGCTTAGTGAAATAGAGAAAGGTACCTGGAGCCCACTGGTAGCAAGGGTCAAAACCTAGGCACATGATAGTAAAATGGTTATTGAGTTTGGAAAACCCACCACGGAGTAGATTAGCAGTATTGGTGTAACTGTAACAAATCTGTTGCCCAATGTAGCAAGTTGATATGCCTAGAAGAGACCCTGGTTTGCAATAGAGAAAGAGATAAAACTGTAGGGCCGCTGAATGAGGAGATGCTAGGAAACCTCAAATCCATCTCCCCAAAGAATTTGGGGCTAGGGTTTTTAAGAGTATTGAAATGGGCCAAAGTGTGAAGATTGTTGATTGGTCAAAAAGTGCGGGGTAAAATCATAGACAGGGAGATGAAGAAACTGTACTCTCAGGTCGATGCCGTGCCTCTGTGCGGGTCTTCACATTAGTTGACATCAGCTGTTTTTCTGGAATTCAGGATCTGAAAAACATCTTAGGCAATTCTTAAGTGAAAGTCTTACAATTCTCACATTAGAAATCTTGTCTATAGGAACAATGGGAATGCAAATGGTCAGTATCCAGTGCTACATGACTTTTGGTTACCAGAAAATGGGTCCAAGCACAGCCTGATAAATGCTTAATTATAACTATATTTCTGTCGAGAATTCTTGTCAGTCCTCTGAGGATGACTTCAGTAGTCTAATAGTTATGCACATGGACTCTGGAGCCAGTCTTCCTGGCTTCAGTGCCCAGTTCTGCTTTTGGGCAAAGTACTGACCCTCTCTATATCATCATTCCCCATCTGTCAGTGGGAGATGAAAATAACAGTACAATTACACCATACAGTATCTGGGAGGATTAAATGAATTAATACAAGAGCAGTGCTTAGAAGAGTGTAGCAAGTGCTATTACAAATATTATATATATGTATATTACATATGTATTACATATATGTAATATTTGTAATATGTATCTAATATTTATAATATATATATGTATATATATTTTTGGTTTTCCTTAATTTGGAACGTGTATGTACCTGGCTCCAATCCTCCACCTCTCCCATAGTCTAGATGTTTTGCATTCTCCAAATGTGTCCAAACTTTAGCAACGTATTTGTTTACACCTATATTTAGCTAATGTGTGTGTGAAATTACCCATTATGTAAATGGCTTTGGTTTAGTAAGCAGAATATGCGAGGATATGGTTAATGGGAAATTGTTTTGTGCAACTTGGAAAATGGAAGAATCATAAAAGAATCCTTTGGAGACACAGTCTGATCAAGGGATAACCAATACATTTGCAGGTTTTTGTTTTTAAATAATAACCAGCCACTAATGGCCTGGAGCAGAATATTGATTTATCTGCAGCAAGGTAGGCTCTGTTTCCCTGCTACATTGCCAGCTGTCCTCTTCAGCATTAAGCTGCCTCACTTCAATCCAGTATCTGTCAATCCAGTTTTCAAGGAGGAAGCTTTCAAACAGTGAGGAGGGCTGGGCGCAGTGGCTTACACCTGTAATTCCGGCACTTTGGGAAGCCGAGGTTGGGAGGATCACTCGAAGTCAGGATTTCAAGACCAGCCTGGCCGACGTGGTGAAATCCCATCTCTACTAAACATACAAAAAATTAGCAGGGTGTGGTAGTGGGCGCCTGTAATCCCGGCTATTCTGGAGGCTAAGGCAGGAGAATCGCTTGAATGCGGGAGGTGGAGGTTGCAGTGAGCCAAGATTGCACCACTGCACTCCAGCCTGGGCGACAGAATGAGACTCCATCTCAAAAATAAAAATAAAAATAGGCCAGACACGGTGGCTGAGTCTGTAATCCCAGCACTTTGGGAGTCCAAGGCAGGTGGATCACTTGAGGTCAGGAGTTTAAATCCAGCCTGGCCAACATGGTGAAACCCCATCTCTACTAAAACTACAAAAATTTGCTGGGCATGGTGGCAGGCGTCTGTAATCCTGGCTACTCGGGAGGCTGAGGCAGGAGAATCATTTGAACCCGGGAGGTGGAGGTGAGCTGAGATCACGCTATTGCCCTCCAGCCTGAGCAACGAGAGTGAAACCCCGTCTCAAATAAATAAATAAATAAAAATAAACAAACAAGAAACAGTGAAAAGGCTTTGTCATTTTTGTGGATGGTTGCTGGAAGATTTTTCTGTGCTTTATTTGGTAGGAGTCTTTTACTTTTTGCTGAGCTAGAATCTAGCCTGTTATGCACTGTGCACTCAAATTCCTTGGCAGACTGATGAGGCTCTTAAATTCTTTCAAAAAGAAGGCTCTTGAAATTGGCCCTCCCTCAGGTGCCCACTGTTGCCTCGGGCAGAACTCCCCTTCTATCTACGCAAATCTCCCTCTAGACTGGGAGGGCCTGGCCCCGCTATGATGGGTGAGAATAGCATTAATCCGTGTGAGTTGATCATATGGAACAAATCCCTGAAGGAAAGCTTAAAAAAAGAAAAAAAACAAGTGCCTAAAAGGCAAAACCAAAACCAAAATCTTAACACTGAGCTTTCTTCAACATTTTTTTTTCAAAACAAACAAACAAACAAACCCAACAACAACTAAGCTAGGTATGCAGATATCAGCGGAGACCCTTAGTTAAGCCTAAGTGAAAAATTCCTCCATTCATTCATTCATTCATTCATTAACGTATTCACTCAACCTTATTTATTTTGCCCCTCTATGTGCTAGGTATCTTGCTAGACAGCGGGGTGCAGGGAAAGTATACAATTAACTAAGACAAAGATACTTTCAATATTATTTTCTTTATGGAACCTGAGATTGAAAAGCAGATGTCCCAAAGGAAGCCTTGTATCCCTATTCAGTGTGAACCCACATTTTGCTAGAAGTTGTGTTAGACATGGGGAGTATATGGAGGTTATCCCCAAATCTTTTTTTAAATATATTTTTCTCCTCCCTCCTTTCTATCCCCAACTCTTAATGAGGGGGGAGATTTATCATAAAATAGACACAGTGTACATATTTAGGGCCATCTTCTTATGAGGTCACCTATTTCCCCCTCCCTAAGATATCCAGCCTTAACCCTCAGGCCTGTGAATGAGATGTGATATCACACTCAAAATTATGTTGCATTTCATGGCAAAAGGGATTTTGCAGCTGTAGTAAAGGTTATCAATCAGTGGTCTTTGAGTTAAAAGAGCAATTATTCTGGTGGACCTAAGTCTAATCACTTTCAAAGTAGAGATCAGTGACTAAAGAGGCAGTGAGAAAAATAATAAAAAATAATGATTAAAAAAAAAAGACAAAGCTGAGAGTTTCTCCATATGGGAGCAGAAGAAGAAGTCAGAGGGGGAGGCTTTGATGTAAGTGGGGTTTTTCATTGCTGAGATGGGGAGGATCATGGGACAAGCACCACAGGGCAGCCCCTGTGTGCTGAGAGTGGTATACAGCTGTCAGCCAGGGAGAAGACAAGGACCTCAGGCCTACAGTCCAAGGAGTTAAATTCTGCCAGTAAATTCTGGTCAAAGGAGCTTTGAAGCAAATTCTTCCCCAGAGTCACTAGAGAAGAACCCAGCACCAATGACACTTTGATGTCAGCCTTATGAATCCCTAAGTAAAGAACCCAGTTGAGTCTGCCTGGATTTCCAGCCTTCAGACTGTGAGATTATAAATGGGAGTTGTTTTAAGCTGCTAAATTTTTTGGTCATGTGTTATGCAGCAATGAAAAAATGAATAGCTTATCCTTGGTTATTCTGCATTTTTATAGATAGTTTGTAGTTAAGATATCTTAAAACTTAAATGGATCCTGAGAGGCCTATGTGGTTCTTAGCAATTGATAATGAAATTACCTTCTTATATTTGTATGACCCCATTTACAAAGTACTTTTGCATACAATTTTCTTATTTGATTTTCACAGCTTGTGAGGAATCTTTATTTCTAGTTAAAGACAAAGAAAGTGAGAATGGGTCATACTGTGCCTTGTTGATGCTTCCTGCTAAGTGGTAGAAGAGGGATTTGAATTAAGACCCCGGCACTCTCATTTGACCTAGGCATGCTCATTAGAAAATTGACAGGTTACCCTACATACAGGTTCTTTTTCTATCTTGTTTCCTCTTCATTACTAACATCATCATCATCGTTGTCATCAGTGTTGAGGGGATCCTTCTCCTCCTGCTTGTTTACTAAATGCTCATGAACTAAATCATGACAGTGAAAGCAAACTTTTTAAAAAGTCAAAACATGTATTGAACACCTATGATGTACCATGAAACTTACCATTAACAGGGCAAATAGAATGACAAGTGTCCTCTTTGTTGCATGCCACAACATCGGGTTTTGGAAATCCACCAAGAGGATGCTCTGCTAATGCATGTGGAATAGATAAAAAATATAAATAGACTTCTTTTTTGTAGCTAGCTCACAAAATGAAATAATGCATCAATCTTTTTTGTCTCTGTAACTTTTTTAAAAATTCTGTATAAACATTTTTTCTGTGAAATAGTTGGGAAAGAAATATGAATAGTTCATATTTCCAGATCATTCTAGAAAAATGGTTAGGGCAATTTAATTTGTGTTGGAGAGATTGGAATCTAGGAGAATATGAGGTAAGATTCCCAGTGTGTATTCTTTACCAGTCTCATAACCTAGTAAATCTCCCTCAGCCCTCTTCCCACCACACCAATCCCTATAGAGTGGTGGGACTGTGAACCGGACTTGGGAGGGCCATTGAAACTTGTGCTCCCTCTTCCACACAACTCTGCCTTTCATCCCTTTGAATCAATCCAACTGCCCTAGAAGAAGCCTGCCGGATTGAAAACAAAAGCTAAGCCACTCTCGACATAGAGCAGAACATCCCACTACCCTGAGCCATGATTCTTTGCTGCGTTTCTCTTTCCCTCTCTTTAAATTTCACCTCCTGCCCAGGAGTCTTGTAGGATAGAAGGAAATAAAGTATAAGAGTAAGGTGTAATGTGGCTTGAGCCACTGACTGTCAGGCACGCCTATCATCATCTAGTCAGACAATTTAGGGTTAACGTAGAGGGCCTAAATCCGTCTGTCAGTGTCTGTTGCATTCTGCCCCTGTAACAACTGTTGTTATGGGAATGGAATCATGTGAGGGGTGACTCCCTCCCTGCAAGAACACCCTGTGCACAGACGATGCTCTGAGGAGTTATGGAGGGCTTGGAAAGGGCTTGTTTTGTGACCGGGGGCAGCTCTAAAGGCGTGTTTAGGAGGGGTTTACGGGCTGCAATCTGTTGGGGCTTGTATTCAGGCTGAGTTGGCATGGCAGGTCCATTCTGCATTTAGATTACGATTGCATGTGGGGTAGGTGAGGGATAACTTCCCCCTCCCCTTACTGTACCCCCTGCTCAGCAGTCACTCAGTACATCGTTGTTGATAAGCCATTGTCTTGTTGCCTCTAAGTCTGAGGACACCCTTGGTGTGTGGCTCCCATGACTGATTTTTTTTTTTCCCCAGATAAAAGGGACATGGGGCTAGTAATCTGCATCCTGTTTGGTTAATGAGAAAAGCAAGACTTGGTCAACCAGAGACTCTTACTTACAGAAATAACCTATGACAGAAACAAAGAGAGAGAATGGAAAGATTCTGTGTTCGGTATGCATGTGATAAGAAAAAAATAGAAGTCCAAATCCAAAAAAAAAAGGGAAAAATCCATTATGCCTATTTCACTTCTATCAAGAACAGATTTTTAAAAAATCAAAGTCCCATCTGTTCTGTGTCAACATTAGAGATTGTACATTGTGTTTTATCAAAGGCAGGTTTGCCATGGCAGTGGGGGTTATATTTTTGGAACGTGCTTGGAAACCCAGAGCCGCTGAAAGCAGAGCCTGGCACCTTGAGGCCTCTCCTGCTGCCTGTGTTTGTGTTCCTCCAGCACTTGATGTTTTAAATTGATTTGTTTGACCAGAGGTCCCTGGAAAAAGAGAGCAGGTAAGGGCAGCTGCCTGGGGCTCCAGAACAAACACAGGTGAGGGCCCAAGGCTTTCAGAAAAACAAGGCAGTTTTTTTTTTGTTTGTTTGTTTTTGGTTTTGTTTTTGTTTTGAGACGGAGCCTGGCTCTGTCACCCAGGCTGGAGTGCAGTGGTGCAATCTCTGCTCACTGCAACCTCTGCCTCCCCGGTTCAAGCGACTCTCCCGCCTCAGCCTCCAAAGTAGCTGGGATTACAGGCACCTACCATCGTGCCTGGGTAATTTTTGTCTTTTTGTAGAGACGAAGTTTCACCATGTTGGGCAGGCTGGTCTCGAACTCCTGACCTCAGGTGATACACCCACCTCAGCCTCCTGAAGTGCTGGGATTACAGGCTTGAGCCACCACACCTGGCCAGGGCAGTTTTCTTGAACGAATTTGTACTCTGCACTGCAGCAATCACAGTCGCTCCGTAGTCTCAAGAGTTCACATTCAAGGGGTGCTGGCTTAATCCATTCAAGAGTTATGCTGGGGTAGAAATCCAGTCCTGGAATCTTCTTTCTGTTCTTCTTCATCTGTTCCCCAGGGTCACCCTCAGTTGGTCAGCTAATAAGGACAGGTAGACTTGCTCCTAACTGCTTAGCTTCCAGGCCAAAAGAGAAGAAGATAGACAAAGCCATCTACCACCCCGGCTGCTTTCTCCCTCTGCCCTGACCAGTGCATCCAATGTCAATTCCATGTCACTCTAGTTACTCTGAGGACAAAACATGATGTTGTGTTATGATTCAAAGGAAAAGGCTCCCATCTCATTCACACCCTTCAATAGTTGTTGCTTTTTGAATACATATTGTTGCTATCAGGATCGTATCGCTGCTCCTGAAAAATAATTCCAGCCTCTTCTGGAACTAGAGGTGGGGAGAGAAGTCCTGAAAGAGATGTTTGTTCAGGTGAGTCACTGAACGACTCCTTCAGTAGCATAGATTTAGAATGAACAGGCATCCATCAGGAAAGTGGTGATTGAGAAGGGCAGAACTTTGGTCATGGTGTCATTCACTGAGATGCCTGGCTTGCAAAGCTGATCTCTGAAGAGGAAAAGAAAAAAACAGTTTGAATTAAAAGCCCAATGACAAAAAGAAGCTAGGAAGATGGGCCAGGATGGAGAAGGGTGATCCAGCTGAAGCCTAGTGACAGACAAGATCAGAAAGACCCCCCCCAAACACTAGCTTAGGTAGGTGGCCCAGGCTCTAAGTGGAAGGGGAAGAGGAGAGCTGGCTTTGGCAAAGTAGTGGCTGAAGCTGTACCCAGGAACACTGGTTAAGCTTTGGAGCCAAGTGGCTAAGTTTGTCATCCACTACAAGGATTCTCTGTGTTCTGATCAATGACTTAGATCAACAAGGTCATCTCAGTAGCAGTAGAGGTGCATCAAATATCAAGTTAGGCAGGATCAGTTTCATAGTGTCACAGTGTGGCAGTGAGAAGAAATTATAGCTGACAGATCAAACCTCAGCTTTTTCTCTTCTTGCTGCAAAGAATCAGAACAACAGCCCTGGCCCCACTCCCCTTAAATGGATAGCCCCACTCCCCTGATATACTTATATAGCCATTGCTGGAAAAGGTCTCAAGTCTGTGTCTTTCTGTTAATAGGCTAGGTGGATATTCCTGTGATGATTTGAAAAAATGACAGAGCTATAGCCATATTTGGAAGCCACACTGCAGCAGGCATATTTTATAATTTCACCTCACATACTCTGAGCTTGAGAGTGAAATTTATAGCTGAAATTTTAGAGTTATTTTAGGAGTAAAGCTTCATTTTTTGCCTTTTTAAAGTAAAAGCTAATCTGCTCTATCCCCAAAATATTTTTATTGGGGAAAGTGTATTCTGAGATATTTCTGACCCCAAAAAGAGTAGGTATGGAAATCTGAGCCACATCTTTCAAAGATACTTTTGTGGGGATTGGTTCAAAACCCCTAGTTACATCTAAAGAATGTGCTGATCATTGCTACATTCCTGGAATTCCCCAAAAGACTTAAGCTGGAGACCCTCCACCAGAGAGAACAGTTCTCATGGTAGAGCCAAGACCCAACCTCTAAAAAGAAAATTCCTGAAGGGATTAAAGGGGCCCTCATTAAGTTCGCATTAGTGAAAACAATTTAACTTGAGGTTACATTAAATCAGGGCACCACTGCTAAATGGGTTAAGGGAATGTTTCTTGGTGCCCCTTTATGGCAGTGGTCAGGGTGGGGGATGGGTAAAGCAGTGGAGAACTGAATAGCCCTCACTTCAGTTTATGATCAATGAACCCTTGATGTGTTCATATTGGAACTAAGGCTGTGATGGGCTTAACGTGTTTTGAGAAATATTTTCTCTGGGCTGTAATGATTGCTTCTTCAGGGGAAGAAGAATGCCTTTTTTTTAAGTTATAATTTTCAATCTAAATGTTTATCGAATAAAGGAAAGAATAAATAAATATCGACTCTGCAGTCAGGAGGCCTGGGTTTCAATCCAAGGTCCAACATATTGACTTTTGTCACTCCGCTGTCACTGCTCTGATAGTGCATCTTATCTTTTTTATCTCCTTGAATTGTAATAATCTAATTTATATGTCAGGTTCCCCAAACTGGCCTGTGAATTCCTTAAGGATAAGGGTTATATCTATTGTCAGGCCTCTGAGCCCAAGCCTGCACATATACATCCAGATGGCCTGAAGTAATTGAAGAATCACAAAAGAAGTGAAAATGGCCGGTTCCTGACATTACCTTGTGAAATTCCTTCTCCTGGCTCAGAAGCTCCCCCACTGAGCACCTTGTGACCCCTGCCCCTGCCCACCAGAGAACAACTCCCTTTGACTGTAATTTTCCACTGCCTACCTAAATGCTATAAAACAGCCCTACCCCTATCTCCCTTAGCTGACTCTCTTTTTCGGACTCAGCCTGCCTGCACCCAGGTGATTAAAAAGCTTTATTGCTCACACAAAGCCTGTTTGGTGGTCTCTTTACACGGACATGCGTGACACCTATGTCTTATTCGTTTCAACAGTTTATTGTTTAGCAAGAGGCCACATTTGCTACAGTTTATGGTAAAAACAAGAGCTCTGGGGATAGATTGCCTGGCATCACATCTTGACTCCAGTTCCTAGCTGTGTGATCTCAGGAAAGTTGCTTAATCTCTCTGTGTCTCAGAATAAAACTAGACAATGTTATCACCAATCTCACAGAGTTATGTGGAAATTAAACCACAAATACATTTAAAATGTTTGGGACAGTGATACATACTCAGCAAAATCTACAACTACTGTTTTCCTTATTATCATTGTTGATAATATATATTTGTCAATAAACGCACCAATACTTTATTCATCTGTTTCCACACTGCTGATAAAGACATACCCAAGACTGGGCAATTTACCAAAGAAAGAGGTTTAATTGACTTACAGTTCCACATGGCTGGGGAAGCCTCACAATCATGGCAGAAGGCAAGGAGAAGCAAGTCACATCTTACACAATTGGCAGCAGGCAAATAGAGCCAGGCAAAAGGGGTTTCTCTTTATAAAGCCATCAGATCTCATGAGACTTTTTCACTACCATGAGAACAACATGGGAGAAACCACCCCCATGATTCAATTATCTCCCACCAGGTACCTCCCACAACCCGTGGGAATTATGGGAGTACAATTCAAGATGAGATTTGGGTGGGGACCCAGAGCAAAACCATATTAAATACTTTATCTCCCTGACCCTGTTTTCTTATGTATAATATAGGGACTATTATATAACAATAACAATAATAACCTGAAGTGCTGTTGTGAGGATCAAACGAGACAATGGCTAACAGTCAAAATGTCTTTTTAAAAAACCACAATGCACTTTGAAACTCTGTTACCGTTATTTCTAATATTAACTGCAGCACAGAAAGAAGTGATTTTCTCATATGTCCACAGTCCGAATGAGGCCAGGCTAGGTTGGAATATTCTTGGTGCTTCCAAGGGCCCAAAGTACTGCTTAGCTGGGATGTAAACTGTCTAAGCCTCTGGGATTACTGTGCTTTTTTCAGTACTTACATTAAGGTACAACCACAGGTCTTTCTGCAAGTGCTACGTTTGAATCAAAGCTGCCGAGCTTTACTGTCCTCATCTTCACTGTCCTCGCCCAAAGGTCTGACAGCTCTCAGAGCTGTCCCTGGCTTTTGAGAGGCTAGATATCAACAGTCAACTCTTCGCCTGCAGACTGGATGCTTGATGCATGGATTTTATTAGGTACTATTGAGAACTCAGAAAAGCCAGAGAAAAACATGGGCCAGGAGTTGAAACACATGGGATGGGGCGTCATACTTACCACTAATATATCATGGTGCCCTGGATAAGCTCTATCCCATGTGGTTTTTTGGGATTCACTTTCCATATTTACAAAATAAGAAGCAGTTAGATTATTGCCAAGATTCCTGCAGAGTAACTGCCTTAGGAGTCATGAGTCCTATTCTACTGGTGCATCTGCCATTCGCTTGCACTATGAACTTGGGCCAGTCACAGCCTCCCTTTGGTCCCTTGTGTTCTCATGTGTACAGGGTTTTTCCTCAAACATCTACTTTTGTGTTCCTACGATGTCAGTCACTACTCCAGTTAATAACAGTGCTCGCATATACACTCAGACACACACACACTAGTAAATATCAGTGGTTATTGTGTGCAAAGGCCTGTGGCTTAGCTCTTTGCAACATACTGGTTTTTGTTTTGTTTTGGTTTCGTTTGGTTTGCTTTTTTTTTTTTTTTTTTTTTGGAGACAGAGTCTGACTCTGTCACCCAGGCTGGAGTGCAGTGGGCGATCTTGGCTCACTGCAACCTCTGCCTTCTGGGATCCAGTGATTCTCATGCCTCAGCAACCCAAGTAGCTGGGACTACAGACAAGGGCCACCATGCCAAGCTAATTTTTGTACTTTTAGTAGATATGGGGTTTTGCCACATTGGCCAGGATGGTCTTGAACTCCCGGCCTCAAGCAATCCACCTACCTTGGCCTCCAAACTGCTAAGATTACAGGCAGGAGCCACTGTGCCTGGCCATTTGGCACGTATTTTTAAATGTAATCTTTTTAACACCTTATGAGAAAGGTATTTTTGTCTTTATTTTATAAATGAGAGAAGTGAGGCTAAGAGAGTGTAACTGAATTACCCAATAGCGTACCACCAGTAAGTGATATAGCTAGGGTTTGAATCTAGTTAATCTAACTCCACCTAACCATTATGTTATGTCACTTAAAAATTTTTCCTTGTCTGCATTATATCTGACCTAGCGTAACTTCACTTATTTTTTATTAAGATTACTCAATTACTAGGCATGTGGGAAATATTGATTCATGGGGTGCCTAGATTTTAACCTGAGATGGAACACATGAGTTTGCTGGATCCATAGCGAATTGGAAGACTGTCCTCGTTCAGTGGAGTTGCTGCCACTGAATCCAGCAGCAGCCTGAAGGGTCCTGTCCTTTTCACTGTTAATATTTTAAGCAACAGCATGAAGGAGGGCACGAACTGGGCAAATTCATTGTGACATGATTTTGGAAAGGCTGGCAAATAGACCAAGTGACAGAATCAAAATGGAAAAAGGCGTGACCTGCTAAGCACTTTCTATGCATTATCGCATTTTAAAACCCTCAACTCTGAGCAGGGCTGTGATTATCTCCATTTAATGCATGAAGAGACCAAAGCTTAGGGAGCTGATCATTCAAAGATGACACAGCCTGTGTGTTGCTTTTTCTTCCCCCAAAATAAACTTTAAAAACATTTTTGGAATAATTTTATATTTACAGAGAACTTGTAAAGATAGCACACAGAATCCTGGTATAATCTTCACCCAATTTACTCTATTGGTGACATCTTATATTATGGTGGTAGGTTTGTCAAACTAAGAAATCAACATCTGGGGTTCCATCTCTCAGCTTTGGAGCCCCCCTCCCTCTATCTCTGTACAGGGGAGCTTCTTTCTTTCTTCCCCCTTCTTTCTTGCCTATTAAACTCCTTGCTCCTTAAAACAAACAAACAAAAAAAAAAAGAAAGAAATCAACATCAGTACATTATTATTGACTGAGCCCCAGCTTTTATCTATGTTTAACATTTTTTTCTATTAATGTCCTTATATTAGTTTTTCATGGCTGCCATAACAACATACCACAGGCTGGGTGGCTAACAACAACAGAAACTTATTCTGTTGTTTCAATCTCTTGAACCTGGGAGGCAGAGATTGTAGTGAACCAAGATTGCACCCCTGCACTCCAGCCTGGCTGACAGAGTGAGACCCTGTCTCAAAACAAAACAAAACAAAACAAACAAACAAAAAAACAGAAAGAAAAAAAATGCATGCAAAGAGCCAGGTAGTAGGTCTTTGCACACAGTAAGCACTAACACTTACTAGTGTGTGTGTATGTCTGAGTGTAAATGTGAGCACTGTTATTAACTTCGGCAGTGACTGGCACAGTAAAAATTGACTGAGGCTAGGTGTCCAAAATCAAGGTGCCCAGAAAGCCATGCTCCCTCTGAAGGCACGAGGGAAGTGTTTCGCATTTCCTCTTCTAGCTTCTGGTGGTTGCTGGCAGTCCTTGCTGTTTCTTTTTTTTTTTTTTTTTTTTTTTTTTGAGACGGAGTCTAACTCTGTCACCCAGGCTGGAGTGCAGTGACATGATCTGGGCTCACTGCAACCTCTGCCTCCGGGTTTAAGTGATTCTCCTTCCTCGGCCTCCCGAGTAGCTGGGATTACAGGTGTGCATGACCACACCCGGCTAATTTTTGTATTTTTAGTAGAGACAGGGTTTCACCATATTTGTCAGGCTGGTCTTGAACTCCTGACCTTGTGATTCACCTGCCTCGGCCTCCCAAAGTGCTGGGATTATAGGCATGAGCCACCGCACCCGGCCAGCTGTTTCTTGACTTGTAGAAGCATCGCTCCAATCACTGTCTCCAGCTTCCCTTGCTGATCTTGCCTATGTCTGTGTCTCTGTATACAACATTTTCTCTTCTCATATTGCTTTATGGCCCACCCTAACCCAGTGTGATCTCATTTTAACTTGATTACATCTGCAAAGGCCCTATTTCCAAATAAGGTCACAGTCACAGGTTATTGGTGGAAATACATTTTTTTTGGGGGACACTATTTACCACAATACAATTCTCTCTCTATTTCACCAGGCAAACCAGAATAACACATTGCATTTAGTAGCTATGTCTTCTCACTCTCCTGTGGTCTACTACGGTTTCTTAGTCCTTCCTTGCTCTTCATGACCTTGGCAGTCTTAAGGTGTACTGGTCAGGTATCCTGTAGATGTCTGGGTTTGTCTAACATGCCAGCTCTCAGGTCTCAGTTACTAAGCTATAGAGATGAAGCATTCCTGAGAAGCACCTGTTGGCTTATTCATTTGCTTTTTCACTTGTGGGCTTGCTTAGCACTGAACACATAGGTGGAGGCTCAATAAATACCTGATAAATTGATTGATGCAGAGCTTGTTGTCTTCCTGCCACATCTCAACCCCCTTTCCCCAAACATGGAAGTGACGTCTTCCTTCTTGCATGTATAAGACAAAGCTGTTCACTTTGTTAGTTACAATAATGGATCAAGTGCTACTGTGAACACAGAGTTGGACCTGACCCCTGCCTGGTGGGCTTGACAATGGCAGAAAAGCAGAGATCACCTGCAGGAGTTTAGCTGCATACAAATACTCCTCAGCTCGTCAAGGACCAGGTGAATTGACAAGAGGAAAAACTAGAACTTGCACCTCTTTTACAATAAGTGGATTATGTGGATTCAAATTCTTCATTGAATATTGATGATAACCAAATAAAGAAAGCTTTCTTATTAAGCATACCTAGGCCTTCAATTCAATTTAGTAGTGAAAGTGAGTATATAGAAGTAAGTGGATTGAAATTCTGGAATTCTTGCCTAGTCATGCATTTGCCTGTTTATTTATATATGTACTCATATATTAATGTATTCACTCTGGGAGCGGGCAGACTGATGCACTATGGGGTAAGTAGAAAGACTACATTATTTGGAATTAGCAAGGTGTCTAAGGTGTCTTACAATTCCCAGGTCTCTCTCTCTCTCTTTTTTTTTTTTTTTTTTTGAGACAGAGTCTTGCTCTGTTGCCCACGCTGGAGTGCAGAGGCGCGATCTCGGCTCACTGCAACCTCTGCCTCCCGGATTCACACAATTCTCCTGCCTCAGCCTCCCCAGTAGCTGGGACTACAGGTGCCCGCCACCATGCCCAGCTAATTTTTTGTATTTTTAGTAGAGACGGGGTTTCACTGTGTTAGCCAGGATGGTCTCGATCTCCTGACCTCGCGATCTGCCCACCTCAGCCTCCCAAAGTGCTGGGATTACAGGCATGAGCCACCGTGCCCAGCCCTGAGTCTCTTAAGATATCAGTTATCCCTAAAGCTAAGTCTCAGTTTCCCCAGCTTTAGCATCAGAATGATATATCCACTTGTGGTGCTCCCTTTGCCTGTTCAGCTGTTACTCCTACTGTCTTGATATCTTTTAGGGTACCACCTACTGCTATTGGATACAGCCTTTTTTCCAAGTGTCCTATGTTCCCCAAGCCAAAGAGTGGACACACGTCTCAAGATAGGCTTGTTCAATTTCCTATCTTTGGAATGTGACTCTCAAGGGATGTGCTGTAATGGCAGAAGAAACACACAGATTCATTCTGGAAGAGCCATTCTGAAGAAGCTCTTCATTGGTTCCTGCTACCCAGACCTCTTGGAAAAACTTCTATTTATTTTCTCACAAGTCATACTCTTCATTCTTTCCTTGTATTCTATGAGTCTCCTGGTATTCTTCCCAGAATTAAAAAAAAAAAAAATCTCTTTATGAAAGCCAGAGTTGGTCTTGATTGCTGTGGCTAAAAACACTGACGGACATTTTGTTTCTTCCTCAAGTCCCTGCCACATTTCAAAAGCTAGAGATAATTCTTTCCTCTTAATTCCCACATGTATTAGGTTGGTGCAAAAGTAATTGCGGTTTCTGCATTGTTGAAATTTGCCATTTGATATTGGAATACATTCTTAAATGTGGTTACATTACACATCATTTTAATGTGCATTTCTTGCTTTATGTTTTTTACCAATGACATTACTTGCTTTTGATTTTATGTTGATTTTAGACTATGGACAAAATGCAAATTCGAGTGATTTTCTTATTCGAGTTCAAAATGGGTTGTAAAGCAGCAGAGACAACTCACAACATCACCAATGCCTTTGGCCCAGGAACTGCTAATGAACATACAGTGCAGTCATGGTTCAAGAAGTTTTGCAAAGGAGACGAGAGCCTTAAAGATGAGGAACATAGGGACCAGCCATCGGAAGTTGACAATGACCAAGTGAGAGCAATCGTTGAGGCTGATCTTCTTACAGCTACAGGAGAAGTTGTCAAGGAACTCAACATCAACCATTATACAGTCATTTGCATTTGAAGAAATTGGAAAGGTGAAAAAGCTCCATAAGTGGGTGCCTCATGAGCTGAGTGAAAATTTAAAAATTGTCGTTTTGAAGTGTCATCTTTTCTTATTCTATGCAACAAAAACGAACCATTTCCTGAATAGATTGTGATGAAAAGTGGATTTATATGACAACCGGCAACAACGAGCTCAGTGGTTGGACCAAGAAGCTCCAAAGCACTTCCCAAAGTCAAACTTGCCCCCAAATAAAAGGTCATGGTCGGCCTGGCACAGTGGCTCACGCTTGTAATCCCAGCACTTTGGGAGGCCGAGGTGGGCAGATCACCTGAGGTCAGGAGTTCGAGACCAGCCTGGCCAACATGATGAAACCCTGTCTCTACCAAAAAAATACAAAAAATTAGCCAGACATGGTGGCAGGTGCCTGTAATCCCAGCTACTCAGGATACTGAGGCAGGAGAATCACTTGAACCAGTGAGATGGAGGTTTCAGCGAGCCTAGATCATGCCATTGCACTCCAGCCTGGGCAACAAGAGTAAAACTCCATTTAAAAAACAAATTAACAAACAAACAAACAAAAAACAAAACAAACAAAAAACACACACACAAAACCCCCCAACAAAAGGTCATGGTCACTGTTTGGTGATCTGCTGTTGGTCTGATCCACTACAGCTTTCCGAATCCCGCCGAAACCATTACATCTGAGAAGTATGCTCAGCAAATTGATGAGCTACACTGAAAACTACAATGGCTGCAGCTGCCATTGATCAACAGAAAGGGCCCAATTCTCCACGACAACACCCAACTGCACGTCACACAGCCAATGCTTCAAAAGCTGAACAAATTAGGGTGCGGTGGCTCATGCACCTGTAATCCCAGCATTTTGGGAGGCCAGGGTGGGTGGATCACTTAAGGTCAAGAGTTCGAGACCAGCCTGGCCAATATGGTGAAAATATAAAAATTAGCCGGGCATGGTGGCAGGCACCTATAATCCCAGCTACTTGGGAGGCTGAGGCTGGAGAATCTCTTGAATCTGGGAGGCAGAGGTCACAGTGAGCTGAAATCACACCACTGCACTCCAGCCTGGGAGACAGAGTGAGACTCTCTCTCTCAAAAAAAAAAAGTTGAACAAATTGGGTTATGATGTTTTGCCTCATCTTCCATGTTCACCTGACCTCTTGCCAACTGACTACCAGTTCTTCAAGCATCTTGACAACTTTTTGCAGGGAAAACGCTTCACAACCAACAGGACGCAGAAAATGCTTTTCAAGAGTTCATTAAAACCCTAAGCATGGATTTTTATGCTACAGGAATAAGCAAACTTATTTCTCATTGGCAAAAATATGTTGATTGTAATTGTAATGGTTGCTATTTTGATTAATAAAGATGTGTTGCAGTTATGTTTGCACCAACCTCAGGTTGCAGTTTATTTATTATAAATTAATATCTCAGGAAGGCATTTATTTATACCTTCCTGAGAATGTTTCCCCTTACATTCTGTTGCTTTTGTACCCATTGTCTTCTGGCCACTAAAGAGACAGTCTAGTGGAGTGGTTGCTATAGACTGAATTGGGTCTCCCACCCAAATTAATCTGTTAGAGTCCAAATCCCCAGTACCTCAGAATGTGACTGACTGTTTTTGGGGACAGACTTTTTAAAGAGGTTATTAAGGGCCAGGCTTGGTGGCTCATGCCAGGAATCCCAGCACTTAGGGAGGTTGAGTTGGAGGATTGATTAAGCCCAGGAGTTCAAGACCAGCCTGGGCAACAAAGTGAGATCGAGTCTATACAAAAAGTCAAAAAAATTAGCTAGGCAGGGTGGCACATGCCTGTGGTCCCAGCTACATGGGAAGGACTTGCTGAGGCTGGAGGATCACTTGAGCCCAGGAGACTGAGGCAGCAGTGAGCCATGTTTGTACCATTGCACTCCAGCCCTGGTGACAGAGTGATAGCCTGTTTCAGAAAAAGAAAGAAAGAAAGAAAGAAAGAAAGAAAGAAAGAAAGAAAGAAAGAAAGAAAGAAAGAAAGAAAGAAAGAAAGAAAGAAAGAAAGGAAAGAAAGAAAGAAAGAAAGAAAGAAAGAAAGGAAGAAAGGAAGAAAGAAAGGGAAAGAAGGAAGGAAGGAAGGAAAGAAAGAAAGAAAAGAAAGAAAAGGAAGGAAGAAAGAAAGAAAGAAAGAAAGAAAGAAAGAAAGGAAGAAAGAAAGAAAGAAAGGGAAAGAAGGAAGGAAGGAAGGAAAGAAAGAAAGAAAAGAAAGAAAAGGAAGGAAGGAAGGAGAAAGAAAGAAAGAAAGAAAAAGAAAGAAAAAAGAAGGAAAGAGAGAAAGAGAAAGAAAGAGAGAAAGAAAGAAAAGAAAGAAAGAGAAAAAGAAAAAGAAAGAAAGAAATCATTATGAGAGACAGGACTAGCTGGATTTCCTAAGCCGACTAAGAATCCCTTTGTATGGGAGCTCTGTTTTCACTCTGTTAAATCTTGCAACTGCACACTCTTCTGGTCCATGTTTGTTATGACTTGTTATGGCTCAAGCTGAACTTTCACTCACTGTCCACCACTGCTGTTTGCCACCATCGCAGACCCACCACTGACTTCCACCCCTCCAGATCCGGTAGGGCTAAGTGCCCAGGTTCATCCTAATCGAGCTGAACACTAGTCACTGGGTTCCACGGTTCTCTTCCATGATCCACGGCTTCTAATAGAGGTATAACACTCATCGCATGGCCCAAGATTCCATTCCTTAGAATCCGTGAGGCCAAGAACCCCAGGTCAGGGAAAAAGAGGCTTGCGGCCGTCTTGGAAGCAGTCCACCACCATCTTGGGAGCTCTGGGAGCAAGGACCCCCCGGTAACAGTTAAGGTTAAATGAGATCATTGGAGTGGGCCCTAATAGAGTTACTGGTGCTCTTATAAGAAGAGGAGGTGGCTGGGCGCAGTGGCTCACACCTGTAATCCCAGTACTTTGGGAGGCCAAAGCAGGGGGATCATGAGGTCAGGAGATTGAGACCATTCTGGCTAACAAAGTGAAACCGCATCTATACTAAAAATATAAAAAATTAGCTGGGTGTGGTGGCGGGAGCCTGTAGTCCCAACTACTCGGGAGGCTGAGGCAGGAGAATGGCATGAACCCAGGAGGCAGAGCTTGCAGTGAGCTGAGATGGCACCACTGCACTCCAGCCTGGGCGACAGAGCGAGACTCTGTCTCAAAAAAAAAAAAGAGAGAGGCCTTAGAAGAAACCAACTCTGTGAACACCTTGATCTCAGACTTGTAGCCTCCAGAACTGTGAGGAAACACATTTCTGTTTTTAAACTACTCAGACTGTGATAGTTTGTTACGGCAGCCCTAGAAAACTAATGCAGTGGTCAAGGATGCAGACTCAGGTAAAACTCCCTGCCCCAAGTCTACATGTGACTATGGATGAGTTACATAAACATTCAGTGATGAAATTTTTTGATGGCAGGTGGGGCATAGAGGAAGATGGCAGAGGGTATGCTTTGAGATTGGTCAAGTCCAAGAGGAGGTGAGAGTAAGGGGTAAGATAGGGAGAGTGTCTCCTTCCAAATTGCTGCTTCCTCAAGTCACTTCTCATCTGGAGAGAGCAGAGGGGACAGTTGCATTTTGCTGGTGGAGTTTCCTCCTCATAAAAGGGGACCTCAGGAGTGGGAAATAAGTTCCCCTCTCTCTTAGTCCATTTTGTGTTGCTGTAACAGAACTTGTGAGGCTGAGTAATTTATAAAGATAAGAGCTTTATTTAGCTTATGATTCTGGTGGTTGGAAAGTTCAAGGTTAGGCAGCTGCATCTGCTGAAGGCCTCCCTCACACTGCTTCCACTCATGGCAAAAAGTGGAAGGGGGGCAGGTGTGTGCCAAGAGACTACGTGGCAAGATAGAAAGTTAGAAAAACAAAAGAATAAAAGAAGGAGGACTCCTTCAATATGTTCTGCAGTCTTGCAGAACTAATCCATTCCTGAGAAAGCAAGAACTCACTTGCCACTGCGGAATGGCATTAAGGAGGGACCCACACTCATGATGCAAACACCTCCCACTAGGCCCCACCTCTCAACACCATAACATGAGGCTTCTAATTTCAACATGAGTTTTAGTGGGGAAACCACATTCAAACCATGGCGCCCTTCTAGCAAGGTAATGATTAAGAATAAAGGACTAATAGTTAAGAACAAGAAAGAAATTCTATTCATATGCTTTGGACAAGTTACCTAGCCTCCTTATACTATTTTCTAATTTCTGAAGTGGGGATAATGATATCTGCATCTGATATTATTGTTGGGAGAAGCACATGGGGAAAAATGCATCTAGTCTATAAAAAGTTCTCTATCAGTGTACACATTTTTCAAAGGCAGATAATCTGGTTACATTACTCAGTTTTTTATTTCTACCTTGTAATTCAGGGCCAGATACGTGGCAGGCATTCTGCTTACATTTGTTGGATGAGTAAGTGGCAGCTGCTATTATTAAGAGAGAGAGCAAACAGATGGACAATTGCTCAGAGCTGGGGTTGCTGTCTGTGGATTTTATGTGCTAGCCCCCAGGCTAATGTGCAGGACACGGAGTGTGATTTAAGGTTCAGGATGGAGCACACACCAAAAATGATGACAAAGAAAGAAATATATAGTTTTCTAAATCTAGGGTTTCTTCTTAACTGTTCACCTCTGGAGTGAATACAGAATTTATAAATGAATAACAATAAATTGATTGTAAATTGTATAGCATGTCTGTGAAGTCAGAGTTGGGGAAACACCAGTGAAGCTGCCTTTCTACCTGGTCTTCCCTCTATCCCCCATACACACACACATCAGCCTATCTACCACAGCACAGCAAAGACAATCTTGGTAAGACACAACCCTGTATGAATAATTCCTCTGCTAAAATTTATGTGTTGTCTTCTTGAGTCCTATAAAGCAAACTTTGAATTCCTTAGCCCCATATATAAAACCTTTGCATCAGTCCTCTGTTCCCCTGTTTATCTCATTTTCTCCCTCCTGCCTGCACTCCCAGAATCAGATAATTATAGGTTCGGCCTCCACAAACGTGGGCATGCTTTGCTTTCTGCCAGGGTCGCCCTTTTTCAACACATTTACCTGGCAAATGTCTACTCCCTTTGCTGCACGGAGCTCTAACCATTGCCTACTTAGGTGCAAAGAGGAGTTATTCCAGAGAATATTGGTCCTGCTCTATCCAAGCTCCATTGCAACAGAGTGTCCTCATTCATTTATGTTCTGGTATCTCACATGGAACCATGAGCTTCTCCCAAGCAGGGTTTGTCATCTTCATCTTCACACCCATAGGTTTCAGCAAATCTGATGAAAGAATGAATGGTTGTCTTACAGCTTCCATCAATGGAAGGCTTCCTTCGTGTTGGGCACTGTGATAAACAACTTACACTCATATCGCATTTAGCCTCCTGACATAAGGAAACTAAGGCTAAGAAAACTAAGTTACTTGCCCAAAGCCTTCCAGTGATTAAACCACAGAATAGGGACTGGAACTCAGGACTCAGCAACGAACGCCAACATATATTTAATGAGCATTGACAGTGTTCAGGACAGATCATGATAGTTCGCTGGTTTGGCTAGAAAATGTTTTAAAATACCTCTTTTTAAATAACAGGGCCCAGGGAGGAAGGGAGATATTGCCCTTTCAAAAATGTCAGTAACACAACTCGAAGGCAGCAAAGAGGAGAGGGAGTGAGGCAGGCTGGTAAGCACTCCTGATGAGAGGAGCCTTCTCTGCATTCATTCCCAAATATGGGAAAGGAGGGGACTTAACATTCCCAGAAGAACAGCTCTGGGTAATAAAAAAGGAAGCACTTTGACCTTAGAGGTCTGGAACGTGTGAATAAGGTGGGCTGCATTTTGCTTCTAATGCTTATGGCCCACTTTTCCATGCTCCAGGGTCCAAATTTTACAAGTCAATGGGAAATTTTGCTCTAAACACCCTTTTACCTACAAACACATTTTTGATCATAGCAACCAACACGCAGTAGCACAGTGATCCCCAAATCCACTTGCCAACCCTCCCCCTTGCATAGGTTGCTGACTTTGTCTGGAAGCTTCATTCCCTCCCCATCCCCCGAGCTAATTGCTCACATCTCTCCAAGCTCAGCTCACTGGTCTCCTCCAGGAAGGCTTCATCCTGCATTTACCTACAATACACACTGCATTTACCTACAATACACACACACACACACACACACACACACACACACACACACACACACACACACACGAAACTCTCACTCTCAGAAGTGAATTGGCCTTGAGGCTAATAATGCCTAAGCCTCAGGGCCTCTCCCGACAGGGGCCTCTTTGAGTGGCAGGCATCATTGAGGGAGTGTTCTAAGTGGGGAAGAGAAGGCAGAGAGCAATAAACAAGACTTTATATGTACATTTTTTTTTTTTCCGGTAAATTGCCCAAAGAAAACCCAGAAGAAAGAGATCTGCATTGCAAAAGTTTCCAGGAATCTGTTGTGATTTATTTTCTCATTCTAAACAAATATTTACTCATGCACTTTAATACCTAATTTTGTTATTTTATTTTGTTGTTATGATTTCTAAGAGACCCTCAGTAAATAGTATAAGCTTTAGGCCCCACAGATTTTGCGTCTGCCCCTTCACTCTGTATTAAAACTGAGTCTGTTTCTTGATCTTCTCCACTCAGGTTCAAGCTCCTTGATGGACGTCTTACTTACCTTTGCATTTTCAGAGCACAGTTACTGACACACATTAGGTGTGTTTTTTACACTTCCATACCCCATAAATGAGAATACAAGAATAAATCTCCCATTTCTGAGGGGATAGGACAATCTGCCCTCTTAAATCGCACGTGGAGCCTTTGACCAGGAAAATCAAGCTGCTCTTGTGGAATGCTAGCAAGCACGCTGGGCATGGTGGCTCACGCCTGTAATCCCAGCACTTTGGAAGGAGGGCGGCTCACTTGAGCCAGGAGTTCAAAACCAGCCTGGCCAACATGGTGAAACCCCATCTCTACTAAAAAATACAAAAATTAGATGGGCGTGGTGGCATACGCCTATAGTCCCAGCTACTCAGGAGGCTGAGGCAGGAGAATCACTTGAACCTGGGAGGTGGAGATTGCAGTGAACCAAAATGGCACCACTGCACTCCAGCCTGGGGGACAGAGTGAGACTCAGTCTTCAAAATAAAACAAAACAAAACAGAATGCAAGCAAGCAAAGCTCTATTTAGTACCTCTTGGATGGTTTGGATGCATAGAAGTTTGATAACCACTGTGGCCCGTTCACTGGCAGAACTATTGTAGCCTTTTTTATATTTCACAAGCCTCTCCTGCCATTGTCATGTTCCTACATCACTCTCCAGCAGCCAGATGGGCTGTGCACCTGACAGATGGACAGCTGTCACCTGGAGAGGGGCCATGCAGCCTGCCTCCCTGGTGTCTCAGCCAGATGAAGCACTTCACAGGCATTTAACCACCTGTCTACAGATACACAAGCAGCAATCCTCTTCTCCCTGTATTGCTTCCAAATCTGGCAAAGTGAGCATATGAAGACCCAATTTCTGAATTGTTACGTTCATTCAGGCCTCCCTACTGAAGTTCAGGAAATGTCACCCCAAAATATGCTTCTTTGGTATATTGATTACTTCAAGCCAAGGGTACTTAAAAAACAGCAAATGTAGGGAGAGGTTTTCTCTGAATCCTCTTTAACTGCCTAAAGACAGATCCTCCAAAAACAGCTCAACTCTCATCATTCCCTCCCTGGAGTTTCATCAACCCGGGAGGATTAACGCATATCACAGGACAGGGGCCTGGAAGTCGACACCCCACCCCTAAGTTTTGTCACAAACTATCATCTGTTCTCCTAAGGGCCCATTCATCTTTCCCCCAAATCGTTTACTCTGTCCTAAATTGCCTACAGCCCCGTTCCCTTCTCCCTTATGAAGAAAGCCAATAAGCTCCTAAATCTTACTGGGTTTTGAGTGTTCCCTTTTCTTTCCTATGATCCCTGTGCGTGTGATAATTCTGTATACTTTTTCTCCAGTTAATCTGCCTATTGACAGTGTATTTCAAAGATGCAACTATCAAACCCTCAAAGGTAGAGGGAAAATCTTCTCTCCCCTACACCATGGGTTATTATTAGTAATAATGTATTTCAAAACAGCTCCCATTTATTTCTCACTCTGGTCTGGGAACTGTGATAAAGTGCTTTGCATGCATGTTCTCATGTAGTGATGCATGATTGTGATATGATACATGTCATCCCATTCATTACATGTGAAACTGAGGCCAAGATAAGGCAAATACCTTGCCTAAGATTACATGGCCAGGAATTGGAAAGTTCTGGATTCAAACCAAGGTCTGTGCTTTTTCAGATGAACTCTTGGTTTCATGGCAGTCAAGTGGCGATAACAAGCCCTCCCACCTCCCAGGGTGGCTCTGTTTTAAAGATGCCTATAAAAGGACCGTGAATAAGACAGTGGTACCCAGGAGAGGCAGTAGGATGAGGGTTCTTGTAGCTGGTGTCATGGGGCCATCCGAGAGTTGGCATCCAATCCCACACTGATTTGATAAAGACTACTCCCATATTTTACTGGGCTTTATCCAGAAATATTTTTATTAACATCCTCATATATTTAAGTTGAAGTACATGAAGTTGATGTATTTAAAGGAAATTAAAAAAAAAACAAATACTTTCAATTTCATATGATTCAACCTACAGGTAGGTTGGGACTAAAAGGGAAAATGTTACATAGTTCTCTCTTTGGTTACTCCCTTTGCCCTGACCAATCTCTCTCTCTGTCTCTCTCTCTTTACTTTATTCTTAGAGGCTGTGAAAAAACAAAATGAAACAAAAACCCAGCATTGGTCACGATTTCTACTGGGGGTAGAAGGAAGTACAGAAGGACATGAAGAAAGAAAAAGAGAGGCACTTGGAAAAGAAGGAAGAAAGAAAGAGAGGCAATGACTTATTTCTGCTTTCACTCCCTTGCTCATGGGATTTCCACATTTAATCCTTCTCCCGAACCCTGCCTCATTTAAAAAGGTGCCTCTTGGGTGGATTATTTGAGGCCAGGAGTTCGAGACCAGCCTGGCCAAAATGGAGAAACCCCGTCTCTACTAAAAATACAAAAATTAGCCCGGCATGGTGGTGCACACCTGTAATCCCAGCTATTCGGGAGGCTAGGGCAGGAGAATCGCTTGAACCCAGGAGGCAGAGGCTGCAGTGAGCCAAGATTGCAACACTGCACTCCAACCTGGGCGGCAGAGAGAGATTCTGTCTCGGAAAAAATGAAAATTAAAAATAAATAAAATAAAAAGGTGCCTTTCACGGTCTAGCTCAGAGGATCCCCTTCCTCTGCATTCCTGCAGGGCTCTAGAAAGCCCCATCAAGCATCTTAATAATGGGGTGTGTTATTAAACTTTTTGTGGATACAGGTTCTCCATACACAAAGTGGATTATAAACTTCTCTGCTTCAGACAGGTGAGATGATATAATAGAAAAAATAAAAAGGAACAAAATTTAAACTCAGAAGGGTTGAGTCCTAGCATTTCCACCTAACTTGCTCTAAACATTTGCAGACCTGTTGATATTTAGAGAGCTCCTGTTTAAAGATCCTGGAAGTTAGGCTGCTTTGCAAACTCTCAAGCAACAGAGAAAAAGGTTGACCATTGCTTTTACTTCTTATGTTGCTCATAACCCTCAGAACAGTTTAACACAATGTGAGAACTACTCAATAGAAATGAGTCTTTATTTTTTATTGGCACACTCTAGGAGACACAATGATTTAATCTATTTTTCCCTTCCAAGCTTCTTCAGTGTTTTGGTTTTGCACAGGGCCCATTCTTCTAAAAGGTCCAAGTCCTTTTGCTAAGACTCAAAAAGAAATAGAAATAGAAACTGACAAAGAACCAAAGTCCACAAGGGACGGAAAGAGTCAAACGAGGACAGTGGTGGGAATAGGTTCAAGGAGACACTGCAGGTTTCCTTTGCTGTTGGAATGAGAACCTGGAGATGGTGTAAGAGGCCACATCATTTCATTTGTCATGGAGGAACTGCCCCTCTCAGACTCCTCAGTAGGCTACTCATGTAGATTTAGGCAGCCCCTCAGGAGTGGCTCTTAGGTGAGATTAATAAAAACAAAAGACTGACCCTGAGTCATCAAGAAAAGGCTAAGTAGGCTTCACATTCTCTGTCTAAAATAAAAGGAAAATGTGTTTCATGTTTTAAAGGAATGTCCCTAAAATTAGTATTTCCAAAACATAGGGTTGTCAGTAACTTTGGCAAGTTCTCATTCCCTTCTGGAGATTTGCCTGATACTTCAAAAAAGTTAATCATACTGTGTGTTCTGGTTCCTTCTGTCAAGGACTATTTTCCTGAAATCTTTTGAGGAAGAGTGAGGGCAATTACTTCCCCCTGATGTCTTCTCTGTTTCCTAACAGATCACAAAGAACTGATCACTTCTACGGAAGGAAGAAAGGAAGGAAGGAAGGAAGGAAGGAAGGAAGGAAGGAAGGAAGGAAGGAAGGAAGGAAGGGAAGGAAGGAGGGAGGGGAGGGGAGGGCAGGGGAGGGGAGGGGAGGATATATGTGTGTTTGTACAGACACACACACACACACTCACACAGTACATCCCTTGTACTGGGCTATATGTCACATGCTAATCTAAATGCTTTTATATATAAACTCATTTAATCTTTACAATAACCCTTTGGCGTGTTACTGTGTTTTTCATTTAGAAATAAACCAACTGAAGCAATGGAAAGTTGAGTAGCTCACCCAAGACTGCAGCCTTAGTAAGTAGCAGGGCTGGAAATTGGACCCTCTGCTTCTTGGTGTACTTGAGTGCATCTCTATTTCAGCACTCTGCTCAGGGTAGCATTGTCTCACCAGCCAGTCCATGTGAGCTCTCTGGGTTAGGTGCTGCTTCTTAGCTTTGTATCCTCAGGGGTTTTGTCCAATGAGTTAAAGAGAGGATTTAATGGGTGGCCTGTGGCCTGGACCCCAGTCGATTTCTTCAGAAATTAATTGTTCTTCCTGAATAAAAGATTTAACATTCATCTGCCTAGCCCTTTACCACATGAATAGGGAACCATGCTGGACAGACAGTCCTCCTTTTTACGTCTGTGAAATCTGAATGATAACATGTGTCCTTTCCAATCCAGGGCTATTGTCAGGAGTAAATGGAGAGACCCTTTGAAGAGGATAAAGTGTGTCACAGACGCAAGGCATTTAATAATTAGCAAAACTTTAATACACACACAAAGGCTGCATTATAACATACAAATCAAAACTATGCTGCACAAACCAACTAATAATGCCATACCAATTCATACAGGTAATGCAATTATCTTTTCTAATTTATCCATTACACTGCCATTTGAATAACTTTCCTTTTAAGGCAAAAACCTGTAAGAAACTCCACTTTGCCTTTTTGAGTTAGTTCTAACAAGGACAAAAACAGGAATTAATGTTTAATGAAACCCTACTTTCTACCTGGCCCTGTGCTGTTTGCCTTGGCTCAAAGCACAGTGATGACTCCTGGTATAATCTCAGCTGAGTGACTTAACCTCTATGAACTGAAGTCACCTGAACTGTAAAATAGAAATAACGATAATGTCTACAGCCATGTATAGCACAATGGCACCAGATGTAAGGGGTTGCCGTTCCCATCATGAGAGAGGTGGATCTTTGTTACCAAAGCTTCCTAGCAGATGCCAATATTGTATCTTGTTCTAATAAGAATAGTTTATTATGACAGTTTTCCAATAGATGGAAGTAAAGTGGCTTGAAGAAAGGGAGCCTTTTGCTGATCCCTACACAGGCTCTAAATAGACAAGGAGCAATACCAAGTTCTTAGCTCAGGGTTGTTGTAAGAATTGATTGAGGCCAGGTGTGGAGGCTCACGCCTGTAATCCCAGCACGCTGGGAGGCCGAGGCTGGCAGATCACCTGAGGTCGCACGTTTGAGACCAGCCTGACCAACATGGAGAAATCCCGTCTCTACTAAAAATACAAAATTAGCTGGGTGTGGTGGCGCATGCCTGTAATCCCAGCTACTCAGGAGGCTGAGGCAGGAGAATTTCTCAAACCTGGGAGGTGAAGGTTGCAGTGAGTTGAGATTGTGTCACTGCACTCCAGCTTGAGCAACAAGAGTGAAACTCCATCTCAAATAAAAAAAAAAAAGAATTGATTGAATAAATGTACAGAAAGTACATGGAACAGTGTTAGAACAAATGAAGGAAAAACAAACTAAAGTACTTGGAACATTATTAGAACAAACAAAAAAGTGGTAATAACTATAATTTATCTGCATTTTCTGGCGTAATATCTTTGAGTCCTCATCATAACTTTAAAAAATACTATTTAAAAAAAGCTTTGTTTGTTGAGGGATGATTAATATACGACAAACTGCACTTTTTTTTGTTTGTTTGTTTTTGAGATGAAGTTTTTCCGTTGTTGCCCAGGCTGGAGTGCAGTGGCAAGATCTCAGCTCACTGCAACTTCTGCCTCCTGGGTTCAAGCGGTTCTACTGCCTCAGCCTCCTGAGCAGCTGGGATTACAGGCGCCCACCACCACACCCGGCTAATTTTGTATTTTTAGTAGAGATGGGGTTTCACCATGTTGGACAGGCTGGTCTCGAACTCCTGACCTCAGGTGATCCACCCGCCTCAGCCTCCCAAAGTGCTGTGATTACAGGCGTGAGCCACCGTGCCCAGTCAAACTGCACGTATTTAATGCAAACAATTTGATGAGTGTAGACATATGCACACACCCATGAAACCATCATCACAATTAAGATACTAGACATAGATATATCCATCACTTTTACTAATATCCTTGTGTCTCTTCGTGTGTGTGTTTGTGTGTGTGTTAAGGAAATATTACTTTCAATCCCTGTTTAACAAATAAAAAAAGTGAGGCCCGGAGAGGGTTAAATTGTACCTTAAAAGTCAGCTAGGTAGTGAGTGGCTTAGTTTGGGACCCAAATCCAGGCCTGTCTGCTTAAATCTATACCATTAATTACTGTACTTGGCTGTCTTCCAAGCAAACCATGTCTTCTCTTAGTTGAGAGACGAGCATGGAGAGAGGAAAAATCCCAGCGTGAGATTTCTGAATAGAAGGGAGCAGTTGCCCCAGTCTGAGTTGTGCCTAGAGCCCTTTACTTCCTGCACTGAATCTCTGCTTGATCCTCTTTCCGTTTTCCCCACCTCCCACTACTACAACCTCATCGCATCCTTGACCTTCATTTCTTCTTGGTCCATGGCAAAATGTGTCTGTGCTTGGGGAAGAGCTACAACAGGATAAGTAGCAGGAGCTTCAGGCTTGTCTAGAGGTTAGAAGGGGTTTTGTGCTGATGCTGGCAATGGAAGCCAGACCCGGACCGCATAGATGAATGTAGCAGACATACCCACCTACGCACTCTGATGGTGGCTGGCGAAGGACTAAGTAGTGGAGACATGTTTTGAAGATTTCTTTAATGTTTTCATGTCTTGTATTACAAATCCAAGAGCAATTATTTCTATCCCTCTGCATATTATATCTATTTCTTTTAACATAGAGAATGTTTTAAATTTCTAACCAAAGAGAAAAAGTTGATGGATCAGGAAGATGTACAGGACAAAGACTTTGTTTATAACCTGTGTGATGGTTAATTGTATGTGTCAATGTGACTAGGCTATGATGCTCAGTCGTTTGTTCAAACACTAATCTAGATGTCTCCGTGATGAAGTTATTTTTTAGACGCAATTAACATTTATAGTCAGTAGATTTTTGGGTACACTAGACCTCTTTATCCATAGGGGATACATTTGAAGACCCTCAGTGGATGCCTGAAACCTTGGATAGCGCCAAATCTTATATGTACTGTGTTTTCCCCTATACATGGATACCTAAGATAATGTTTGATTTATAACTTAGGCACAGTAATAGATTAACAATAATAATAAATAATAAACAATATACTATAATAAAAGTTATGTGAATGTGGTCTCTCTCTCTGTCTAAAAAAACTTATTATCCTACTCACAAATTTAACGCCTTTTCCATCTTAATTAAGCAGCTACCACACACTGTGGCCTTAACTTTTGCAGTGAGAGGTACAACAGCAAAACTGGCTACATTTCTTTTTCCTTCTTTTTTTTTTTTTTCTTTTTTTTGCCCAGCTAATTTTTTTCTATTTTTGGTAGAGATGAGGTTTCAACGTGTTCACCAGGATCCTCTCTATCTCCTGACCTCGTGATCTCCCCACCTCGGCCTCCCAAAGTGCTGGGATTACAGGCATGAGCCACCGCGCCGGGCCCTTTTTCCTTCTTTATAATTTCATAGATAGAAGATTTATTCTTATCATAGATCTTAGCAACATCAGCATACAATTTGTTTTCTTACTAAGTCTAGAACTTTCACCTTTTCACTTAAGGAAAGCATTTTCTGGCTTCCCTTTGGCATGTCTGAATTGTCGGCATCACTACCCTTGTGCTTTGGAGACATTATAAAGTAAAATAAGGATGACTTGAACACGAGCGCTGCAATGCCGTGACAACTGATCTGATAACCGAGCTGGCTACTCTGGAACTGTCAGGCAGGTAGCGTATACAACATGGACATTCTGGACAAAAGACAATTCACCTCCCAGGACAGAGCAGGATGGCTCAACATTTCATCACGCTACTCAGAATGGCGCACAATGTACAACTTATGAACTGTTTATTTCTAGACATTTTCATTCAATGTCTTTAGACCATGGTTGACCACAGGTAACTGAAACCACAGAAAGTGAAACTGTGGTTAAGCGGGGATGACTGTAAGCAGGTTACTTTCTGTAATTGGACTCATGCAGTCATTTGAAGGCTTTAAGATCGAAGACTAAGATTTCCCAAAGAAGACGGAATTCTGCTTCTAGACTGCAACACAGAAATTCTGCCTGGGTTCCCAGACTGCAGACTCAAGACTGCAATATCAACTCTTAGGTGAATCTCCATGCCGCTGGCCTGCCCTACACATTAGATTTTAGACTTGCCAGCCTCCACATTTGTGTAAGCCGGTTCTTTAAAATTCTCTCCCTCACGTGTATCTACACACACACACACACACACACACACACACACACACGGTTGACTTTTGAAACAAACCAAAGGTTAGGGGCACCTCCAATGAAGTCAAAAATCCATGTATAACTTTCTTTTTTTTTTTTTTTTTTTTAAGACATAGTCTCGCTCTGTCTCTCAGGCTAGAGTGCCGTAGCATAATCTCGGCTCACTGCAACATACACCTCCCAGGTTCAAGCAATTCTCCTGCCTCAGCCTCCCGAGTAGCTAGCACTACAGGTGTGCACCACCATACCCAGCTGATTTTTGTATTTTTAGTAGAGATGGGGTTTCACCATGTTGGCCAGGCTGGTCTCGATCTCCTGACCTCAAGTGATCTGCCCACCTCACCCTCCCAAAGTGCTGGGATTATAGGTGTGAGCCACCGCGCCTGGCCAAAAATTCATGTATAACTTTTGATTTTCTCCCAATTTAACCACTAGTAGCCTTCTGCTGACTGAAAGCCTTATCACAAAAAGTTGATTAATGCATATTTTGTGATTAATATATATGTTATATACTGTATTCTTAAGTAAGCTAAAGAAAGGAAAATGTTATTAAGAAGATTATAAGGCAGAGAAAATACCTTTATAGTACCATATTGTATTTATCGATACCCTCAGTTTATATTGTCTGTTTACAAGATGAATGAATTGTCTGCGGTGGCAGCAACTGCAGCTGCGGACCTCAATTTATGGTACATATCAAGCAATTCAATCTTTTCTTGTAATGTCAGGACTTTTCTCTGCTTCTTGGGAGCACTTCCGGCATCGCTACTGGCACTTTGTATGGGTCCCATGGTGTTATTCAAGGTTTACGCTATTGCAGTAAACACGATGAAAAATACGTGAGAAACACTAGAGATCACCTTTTACTGAGATAGGCAATTTACTAGAGAAAGGAACCGCTCATGCGGAGATGATTAGCATCACACAGTGTTTTAAGGGGATACTCGCAACACTTGAGCACATGCAATAGCAACAGGATGTGGCTACAAAATTATTACAGTAGTGTGGTGTATGCCACAGTTAATTTTATGCAGTTGTAATTTAATACTGTATCCTTAGGTTTACTTCCATTTCTCTGGACTGGGAATAGCACCATGTGCAGTCTGTATGTGCATAAGCTTTGATAAATTTTAGTTTTTCTGTTTTTTTTTTTTTTTTCTTAGAGGGAGTCTTGCTCTGTTGCCCAGGCTGAAGTGCAGTGGTGGGATCTCAGCTCACTGCAAGCTCCGCCTTCTGGGTTCATGCTTTTCTCCTGCCAGCTAATTTTTTGTATTTTTAGTAAAGATGGGGTTTTATAGTGTTAGCCAGGATGGTATCCATCTCCTGACTTTGTGATCCACCCGCCTCAGCCTCCCAAAGTGCTGGGATTACAGGCGTGAGCCACCGCACCCGGCTTTTTTTTTTTTTTTTTTTTTTGAGGCTAGTCTCGCTCTGCCGCCCAGGCTGGAGTGCAGTGATGCGATCTCGGCTCACTGCAAGCTCCGCCTCCTGGGTTCACGCCATTCTCCTGCCTCAGCCTCACAAGTAGCTGGGACTACAGGCGCCCGCCACCATGCCTGGCTAATTTTTTGCATTTTTAGTAGAGACGGGGATTCACCGTGTTAGCCAGGATGGTCTCAATCTCCTGACCTCGTGATCCGCCTGCCTCCGCCTCCCAAAGTGCTAAGATTACTGACGTAAGCCACCACGCCGGGCCAAATTTTAGCTTTTTATAATAGACTTGTACATATTTTATGGTAGTAAATGATAAAATAGATGAGTATTTACATATATTTTATGCATTCATGAGACCTAATTTTTTCTTAAGTTTTTGATATTTCTAGGCTACGTTTTGGCAACTTTTTTTGAAATTGTTGCAAGCCTCCAAAAATGTTTGCCATATATTTATTTTTTAAAAATCCACATATAAGTGAACCTGCACAGCTCAAACCCATCTTGTTAAAAGATCAACTGTGTGTGTGTATCTTATTGGTATTGTTTCTCTCTCTCCTTTTTTTATGAGACAGAATCTTGCTCTGTTGCCCAGGCTGGAGTGCAGTGGCGTGATCTTGGCTCACTGCAACCTCCACCTCCTGGGTTCAAGCAATTCTCCTGCCTCAGCCTCCCAAGTGGCTGGGACTACAGGCACTTGCCACCATGCCTGGCTAATTTTATTTATTTATTTATTTATTTATTTTTAGTAGAGACAGGGTTTCACCATGTTGGCCAGGCTGGTCTCGAACTCCTGACCTCAAGTGATCCACCCACCTCGACCTCCCAAAGTGTGGGATTACAAGTGTGAGCCACTGCACCCGGCCTTGGCTTTATTTCTCTAGAGCACCATGACTAATACAACCTGGTAGGTACCTCAAGAGTATGTTCCTTTATCCATCTAGCTTGCACCAGTGACAACAGAAAAGCTGCAGGCATTAGTCAGATAGTATGGCTACACTGCAGTAATAACAAATAAATCCCAAAGTCTCAGTGGCTTAACACTATATAGACTTATTTCTCCCTCACGTCACATTCCATAAAAGGAGGCAAAAACTCAAATGGCTGCAGGGTCCAGACAGCCGAAGTAAATGATTGTGACTTCAGTGATCTTGAGACCAAATGCTTTATTCTAAATTAGGAAGAAATGTTGTCACCTTGTAGGAAAAGGAATGCCTGTGTACATATTTCCACCTTTTAATAGGCAAGAAAAGTTGAGAGTTTTATATGTAAAGTGTCTAATTTTCATATTTTGGTAACATATCCAATTAAAAAAATAAAAGTATGTGTATGCCAAACAAAATCTACTTATTGCAATAGGCCCAGGGGACTCCTGCTGGCAACTTCTGTTTGAAAATGACTACCCAACAATATTTTTTCTTGTTTATCTTGAGCTCAAGCTCAGCTTTGATCAAACTCATAGTTCCAGAAAAAAGCAGTGAAGTCCCGTTTATAAATCACAGAGGACTTCATCTGTCAGCACCACATGTAAAACCAAGAAACTCTAATGATAAGAACATAAAACCAGCCTGCACAGATACTCATATTGCTTACACAAACCAAGAGTGAAAAGACCAGAAAATAAGTGGGACTTCTGAAAAATCACTGTATTACTTGCATAGTAATATGTTTAAAAGTCCTTGCCAGAGACATTTGCATTGGCGTCAGTTAGCAATCCAATATTTTCAATTTGTTTTAATGACATTATTTTAATTAGCTTTGAAGAAGAGTTGTTGAGTTTCAGGAAGACAAGTTGTAGGACTGAACACCTGGGGAGGGAAAGGAGGGAGAGTAGTGTTGTGAATATTAAGCTAACAAGAATAAATGAGCTGGGTGTGGTGGCTCACGCCTGTAATCCCAGCACTTCGTGAGGCAGAGGCAGGTGGATCACCTGAGGTCAGGAGTTCAAGACCAGCCTGACCACCATGGCGAAACCCCGTCTCTACTAAAAATACAAAATTAGCCAGGCGTGGTGGTGCACGTCTGTAATCTCAGCTATTTGGGAGGCTGAGGCAGGAGAATCGCTTGAACCAGCAGGCGGAGGTTGCAGTGAGCTGAGATCACGCCATTACACTCCAGCCTGAGTAACAGAGCGAAACTCTGTCTCAAATAAATAAATAAAAGAATAAATGACTGACGCCTGTAATCCCAGCACTTTGAGAGGCTGAGGCATGTGGATTTCTTGAGCCCAGGAGTTTGAGACCAGCCTGGGCAACATGCTGAAATCCCGTCTCTACAAAAATTAGCTACTCAGAAGGCTAAGATGGGAGAATCACTTGAGCCCAGGAGTTTGAGGCTACAGTGAGCCATGATTATAACACTTCGCTCCAGCCTAGGTGACAGAGTGAGACCCTATCTCAAAAAAAAAGAAAGAAAGAAAGAAAAGAAAAATGAATGAAGCATTATTTGCATGTTTTATGGGTACCAGAATTATACTGTGATCCTCAGAAATCACAGTGGAAAATAGACTTTTATTACTTAGGTCCAGCCAGGCAATAGAAAGCACTTCAAGTATTTTCGAAGAAGGAAATTTACTACATTGAATGTGTTACATAGGAATGAAAGAGTGTGATAAATCAAACGAGAGAGAAGGAACCCAGAAGTTTGACACCCAGAAAAAGCAAGAAGCCACTACTACCTTTGGGTGGAAGGATCCAGGGGACGAGTCTCTCCCGCTACCAGCATGTAAGCTCTGTGAGCATAGAGACCTCATCTGTTTGCTCACTGCCCTGTTGCTCATGCTTAGAACAGTGTGCCTGGCTGCATTCATCTATTCAGGCTGCCCTAGCAAAATGCCACAGATTGAGTGCCTTATACCACAGACATTTATTCTCACGCAGTTCTAGAGGCTAAAAGTCCATGACCAAGGTGCCATCAGGGTTGGTTTCTGGTGAGGCTTCTCTCCTCTTTCTGGCTTGTGGATGGCTGCCTTCTTTCTGTGTCCTCACGTGGCCTCTTTTCACTGTGGGTGGAGAGAGAGAGAGAGAGAGAGAGAGAGAGAGAGAGAGATCTGGTGTTTCCTTCTCTCTCTCTCTCTCTTTTTTTTTTTTTTTTTTTTTTTTTGAGAGGGAGTCTCTCTCTGTCACCCAGGCTGGAATGCAGTGGCGTGATCTCTGCTCACTACAACTTCCGACTCCTGGGTTCAAGCAATTCTCCCGCCTCAGCCTCCTGAGTAGCTGGGATTACAGGCCCCCGCCACCATGCCCAGCTAATTTTTGTATTTTTAGTAGAGACGGGGTGTCACCATGTTGGCCAGGCTGGTCTCCAACTCCTGACCTCAAGTGATCTGCCTGCCTTGGCCTCCCAAAGTGCTGGGATTATAGGCTTGAACCACTGTGCCCAGACTAATTTTTGTATTTTTAGTAGAGACGGGGTTCCACCATGTTGGCCAGGTTGGTCTTGAACTCTTGACTTCAAGAGATCCTCTCGCCTCACCTCAGCCTCCCAAAGTGCTAGGATTACAGATGTGAGCCACCATACCTGGCCTCCTCCTTTTCTTATAAGGACACCAGCCCTAGGAAATTGAGGCTTCACCCTTATGACCTCACTTAACCTTTACTACCTCCAAATAAGCCCTGTCTTCAAATACAGTCACACTGTGGGCTTAGGGCTCCAACACATACATTTTAGGGGGACCCAGTTCATTGCACAGCACTGGTACATAGTAAATTCTCAATATTTATAGAACTGCATTGTATTCCTTCTATCCTATACCATACTGTATCTTCTGCGCTGGTAATAAACACTCTGCTATCATGCAGTACCCTCTAAAAATTGACTTAGAGCCTTATTATACTATACAGTGAGCTGGGATTATTGAAATACCACGGGAACTGTATGGCAGGAGTCCTTTCATTAAGCTTTCTAAGCTTCCTGGGGTTCAGAAGAGCAAGGCGCATCTTTCCAAAGTATAGGATGAGAAAATTAATGTTTGGCTTAATGCTAGAAATGTGGTGTCACCAGAAATGCTGACTGTAAGGGAGAGGTGAATGGTGTGCAATTTCTATACCTAACACTAAGTAGAGGAGGTATGTTGAGCTAAACAGAATGTACATTTGGAAGTGGGTGTGCATTTATGCGTAGAAGTGGGAGAATACATAAATTAATAATATGTCATAAAATTACTCTTCTGTAGTTGAAAAAAGTCAAATGTTGGCAATTACATGTACTTCAGTCTAATATGTGTGGTTGGGCATATGTGTAGAGGCTGTAAGTCTGGGTGTGTGTGTGTTGGGGGTGGGGTGTGGGTGGTATGGATGAAATATGTATTTACGTGTGAGCAGGGAAGAATGCATGCGTGTGGAGGGCAGGATGTAGGTGTATGTGAGTAGGGGTAATCAGGGAAGGCTTCCTAGAGGAGCTAACCTTGAAGGTTAAAGTGAAAGGACAAATAAGCTTGTGTACTCATAAAAGGGGTAGAAAGGATGCTCCCACCAAAGAGAACTGCATGCCAAGGCCAGGAATAGATTTATAAGAATGTCATCAAAACTAGATTCTAAGGGAGTAGTGAGCTGGGAAGATGAGGGGAATGACCTCAGAGCAGAAAAATGACAGAGGATGGGGGGCCCAATAAACCAAGGCAAAGAACTTGGCCTTTGTCCAAAAGAACAGAAGACCATGTTACGTTCCCAGATTAAGCAGGGAGTCTCCTTAGCAGGCCGAGGTGATGCAGAGAAAAGATTGCACCAGGAGAACAGAAAGGGGCTGTGAAACTGTACCAAGCTGCAAGAAAAGGTGCGCCCTGGCATCATGGTAACTCTCACCTTTCATTGCTAGTGTCTCCAGGCCCCTGACCCAAAACAAAGCAAGAGGGAGAGAAGCAGAGGCCAGCAGGCTGCTGTTAAATCTGACCAGCCAGAGGAGGCTCTCTTGAGCAGCTAAGACCCAGAATCTCCAGAGAGCCTGCAAGTTCTGTTCTCACTCCTCCTCTTCCCTGCTGACAAACTGTCTAAAGTTAGAGCCCAGTGCTTACAGGGGGAGTGGAAGGAGAGCGTTCTGTTTCACTTCTGATTATCATCATTCATTCGTTCCTCGTTAATAGCAGAACAACCAACCTGAAGGGAGTTCCAGCCATTAGAACACATCAAAGCGATCGGGGGTGCAGAATGAAAGCAGGGAAGGGAGAGAAATGTGGGCAAGGATAAGAGTGGGAGGGAGGAGAACGACAAGGAAGAAGCAGGGAGCAGAAGAGAGAGAAATGGAGGGTGGGAGTAGAGAGGAGAAAAGGAGAGGAGGACTGTGTGGGAGAAATGCAATCACTGAACACATTGAGGCCTGGGAGGAAGGCAGGAGGGGAGTCCATCTGAGGGAAATAATGTTGCTTGAGCTTGTCTACACAGACACTTCCCTGAGAAATTTAGAATCAGACACCAACTTAAAGGAGGTTGAACACCCCTCAATGACTTTGCTAATTCTTCTTTTATTTTGCCCTGAGTTAGAGCCCTAGGACACCATCCCACTCCCATTTGAAAGAAGCGGCCCGATTTCACAGCCCCTGGGCCTAGGATGAGGCTGTTCTGGCATTTTTTTAAAAAATGGGTTTTCCATCTGCTCCAACCATCACAAATTCAATTTCATATTTGGCACAAAGTAAATCAGTTTCAAGAAATATCTTGTCATCATCCAAATCAAAAAACCACATCCAAAATGCTCAATGCCAGCTACAAATTGTCAGAAGGGGTTGAAGAAAGAGGAAACGACTTTGCTCTAGACAGGGGAGGTGAAAGACATGTATTAGAATCCAACATAGTCACTCTTTGGTGTCTACATCATTTAAATGAAGCTGGAGAAAAATTTAAAATCTTGGCCAATCTGTTGTGCTGTTAACACTGTCTCTTCCCATCCTATCGCTCCCTCTTCTGTTCTGAAAACTTCTAACAGCAGCCACCACCTCTGAGTGTGAGCAAGTCCATAGCTTCTGAGTATCTGAAAAAGTAGACCAGATTTGCCCATGATCACTTGAGCTGGTCCAGCAGCTCTGCTAGCATCTGGAAAGACAAGTGGCCTCCACACATCCCTGGAGCTTTCAGGTATCTTTTCTTTATGAAGTGTCCCCACAGGTCTCTGGAGAGGTAACCTTACCCCTAAATGAAAGAAGGCCTGAAGTGCACACTGGTGGTCAGCACACAATTGATCTCTTAACACAAATTTATGCCTCCTCCTGGGCTGCCTTAAATGCCCTTGATTTCATTTATGAAATTCTTGAAAGCCTTATGCACATGGTTATCTGGGAAAGAGTCTACCTTAGCAAGTTACCAAATAAAAAAGTTTGTCTTGTTTCCTAAGCAGTGGAGGAACACCACACAGGAAGAGGGACTCACAAGTTTTGAAAAGAAATGAGAAGGTAGAAAAAAAAGAGAAATACTCTGAAGAACCATATGAATGTCTGCCTCCATGCCTTTATAATGGCCACTAACAATGCCTTTGAACCCTGTCTTTCTTCTTCACTTAGTGAACTCATTCAGGCTCTAGGCTATTTACGGCTATATTCCCAGAAATCCCAGACTGTACTTGGCACTTGATGGGTATCTTGGTTCTTCTGGGCTGCTGTAACAAAATATCTTATACTAGGGGGCTTAAAAACAACAGAAATATGTTGCTCAGAGTTCTGGAAGCTGGGAAGTCCTAGATCAGGGTGCTGGTAGATTTGCTGTCTTGTGAGGGCCCCTTTCTGGTTCACAGATGGTGCCTTCTCACTGTGTTCTCATAATGTGGAAGGGATCAGAGAGCTCTCTCCTCTTTTAAAAGGATTCCCATTCATGAAGGCTTCTCCCTGATGACTTGCTTACTTCCCAAAGGCCTTACCTTCCAATACGATCACATTGGTTGTTAGGGTTCATTCAACCTATGAATTTTGGGGGAACACACACATTCAGACCATAGCAGTAGGTATTCAATAAATATCTGCTGAAAGAATGAATGAGTGAATATATGAAGCCAGCATTTCTCATCTGCATGACTTTTGCCAACTCCCCCACCTCATTCCATAAGGTTAAGGTCCTCACTTTCTGCTTACTCTCAACCATCCTCTCATATCTTTTACCTGCCTCAGTTTTTATGAATGCATCTCTTATAATGGATCTCTTTTTGTCATTGCAGTGCAGGATCCTTAAATGTAAAAATTTTGTCTTGTTCACCTTTGTGTTCTCAGTGCCTGTCACAGTGTTGATATCTGATAGAGATGTTCAACGCATGTTGAGTAAATTATGAATGAATGAATGGCATTTGAGAAAACTGGTGGCAACATGAGGGTAGTGGATTTGAATGATAATGAATTAGATCAATCAGAAGAACTGGAAAGTCCCCTAAATTTTAATGGCAAAACCCTAAAAACAACTTTAGGGCAATAAGTCAAGGTTTTGATTCAGATATAGAATGTATGCATCTTTAGCATAGCCCAAGAGCTGGAGATGGAGGGCAGAGTGGTCACCAAGCAGGTTTTGGCAGTATCAGTGCATGCTACTGGGGGCCTCCTTACCTTTCCAGACACTCGCCAGAGCACCAGAACCATCAAGCTCTAATCATAGACAATTGGAGGCTTTATGCTGGGAACTAAAGTAGATAGACTTCTTGGGTGATGTGACTAAGGGAAACCAAAGTCCTCTCCTGTCCAAAACTCCTTCCCCACCCAGGATTCACAGGGGAAAAATGTCTTTAGGGCCCCATCTCTTGTGGGAGAAACAGACTCACATTTTGGGCCTTTTAGCAGCTACCATTATGACCATTGGCTTTACTGATCGAAAAGAAATCTTTGCAGTCAAAATCCCCCGTGTTTTCTTTTTAAATTTTTTTCTTTTGTTCTCCTGTGTTTTCAAAAATATTTTTCTCCTTCTTCTGCCCCCTCTCTCTCTGTCTTTCTTTCTCTCTTTGTTCCTTTCTTTTCCTCCTAATCTCTCCCCTCTCCCTTCCTCTCTCCCTCTCTTCTCTAGGAGGATACAGTTTCACATAAGCGACTAAGAAAATCAATTCCCTCATTCCTATCGAGAATGACATAGGCGTTTTTATCAAATGCTCATTTTACCACTGAGGCTAAAAGGATGTCAGAAGAGATCTTGCATCTGCCTTGCTAAATCCTATCATAATGTATTTGTGGTGCTTTTCTGAACCACCCGCCTACTAACAATATCAGTAAAGGAAATGAGCTTACTGTGGCTTTACTCTTGGGTTTCTGTCCTGAACTGAATTCTATCCTTTGGACACATAATCCTCCTACTTAATCATCAGCATGTGAATTTCCTTCCGGACCATGATTAGATTTTCTAACATGTTATTTCTAAGATATATACTTTACTTTTTTTTGGAAAATCAGAGTGAAATTTGCTCATCTCAGATCTAGTCCTTATCCTACAGCATTTTTTTTTTCTCAAAGACTAACACTATAATTTTGAAATCCATCTAGGTGGTTTCCCAGCATCCTGGCCTATAATCCATGGGCCTGAAGATTGAGCTCATTTAAGCCGCCTGGACATTCTGCAAATATTTTCTCTGTCTCTTTGGATTTCAATTCCCAATTGAAATTATTTTTTCAAATTATATTTATCTCAAAATCAAATTCCTTAGTGGTATAGATAGAAGTAACATAACAGAGCTGTGAATCCCAGAATGCTCCAAAGGCAATTCTGGGTAAAGAAAATTCCTAGGCTCATTTCACTTTGCCTCTCAGATTTAGTTTTTCACCTCAAGAATGAGGCAGTTCATTCGTCCCATCTAAGGTGTTTCTCCAGATATCTTTAATCCCTTCAGTCTTTCTGGTGCCCCATGCATCTTTCAAGTGTAGACTCCTTTTAATGGTTCTCTGTGACCTTTTGCACAGAGTGGGACTCTTCAGTGGTAACACAGAAGACCCTCATGCTTCAATCCAGGGATCAGCAAATCCAAGGGCTAAATCCAGTCCACTGCCTGTTTCTGTGGAAGCTGTTAACTAAGAATGTTTTTTTTTCTTTTTAAACAATCAAAAAATAATTTTCTGACACCTGAAAATCATATGAAATCCATGAATCACATTCCATTGCAGCACAGTCATTTTCATTCATTTAACTATTCTCAATCTCTGCTTCCACACTGTAACCCCAAAATTGAGTTGATGTGACAGATACTCTATGGCTCTCCAAGGCTAAAATATTTGCTATCTGGCTTTTTACAGAAAAGATTTGTCAACCCTCTGCTTTTGAGAGATCTAAATAACATATTCCAATTTGTCATTTTATTTTCGCTTAATGTTTTGCTCCATAAAAGTGCTTAATATTATTATCTTTTTAGTGCTCCTCAATGATTATCATTTTAATAAAGGATGCAGTGAGAAAAAGATAAGAATTTTTTTCAAACGCTATGATAGATTGAAATATTTCAAGCATTTTCTCTAGCTGCTCTTTATCTCTGCAGGGAGGACTGGAGGATGGCAAGGGCTTCCTATAGGCAGGCATCACCTTACTACTTTTCTTACTATCTCTGGCTTTCCTTTCCACTGTTCTAACTTAATTTTAAACCACTGTCACCTCTAACTTGGACCGTATGGTTGCTTCCCCACTAATTTCCCTCATTAGCTTTGGCCTCTATTTCATTTTCATGCCAATGCCAGGATATTCTATCTAAAACATAACTCTGATATGGCAATCTCTTGCTTGAAAACATTCAATGGCTACTAATTGGCCTGGGAATCTGGTTTCCGTATTTTAGTGGGATATATGGATTTCCTATGGTGTGGTCCTGTCTCCTTCTTCAAACCCATCTCCTCTCTCCCTCCCTCTTTCCTTCTTCTTTCTTTATTCATCATTGGATTGTTCACAGATCAATCACAGTTATTTCTATTATAAAAAGAGAAAATATTTCCTCTGCCCCATCTGATATGATAAACTTTCAGTGTTATATTTTATACGTCACATTCACAATAATTATAGTAATAAAAATAGTAGAATTTATTGAAACTTTTTGACATGATACTAACTACACTTTGAAAAATACCTGCCATCTATTAGATTGTTGATGTCTCAAAATAAAACAAAATAATCTTGAGAGGCAAATATTCTTCCCATTTTATAGTTTAGAAAATTGAAGTTTAGAGGAGATACATAACTTGCTGAAAGCCAGGGTTGTTAACTGACAGAGCCAGAATATGCAGTCAGATTTCTCTGACTTTGAAACCCAAGCTTTTGCTATGAAGCTCAACCTGTTCCACTAATGAATACACCTTCCTATGCTGTTGTGTGCTGGCAAATGTTTAACAGTGGCTGTCTCTTTGAAGGGGAAGCCCTGATTTATTGCATTTTCTAATTTCACAGAGTAAATACTCCTGCTGTGGCCAATTTCAAGTTACGAATGTGACATCACTGGATGCAAGTTGGAAGGAGACGTATAATCGCACACAATGAATTATAGAGAATTCCTGTCATGCAATAGATGTAAATAACCTCAAGAGCACAGACAGTAATAAAATATAGTAAATAATTAGGAAGTGATGAGTTTGGAATATTTATTACCTTTCTTATTTAATGTAATTTATTTAAATTTAAGTTTATCTAATTTTAAATGGCTGTGTTTAACAGCCGGCTCACAAAATTCCCGACCATTTAACAACTAGTTCTCCTGAGCTGGTATAAGCCACCTGTGTTATACCACTGCTCCTATATGGGGTAAAATTGAAGACACATAAAATGACTTCTGTTATTAACAGTCATAAAATAAAAGTGTGAACATCCTGTGACAAGTTTGGAGATGACAAGAAAAAGATTAAGAGTGAGTTAAGTTTTGAGTAGAGTCTTCCCATATAAGGTGAGGTTAGTTAGGATCAGTTCACAAATGGAATTATGTGGCATTTTCAAGAGGTGTAAAGTCCAAGTCTCTAATTCAGTTCTCTAATTTGAGCCTAACTAACTTACTAGGCTTCTTATATTCTCTATTTTCTCTCTTGGAAGCTCAGGGAAAGTGATTCTGATCTGGACCTTGGAGGAAAAGGAGACAACTACAGCAGAAAAGGAGTTAGTCAGATGTTGGACTTCATGAATGAATGTGAACTCTATGAATAGAGAGTGCTGTTGCATTTCTGTGTCTGAACATTTTCAAAACTAAGAGAGAATCCAGTCTTTGTGCGTGAGAGCCTCTTTTATCATTAGAATTCTACCTAGTGCTCTAAGAAACGGAAGTTTCCTTCCCTTAAACCGCCTGTTATCCAAGAGCTTTACCTTTAAATTCAAGTCTTCCATATTGTAACAATTTCTAATTAAAACCAGATATTAACAACAAAATGAAGAGTCATTTAAAAAACAAGACATTCTAATTATTTTTTTCTTCAGGTACAATTTTCATTTGTATCGTATTTATTTTTTCTCCCATTTAATATGAAACCATTCAAACTTGGCTCTCAGTGCGGGCAGAATTGGCAAAACTCTGTAATACTACCACTGTGTGCATGACACTAATCTTTGCCTTACTCACATGGTAAGGTTTTTGTTTATTTATTTATTTATTTGTTTATTTTGAAATTTCAAGACACTGTACAGCAGGAGACACAATCTCATGGAAATACAAGTGTGACCATCGTGCAATGAAACAAAATGTATTACTCCTTTGTCTTTATCAAGTCAAATCACACATTTGAACACCCCTCAAGCTTACTAGCCTTCAAAAATAAAATGCAAACAAATATGATCTGCCTTTTTCTTCATAATTAAATTCGTAAACATTGAAATAACAATGACAGCAATGCTAGGGAACATGCCGTGTGAGGAAAGAACTCTTGTACCAGAGGAGAAAGAGGAGAGCAAATTGTAAAATCGTGTGTGAAATCAGCTTGTCAATTTGCACCAAGAATCTAAAACACACAGATGTTGTTTATATTATTAGCAAACAATGAAAACAGCCAACATGTACAATAAAAGGGCTTGTTTAACTAGATTATTTTATATATTTATATATGTTACATATTTTATGTAAAATGGAATTTTATGCAGCTATTAAAGTGATATTTTAAAAAACTTATAAAATACAGGGAAATGCTTGTCATTTACTGCACAGTGAGGATTGAAAATTGCATATGGTACATAAAGTGAATTATGTTAAACCAAGTCTGAAAGGAAATAAGCCCGAATATTAATAGGACTTATCTCTGGATCTTAGAATGATGAATGGTTTTTCTTTCTTTTTCTTTTCTCTTTTCTATTTTCCCCAAGAATTCTATTACCAACATGTATTACTTTTATAATAAAAACATAAATAGTACAGCCCCTGTCCATGGGCTTCTAGAATCCCTAAGGCAATCAGTATACTAAAAACAGGACAAACATCCCACCAATCTATCAATCAAAAAAAGAAACAGTAAAATAAATCATGTTGTCATTCAAGTGAGCCCAGGTACAGGGCTGGCTCACAGACACCGATTGGTTGAAAGGAGCAGGAGGCTAGGATGAATAGTTTGGGGCTTGGGGATGTTGTGTCCCAAGGGAGACACCAGTGACTCAATGTCCAGAGGCTACAAGAGTGTGTGAATTAAGGTTTGCTTCCACAATGGGTCTCATCTAATGGGCTGGGTCCCGTAAAGACAAGTGTGAACATGAGGGTGGATTCACAACAACCATTCCATAAGAGCAGGGCTGCGTGTACAAGGTCCAGCATCCCGGAAAAGAGGGTGGATTGTCTAGGCAAAGTGGTGGGGGGCAGTTCACATGCAGCAGGCAAATGAGGAGCACACTCAAGGAATCAAAACTCTCCTAAGTAGTTCATACCTAAGTAGTTCAAAGAAAAGAGGAAGAGAGGATTCCTTAGAGGGGTGGGTTGGGGAGGAAGTCAGGCTTAATGGGAAATGCATAGGAGTTTAGAATCCTTTCCGTGAGGCAGCTCCTATGCTGTTTCTGACTCTCTGGGGACTTGTAATCTTTTAACTCTGTTTTTGTGCCACGTCCCTGCTCCAGTCTCCTTTTTGCAGATGACCACTGTTAAATCAAGTTTAGCCTATAGCTGCCTCCTTACACATTTTAAGTTAGGCCTAAAGGTTTTTCTTTACGTCATGAGCTATAACAAGTGGAGGTGTCAACAGTTCGTAGCCTACACTTGTGCCAGTCACCGAGTTCTGGCCAATCAAATGTAGCCAACTGTTTGAACTGTGTTCAAATACAGCAAACACTGGGCTGTAACCAATCTGGCTGTTTCTGTACCTCACTTCTGTTTCTTTTTCTTTCTTTCTTTCTTTCTTTCTTTTTTTGAGATGGAGTTTTGCTCTTGTTACCCAGGCTGGAGTGCAATGGTGCGATCTCGGCTCACCGCAACCTCCACCTCCCAGATTCAAGCGATTCTCCTGCGTCAGCCTCCCAAGTAGCTGGAATTATAGGCATGCGACACCATGCCCGGCTAATTTTGTATTTTTAGTAGAGATGGGGTTTCACCATGTTGGCCAGGCTGGTCTCAAACTCCCGACCTCAGGTGATCTGCCCGCCTCGGCCTCCCAAAGTGCTGGGGTAACAGAGGTGAGCCACTGCACCCGGCTCTCACTTCTGTTTTCTATACCTCATTTTTCTTTTTCTGTCCGAAAACTTCCTCCCACTATGTGGCTCCGCTGGAGTCTCTGAGCCCACCCTGTCTCAGAAGGCTGCCCAATTTGTGAATCGTACATGGCTCCATTAAACTCCTTTACATTTAATTTGGCTGAAGTATTTCTTTTATCACCACTTATCTTTGAACATTCACAGTTTCTTCTCTTTCATGACTTCAGTTTGCTTTTGGCTCTAGTTTGCCCTGGTATTCTGGGGTGTTTCAGCTCAGCTTCTCCAGATTGGACTCATTTTCTCAGTGTTTGAGTTGCCTGGGAGAGACACCTGGTCGGTCCGTCCAGCTTCGTTCAGGTGTCTGATGTTAGTCCAATCACCTGTGGCTAGGGGTGAGGGTAAGGCGGGACAAACATGACTACCTAGGACCCACCCTTCAGCAAGAACCATGGGTGGGGACCACCAAGAAGTCCCCAAGACATTTCGGGACTAAGGCAAGAGGATGCTTGAGGAGACTGGTTCAAAATGATGGGTGTTGGGGGGAATCCTGTGACTCTGGTGTCAACTACTGACTGGTGATGGCAAAATGAGGCTGACAAACCATCAAAGTCAACAGTGATCTCTCTGTACATTGCAATACCACTTTCCTTTTTACACTGCAAAATGCATGAAGATGGCATTCATAAGCAGGCCACCTACCTACAGCTTACCTAGATTCCTGGCAATTCTATTCTTCCAAGCATAACTTTCTCCCAGGCTCTCATCCCTACATTCTTTCCCCCATCACACACAGTTCTGAATCTCTTACTCAATTCTTTCATTGAAATAACATTGAATCAGCACTTATTTATTTTTTCCAAAATATTAATTTTGAAGTTTCAAACCTATAGAGAAATTGAAGGACTTACACAATGAGCATCATGTTTATTTTATCTAGATTGGCAAATTAATCTTTTACCACATCTAATTTATGTTTTTAAAATGTGTTTATTTTGATTTTTTTAGAGACAGGGTCTTGCTCTCTCACCCAGATCTGGAGTGCAGGGGTGTGATTGTGGTTCCCCGCAGCCTCAAACTCCTAGGCTGAAGCAATCCTCCTGCCTCAGCCATCTGAGTAGCTAAGATGACAGGCACAAACCACCACATCTGGCTAATTATTTTTTGTAGATATGGGGGTCTCATTGTGTTACCCAGGCTGGTCTTAAACTCTTGCCCTCAAGTGATCATCCTGCCTCAGCTTCCCAAAGTTCTGGGATTACAGGCATGAGCCAAGTGTGCCTAGTCCTAATTTATCTGGTTCTTACCTGTTTTCTGAAACATTTAAGAGGAAGATGCACCTATAAATGACCCTTCAACTCTAAACCCTTCAGTATGCATCTCCTGAGAACAAAAACGTTCTTCTACACAATCAAAATAAGATGGTCACATTTGAACAGCAACACAATTCTATAATTTTATATATAGACAGTCCATATTTCAGATATCCGCAATTGTCCTTATAATGATTTGTGTAGTTGTTTCTACCATTGGACACATCATTTAGGATTCAATAAAAAGTTACAAAGTGAATCGGGTTGGCATGTCTGTTTAACCTCCTTTAATCTACAACAGTTTTCCTGCCTTTTTATTTTTCCTTTCACAAAACTGATGTCGATGATGAGTACAGGAAAATTGTTTTGGAGACTGCTCTTCGATTTGAGTTTGCCAGTCTTGACTGATCTGATCCAAGTTAAATGCTTTTTTTTTTTTTTTTGGCAAGAATAAATTTCGGATGATGTATATGTGTCAGTGTATCATAACAGGAGCAAATGATGTCTATTTGTCTCATTATGATCGACATTGCTTGATCACTGTGAATAATTTACTTCTCAGTTAATTCACAAACATTATATTTTAATGAGTAGTAAATTAGCTTCTGCAGACTTGATAACCACTGGGAGATACACCTGTGTATAGGGCGGTTGTGATTGAAGTCTGCAGCTCTAGCTAACTTTGTTGAAGCACAATACTCCATTGAACTCTCCCGATGTTTTCTCTGCATGGACTGAAGAGGCAGTATAGTTCACTGATCAACACAAAGTGTAAACCCTAGCGTCACACTGCCTGGATTTGAATCCCTGACTCACCGCTTACCAGCAAAGTGACTTTAAGCATGTTCATTGATCTCCATAAACAGTTCCTCCTCTACAAAATGAGTGTAATAATGATTGGCTACCTTATAGAGTTGTTATAAGAATTAAATAAAATAATAAATGTAAATTGCCAAGTATAGAACCTGAGACAGAGTTAGTGTTTAATAAATGTTGTTTTATTCTTATATGCCATGTTCCCTTTAAAAGCAAAGGAAACTAATGTAAATCACAGTACTCCAGAAACTTAGATTTATGGGTGCTCATAAATATCTCCCAGGTTTTATAAACGATCCATATTATTCCTACTTTCATACCCTAAATCAGAATTTCTCAAACTGTTAATGTAAACAAGAATCACTCTGGCAAGTGATTCTTTTCTTTTTCAGGACCTTATTAAAAGGCAGATTCTGATTCAGCAGTCCTCAAGCACAGCCTGAAATGCTCGCAAGTTCCCACCAGATGCCAATGTCACTGGGCCATGGACCACACTTCAAGTAGCAGTACCCTAAATTGCCGCCAGGAGGAAGCACCCTGCCAAGCTTCTCACCTCATACTCTGGGGTAGATGCTGTCCTGTCATAGTAATCTTCATAGGAATCTGCCTCTAGTTTCCTCTTATTTTGTGAATATATCCAGCAACCATTAACTAAAGACCACACCGATTAAACCACTAGGACAGCTAGAAGGAGACTTTACCCCAAATTTTACTTGAAGGTTTGTCACTTTATGTTTCTACAAGTATACCTATATTCAATACATACCCATAAAGGGTGAAGCAATGGAAACAATTTCGGATTCAGATTGCTCAGAGTTTAAATGCTGCCTCTTCCATTTTTCAGTTGGTTATCAAGGTCAAGTTGTTTAACCTCTTTCGACTTCAATGACCTCATCTAAGAATGGTGACAATGCTAACTTCATGAATCCTTTGTGTCAAATTATATCTACTATATCTATACCTACCTATATAGAGACAGCCTGAACCGAGAGAGAAAGAGAAACAGAGAGAAGTAGAGAACTGGCCTGATTAATATTTCCTGGCATATGGTAGTTGCTCAAGAATCGGTAGCTTGGGTGACTTCCATTACCATTATTTGTGAACCTGTCAGGGTGTATTTTTATTTTCATCAAGTAATTTTTAAGGGTCACAGGGTCACAGACCCACAGAGTCACATCATTTTAGAGCTGGAAGTAAGTGCTCAGCGTTTCTCGGGGACCCATCATGGCCTGAAGATAAATCTATATTCCTCTCTCTCTTGGGTTTTGCTAACGGTAGGACGTGGGTTCCAGGAAGATCGCATGCACTCATTTGCCTGCACACAGTCTTCAAATTAGATTAGCCACCTTCATTTCTTGTGGTCAAGATTCCAATTTGCTTCACACCCTGTAAGCACAGATTCGTGCTTAGCATTCATCTCCACACACACTCCAAATGAGGAAAAGTCTCCAGAGTCTCTGAACAGCAAAGTTGTTTTTACTTTCAATTCCCCGTGGGCTCCTGGGAACCTTCGATGAGCATTTCACGTCTGTATAATAAGGCAGGCAAACTGCCCCATTGTGGATGGAAAATGCCCTTATGAGGTGCTTACGTCATCTTTAGGTTAAAACCGGAGTTCGGTCCAGTATATATATATTCCCCTTAGGGAAGACGGCTGCATTAGCTGTACTTGACTGAGAAGGCAGAAAATGCCAAATTATGTGAGAGAATGGAATGGATTCCTTGAGTGCTTTGTGCTAATTGCTAGCTTTGGCGTGGAGAAATTTCTCTCCTTTCTAGATGCAGGGTGACTACAGGAGAGGTCATGGCTCTCTATGGATTCTGCTGTATCACGAGAACCTCAGACTCAGTTTCTCCACATTGCAGATGGAACCACAGAATGACCAAAATCAACAACTTGATTACCAAGTTACCAAGAACCTCAGAGTCAGTTCCCTCACATCGCAGATGGAAGAACCAGAATTAACAAAATCAACAACTTGGTTTCACAGATGAGCTCACATAGATGAAGGCTGAAAGCTTTTTTGGGATCCACAGCACTACATGTGCAGTACAGCTGGGTCTTGGAACTGGACTCTTCACTCCCACTTGAGTGTTTAACAGAATTCTGCCCTTTCGACAACTCGAACATTGCATGTTTTCTTGGCTGCAAGGATGTGCAGTTTTAAAATCCACAAGTAACTGTAATTTCCCATGGCCATGGCATGTGAGCCTGGAAATATTAGAGTCACAATAGATAAGCAAGCAACAGTTTCTGCCTCAATCCTAAACATGAAAATCTATGGGACCTTGCTCCTATTCCTAATCCTCCCTGCCTGGTCTGGGAGTCTCTTAGATTGTCGTTTGTGTATGGACACAGGGACTTGACTCTCCTGACTGTGTAAGCCTTTCTGACTCCTCTGTGGCTTTGCCTTGTGGTTCTCAGGTCCTTGTGCCTGGGAGCAGCTACATCTTAAACTCATACCCTTAGTGCAGACCTGCCTTTAGCCCTTCGTTCAGCCTTACACGGAGCAGCCACTAACTTGAGAGGAGGGGAAGGAAAGACTTCTCTCACTGGCACCCAACTGTGACCTGAGGCGAAACAGTTGCCTTGGCCCTCTTATGGCCTCTAGTACTAAGAGCATTTTCGGCTGTTGAGCTCCTCTCACCAAATGCATCCCTCCTTTCTAGGAGTTTCTCACAAATCCTTGAGGAAATTAAGCTAGTATATCATTTTTTCTCTTTCTTTCTTTCTCTTTCTTTCTTTCTCTTTCTTTCTTTCTTTCTCTTTCTTTCTTTCTTTCTTTCTTTCTTTCTTTCTTTCTTTCTTTCTCTCTTTCCTTCCTTCCTTCCTTCCTTCCTTCCTTTCTCTCTCTCTCTTTCTTTCTTTCTTTCTTTTGGCACTGAGTTTCGTTCTTGTTGCCTAGGCTGGAGTGCAATCTCAACTCACTGCAGCCTCCACCTCCAAGTTCAAGTGATTCTCCTGCCTCAGCCTCCCAAGTAGCAGAGATTACAGGCATGTGTCACCACGCCTGGCTAATTTTGTATTTTTAGTAGAGATGGGGTTTCACGTGTTGGTCAGGCTGGTCTCGAACTCCTGACCTCAGGTGATCCACCTGCCTCAGCCTCCCAAAGTGCTGGGATTACAGGCGTGACCTACCACACCTTTTAATTTTCCATGAAATAAGATGATTAAATTCTCATGCTTTCAGAATGAGATGCTGAGACTTAGAGGTGATAAGGGCTAACAACTGTCATACAGCAGAAGCAGAATTTGCTTTCATATGCATCTGCCCTTATTGTTCATGGCCAACCCATTAGTCCACACTGCTGTTCTAACCCACCCTGGTATTCAAATCAGAGTGGAAAGGATGTTTCTGGCATCAGATGTTCAATTTCCATGAAATCACAGCCCATGTTCTTCAAGGAAAGGAAAGGCTGGTGAGTATATATTGCATTTGCCAAATCCCCTTTGTAGTTTCCGAACCTTTGAATTAAATCTTTATGAAAGCTACCATTATCCACTCAGCCATGGAAAGTCTGCCAGGACCCAGGCTTCTGGGGAATTTCCCACTCTTCTCTAGAACTGACAAGTTCTTCTTTCCCTAACATGTCATGGAAAGAATAACTAGAGTTCCCTTTGCCAGAAAAGCAGCAGAATACAGCACACATCCACCAACCCTTTCATCTCTCTAAGAAGAAATGACAATGAGAAGCATCACGGCAATGACGATGGTGATGACAATAATAATGATGAGGCGGAGATAGAGGAGAATAATGAAGAAGAGGAAGAGAAGAAGGAGCACCTTCCATGGACCAGGCATTATATCAGGCACTTTCCATAACACATGTCTGAAGTTTATGATGACCTTAAAATGAAACATGATAACTGTGATATAAATATAAGGAAACTGAGTCTCAGATGGGTTCAAAGCAAGTAAGAGGCAGGGCTGGGATTATTTCAGGGGAGGGTCTTCCCCCTCACCACCACACTTCTTCTGATAACCATCTGGCACACAAATGCTCAATTACTTTGGACTCATGACTGTCTTGCCACAATGGGAGTTCATGTTATCTTTCACATGTGGATTTTAGCAACTACAGAAATGCAGGCTGCTGTCAGAGGATTCCGCTATTAATGGCCAAACTGGAGGCAAGGATTCTCGAGTCATACCCCTCACCCCAGGAGGAGACACATTTCTTTTGCACCCCTTCCTGCCGAGTGCGTGAGAATTGTGACTGCAGTAATTCTATCACAATTATTCAATAACCTGAACACAGAAGGAAAACGTCAGTCAAACTTGCTCTCCTGACATTACATGCCCGTCCTAGTTACCGAAGCCTAGTCCATCCAACTTCTGTTCTCCAGGGACATAGGGGGACAGCCACCCAGGAGAGCGGGCTGCTCGGTTGATTGACGTGGGGCTTGTGTGCAGAAAGCCACAGAGGCTTTTGAGTGGAATTATTGAAGTCTGTCTGCTTCACTGATGAAGGATCTGAATGAAAATTGCCTTTAAAGGTTTCTAAAAAGAGAGGGATAACAATAGATCAAAGCTGGTCCAAAAAAGGGAGAACCTTTTATTTATAGCATCCACATTAATTCGAAACAATCTGATGAGCAGAGATTTACCCATGCACGTACTTCCCACAAAAACAAATGCCTCTCAGGTTGCTTTTTTTCTAATATGTTATCAGCGCCCGAGGCGAGAAACATTCTGTACTTCACTCAGCAGAGCCTGTCCACATTTACAATTAAATGGAACTGACACAGCTGATCATCCTGAAGCTTGTTTCCTTTTCAGTTGGGGCTTTTTCTTTTTCTTTTTTTCTAAGCTTGGATATTATGCTGGCTGTATTCCAAACTGTTGGAGCTTACTGTACCATTTTCTTCCCAGGCACTCGGACACTGTGTTCAGTTACAGCTGTGTCCTCTACCCAGGGCAATTTTGTCCCTGAGAGGACACTTGGTAATGTCTGGAGACATTTTTGATTGTCACAACTTGAGAGTGGGGGTTGCTACTGGCGTCTAGTGGGTAGAGGTCAGAGATACTAGGAAACATCTTACAATGCAGAGGACAGCTCCCCCCAGATAATTATCTGGCCCCTAATGTCCATCAGGCTGAAGTTAAGAAACCCTGGGTTAGAGAACAGGTGGTTGATAGGGCCCTCCAGGGCTGAGGAAATGAAGAGACGCTCCTCTCTGAAGTTGTAGGAGGTGCTGTAATCAGAGGAGTTTGCTGATGAAATTCTAGGTGGCAAGGAGCTTCAGTAAGTCCAAGAGAAAAATCTGACTGGCACACAGAATCAAAGGACTGTAAGTAGACATTTGATTTAAGATTATGGGTTCAAATTCTGTAGCACCATGGAGATGGGTGAAGAAAAGGGGGGTGATTAGGTTTGGAGCAGTGCTTGGCCACAGTTCTTGTTGTCTGTCCTTCAATTTTTTTATTTTTTATTTATTTATTTATTTTTTGATGGAGTCTCATTCTTGTCCCTCAGGCTGGAGTGCAATGGCACACTCTCGGCTCACTGCAACCTCCGCCTCCCAGGTTCAAGCGATTCTCCTGCCTCAGCCTCCTGAGTAGCTGGGATTACAGGCGCCCGCCAACATGCCTGGCTAATTTTTGTATTTTTGGTAGAGATGGGGTTTCGCAATGTTGGCCAGGCTAATCTCGAACTCCTGACCTCAGGTGATCTGCCCACCTCGGCCTCCCAAGGTGATGGGATTACACGCGTGAGCCACCACGCCCAGCCGTATCCTTCAATTTTAAAATAGAATTCAGTGTGGGATGTGGAAGAGATGATGTCTTTTGGCGGTTTGGTAACGAGGCAGGTACTTTTGTAATATTTGCATTACTATTGTTTTTTATCTAATGTACAGTATCAGAATGTTTTACAGAGGGATTCAAACACGTGATCCACAGTTGAGTTAAGCAAACAGTTTAATGTTTATTTCTGCCAAAATAGTGTTTAGGAAAGAAAGTAGTAGGGAAGGAAGGAAAGAGGGAAGGAAGGAATGAAGGAAGGAAGGAAAGAAGGAAGGAAGGGAGGGAGGGAGGGAAAGGAAGAAATGGAGAGAAGGAAGAAAAGGAGGAAGGGAAAGAGGGAGGGAGATTGTTTGAATGCCAATGAGCAGGGCATACATATTTAGTTCCACAAAGCCCACCCCTTCTTCTTACATCTGGCTCGGTCACACAGGCATGTTACTCATCTGACCCTATAAGCATTTGTATTTTGACTCCCCTGATCTTAGATTTCATCATTGCCTTCCAGATGTTTTAGTATTAGAAAAGTTCCCTAAATCACACTCTGGTTTGGTCTGTCCGCAAAACTGGCCTAAATTTTACCTACTGCACAAACAGACACCTAAGGCTGGTGTGGTGGTCGCACCTGTAATCCCAGCTACTCGAGAGGCTGAGGTGGGAGGATTGCTTGAGCCCAGAAGTTTGAGGCCAGCCTGGACAACATAGCAAGACCCCTACTCTAATTTTATTTTATTTTTTTTAAAAAAGGAGAAAACTGAATTTAGATGGCTTTTCATGATAGGTGTGGGAAGGCGTCTCATTGCTCGATGGTCACACTTTAAAGATTATAAACTGCATGTCAGAGGTGAAAAAAACCTCAAATATCATCCAGCCCAGTGGTAGTTTCCTATCAGAATAATCTGGGGAGACTTTGAAATCACCTGTGCTCTGGCCCCTGCTCCAGAGGTTCTGATTTACTTGGTCAGGAGAAGTCCTGGGCATCTGTGTTTTTAAAAAGCTCCCAGGTGATTTTAGGTGCAGCCAATGATAAGAACCTCTAATCCAGTCTGTCTTCCTCATTCTCAGAAGAGGAAAATGAAGGCCAGAGAGACAAAAAGTTCGTGAAAATATATTTGCTAAGTGTGTATGTTTCTAATGCTTTTGCCTTCTCTCTCATCAGGACTAAATATGCAGTGAAAAAAGATAAGAGGGAAACCCAAGAACTGTGTTCTAGGACTGTTTCCAACTCTTGCTGGCAGAAAAACTGGCTGGCAGTTTCTAGAGGGAGCCAGGCTGTCTTGAGTTTTGCAGCGAGTAGCTGGCTCGTGAATTCTCTGGTTCTCAGAAATACCCCAGGGCTATAATGGGTAGCTCTGACATGCTGCCTTGGCTAGAGAAACACTTTCTTTTACTTGCTTTGATTGAATCCAATATTTTTTCTTCTCGGAATCCCAGGCATATCTACATTATCCAAGGTGTGGATGGAGATGTATTTTGGAAGGATTTAGAGATGTCTGTTCTTATTGAAAAAATAAAATTCAATCTGCCATCATAGTGAAATTAATAGGGAAGGAAATACACGCTCAATTCTCCTCTAGAAAAGTGAGGGTCCAGTGATGTGTAATGGAAGATAAGGTATCCCGCACTCATAATGGGAACAGAGGCAGTGTCAGAGCATCAGTGCCTGTGGTCTTTCAACTAAGTTACAGGAGGCAATGGAAGAATCATAACTCCTGAGTCCAAATCCCAAGTTCACTAACTACAAATTCTGAAAACTCAGGCAGGTGCTCAAGCCTACAAACAAAATCAAGATCATGAAAACATGCAGCCTTACAAAATCACACCTTTTACAAAGATTTCATAAAACTCTGAAGAGGGTGGGGTATAGTAGGTAGCCAAGAAGTGTAGGAGGTAACACGTGCTGAGCGCTGAGCATTTTTTATGTCTTCTCTCATTTATTCCCATAGCAACCCATGTGTGAGATTGATATTCAAGTCCACTTTTGATGAAGGCAGAAACTGAGGATCAGAAGGATCAAGAAACTTCTGTAAAAATCCCATGGCTAAGAAATCGTAGAGCTGAAATTCAAACCCAGTATTATTTTTGTGACAGACACATCTACCTGTCTACTTCATGTGGTTTTATTGATAACCTGCTTGTGTTTAGAGTATGAATCTGGGTTCTATTGTATGGCCTAGACTTAGTAGGATTCAATCAATCAATAGTTTGATCTGCTTCCGTATCATTTAGTTTGATCTGCTTCCGTATCGTTCCCAAGCATACTTTCCATCCTTGATAACCTGTCAGACAAATCACACGGCTTCTCTATATTCTTTCTAGTTATTTTTCATTATCATGACAGTCTCACTTTCAGATATTAAATATATCAAAATTTAATGTCTAATCTAGTTCAATCCTTGCCCACACCCCATCCCTTCCAACTCCCTGTCTCCTCCTCACTCTAGCTCAGGCCAGACTCACATTTTTATAATCTGCAAAGTCAGAGGGGGTGTTCATTTTTCTTTCTCCTCTCGCATTTGCTTCTCCTTTTTCATCTGTTCATTTTCTCCTCTGCTCCCACAGCCTATAGTGTTTCTGTTTTCTTCAGAATCAGCTCAAGGAGAAAACTGGGGAATTAAAGTCTAAAAATGGTTTCACATGACTGATGCTGTCAAATTTGACATCTGCACCCTCTGTCTGGCACATACCCAAATGCTGGCATTGCTACTCTTGGGGGGCAATGGTAGGCTTTTTGAAGGCATCCCTAGGTTTGATGAATTGATAGGAGGACTCACAGGACTCAGTGTATAATAATATTCACAGCTATGAATTATTACAGCAAAAAAACTCAGAGCAAGGTCAGCAAAGGGAAAAGACACATGGGACGAAGTATGGGGAAAACCAGACATAAGCTTCCAGGGATCCTTTCCAGTAGAGTCACCGAGACATGCTTAATTCTCCAACAGTGAGTTATGACAACATGTGTAAAATATTGCCAAGTAGTGGAGCTCATTAGAGACAAAGCATTCAGTGTTTATTGGAGGCTGGTATGCAGGCAGCCTCTGCCTGGCACATACCAAAATTCCAGACTCCCTGAGGGAAAGCAGGTGTTCAGCAGAAACTGTATTGTTTAGGCATAGAATGCCATTCTTATCAGTTCTGAAAATAGCGGAAACACTCCAAATTCCCAGACACTCTGAGTACAGTCAGGAGCTAATCTTGTAAACAAGCCTTTCCAAGGATCGCAGTCAGGCCTGCTATGCTGTCTCTTTTCTGCACACACCTCCACCCTTTCAAGGCCACTAGGATCCTGCACTGTTAACCAGGACTTTCTCACGAACATGGTAGGACTCTAACCCTCAGTATATACTTCTGGCAATACAACTGTCACTTCTTCCTACTGGAAAATGCCAGCTCAGGACACTGTCTCTTGAGTGGCTACCTTTCACAGCATCCTCTTAACTCATGGAGCCAGTGGACATGGTTGCCTGTGTACCCTGAAGCTCCGGGGCACTCCTGCTGTAGCTCTCTAGCTCTGTGGGCACATCCAGCCAGCCCTCTCTGCCATTGCAAGAGATAAATACCTTCTTCTGTGCCCACCAAACTCTGAGAAGAAATATCTGCCACGTCCTCCCAAGAATTTCCTCACTGCTCTGGTACCCTGTTGATGCTGGGGTCATTGACTTCTCTGTTGATTCTTGGGGCACCGAGTTCCTCTTTTTGGCTTGGGAGAGAAGAGTATCCCTTCCCCGCATTCTCTAGTAGGCCAGCCATCTTTTGTAAATAAACCCTGGACATATCTCCAGGCAGCTGTTATCTAGAGACCGGAGGTGGGTGATGGGTTAATGAGTTCAGCATGGGTTTAGCCACCTCTGAGCAAGTTCTTTGTTGATGTGTCTGGCAACTTTTTCTCAGGATTTGCAGCACTTGCTCTTTATTGTTTAGAGCTTTGGGCTTCTGCCAAAGTTCTGAGAAATAGGAGAAGTCTCAGTTGGCACCATGTCACCTGACTCCTATTTCCATTAATTTCTGTTTAATTCCATTTCCAACTCTACTGCTTTGGTTCAGCTGTGATCAGTCCCCCAGTTACCCTGGACATTTTAGGCCTTCTATTTCTCCTACTTACATTCAGTCTTCCTCATGGTTTCCAGAATTCTGTTCTTAATACGATTTGACCCTGTTATTCACCTGTTTAATCTCTGCTCACCATCCAGAGGCCATGGGAATGTCCACGCTCCTCAGGATGGTTCACAAAAGCCCTTCGGAGCCTGGCCTCACCTGCCTTTCCACTTCCATTTCTGGACATTTCTGGACATTTCTGGTTTGTCTCTACAACAGTCGCTTTCTGTGTGCAACTGGAAATTTCTCTGGACACTTGCTTATGACCTTCCCTCTGTTTGTCTAGATGGGAACCTCTACTAGAGGATCACTTGAGCCCAGGAAGGCCAGGCTGCAGTGAGCTATGATTGCACCACTGCACTCCAACTTGGGTGACAGAGTGAGACCTTGTCTTAAAAACAAACAAACAAACAAAAACTACGATATATTTAAGCAGACAAAATTGTAATAGTTAAAAAGTCTGGGATACTCAGGAAAGCATAAATCCTAGTGCTGGTTTAACAACTACTTGTATGTTTTTATTTGCCAAATTGTTTTCATGTTACACATTTCAGGAGGAAGGAGTCCTTAGTTTATCCAAGAGCACTCCTTCATAACACACTATTTGGAATACAGTACTGGCAGTCTTCAACTTCTGGGGCCTCAAAGGCCCCAGACAGAGTTATCTATTTTCTCTGGTGTGCCTTGGCAGCACTTTGTGCAACCCAGCTCCACCGTTTACTAGCTGTGTGACCTCGGGCAAAAAGACTCAACCTCTTTGTGCCTCAACTTTCTCATCTGTAAAATCAGGACAATAATATCACCTATTTTATTGTGTTGCTCAGGAAGACTACATTATAAAGGTTGATATTGTAAAGCGTTGCAAATGTGCCTGATACAGGTCACATTCTACAATATTTGTTACATAAACATGTTATATAAATTTGTAATACAAATATTGACTTTATATGTTTCAGAAAATATACTTCCCCCTTCAAGACAATGAGCTTTGTGAGGGCAAGTCACCTTCTTCATCTATTTTGCCTGCCCAGTGGCAAGCATACCTAGAAGGTGCTCAGTAAAGAGTTGTGGTGAAATATTATGGATGAAATGATATCATGTCTGAGATTGTCCTTAAAATAGAACAGGAGGAAGGGAGGCGTATAAAGATAGAAATGGGACAAGACTGGAGAACTGTTGAAAGTGTTTGATGGAAGGATGGGAATTCATTGTGTTATTCTATTTTTATGTATATTAGAAATCTTCCATAATAAAAAAGATTAATTAGCAAAAAGGAGGAAAAAAATAGCTGTTGAAAAAAATTAGTAACTCAAAGCTAATACCCTTGCTTTGATTCCCCATTTCTGTATTTCCTTTTCAAAATTTAATTTCACACAGGAGGATCAAGCAGTCAGAAATCTTGAAATTTCTGTGCTTCCCTCCATCCTGAAGCCAAAAATTACACTGCAAGACATGTTTGGAAATTTTCTTTCTTTATGCAACAGGTAGCTATCTTGTTTGAAATGAGAGAGCTGTCATTTTTGAGTCACGTATGAAACTTCTGCTGGGAATTTATGGGTTTTTCTTTTTTTCATATTTGCTCAGAGTCACCCAGCGGTCTTGGAGCATCTCAGTCTGACAATTGATAGAGTCATTTCCAAAGCCACACATTTCCTGATTTGCATTTTCGCTGTCTGCTAAAGATGTGGCCTCTGGAAGGGGCCGTGCCATGCGACTGCAATCTGTCCCCCGTGCTGGCAGCAGGCTGACATATCTGGCCGCAGGACACCCCAGGTACTCCATATTGCCCATCAAGTGTGGGAAATGACCACCTCACATGTCCAAATGGGACTCCGTGTTGTCAAATTCCTGGGCGGCTGTGTGAGTAGGGGTTTTCTTCCACTGTCCTGGAAAATAGCAATCAACTGCTCTGCACTTAGCAGAGGAGGTGTTCAGCAGAGATGGAGGCAAATTCACTGAGCACCTGCTAAGTGGCCAACTGTTCCAAATGCTCCGCATGCATTTCCTTATTGCCTCTTCACAATAGGTTTCCAGGGGGGCATATTTAACACCTGTATTGCAGATAAGCGTTGCTGCTCAGAGAGGTTAGGTAACTTTCTTTCTTTTTAAGTGATGAATGTGGGATTAGAATCCAGGCCTGATTTCAGTGCCTGAATCCTTTCTATAATGATTCCCAGATTTCTAATATCTCAGGGAGAGCAAGGGCTCTCTCCAGCACCCTAGAGGGCAGAGAAAGGGAGAGAAGATGGGGCTTTGTCTCCCCCAACTCAATTCAACCACAGGGGCTTCATTGGAATTACTTCTTCTTAATGACAAGCAATTGCTAAGATTTAGTGCATAACTGAAAGTGCCAGACAGTGTGTGCTTAGCAATTTATATAATCTACGTCATTTAATGCTCATGGCAGACCTAAGAAATGGATGACATCACAATTCCCCATTTATCTAGGAGGAGACTGAGGGACACAGAGGATAAGAAACTTGCCAAAGGTAACACAGTTTGTTTGGCCAGGAATTAACAAGGTGTAGTCTGGCCCTGGAGCCCCATACACTTGATACTACCAGATTTGATTTAAAGCAGCAGCTAGGTTTTATTTATTTGTTTTTTGAGATGAAGTCTCACTCTGTCACCCAGGCTTGAGTGCAGTGGCATGATCTCGGCTCACTGCAACCTCCACCTCCCGTGTTCCAGCAATTCTCCTGTCTCAGCCTCCTGAGTAGCTGGAACTACAGGCGCACGCCACCACAACTGGCTAATTTTTTGTATTTTTAGTAGAGAATGAGTTTCACCATGTTGGCCAGGCTGGTCTCGAACTCCTGACCTCAAGTGAGCCACCTGCCTCCACCTCCCAAAGTGCTGGGATTACAGGCATGAGCCATTGTGCCTGGCTGACAGCTAAGTTTTCACTACTCCACAATACCTCACTCAACAGTCCTTTCTTCTTTCGCTCCCCTCTCTATCCATTCCTCTTTTTCCTTCCCTCCTTCCCTTCTTTCCTGTCTTTCATTCATTCTGTGCCAAACAGGCTCTGACAATATGAACTTGAAACTGAATGAGAGAAAGTTCTTATGCCTAGGAGGCTCTTAGAGTCTGGAAGAAAGTATCATTTATGTGAAGGGAAATGTGAAAGAAGGGCCATGCTACCCAGCCCAGAGGAGATGACATTTCACAATCTGGCACACAAGCCTGCAGGTGACAAAAGTTGTCTTGTCTTGCGATCACCCCCGAGGGGAAGATTTGAGACAGGAGCCTGCTGACCTTCCAATCCCAGTCACTGCTCTTTCCCCACTCCTTGGCATCTCCCCGAGAGTGCTTTTGAAAGGCAACTAACTGAGTTATCAGGGAGACCCTGATGGAGGGAAATTGCTGATGCTCTGGGACACTTTTTTTCATTCATTCACCTTCTCATTCTCTAGTTTGGACTTTTGCTTGGGTTGTGCAAAAACAGCTGCGTTTCCCCCTTATCTTTGTAATAACACAGTCCTCCGAAGGGCAGGCCAGTACTTCGGTCTTCCATTCTTTGCAGTAAATGTCACCGCATGTCACCAGGTATTGTTTTGTTTAGGGCAGCTTCATAATTAATAGAGGCCTCTGCTCTTGTTTAAATGTCTTTTGTTTTGTTTTAATCAGAGCTTTGGGGCATCATCGCAGCCCCCTACATTTTCTCATCTTCTTTCTTTAATGCCCATGTTTAAATCTAGAGAGTTGCCTCTTTTGTTCCTAGCTAGAAAACAATTATTAGAGACAAGGAAGGTAGCAAGAATCACTGGGCTTTCTCAATCTGAAGCTCTCTTGGGTTGTACACCTGTGGCATTGCACTGTGATCAGATCTGCAGCTTATTTAGCACCAGAAGCTTCTGCCACCCAGATCCCTGGGGCAGGATGAAGTTTCCTGGGCAAATAAGGTACCCAGGGTTGATTAGCATTGACTATACCTCTGAGGTGAGATTGGAAAGTGGCCCCTTTGCTCCACAACCCAGGGTTCTGCATTGCAGCCTGGGGGTTTGCTTTGTTGTATTGGCCACATGACTCCTGGGCAGCCTCTGCCTTTCCAGTTCTGCCATCAGAAGGTATCAAGTTCTCCCGAGCCAAATCTAGCTTAACTTGGCATTGTAGACTACTAGATCTTACTAGATCTAGTAAGAGGGAATCTAGAAGACTCCTGCCAATCTGAGCTTGATGTCAGGGATGTCGGGCAGCACATATGGGATCAGAGTTTCTCACACCTTGAGCAGCATGGCCAGCCTGCAGCTCTGGGCTTCTGTTTTCTCTCCCTGAAATTTCTTACTTTCCATGCCTTGCCCTGGTCCTGCCCTGCCAATGTCTGCTCCATTACAGTGGTTTCACCTCCCAGAAGACAGGTTTGCTCCAACCCTCCAATGTCCCTGGCAGTTCTGCACCCCAGAGGGATGAATACCCTTCTCTCCAGGATAACTCATTTCTTAGACAGGAAAAAATTTAATTTCATCTTCTCTAATCTAACTCTTCCTGAAAGATGCGTAGCTGAATCAGAATGATTCCAGGCATTTCCTCTCACTTTCTTAATAGAAAACTGTACCATAAAGACACATGCACGTGAATGTTCATTGCAGCACTATTCACAATAGCAAAGACATGGAATCGAACTAAATGCCCATCAGTGACAAATTGGATTAAAAAATGTGGTACATATACACCATGAAATATAATGAAGCCATAAAAAAGAGCAAGATAATGTCTTTTGTGGGAACATGGAAGGAGCTGGAGGCCATTATCCTTAGCAAACTAAACTAGGAACAGAAAACCAAATACAACATGTCCTCAGCTATGAGTTGGAGCTAAATTATGAGGACTCATGAACACAAAGAGGGGAACAACAGACACTGGGATCTTCTTGAGGGTGGAGGGTGGGAGGAGGAAGAGGAGCAGCAAAGATAACTATTGGATCTGGGCTTAATATCTGGGTGATGAAATAATCTGTACAACAAGCCCCCATGACACAAGTTCACCTATGTAATAAACCTTCATGTGTATCCCCAAATCTAAAATAAAAGTATTTAAAAAAAAAGGAAACTGAACCTATTAGAAAGATGGGTTTCATCACAGCCATTCTTAGCCACTTATTGGCTCTGCTAACTCTCAGCCACGGCTTCTAATTCTAGTGTGAGGCAGAGCCTTCCTGGCCTCTTCTGTCCCCACCTGGGAGGGAAGAAGCTGTTCAGAAATTGACATTGAAATGAAAAGTTAACGTAAGGAAGACAGGGACAGAGCATCTTTTAGGTGGTGTTATAATTGTTGATTCTGTATAGATTCCTATTGAAGCCTGTCTTACTGAAGATAGCTTTATCTTGTTTACCTTCCAACTATCTGCTTTTCCCAGTCAAACAGCAGGCATCCCAACAGAGCTGAGTTACCAAAGGCAGCTGTTTACTTGCCTTCCAGAGGACAGAACAAGGGGAAAGAAAGCTTATGGTCCAACATCAAAGACTGAGGCTTTGTTTACTGAGATAATAAGCTGCTCTCAAGCAGGGACTGAGTAATTTATTTGCCTGAATGTCTCCTCTAAAGCTAGAATAGTGCCCAACGCTTACTAGATGCTCAGTAAGTAGCTTTTAATGGACTCATGCATAAATGTCAGGTACTTTTAATACTATCAGTAACAAGCACTGTTGAGTGACATCCTGTGAATATTAACTAAAAGAACCTAATAGTGTCATTAGGTAGATACTTTTGTTGCCATTTTAATTATAAAGAATCTAAAGAGGTTAAGTAACTTCCTGACCAGCACAAAGTGACAGAATGGTTGAGCAGGTATTTGAACTCTGGTTTGTCTTCATTTCCACATTCTGGTGGGCTTGTTGCACGTCACTGTGACAGCTGCTACATGATGTCACGTAGAGAGCTATGGAAACGCAGAGAGAGTTACTGCTCACTTTGTCAGGTAGAATTAGAGCAGACTTCACAGAGGAATTGTGATTTAAATAGCAAGGTATGTTCTGCACAGTGGAGGACGGGGGGCCATTCCTGTCAGCACATGCAAAGGCATAGCATGGCCAAGGAGAGGCAGGACTGTGCAGCTGGGACATGGGGAAGAGATTCAAAGTCAGGCAGGTAACAGGGTGGAGGAAGATGAATTCAGGGAGGTTGTCTGGAGCCAGAGTGTAGAGGAGACAGGATTCTATCTGATCAGGGCAGCTTCCAGAAAATTCTGTCATAAGCTAGTGATATGGTTTGACTGTATCCTCACCCAAATCTCATCTTGAATTGTGGCTCCCATAATTCCCACGTGTCGTGGGAGGGACCTGGTGGGAGGTAATTGAATCATGGGGGCGGGTTTTTCCCATGCTGTTCTCGTGATAGTGAATAAGTCTCACGATATCTGATGGTTCTATAAAGGGGAGTTCCCCTGCACAAGCCCTCTTGCCTGCTGCCGTGTAAGACATGTTTTCTTCCCCTTCTGCCATGACTGCAAGTTTGCTGAGGCCTCCCCAGCCCGGCAGAACTGAGTCAATTAAACTTCTTTCCTTTATAAATTATCCAGTCTTGGGTATGTCTTTATCAGCAGCATGAGAACAGACTAATACAGCTAGTTTCAGGGCTGGAAACATTCCTTTGTCTTCCCAGAATTTGGCAGTGGTGAAAATCTCCCTGGGAAGCATTCTACTGGAAAGGAGACCTTCACCCCTTTGCCAAGAGTGAAGCACATGTGTGGCTTCTAACAGTGCATGTTATAGAGGAAAGTTTTAGTTAATTTCCCTTAAGGAACTTTAAAAAATGTAACCAACTGGACCCTAGTAAAGTCTTTGGATTTTCTGCTATAAAAATTCCACCTTTGATGTTCTCTTGTTAGTAGCAATGGCTGATCTGTGTAATTTAATGGACCGTTCTCTCATTTCTGCAGATTAAGGGAATACTATGAAGGGACTCTTTGGGATGCAAAGTCATAAACTTGACATTCTTTGTAACAGAACTGTATTTATGGCATGTTGGTGGATAGTGAGGCAATGGTTATGTTAAAGGGACTATCCCTCTGCTTGCTACATTGTCATTTGAATAGATCAACATCACTGTTTGGGATCATCAACCTCTGCTGTACATTTTCAAGCCCAATGGCCATGGTGAGATGTAGAGTTGAGTGCTATGAAATAGAACTTTACTTTGTGGGTAATGTATGTGTCCATAATATGTTAAAGCTAACTTAGAGATCCTCTTGGCCTGACACTCATTTTATAAAGGAAGAAATCAAGGCTCAGAGAGGTGAAGTGGTATGCCCAGGGTCACACAGTAGCCCTGCCCTGTCCAATGCCATAGTCACTCATCATATGTTGCTATTAAGCATTTGAAAGGAAGCTAGTCCAATTTGAATGTCTTTAGGTTTAAAATATACATGGGATTTCATTGACTTAGTATAAATATAAATTAGCTCACTACTTTTTTTTTTATATTGATTGCATGTTGAAAAGATAACATCTTGTATATATTGGGTTAAATAAAATATATATATTCTAACATTATTTTAAAAAATTAGCAAATAATAGTTGTACATATTCACGGGGTACATAGTGTTTTGATACATATAATGTATAGATATATAGTGATCTAATCAGGGTAATTAGCATATCCATCATCTCAAATGTTTATCATTTCTTTGTATTAGGAACATTCAATATCCTCCTTCTAGCTATTTGAAACTATGTAGCATATTATTAACTATAGTCATCCTACAGTGATATAGAACACTAGAATTTGTGATTTTGTATCCTTTAACAAATCTATTTCCATGCCTCCCTAAATAACATATATTATCAACATTAATATCACCTTTTTTTTTTTCATGTAGCTATTAGAAAACTTAAAATGACACATGTGGCTGGTGTTGTGTTTCTCTTTGACAGTGCTCTTTTCAAACTTGGAGTAGAAAACAGCTCTCCTGACTTTGATCTTGACCTGTAGTGGGTGAGCAGGTATCAAGCAGGTTGGGGAAAGGCCAGAGCAAAGCAGGCCAGTTAGGAGGCGACTGCAGCAGATGTGGCCTGGAGGTGGGGTGACGGGGGTGGCGGGGCGGGAGTGGCGGTGGGGGAGGCAGGCATGGGAGCTCAGTGTTTGTCATCTGAACAGGATCCCATTACTCTGTCAGTTGTCCCTCTCCTACCTCCCCACAGCCCTTCCTTTTCTAATTCTCCAGTGCCCTGAAGCTTGTTTCTTCTTTCCATGCTTTGTCCCCTTCACTAATTTGCTCTCTTTCCTCCCCATCTTGTTTGATTTATGACTGATCCTCCAGGCCTCTCTTCAGTTCCTCACCTTCCTTCAACCACCTTCCCCCCTTCTTCCCCACAATGCATTTACGTGGAGAAAAATAATTTCAAAACAACACTTACTTTGAAATAATGAAGAATGACCACTTACTAAAAGCATGAAAACCCTTTTCACTCCTTTCCTTGCAGTATCTGAACCGTAGCTGCCGGAATCTGGATTGTAAAAAAATGCAGAGGAGTTTGTGGAAGGAAAAATTAGTCAGTTTTGGAAAACAGTTTTGAGTATTAAGTGTTATTAAACAGTCTGTGCCACTGCTAGCTCCAGTTCCTTTCTGTAGCTCTTCCAGGCTCGAATTCTCCTAATGTAAAATAGGAATTCTTCATCTGCTCATTCATTCTTCAAAGATTTAGCAGGCATTACAATTTCCCAGGCATGTGTGCTGGGCTCTGGAGATATGATGGTGCTCACAGCAGACATGGTTTCACCACAGATAGAGGAGAAAGATGCAGACAAACAGATCAGGTGTGGCTGGTGGCTTTTGGGTCCCACAGATGTTGGTGGTCTCAGCGGGGCTGGCATTTCACCACCCTGACCAGGATGAAGCTGCTGGTAGAACCAGAACCAACAGAAACCTGGAGTCCCATGGGAGTCCGGACTCTAAATAACTTTATACCACCCAGAGTGTTGATGTCTGTTGCTTACAATCAACTCCCTCTATCCTGTCCTCTTTAATATCAGGGATGAAATCCCATTCAGCCACTGGTCTCCCGACTAAAATCACCTTGTCTGGATTCATCGCTGCAAAAGCACACACTGCATCTCCATATTCCTTACTCCACAGAATGTCCCCACCTGCTCCTCCACGGGATACCACTCCCTGCCACTTGGTAGACCTCTGCAAAGTATCTCAGGACTAGGGGCGGGCACGTGTGGAGGTGAAATTTTTCTTTCCATGACATTGACCATGAATCATTGCTTTTCTTCCTCAATAAAGTTTTCTTTTGAAATTGAGAAATGTGATGCATATTAAGAAAGGTACGGAAAATATATGTGTGATTTAAATAATAAGTGTACCGTGAACTTAGTAAACTATCACGTGGGTCAAAAACTAGACTGTTGCCAGGCTGAAATATATCCTCTGTGCCTTCTGCCAGTCATATACCGCCCATCCTCATGGACAGAACTCAGCATCCTGACCTTTAGAATAAAGGCCTCTCTGCAGTTCCTCACCTTCCTTCAACCACCTTTCCCCCTTCTTCCCCACAGTGCATTTACATAGAGAAAAATAATTTCAAAACAACACTTACTTTGAAATAATGTAGAATGATTTCAATGGTTTGAAAGGGAGGATAATAACGAGGCATCCCTTTGTTTTCTTTATCATTTTATGACTTTTATATGCATCTCAAAATAATATAGATTAAGTTAGCCTTTTTTGAGTGCTGAACAAATGTAATTATATTGTATGTGTCTTTTTATATGTGTCTCAGTATCCTGTTTGGGAGACTCACTCATGTCATTGCCTATTTCTGAGGTTTATTCATTTTTATTACAGGTTGAGTATCTCTTATCCAAACGCTTGGGGCCACAAGCACTTCAGATTTTCGATTTTTTTTCTTTTTTTTTGCAGGGACTGGGGAGGGTTGTAATATTTGTATTATATACTGGTGGAGCATCCCTAATCTGAAAATCCAAAAATCCAAAATGCTCCAATGAGCATGTCCTTTGAGCATTATACCAGCGCTCAAAATGTTTCCGATTTTGGAACACTTCAAGTTTTGGATTTTTCGATTAGGGTTACTCAGTGACTGTAACTTTTCTACTCTCTTGAGAATCTGCCCTCCTGCCTTGACCTGCTGACCTCTGACTGCTTCTGCCTCATGGTCCTCACCTCCATCACAGGCACTACCTCGTCCTAGATGACACTTCACAGTGTTATCCATGATGACAGCCTTTTATTATGAAAAAGTTCAAACATATCCCAACTCTGCCAATTATCAGTTTATGCCAAACGTATCACCCCTATATCCTCATGCAGTCCTTCCCCCAGTCATCTTAACGCAAATCCCAGTGATCATATTATTTCATTTATAAATATCTCATTTTTTTCCAAAAGTTAAGAACTCTTTTTAAAAACACATCTCAATATTACATCATGCATAGAATAAAATTAGAAAAATAGTTTGTTAATCAATTTTGAAAACAAGCTGTGTTAAGATTGTTTTATTATCTTTTTAAAAAATTCTCAGTTTGTTTGAAGCAGGATCAAAATAAGATTCATAAATGCAATGCAATGCTTTGTATTTCCCTTAAGTAGTTTTAATCTATTAATTCCTAAGTGCATGCTCTCTCTTTCTCATTCTTTTCATCTTTATACAATTTTAAACTCTCTTTATCATTATAATTTGTTTCTTAGAGAAACCAGATCATTAGTGTTGAGAGTTCTTCACAATTTGGATTTTTCTGCTACTTAACTTGTTCCCTGTGTTTTCTTTAAATTGGAGGTTGGCTCTAGAGCTTTTTTTTTTTTTTCACAATTCAGCTTGATTTTTGGCAAAAATTTCCCATGTACTTTGTTTTGTACTTTCATCAGCAAGTAAATGTTGTCTGAGATGTTAGCAGCAAATGAAAATCAGTGTCTAGAATGATCCGTCATCCGTCATTGCAGTCTATCACCATTGGTTGCAAAATGGCAACATTCTAATTCTACTATTCCTTCATTTGTCAGCTGAAATGCTTCCATAAAGAAACTTCCCTTCATCAACCCTTTGGTTTCCCTGAAATAAATTCTTACAGGAAAGGGAGAATAAATCTGAGTCTTTTATTATTTTCAGTTTTCAAAATAAATGAGACGGCTCTGTAACATACTCCAAAGGAGAATGAGCAGGTTTTTTCTTTTAGTAACTTCATGAACTCATGGATAAAACATGTTTGAAATCTTTCAATCCATTGTGATTATTCTTATGATGACAAATCACTCCATCTATGACTAGTAGCCATCTTTTAAATGGACTCCCTGAGCTCTTTAGACCTTTCAATACAATCTTATTAGATATTACAGTTTCTTTGGCTTCTAGTATGACATCATATCATATCAGTTCATCTAGAGGGATATTTAAGACATCCATGAGGTTTTCTTTTTCTTTTCTTTATGTTTTTTTAAGTGGGAGACTACATTCTAGGTGCTAAAGATTCTCCTTGCTACTGGGTTGGCTATTATTTCTAAGCCCTTTTATTGGACAGGCAGGAGATAAAAATAAATCATCATAAGTTCACGTAGATATTTATAAATCAAATTTAGAACTATATAGTTTTTACTTACTATCATAGATCTTATATCTCTGTTTCTTTTCTCTTATTCCAAGCATTGTATTTTTTAACGATACTAATATAATTATTCATTTTCTTTCACACATAGTTCACATACAATGAACTCAGAATAACAACATAACTATTACCATCAAGGATATGATTATTAAAAGCAATTTTAAATCTTTTGAAGTTCTTTTTGTCCTCCGGATATACCCCACTAAAGATGCTTAGTAAAGTTTTTTTTGTTTGTTTGTTTTTTGTTTTTTTTGAAACAGAGTTTTGCTCTTGTCACCCAGGCTGGAGTGCAATGGCATGATCTCGGTTCACTGTAACCTCTGCCTCTTGGGTTCAAGCAATTCTCCTGCCTCAGCCTCCCAAGTAGCTGGGATTGCAGGCACCTGCCACCATGCCAGGCTAATTTTTGTATTTTTAGTAGAGGCAGGGTTTCACCATATTGGCCAGGCTTGTCTCGAACTCCTGAGTGTTCTGCCTCGGCTTCCCAAAGTGCTGGGATTACAGGAGTGAGCCACTGTGCCCGGCCATAATGTACTGTGTTTTAACGTCATTTGAAATATGTTCGGTTATGTGGTTAAGCAAATAATTCAGTATGCCATTAAGGTCAATTGTTTTATTTTGCTTTTGATTTGTAGAGATTTTTTATTGTGAATTTTTTAAAAATTATGCAAAATACTAATGTGTTTCAAAATCAGATCATAAGATAGATCTGACAAAGATCTATCTAAATATCCAGAGAAATTTATCTTCTATCTTTGTCCCCTTTCCCTGTTTCTTCCTTCCTCCAGAGGACCATTTCTTTTTAGGCTTTTGCTTCATTCTCCTATTTCTTTTTATTTTAAGAAAATATAAATGTGTATGCATTCTTTACTCTCTTCTTAGATAAATGGTATACTACACATATTTTCTACATCTCGCTTTTTTTTACTTAACAATATATCATTTCAAGAATATTACGTAAATGGCATCATACAACATGCAACCTTATGGGACTGGCTTTTCTCACTTAGAGTATTTCTCCAGAGATTCATCCAGGTCATTGAGTGTATTAATAGTTTGTTCTTTTTTATTGCTAAGTAGTATTCCATGATATATGTGGATGTATCACAGTTTATTTAACCACTCACCGGTTTAAGGGTATCTGTATTGTTCTAGTTTTGAGTGATTACAAATAAAACTACTATACATTTGTATATGGGTTTGTGTGAACAGAAGTCTTTGTTTCTCTGGGATAAAAGCCTACAAGTGTAACTATTGGGTTGTATGATAGCTGTGTGTTTAGTTTTTAAAGAAAACTTCCAAACTGTTTTCCAGAATGGTTGTAGCATTTTACATTCTCACCAGCAATATGTGAATTATCTAGTTTTTCTGCATTCTTGCCAGCATTTAATGTTGTCACTATTTTGCATTTAAGACATTTTGATAAGTGTAGTCATATCTTATTATAGTTTTAATTTGCCTTTCCCTAACGACAAATGAGGCCAAATACCTTCTATGTGCTTATTTGCTAGCTGTACATCCTCTTTGATGAAATGTCTTTTTATGTCTTTTTTTTTTTTTTTTTTGAGACCTAATCTCACTCTGTTGCCTAGGTTGGAGTGCAGTGGCAAGATCTCAGCTCACTGCAACCTCCACCTCCTGGGTTCAAGTAATTCTCCTGCCTCCGCCTCCCAAGTAGCTGGGACCACAGGTGCATGCCGCCACACCTGGCTAACTTTTTGTATTTTTAGTAGAGACAGGGTTTCACCGTCTTAGCCAGGATGGTCTCGATCTCCTGACCTCATGATCTGCCCACCTCGGCCTCCCAAAGTCCTGGGATTACAGGCGTGAGCCACCGTGTCCAGCCTTTTTTCATTTTTTAAACTAAAAGAATTTTTTTTTTACTATTGAGTTTCAAGAGTTCTTTATAGATTTTAGATACTAATCTTTTATGAGATATATTATTTGCAAAAATTTTCTGCAACTCTGTAGTTTGTCTTTATCCTCTTGAAACGGTCTTTCATAGAGCAAATTTTTAACACTTTGTTAAAGTCTAATGTATTAACTTTTTCTTTTATGATTCATGATTAGGGTCAAATCTAAGAATTTTTTTGCCTGACTCTAAATCCTGAAAGTTTTCTCCTATGTTTTCTACTAAAAGGTTTTAAAGTTTTACATTTAAATCTGTGGCCTATTGAGATTTTTTTTGTAAAAGGAGTGAGATGAGCTATTCTTCTGGTCCTGGGTTTTCTAGCCAGTCTGCCTTCTCCTCTCTATCTTCCAGAGTATTCTCTATGTCCATTTTGTATATATTGTCTAGGATTTTCAGTTGTGCCACTTCCTTTTGCCTCAATTATTTGTGATGAGAGTTCTGCTGTTACTCGAATTGTTTTCTCCCTGTAGGTAAAGTATCTTTTCTCTCTCACTGCTTTCAAGGTTTTTTCTTTGTGTTTAGTTTCCAGAAGTTTGAGCACAATATGTCTAGATGTGAATTTTGAGACGTTTGTTTAGTTAAAAATTGCTCAGCTTTTTAAATCTGTAGGGTTATGTATTTTGAAAAGTTTGGGAAGTTTTCAGTCATTGTTTAAGTAATTTTTCAGCCCTTCCCTCTTTCAACTCTCCTCTGGGACACAGGTGACACAAATGTTAGGTCTTTTATTACAATCCCGTAGGTCCCCAAGGCTCAGATTTGGTGATTTCTGTTTTTCTATCTTTAATTTCGTGAATTCTTTTCTCTACCCCCTCTATTTTGCTATTGAGCCCATCCAATATGATTTTTAAAATTTCAGCTACTGTATTTTTTAGTTCTAAAATTCCCATTTGCTTTCCCTTTATATATTCTATTTATTTGCTGAAACGTTCTAGTCTTTGTTGAGACTCTATTTCTTTATTCGTTTCCAGCCAATTTGTAGTTGTCCTTGAAGCATCTCTATGAGAGCGACGTTAAAATCACTGGAACATTGTCATCTCTATCACCTTTATGTTAGCATCCATTACTTCTCTTTTTTATTCTGTCTTGGATTGTCCCGGTTCTTGGTATGATGTGTGATTTGCAATTGAAAACGGGACATTTCTGTATTGTGTTATGAGACTACCTTGTTTTAAAACTTCTGGGTTAGCTAGCTCTCTCTGACACCCCTCTGGTAAGGAATAATGGGGTCATTGTCTTTTTATGGTCAGGTGGTGGGAGAAGTCCAAGTTCCCTACCCAGTCTTCTTTGACTTCCAAGCAGGGGGGTGATTCTCGTTACTCCTGGGGTTGGAGCAGGAGTTTTGGCTCCCCACTAGATCTACATTGATAATTTCCTACACTGGGCTAGGAAGAAAAGCTGCCTATTTGGGTGAAGTGAGTGACAGTGACATATGAGAACACATATCAGATATTGTATGTGACATATTAGTACAACATCAGATATTGTATATTTTCATATCTATTTTATTCAAAAAAATGAATGTTCAACAACTCAACTAAAGGCAGCCCTTATCTTGATCTAATGTCTTGTACTAACATATTTTAAACCTCTTGATGTTAAAGGACGTTGATAACTAACAAAAGTTTATCAATCTCTTCATATACATGCAAAACATTTACTTGTCCCAACACAATTGAGTTATTTGTATGCAGTGACAAAGTAGGTCTACTAGAAGTCACACTTTATATTAACATGAATTTTAATAAAGACAGTGACTTGAGTGTCTAGTTAATTCCTGGTCCTTATTCCTTGAAGTTGCATATTAGCTGATAATTTGGCAAAATGTAAACTCACAATTGGATTTGAAAGAAAAATTTGTTTTTCTCTAGTATTTGATTCCAAAGGCATGTGAGACATAAATTACTTAGATTATGCAAATTAATGTCAAACAAAAATGAAGATTTTGTCATTATGAAAACCTGTTCTCTTTAAATTCTTATTTCAAATATGGCCAACTTGATGCCTACAAATGAATATGTCCCACATACCTGCTGTTCAGGCCAGGGGCTGACTTTCATCCACAGAAGCACCATCCTACCTTAATTCTCCAATTAGGCAGGACAAGGGCAGGGAAACAAATTTTAAGCAAACAATGTTCAGACTCTGTAAAAACTAAAGTTATTCTAAGTTTCTTTATCCTTTTTGTGAAGAATCGTGACATTGCTCTAATCAATTCTGGAATTGAAATATAAGAATAGAACTCGGCTTGTAATTATATGTTAGCTTTTCTGACGGCCTTTCCTAGGAAACAAAAGCACTGAATACTAAATAGAAAAGTTAATAAGTAATTAAGAGAATGCTATTTATTTTTTTAAAAACATTTTATAGCTGTTATATATGGAAAAAGCATTGCTAAATGGTAGAAAGTTATGGGTTCAAATCTCAGCTCTGCTACTTGCTGGCCAATAAATTATGGGCTGCACTTTGAAGTTTATCTGTGCTCCAGTTTCATCGCAATGTTTGAAGGGAAGCCTAAAAATATTCTTTTAAAATCTCGGCTGGGCACGGTGGCTCACGCCTGTAACCACAGCACTTTGAGAGGCTGAGGCAGGCGGATGGATCACGAGGTCAGGAGTTCACGACCAGCCTGGCCAATATGGTGAAACCTCGCCTCTACTAAAAATACAAAAATTAGCTGGGTGTGGTGGCGCACGCCTGTAGTACCAGTTACTCAGGAGGCTGAGGCAGGACAATCACTTGAACCTGGGAGGTGGAGGTTGCAGTGAGCCGAGATTGTGCCACTACACTCCAGCCTGGGTGACAGAGCAAGATTCTGTCTCAAAAAAACAAAAACAAAAACAAAGAAACAAACAAAAAACAAACAAACAAACAAACAAAAAAACACTACCTCATGCTGCCCCCATATGATTAGGAATAGAGTTGTGCTCACCTGAGTTTGCATGATGGGATAATCTGGAGAGATAAAAGAATCAGTGAGCTCTATTGGTTTCTTTCTTTCTTTCTTTTTCTTTCTTTCTTTCTTTCTTTCTTTCTTTCTTTCTTTCTTTCTTTCTTTCTTTCCTTTTCTTTTCTTTTCTTTCTTTTTTTTTAAATTAGATCCCCATAATTAAATTCTAATTATGCGGCCAGGTTAGAAAAGCACAGAGATAGATCATAAGCGCTATAAGGGCAGGGCTTTTGGTTGTACAATTTGCTGTTACATTGTTTATGCCTGGAATGTTATCTGGCTGATAGAAGAACTCAATTAATATTTATTGAGTGGACAAATCAATAAATAAATGTGTACTTGACTTTATTAAAGAAGCAATACAAGCAACCCTCAAGTCAAACCCTGCTGTAATATTGTAGTTAACATCAATTGACTACTGACAATGTTCCAGCAGTGGATCCTAAAACTCTGGTTTAAAACCTTCCAGTGGAGTCCCATTGCATTTAGCATAAAATCTGAACTTTTTACCATAGTGTTAAAGGCACTGCATGATCTAGCCCCTACCAACCTTTCTACCCTCGTCCTCATCACTCTCCCTGTTTGGTCACACAGGACTCCATTTACTCCTTGACCCAGTTAAGTTAGTTCTTACCCTAAGATCTTTGTTCTTGCTGTCCCTTCTCCCTGGATGACTCTTCTCCAGATTTCCACGTGCCTGATTCTTCATCAGTGGAGCAGCAGCTCCAACACACCATCGCCCAGATGCATCTTCCATGGCTATTTCCAATGTGCCTCCACCTTGTCAGCCACTCTGTCCTATGACCCTGTTGCAATTTCCTCACAGTAGCTTACAATCAGAAACCCCTCCTTTTTATATATATATATATATTTTTTATGTCATCTCAATCCCACTAGAATTTAAGTAACATGAAAACAGTAACCTTATCTTTTTCTTTATTATTTTTCATGCAGTGCATCTAGTACTCAGGACAATGGCCAATACTAACAGAAACTTATTGATGAATGCATACAAGGATAAAAGAAAGTCGTATTTGCTATTTGTTATTCGTTTACCCTTAGGAAAGTCACATAACTCCTGGAGTAATATGTATAATCTGCCTATCACATCATCTGGCACATAAAAGGTGTTCAGATGATGTTGGTTTCTCTTTATTGTCCTGTTTCTGCCTGATCTTAAAGGAAAATGCTTCAAAGCATATTGCATAAGATAATCAAAAAACAGCAGTTGAACAGAGGTTTTCATTTCTCTTGTGTAAATACATAGGAGTGGAATTGCTGGGTAAAGTTACCTATGTTTAAATTTTCAAGAAATTGCCAAACAGTTCTCTAAGATGACGGTGTCATTGTACACTGTCTTCAGCCATGGATAGGGTTCCAGTGCCTTGATATTCTCACTAGGATTGGCAGTGTCCATCTTTTTAATTTTAGTCATTTAAATGAGTTTAAAAAATGGCTGGGTGCCATGGTTTATGCTGGTTATCCCACACTTTGGGAGACAGAGGTGAGCGGATGACCTAAGGCCAGGAGTTTGAGACCAGCCTGACCAACATAGTGAAACCCCATCTCTACTAAAAATACAAAAATTAGCCAGGCATGGTGGTGGGTGCCTGTAATCCCAGCTACTGGGGAAGCTGAGGCAGGAGAATCGCTTGAACCCGGAAGGCAGAGGTTGCAGTGAGCCTAGATCATGCCACTGCATTCCAGCCTGGGCAACAGAGAAAGATTCCACCTCAAAAATAAATAAATAAATAAATACATACATACATACATACATACATATTATTTAAGAGTAATGACATCGAGCATTTTTCATATGCTTATTGCTATTCATTAGATCTGCTCTTGTGAAGTAGCTTTTCAAATCTTTTGTCATTTTTTAAATTAACATGTGTTCTTCGTGTTGATTTTTTATTTCTTTATTTATTTTCTATACAATTACTTTGTCAAATGTATTTGCAATACATTTCACTGCTTACACTACACTGACGACTTTTCATTTTCTTAATGGTGTGTTTTGATGAGCTCTTCATTTTCATGATGTCTAATTTGCCAACTTTTACGTTTAGTGCTTTTTATGTTAAGAATTTAGGAAAATATGTTAAGAATATAAGAAATCTTTGCTACCCCAAGGTTATAAACATATTTTCCTATATTCTTTTTCTTCTGGAAGCTTTTTGGTTTTAGTTTCTACATTTTGTTTTATGACTTATTGCAGACTAATTTTTTGCATGTGATTCTATTAGGAATTTCAAGTCTTATCTTTCATATGTTTATCAAGTTGCTTATTCAAATGTTTATAAAAATGTTATTACAACTTTCTTTGTAATAGGATAAAAGGGAAACTGCCTTAATATCCATCAACAGGAAAATGGACGAACACATTGTATGGGCTGGAAGCAGTGGCTCACGCCTGTAATTCCAGCACTTTGGGAGACCAAGGCAGGAGGATCACTCAAGCCCAGGAGTTCGAGACTAGCCTGGGCAACATATGGAGACCTGTCTCTACGAAAAATAAGGTGGAAGGATCCTTTGAGCCCAGGAGTTGGAGGCTGAAATAAGCCATGATTGTACCACTGATAGAAGTATCCTGTGTTTTGATTGGGGTATGACAACACAGATATAACATTTATCAAAACTCATCAGATTATACAATTAAGAGCTGTGCATTTCACTGTGTGTAAATTTTATCTCAAAAATATCTAGCAGCTGATCATGACAGAGAGATGATAAGCACAGTCTGGACCATTACATGTAAGGGAAAAGTTCTCTAAATATTTCAATAACCCAAGTCCATCCCATAATGATGAACTTAAGGAATCAAGAAATGGTTAATTATTTCTCAGAATCTTCTTTTAATAATTCAGGACATCTATTTCAAAATATTATAAATGTAAAACTAATATTAAAGAAGTTTTTATATTTAAATATATTTGTATTTTAAATTTTATATTTATACTTTACTTAGAATAATTTACATATAAGAAACCTCTAATAACTGACAATGTGTGATGTGTTTATATAAATACATAAATTCACAAAACAAATGCACATATGTATATGTGTCTGCCTCAGAGTCATAGAACAAAGCCACAGAAAACCATATAATTGCACTGTAAAAGACTGATGTGTTTTCTTGGTCTTCATAGTCTTTTTTTTTTTCTAATTACATCAAAATATACACCCAAAACCTCAGCTAGAGTTGCACATTGACAGCGGAATACTTGTGAGCATAAATTTATACCTGCTTTGGGATTTTTCTGAACAATCCTTTCGAGCTTCTCAGGCTCTGACAGAGGAAGTGTACAATCAGCCAGCCCTACTTCTGCCCTAGACTAGTCAGCAGAATCCTAAGCAACTCTATTTTATGCTCCCTGATTCTTTCTGCACCTTGCTATTGAAGCTCAGACCTGCTTATGTATTTATTACCCATGACAGTCTTGCACTTCTATCAGCATTCAGTGGGGATACCAGGAGGAGAAATAGTGCTGCTCCTTGCTGTTGGAGGGATACATAGTTCCAGAGAACCTGTCAAACCACCTTCTTCTGGATCATGAATAAGATTCAGAGTACTAGGCCAGGCGCGGTGGCTCACGCCTGTAATCTCAGCACTTTGGGAGGCCGAGGCGGGCGGATCACGAGGTCAGGAGATCGAGACCATCCTGGCTAACACGGTGAAACCCCGTCTCTACTAAAAATACAAAAAATTAACTGGGCGTGGTGGCGGGTGCCTGTAGTCCCAGCTACTCGGGAGGCTGAGGCAGGAGAATGGCGTGAACCCGGAAGGCGGAGCTTGCAGCGAGTGGAGATCGTGCTACTGCACTCCAGCCTGGGCAACAGAGCCAGACTCCGTCTCAAAAACAAAACAAAACAAAAAAAAGATTCAGAGTACTGCATACTCCCCAGTGTTTTATGGGAAACGAGTTAGCACACTATGGACAGAATTTGGCAAGCCTACTTTGTTATTGGGGCACACTTATTTACTCTTCTGTTTCTATGTGAGGGTTTCCATTTGTGTAGCTCTGCTGGGTTTGCCCAACCGTCACTGCCCCTCATGAGGAGTGCCTTTTCTTTTTTTGTTTTTCCTATTTCAATAGGTGTTTGGGAAACAAGTGGTGTTTGGTTCCATGAATAAATTCTTTAGTGGTGATTTCTGAGATTTAGGTACGCTCCTCACCCAAGCAGTGTACACTCTACTCAGTGTGTAGTCTTTTATCCCTCACCCCCTTTCTACCCTTTCCCCTGAGTTCCCAAAGTCCACTGTATCATTCTTAATGCCTTTGCGTCTTCACAGCTTAGCTCCCACTTATGAGTGAGAACATATGATGTTTAGTTTTCCATTTCTGAGTTCACTTAGAATAATGGTCTCCAATTCTATCCAGGTTGCTGTGAATGCCGTTATTTTGTTCCTTTTGTGGCTGAGTAGTATTCCATGGTATGTGTATATACATTTATATCTCACGTTTTCTTTATACACTCATTGATTGATGGGCATTTGGGCTGATGAGCAGTGCCTTTCCTTGACTGGTGAGCAGGAAGAATGAAATGAACACAACTCAAATCCTTCTCACCATTTTGTAGCCATGTCACAAGCACAGATGAGCTGGATCTGTCACTGCGGAGTGGCCTGCAGTTTCAGGGAATTTTTTAATTCAGAATTTTAACAAGCCGATTTGCCCAAAGACTTAAGTGATAATTTTTATCTGATTTTTATGCTTATCTTTCAATTGGATCTGTAATCAAGTGGAAAGGAGAAGGTTGCCACTTTCAAAATGGAACCCTCTTGTCTGGGAGCTGTGAACTGCCACTTTCAATCTTACCTCCCTTACTTTGTAAACACGTGCATCTTCGTGAATTTTAGCACATGAATACAGCTAACTGCAATATCTAGAAAAGGAGGGATATTACATACTCCTGGTGATCTGAAATTTTAGTATGGCCATAATATCTGTATTCTGAAATCCTTCTGATTTGCATGTAATTTAAGTGTTCAACCGTTTCTCATAGAAATCTTGTATTAGTAATTAATAACTCCTATTAAGTAGAAGTAGTCTCACATCTCATCAATTCTTTTGAATTATTTTCCTTATAACTTTTCTAATGTTTATGTTTGCATTTTTTCTTATTATTGGTCATCTTCTGTAGACCAGACACTGTGGCTGATTAATATCTATGAGGAAGTCATCAAATACTAGAAGGAACATAGACAAATATCACTCCCTAGTTGATGCCAGAATATTTGAAGTATCAAGAAAGAGGTATACACAAAGATCCTCAGGAGTACAGAGTAAGGAAATATCACCTTTATGACTGTGGGTGTGGCCCCTCATAGGCTGAATATCAACTTCAAATGGTGAAAAAAATAATTTTTAATCTTGATCTCAGATATGCATCCTGCAATATAAAGGGTTACCTTAGAAATGTGTCTAGAAATATGCAGATAAATAAGCGAGCATCTGTAGGTTCCGAAGAAAGTTTCACACACTCCAAGACATTCTCCCATTAGGCACTCTATGGGCCAATCCATTGGATTAAGCCATTGAAAGGCCACTACCTTTACCAAAAACAGCAGCCCAGTTGACAACATAGTGGATTACCTTGGATTGTCTACTCCTGGCCTGGCAGAAAATAAAGTATGAGGCCACGCATGCTGGACAGTCAGGACTATAGGAAGGCTTGGAACACTCTTCACTGGAAATGTTCTCCCAGGGGCTGAATGACCACCTGCCAAAGGTACTGGGGAGGACACAACTGTCCTTGGTAGAAAGCTGATAAGAGTACATATCTCTGAAGACCCTTTCCACTCTGAAAATTCTACAATTCTGTGCTATGACGGTGCATGTAAGAGCCCTTACCTGATGTCATTGGGTGTTTAGACTTTCTTGTAAATTTTTTTTTTTTTTTTTTTTTGAGACAGGGTCTTGCCATGTTATCTAGGCTGATCTAAAACTCCTCGGCTCAGGCAATCTTCCCACTTCGACCACTCAAACACTGGGAAAACAGGCATGAGCCACAGTGCTCAGCCACCTATAGAATTGTTGATGCTCATTTACATCCCTTTCCAGAATCAATCTTGATTCAAAGGACAACCCAACAAAAACAGAAATCAGCCCTGCACACTTACATTGTTCTAAATTGCAGAATCCCTACTCCATTCCCAGGATATTCTTCTAGAATTCTGATTCATTTCTCCTGAATATTTCATACAGAATTGTTTTAATCTCTGTTTCCCTGATTAGAGATCCTACATTCTATTTAATTACTTTAATAAGCTCTTCATTGTATAATGACATAGTTCAGAAAAAGCAAATACTTAAAGAAAATATAATAAAAATCCATGCATGCATCCCACATAGCTTAGCAAGTAGAACAATATAGGTGAAGCCGTCCATTTCTTCTCCCCTGAATATACTTCACTCTGTCCCCACCCACCCACCCAGTGTTAACTACAACAAAATCTACTACAAAAAGTCCCTTTTCTTTTCTGTGCCATACAGCTATGCTATATTTACCAACTTCCCTTGCATGTAAATGAATTCTGACCAACAGAATGTGAACAAAATGAGGTACATAACTTCTTGATCTCACCCAGAAAAACCTCCTGAGTAATATTCCTAGCTTTTTCCTTACTTGGCTGCATAAAGAAGGTCCTGAAGTTCTCAAGGAGGGGGAAATACAATGGACAATATTGGGTCCCTGAATGACCATATGGAGGAGTTTCTCACCACCAAGTTCACTGGACTATGATCTAAGTGAGAGAAAAACTTGTATTGAGTTAGCCTACTCTGACTTATATGATGATTATTTTTTCCGTGCAGTTCTTTAGACTTACCACATAAAAAGGAATCCCTAATCAATATATAATTTGCTTATTTTCCAACTTAATATAAGTGGTACCAAATTGCATGTTTTGGTACCACTTTTTTTTTGCATCTTTTTTTTCATTTCTTATTGCCTATGAGATCCATTGATGGTAGTACATGTTGTTCTCTCTAGTTGAGAATTTCACTGCTGTAGAGTTCTCCATTGTATGATTATTATGCAGTTTGTGTATTTATTTATTGCTGACTATTTAAATTGTTTTATTACTAGCATAAACAGTACTGTTATGAACAGTCTAAAAGCATACATACCTGGTGTGGGCCAGGCGCAGTGGCTCACGCCTGTAATTCCAGCACTTTGGGAGGCCAAGGCAGGTGGATCATGAGGTCAAGAGATCGAGACCCTCCTGGCCAACATGGTGAAACCCCATCTTTATTAAAAATACAAAAATTAGCTGGGCATGGTGGCACGCACCTGTAGTCCCAGCTACTCGGGAGGCTGAGACAGGAGAATTGCTTGAACCTGGGAGGCAGAGGTTGTAGTGAGCTGAGATTGTGCCACTGCACTCCAGCCTGGCAACAGAGTGACACTCCATCTCAAAAAAAAGAAAAAAAGAAAAAGAAAAAATACACATCTGGTATATGTGTGTGTGTGTGTGTATATATATATATATATATATATATATACCCAATGTATTTAGTGAATTGTTTTTTGCTTCATGAAACCGTCTCAAAAAATTAGTGACTTAACACAACCACCATTTATATAGCTCACAATTCTGTGGGTTGGTACTTTGGCTTGAGCTCAAGCTCTGCTGGTTTGAGCTGGGCTTTTCATGCATCTGTGTTTCCTGCCAGGGAATCTGGGGGCTGGCTGGTCTAAGATGGCTAAGCTGGGATGGTTCATCTCTGTTCTACATGGTCTCTCATCTGCCAGCAACTTGGCACAGGGCTTATATGCAGCGTGGTGGGGTTCCAAGACCAGTAAGAACACAAACTATAAGGTCTCTTGAGGCCTAAGCTCAGAGCTGACACAACAACACTTCTACTTTACTTTCCTGGACAAAAATTATGAGAGCAACCCAGATTCACAGAATGGGAAAATAAACTGCACTTGTTAATGGGAGAATCTTGAAAGCATTGCACTGATTTTTTGCAATATGTCACATCCAAGATGCAATTTTTGGGTTGTATAGTATGCATATGTTCAATATTACTGTATTTTTTAGAGTTAAAAATATTTTCCTAAAGTGGTTGCATACATTCTTGCAAAAAAGCATGTTGAATACTGGTTAAGAGCAAAGACTCTGGAAGCCTACAGCCTTGCTAGAATCACAGCAGTGCCATCTATGACTGTCACTTTCTTTTTCTTTTTGGCTATTCTTTTTTTTTTTTTTTTTTTTTTTTGAGACGGAGTCTCGCTCTGTCGCCCAGGCTGGAGTGCAGTGGCGCTATCTCTGCTCACGCCACTCTCCTGCCTCAGCCTCCTGAGTAGCTGGGACTACAGGCGCCCGCCACAGCGCCCAGCTAATTTTTTGTATTTTCAGTAGAGACTGGGTTTCACCATGGTCTCGATTTCCTGACCTTGTGATCCACCTGCCTCAGCCTCCCAAAGTGCTGGGATTACAGGCATGAGCCACCGCGCCTGGCCGACTATTCTTTTTTTAAACAATTTCAATAGTTTTGGGGGGACAGGTGGTTTTTTGTTATATAGATAAGTTATTTAGTGGTAATTACTGAGATTTTGTTGTACCCATCACCCAAGCTGTGCAGTGTATAATCTACCCAATGTGTAGTCTCTTATCCCTCACACCACCCTCCTCCCTTCCTCCCCTGTACCCAAAGTCCATTATACCATTCTTATGCCTGTATGTCCTCATAGCCTAGCTCCTACTTATGAGTGAGAACATATGATATTTGGTTTTCCATTACTGTGTTACTCTACTTAAAATAATGGCCTCCAACTCCATCCAGTTTGCTGCGAATGCCATTATTTCATTCCTTTTTATGACTGAGTAGTATTTCATGGTATATATATACCATAATTTCTTTATCCACCCATTGGTCAATGGTCATTTAGGCTGGTTCCATATTTTTGCAACTGAGAATTGTGCTGCTATAAACACGCATGTGCAAGTGTCTTTTTCATATAATGATTTCTTTTCCTCAGGGTAGATACCCAGTAGTGGGATTGCTGGACCAAATTGTAGTTCTACTTTTAGTTCTGTAAGGAATCTCCATACTGTTTTCCATAGTGGTTGTACTAGATTACATTTCCACCTGCAGTGTAAAAGTGTTCCATTTCCATCACCCACGCCAACATCTATTCTTTTTTGATTTTTTTAATTATGTCCATTCTTGCAGGAGTAAGGTGGTATCTTGTTGAGGTTTTAATTTGCATTTCTCTAATAATTAGTGATGTTGAGCATTTTTTTCATATGTCTCTTGGCCATTTGTATATCTTTTGAGAATTGTCCATTTATGTCCTTTGCCCACTTTTTGATGGGATTATTTGTGGGTTTTTTTTTTCACTGATTTGTTTGAGTTCCTTGTAGATTCCAAATATTAGTCCTTTGTCAGATGCATAGTTTGGTGAATATTTTCTCCCATTCTGTGGGTTGTCTGTCTACTCTGTTGATTATTTCTTTTGCTTTGCAGAAGCTTTTTAGTTTAATTAGGTCTAATCTGTTTATTTTTTGTTGTTGTTGCATTTGCTTTAGGCTTCTAGATCATGAATCCTTTGCCTAAGCCAATGTCTAGAAGAGTTTTACCAATTTTATCTTCTAGGATATTTATGATTTCAGGTCTTAGATTTTAGTCTTTGATTCATCTTGAGTTGATTTTTGTATAACATGAGAGTTGTAATTCAGTTTCATTCTTCTACATATGGCTTGCCAATTATTCCAGCACCATTTGTTGAATAGTGTGTCCTTTCCCCACTTTATGTTTTTGTTTGCTTTGTCAAAGGTCAGTTGGCTGTAAAGTATCTGGCTTTATTTCTGGGTTCTCTATTCTTTTCCTTTTGGTTTATATGCCTATTTTTATACCAGAACCACAATATTTTGGTAACTGTAGCCTTGCAGTATAGTTTGCAGTGAGGTAATGTCAGGCCTCCAGGTTTGTTCTTTTTGCTTAGTCTTGCTTTGGCTATGCCAGGTCTTTTTTGGTTTGATATGAATTTTAGGATTTTTTTTTCTAGTTCAGTGAAGAATGATGATGGTTCTTTGATGGCAATTGCATTCAATCTGTAGATGGCTTCTGGCAATATAGCAATTTTCATTATATTGATTTTTCCTATCCATGAGCATGGGATGTTTCCACTTGTTTGTGTTGTCAATTATTTATTTCAGCAGTGTTTTGTAGTTTTCCTTGTAGAGATCTTTCACCTCCCTGGTTAGCTGGATTCCTAGGTATTTTATTCTTTTTGTGGCAACTGTAAATGGGATTGCCTTTATGATTTGGCTCTTGGTTTGGCTGTTATTGGTGTATAGGAATGCTAGTGATTTTTTTTTCATTGAGTTTGTATCCTGTAACTTTACTAGGAGCTTTTTGGATTAGTTTTTAGGGTTTTCCAGGTATACAATAATATCCATGGTGAGCAGTGACATTTTCACTTCCTCTTTACTGATTTGGATGCCCTTCCTTTCTTTCTCTTGTCTGATTGCTCTGGCTAGGACTTCCAGCACTATTTTCTTTTTATTTTATTTTATTTTATTTATTATTATTATACTTTAAGTTTTAGGCTACATGTGCACAATGTGCAGGTTAGTTACATATGTATACATGTGCCATGCTGGTGCACTGCACCCACTAACTCATCATCTAGCATTAGGTATATCTCCCAGTGCTATGCCTCCCCCCTCCCCCCACCCCACAACAGTCCCCAGAGTGTGATGTTCCCCTTCCTATGTCCATGTGTTCTCATTGTTCAATTCCCACCCATGAGTGAGAATATGCGGTGTTTGGTTTTTTGTTCTTGCGATAGTTTACTGAGAATGATGATTTCCAATTTCATCCATGTCCCTACAAAGGACATGAACTCATCATTTTTTATGGCTGCATAGTATTCCATGGTGTATATGTGCCACATTTTCTTAATCCAGTCTATCATTGTTGGACATTTGGGTTGGTACCAAGTCTTTGCTATTGTGAATAATGCTGCAATAAACATACGTGTGCATGTGTCTTTATAGCAGCATGATTTATAGTCCTTTGGGTATATACCCAGTAATGGGATGGCTGGGTCAAATGGTATTTCTAGTTCTAGATCCCTGAGGAATCGCCACACTGACTTCCACAATGGTTGAACTAGTTTACAGTCCCACCAACAGTGTAAAAGTGTTCCTATTTCTCCACATCCTCTCCAGCACTTGTTGTTTCCTGACTTTTTAATGATTGCCATTCTAACTGGTGTGAGATGGTATCTCATTGTGGTTTTGATTTGCATTTCTCTGATGGCCAGTGATGATGAGCATTTTTTCATGTCTTTTGGCTGCATAAATGTCTTCTTTTGAGAAGTGTCTGTTCATATCCTTCGCCCACTTGTTGATGGGGTTGTTTGTTTTTTTCTTGTAAATTTGTTTGAGTTCATTGTAGATTCTGGATATTAGCCCTTTGTCAGATGAGTAGGTTGCAAAAATTTTCTCCCATTTTGTAGGTTGCCTGTTCACTCTGATGGTAGTTTCTCTTGCTGTGCAGAAGCTCTTTAGTTTAATTAGATCCCATTTGTCAATTTTGGCTTTTGTTGCCATTGCTTTTGGTGTTTTAGACATGAAGTCGTTGCCCATGCCTATGTCCTGAATGGGAATGCCTAGGTTTTCTTCTAGGGTTTTTATGGTTTTAGGTCTAACGTTTAAGTCTTTAATCCATCTTGAATTGATTTTTGTATAAGGTGTAAGGAAGGGATCCAGTTTCATCTTTCTACATATGGCTAGCCAGTTTTCCCAGCACCATTTATTAAATAGGGAATCCTTTCCCCATTGCTTGTTTTCCTCAGGTTTGTCAAAGACCAGATAGTTGTAGATATGCGGTGTTATTTCGGAGAGCTCTGTTCTGTTCCATTGATCTATATCTCTGTTTTGGTACCAGTACCATGCTATTTTGGTTACTGTAGCCTTGTAGTATAGTTTGAAGTCAGGTAGTGTGATGCCTCTAGCTTTGTTCTTTTGGCTTAGGATTGACTTGGTGATGCGGGCTCTTTTTTGGTTCCATATGAACTTTAGATTTTCCAATTCTGTGAAGAAAGTCATTGGTAGCTTGATGGGGATGGCATTGAATCTGTAAATTACCTTGGGCAGTATGGCCATTTTCACGCTATTGATTCTTCCTACCCATGAGCATGGAATGTTCTTCCATTTGTTTGTATCCTCTTTTATTTCCTTGAGCAGTGGTTTGTAGTTCTCCTTGAAGAGGTCCTTCACATCCCTTGTAAGTTGGATTCCTAGGTATTTTATTCTCTTTGAAGCAATTGTGAATGGGAGTTCACTCATGATTTGGCTGTTTGTCTGTTGTTGGTGTATAAGAATGCTTGTGATTTTTGCACATTGATTTTGTATCCTGAGACTTTGCTGAAGTTGCTTATCAGCTTAAGGAGATTTTGGGCTGAGACAATGGGGTTTTCTAGATATACAGTCATGTCGTCTGCAAACAGAGACAATTTGACTTCCTCTTTTCCTAATCGAATACCCTTTATTTCCTTCTCCTGCCTAATTGCCCTGGCCAGAACTTCCAACACTATGTTGAATAGGAGTGGTGAGAGATGGCATCCCTGTCTTGTGCCAGTTTTCAAAGGGAATGCTTCCAGTTTTTGCCCATTCAGTATGATATTGGCTGTGGGTTTGTCATAGATAGCTCTTATTATTTTGAGATACGTCCCATCAATACCTAGTTTATTGAGAGTTTTTAGCATGAAGGGTTGTTGAATTTTGTCAAAGGCTTTTTCTGCATCTATTGAGATAATCATGTGGTTTTTGTCTTTGGTTCTGTTTATATGCTGGATTACATTTATTGATTTGCGTATATTGAACCAGCCTTGTATCCCAGGGATGAAGCCCACTTGATCATGGTGGATAAGCTTTTTGATGTGCTGCTGAATTCGGTTTGCCAGTATTTTATTGAGGATTTTTGCATCAATGTTCATCAAGGATATTGGTCTAAAATTCTCTTTTTTGGTTGTGTCTCTGCCAGGCTTTGGTATCAGGATGATGCTGGCCTCATAAAATGAGTTAGGGAGGATTCCCTCTTTTTCTATTGATTGGAATAGTTTCAGAAGGAATGGTACCAGTTTCTCCTTGTACCTCTCGTAGAATTTGGCTGTGAATCCATCTGGTCCTGGACTCTTTTTGGTCGGTAAACTATTGATTATTGCCACAATTTCAGCTCTTGTTATTGGTCTATTCAGAGATTCAACTTCTTCCTGGTTTAGTCTTGGGAGAGTGTATGTGTCGAGGAATTTATCCATTTCTTCTAGATTTTCTAGTTTATTTGCGTAGAGGTGTTTGTAGTATTCTCTGATGGTAGTTTGTATTTCTGTGGGATCAGTGGTGATATCCCCTTTATCATATTTATTGCATCTATTTGATTCTTCTCTCTTTTTTTCTTTATTAGTCTTGCTAGTGGTCTATCAATTTTGTTGATCCTTTCAAAAAACCAGCTCCTGGATTGATTAATTTTTTGAAGGGTTTTTTGTGTCTCTATTTCCTTCAGTTTTGCTCTGATTTTAGTTATTTCTTGCCTTCTGCTAACTTTTGAATGTGTTTGCTCTTGCTTTTCTAGTTCTTTTAATTGTGATGTTAGGGTGTTCAATTTTGGATCTTTCCTGCTTTCTCTTGTGGGCATTTAGTGCTATAAATTTCCCTCTACACACTGCTTTGAATGCGTCCCAGAGATTCTGGTATGTTGTGTCTTTGTTCTCATTGGTTTCAAAGAACATCTTTATTTCTGCCTTCATTTCGTTATGTACCCAGTAGTCATTCAGGAGCAGGTTGTTCAGTTTCCATGTAGTTGAGCGGTTTTGAGTGAGATTCTTAATCTTGAGTTCTAGTTTGATTGCACTGTGGTCTGAGAGATAGTTTGTTATAATTTCTGTTCTTTTACATTTGCTGAGGAGAGCTTTACTTCCAAGTATGTGGTCAATTTTGGAATAGGTGTGGTGTGGTGCTGAAAAAAATGTATATTCTGTTGATTTGGGGTGGAGAGTTCTGTAGATGTCTGTTAGGTCCGCTTGGTGCAGAGCTGAGTTCAATTCCTGGGTATCCTTGTTGACTTTCTGTCTTGTTGATCTAATGTTGACAGTGGGGTGTTAAAGTCTCCCATTATTAATGTGTGGGAGTCTAAGTCTCTTTGTAGTCACTCAGGACTTGCTTTATGAATCTGGGTGCTCCTGTATTGGGTGCATATATATTTAGGATAGTTAGCTCTTCTTGTTGAATTGATCCCTTTACCATATGTAATGGCCTTCTTTGTCTCTTTTGATCTTTGTTGGTTTAAAGTCTGTTTTATCAGAGACTAGGATTGCAACCCCTGCCTTTTTTTGTTTTCCATTTGCTTGGTAGATCTTCCTCCATCCTTTTATTTTGAGCCTATGTGTGTGTCTGCACGTGAGATGGGTTTCCTGAATACAGCACACTGATGGGTCTTGACTCTTTATCCAATTTGCCAGTCTGTGTCTTTTAATTGGAGCATTTAGTCCATTTACATTTCAAGTTAATATTGTTATGTGTGAATTTGATGCTGTCTTTATGATGTTAGCTGGTTGTTTTGCTCGTTAGTTGATGCAGTTTCTTCCTAGTCTTGATGGTCTTTACATTTTGGCATGATTTTGCAGCGGCTGGTACCGGTTGTTCCTTTCCATGATTAGCGCTTCCTTCAGGAGCTCTTTTAGGGCAGGCCTGGTGGTGACAAAATCTCTCAGCATTTGCTTGTCTGTAAAGGATTTTATTTCTCCTTCACTTATGAAGCTTAGTTTGGCTGGATATGAAATTCTGGGTTGAAAATTCTTTTCTTTAAGAATGTTGAATATTGGCCCCCACATTCTTCTGGCTTGTAGAGTTTCTGCCGAGAGATCTGCTGTTAGTCTGATGGGCTTCCCTTTGAGGGTAACTCGACCTTTCTCTCTGGCTGCCCTTAACATTTTTTCCTTCATTTCAACTTTGGTGAATCTGACAATTATGTGTCTTGGAGTTGCTCTTCTCGAGGAGTATCTTTGTGGCATTATCTGTATTTCCTGAATCTGAATGATGGCCTGCCTTGCTAGATTGGGGAAGTTCTCCTGGATAATATCCTGCAGAGTGTTTTCCAACTTGGTTCCATTCTCCCCGTCACTTTCAGGTATACCAATCAGACGTAGATTTGGTCTTTTCACATAGTCCCATATTTCTTGGAGGCTTTGCTTGTTTCTTTTTATTCTCTTTTCACTAAACTTCCCTTTTCTCTTCATTTCATTCATTTCATCTTCCATCGCTGAAACCCTTTCTTCCAGTTGATCGCATCGGCTCCTGAGGCTTCTGCATTCTTCACGTAGTTCTCGAGCCTTGGTTTTCAGCTCCATCAGCTCCTTTAAGCACTTCTCTGTATTGGTTATTCTAGTTATCCATTCATCTAAATTTTTTTCAAAGTTTTCAACTTCTTTGCCTTTGGTTTGAATTTCCTCCTGTAGCTTGGAGTAATTTGATCGTCTGAAGCCTTCTTCTCTCAGCTCGTCAAAGTCATTCTCCGTCCAGCTTTGTTCCATTGCTGGTGAGGAACTGCGTTCCTTTGGAGGAGGAGAGGCGCTCTGATTTTTAGAGTTTCCAGTTTTTCTGTTCTGTTTTTTCCCCATCTTTGTGGTTTGATCTACTTTTGGTCTTTGATGATGGTGATGTACAGATGGGTTTTCGGTGTGGATGTCCTTTCTGTTTGTTAGTTTTCCTTCTAACAGACAGGACCCTCAGCTGCAGGTCTGTTGGAATACCCTGCAGTGTGAGGTGTCAGTGTGCCCCTGCTGGGGGGTGCCTCCCAGTTAGGCTGCTCGGGGGTCAGGGGACAGGGACCCACTTGAGGAGGCAGCCTGCCCGTTCTCAGATCTCCAGCTGCGTGCTGGGAGAACCACTGCTCTCTTCAAAGCTGTCAGACAGGGACATTTAAGTCTGCAGAGGTTACTGCTGTCTTTTTGTTTGTCTGTGCCCTGCCCCCAGAGGTGGAGCCTACAGAGGCAGGCAGGCCTCCTTGAGTTGTTGTGGGCTCCACCCAGTTACAGCTTCCCAGCTGCTTTGTTTACCTAAGCAAGCCTGAGCAATGGCGGGTGCCCCTCCCCCAGCCTCGCTGCCGCCCTGCAGTTTGATCTCAGACTGCTGTGCTAGCAATCAGTGAGACTCTGTGGGCGTAGGACCCTCCGAGCCAGGTGCAGGATATAATTTCCTGGTGCGCCGTTTTTTAAGCCCTTCGGAAAAGCGCAGTATTCAGGTGGGAGTGGCCTGATTTTCCAGGTGCCGTCTGTCACCCCTTTCTTTGACTAGGAAAGAGAACTCCCTGACCCCTTGCACTTCCCAAGTGAGGCAATGCCTCGCCCTGCTTTGGCTTGCACACAGTGCACGCACCCACTGACCTGCGCCCACCGTCTGGCACTCCCTAGTGAGATGAACTCGGTACCTCAGACGGAAATGCAGAAATCACCTGTCTTCTGCGTCGCTCACACTGGGAGCTGTAGACCGGAGCTGTTCCTATTCGGCCATCTTGGCTCCTCCATCCCACTGTTTTCAATAGAAGTGGTGAAAGTGATCATCCTTGTCTTGTTTTGACTCTTGGGGGAATGCTTTCAAGTTTTCCTCATTTAGTGTAATGTCAGCTGTGATTTTGTCATAGATGGCTTTTATTACCTTTAGATATGTCCATTCTACACCAATTTTGCTGAAGGTTTTAATCATAAAGAGATGCTGGATTTTGTCAAATACTTTTTCTGCATCTATTGAGATTATCAGATGTTTTTGTTTTTAATTCTGTTTATGTGATGTATCACATTTATTGAGTTGCACATGTTAAATTATCTCAGCATTCCTTATATGAAACTCACTTGATCATGGAGTAGTCTTTTTAATATGCTTTTGAAGTTGGTTAGATAGTATTTTGTTGAGGATTTTTACATCAGGGATATTGATCTGTAGTTTTATTGTTTTTTTTTTTTCTTTGTCATGTTCTTTCCTGGTTTTGGAATTAAGGTGATACTGGCTTCACAGAATGATTTAGGAAGGAGTCCTTCTTTATCTTTTGGAATAGTTTCAGTAAGATTGGCACCAATTCTTCCTTGAATGTCTGAGAGCATTCAGCTGTGAATCCATCTGGTCCTGGACTTTTTTTGTTGTTGTTATTTTTTTTTATTATAATTTCAATCTCGCTGCTTGTTATTGGTCTCTTTAGAGTTTCTATTTCTTCCTGATTTAATCTGGGAGGGTTGTATATTTTCAGAAATGTATCCATTTCTTCTAGATTTTCTAGTCTGTTTTCATAAAGGTGTTCATAGTAGCCTTGAATGATCTTTTGTATTTCTGTGGTATTGGTTGTAATATCTCCCATTTCATTTCTTTCTTTTCTTTTCTTTCTTTCTTTCTTTCTTTTTTTTTTTTTTTTGAGACAGAGTCTTGCTCTGTCACCCAGGCTGGAATGCAGTGGTGCCATCTTGGCTCACTGCAAGCTCCGCCTCCCAAGTTCACACCATTCTCCTTCCTCAGCCTCCCAAGTAGCTGGGACTATAGGCGCCTGCCACCATGCCCAGCTAATTTTTTGTATTTTTGGTAGAGACGGGGTTTCACCATATTAGCCTGGATGGTCTCAATCTCCTGACCTTGTGGTCTGCCTGCCTCAGCCTCCCAAAGTGCTGGGATTACAGGTGTGAGCCACTGCGCCTGGCCATCTCCCATTTCATTTCTAATTGAGCTTATTTGGATCTTCTCTCTTCTTGGTTAATCTCACCAATGGTCTATCAATTTTGTTTACCTTTCAAAGAATCAGCTTTTTGTTTCATTTACTTTTGTACTTTTTTTTTCATTTATATTTACTTCTGCTCTGATCTTTGTTATGTCTTTTCTTCTGCTGGGTTTGGACTTGGTTTGTTCTGGTTCCTCGAGTTCCTTGAGGTGTGACCTTAGATTGTCCATTTGCACTCTTTCAGACTTTGTGATGTAGGCCTTTGAGCTTTCCTCTTAGCATTGCTTTTGCTGTATCCCAGAAGTTTTGATAAGTTGTGTCATTATTGTTATTCAGCTCAAAGAATTTTTACATTTCCATCTTCATTTCGTTGTTGACCCAAAGGTCATTCAGGAGCAGATGATTTAATTTCCATGTGTTTCTATAGTTGTGGGGGTTCTTTTGGAGTTAATTTCCAGTTTTATTTCACTGTGGTCTGGGAGGGTACTTGATATAATTTTGATTTTCTTAAATTTATTGAGACTTCTTTTGTAACCCATCATATGGTCTATCTTGGAGAACATTCCATGTGCTGAAGAAAAGAATGTATATTCTGTAGTTGTTGGTAGAATGTCCTGTAAATATCTGTTAAGTCCATTTGTTCTAGGATATAGTTTAAGTCCACTGTTTCTTTGTTGACTTTCTGTCTTGATGACCTGTCTAGTGCTGTCAGTGGAGTATTGAAGTCCCCCGCTATTATTGTGTTGCTGTCTATCTCATTTCTTAAGTCAAGCAGTAATTGTTTTGTAAATTTGGGAGCACCAGTGTTAGGAGCATACACATTTAGGATTGTGATATTTTCCTGTTGGACTATTCTTTTATCGCTATATATATAGCATCCCTCCTTGTCTTTTTTTACTGTTATATATAATGTCCCTCCCTGTCTTTTTTTAGTGTTGTTGCTGTGAAGTCTGTTTTGAAAAAAAAAAAACAAACAAACAACTCCATTAAAAAGTGGGCAAAGGACATAAACAGACACTTCTCAAAAGAAGACATACATGTGGCCAACAATCACATGAATAAAAGCTCAACATCACTGATCATTAGAGAAATGCAAATCAAAACCACAATGAGATGCCATCTCACACCAGTCAGAATGTCTGTTATTAAAAAGTAAAAAATAACATATACTGGTGGAGAAAAAGAA